>NC_000008.11:57802265-58427265 GCF_000001405.40 Homo sapiens
TGCTACTGACAGTGCTTCTGCCTAAATCACCCCAAGCCTTCGTTAAATTGACCCTTTTATGTTTAAAGTTGAATCTTCTCCCTATACCCAAATTGCGAAACATGATTTCCCTGGTGCTTTGCACTTCACAATCTACATTTATAGTAATGCCTCAGAGACAGTCTGGCATTCTGCAGCTTCCTCACAATAATGAAAGCAAAACTGAGACTGCACACCCCAAACTCCGGAGCAGCATTATCAACAAACCTTGCTAGGATCGTAACTTCCAGAGGTGAGGGGAGGCTGGAGACAAACCATAGTCACACGAGACAGACAAGTATCTTCCTCACAAGGCTGCATCACAAGAAGAAAACTTCCCATTAAATGCATGATGTAAGCAAGTTTGGAGACACAATGAGTGGTATATGCTATCGATCTATTTCCTGCACGCTGAACACTTGTTGGATCAAGTAGAAAAAATAACTGTTAAGTTATTCACTATTTTTCATGTGGCTATGATACATTCTTATATGTTTATGCAGAAGCAATAAAATCACTTGTTGAGGAAGACAAACATTCAGTGTTTTCCACACCAGGAATTATTTCTATCAAAAGTTTCCTTGGAAGCGTATTTCTCATTAAATTGGCACATTCCTAAAGCACAACCTTCTCTTTACCAAGATACTGTTCCTCTTGTTTAAAGTACTGATCTCAAAACTTCTCAGTAATACCATTTAAACCACTGCCACTAATCAAAGTCCAGCTGCAAATGTGAAGCATTTACATTGGCTGAGAAAATACGTTTTGTGAAATTTTGTAACAAAGCACTGACATTAAATAAACATGACATGTTTTCAAGCAAGCATGCCTTTTTATTTATAATTTTTCATATTTTTAATGTGTCCTGGTGTTAACTTTGTCTAAAAATCTGCTAGAGTTCATGAACACTGAAGCCTTGGGGTATATAAGAGGTTCATTAGCTTCTTATAATTTTTATCCTTTAAAAAACCTGAATAAATCATTTATTTATTTTAAATCACTACTAAATTATCAATATAGCTATTTCATTTTCAATAAATCCCTTGCCAAAAGACAAAATCCCATGTACTAGTAAATAACTGAATAAACAAAAGCAGAGCATGCTGTAATTTTTACTGCTACTATAATCAACACAAAGGCAACAAGAAATTATTCTACAGTATCACTCTAGCCAAAACATTTTAGAATCATGTGACATGTGACATTTCTTGGGATGAACTGATACTAGGAAATAGCCTTTTGTATCTGTCTTTTTTCTTTGAGACGGAGCCTCCCTCTGTCGCCCAGTTTGGAGTGCAATGGCACAGTCTCGGCTCACTGCAGCCTCCGCCTCCCAGGTTCAAGCGATTCTCCTGCCTCAGCCTCCCGAGTAGCTGGGATTATAGGCGGGTGCCACCGCGCCCGGCTAATTTTTTGTATTTTTAGCAGAGACCGGGTTTCACTGTGTTAGCCGGAATGGTCTCAATCTCCTGACCTTGTAACCTGCCTGCCTCAGCCTCCCAAAGTGCTTGGATTACAGACGTGAGCCATAGCGCCCAGCCTTGTATCTGCCTTTATGTCTATCTATAGGTACTGGGAAATTGACAGTGTTTCTCAGCACCTTTCCAAATATTTCTGTCCTCCTAACAAAGAGTAAAAGTCCTGGTATAGATCAATGATGAGTATCATAGAAATAAACAGAACACTCAGAAATTGCTTTTAAAAATGAGTGTTTCAGGTTAACATCAATCACATTGCTTTGTTTTGTTTTTGTTTTGTCATCATTCATATATTCTCAGCACAAGCTTGCCCTGAGCATGAAATTCTTTTAGAAAAAAGCCCTGGGGTAGGTGTTGACCCACTGACATTAATGAGAACTCCGTATTCTGAGAAAATGCACTGCCGAGGGAAAGGAGATGAGAACTTGGCCACAGATCACATCAAAAGAGTTTAGCCAAAGATTTATGCAAAGAAATTTTATTCTAGAGTTGGCCGTGCTCTATAGCGAAAGCCAAGCTTTTAGTGTGCTGTATTGGGAGTCTGGCTTCTTTCAAACTACAAAATGAGCAAAATCAACTCTCTTTACATTTCGAAAGGAAATAGCACTCACACTGACAACATAGGCATTATTTGAGTCCAAAGTTCATTTTAAATAAATATATATGGTTAAACAAAATGATCTGCCTTAAGTCAACAGAATTATGACTTGCGCCAGGAGAAAATAAAGGAAAGCAGCTGAGGCTGAAAAGCCCAGGCTGGCGTTTGGGTGGGAGGTATGCCTGTGAATGCCGAGCCTTGACAGTTCGCTCCGACCAGTTATGTAATCCAGAATACAGCCCGCGTGGAAAAAAAAAAGAGAGAGAGAGAGAGACTGGTAATAAATAATGGCTTAGCAGGTCTGCAGTTAACAGAAAGGAACATTTAATTAAATAGTAAATACTTGGGAATACAGATTTGGCTTAACATTAAACACAGATCAGGTAGCAAGTAATTGGAACAAATGTGTGGGATTTTGCATATTTGGCTTTTTAAAGCTTATTCTTACCTTATAAATATTTTTCTCACTTGACGTAAAATATATTAAATAAATCTGGTAATTGGAAAGATCCCATTTTGCCATTCAACTGTAAACCCAGTAGTCTGAAATAGGCTTTCCCTCAAAAAAAAAAAAAAAATCCAAGGAGAAGGATACAAGTGCCCAACATACTCCACAGATGTCCCTCCATTCCGAAGCTACCAAGACCTAAAATGTCAACATTTCATAATTAAAAGGAAATAGTCCCTCTGCATCCTCATTAACTATAGCAACTTTTGAAAAATGACATTTCCTACCAAATCAGCTCCAATTTATTTTTTGTCTTTTGTGGGATACTGCAAACTCATTTAGCAAGTCAGTTTTGTTACTATAGTGACAGACTCAACCTATTTAAACTCACACGGAGGTTTTCCCATGGTTTGCTGTATTTGGGAGCAGCCTCAATGTTTGCACGAGGCAAAACCTTCCTTAGAAACTGAATCTGTACGGCCGGGCGTGGTGGCTCATGGCTGTAATCCCAGCACTTTGGGAGGCCGAGGCGGGCAGATCACTTGAGGTCAGGAGTTCAAGACCAGCCTGGCCAACATGGTGAAACCTCATCTCTACTAAAATACAAAAATGAGCTGGGCATGGTGGCGTGTGCCTGTAATCCCAGCTACTCGGGAGGCTGAGGCAGGAGAATCGCTTAAACCCAAGAGGCGGTGGTTGCAGTGAGCAGAGATCGCACCACTGCGCTCCAGCCTGTGTGACAGAGCAAGACTCTGTCTCAAAAAAATAAAAAAAAAGAAAGAAAGAAGCTGAATCTGTACATATGGCACACTCTAGAAACTATCTGTGAGAGAGAGTACATTTAAAAAGAGATTTCAGATTCACTCTTCCCACTAGATAGTTCACGTTGTTTTTGAATTCAACCTGATTCTCACCACCCACCCCGCCCCAGGGCAGTGGTTCTCAGGAGGAAGATGGTGGACACTGGTTTTGTATCAGAAAAAACTGACTGACGGTGGGGGCACAGGAGATGGGGGACACATGTTCAAATAACATTGCTTTCCAGAAATCTTATTTTGCATGTTCACTCACCCCTGTTGCTTTTGAAGCAACTTTTCCTGAAGGAAGTGTACCAGGTCTCAGGTGTCTTGGTGTGAGCCAAGAAGATGGGAACAGAATTCGATTCCAGGGATGGACAGGGAACTATGCTTGCAGGAATCCAAGAACTCAGCATTCCAGGTGTGAAAGAGTGGATTATGTGCTATCTTGGCTGTGCAACTGGGAAAATGGCTTGGAGGTGGCGGACTGGGAACTGATTTAAGAAAGTGAAAACCTAGTCCGTAGTGGACAATGAAGCTATAAATTGTATGGATAAGACTTGGGTTTTAAGTCACTGGTTTCGTTTTTCATGCTGCCCTGCTTTATGTAAATGCTTAGCACGAATAACAAACTGTCCATTCATTTTAAATGTTATTATTTCTAAATGAAAGATGTTGTGGAAAACTTGGAGAAGTGAAGGTAAAAGGGGAAGAGAGAAGGGTGAAGGGAAAAATGAGTTTCCATGGTTTTTATTCTGCTTTCTCATCACATGTCCATGTCTGGAGTCTAGATACTTTTTCTTATTTTCTTTCTGGAAAGGGCAGTTAGCTTCTGACACAGTTAGTACCTTCCCTTCTTCCGTATCCCTCTGAAACTCTTCTTTTGCCATGAAAGCTTTTTACACGTATGCTCCTTTAATGGTTTTTATAATAAAAGAATAGTTGTTTTTGAAAGCCACAGCAAGCATCCCATGTTTTCATCTACAGGATTTGGGATTATGGCCGTCCATGGGCACTGTCTTAATTATTTCTTAAGACATTGAGGCAAGAAAGTGTCAGTGATTCCACAGCACAGCTATGTTCTTGATATTATCTAAAAATAAAAACTACAGTATCTTTACATGTGTATGATTTTGCTTTTAGGTTCTTATGTTACAGAATTCTGGATCTGAAATTGGCTTTCAATACCTTGAGGTTAAGAATTTCCAGAAAACATTCATCATATTTTTTTGAGATTCTAATTTGTTTAAAAATTATTTAAGAGCTAACGCTTCACTAGCAATGCATTGAGAAATGAAGAACATGCTCAGGGAATCTTTAGATACCATCTGAAATCTTGGATTTGAAAAAGTCCCTTCAAGTCAGATTTTCCTGAAAATCACTGTACCAACCTTAAAAAACGGGGAGCACCAGTATTTCAAGAACCCTCTAGAGAAAGGGAATCTGAATTACAAAATCCTCAGATAACACAATTATTTATAAGCTGAATGAGGAGAAGGCGCAAAATGATAGCTATTCAATGTCAAAAGAAATATTTTATTAAAAGAAAAACAGAAAGAAAAGAAACAGAATATGAAAAATAGACAGTCTGGATTGTTGAAATGAGAGGGACAAAGAAAACGTAGACACAAACAGGAGTAGCCCAAACAATGAAAAGCAGCCTTGAGACAGAGGCTCAAGATTGACATTACTTGGTGTTTTGTAGTTGCTGTATTGCAATAGCATCATACAAGGGGGTATGTGTGACTCATGAACATATTTCTCATTTTACAAGTGACAATCTTGTATTGGTCTACCATTCAGAGGTCCTGTATTTTTTTTATCCAATAAAATCTCTTTTTCTTATGAGTTTGCAAAACAAAAATAAAGAAGATTTCATTGAATAAATACTTAAATTCTACTTATTTATTTCAAATCACAATTTGATATTTTCATGCTTTCTATGAGAAGTGGCTGAGGAATAAATGGTTTAATCCCAAAGGGGTAAAGACTGCTAATTCTGTCGAGAAAAATGTAAGCTCAGTGTCTTAGTCTGGGCTCCCCACAAATAGAGAAAAGTGCTTGGATGCAGGTAGTTTACAAGAAAGGCATGGAAACAACCTAAGTGTCTGCCCATAGGTGAATGGATAAAGAAAATGTGGAATTGGAATTTTACAATGGCATTTTCAATGGAACACTATTTAACCTTAAAAAAGAAGGAAATCTTGCCATTGTGACAACGTGGGTGAACCTGCAGGACAGAATGCTAAGTAAAACAAGCTAGACACACAAAGACAAATAATGCATGACCTCACTTATATGTGGAATCTAAATAGTTGAATAGAGAGTAGTGTTGGTTACCAGAGCTTGGGTGTGGGGAAAATGAAGAGCTGTTGGTCAAAGGGTACAAACTTGCAGTTATAAGAGGAATAAGTTGTGGAGATCTAATGCAAAATTTGGTAACTGTAGTTAAATAGTAACAATGTGTTATATACCTGAAATTTGCCAAGACAATACATCTTAACTATTCTTACATGCGCGCACACACACACACACACACACACACACACACACTATGTGAGGTGATGGATGTGTTAATTAGCTTGATTGTGGTAATTTCATAATGTACAGATATATTAAAACATCACAGTACACACCTTGAATGTATATAATTTTTATTTGTTAACTATATCTCAACAAAGTTGGAAAAAATGAAAGAGAAGTGAAGGAGCAGGAAGAGCAAGATGGAGAGGGAGAAAATCCAATAAAGAGTCCACAATGTAGGTTGCAGCTGTGAGGATGCCTCTCAGAGCTGAAGGGAAAAAAAAGCACACACACACCAGCTGCCATCCGCCACTGCCTGAGAGCTGTCCCTAGGAGTATTAACTCCCTTGTGTTTCTTCTCAGCTGTGCCTGCCTGTATCTGGGGCTGAAAAGGGCTTCTGTTTCTTACCAAAAAAAAAAAAAAAAAAAAGAAGAAGAAGAAGAAGAAGAAGAAAGAAAGAAAAAATCCTAAGGCAGAAAAACAGAGAGAGGAACAGAGGGTGATTGAGGTGGGGTGCAGGTGGCATGCACACAGATTCTTCACCACAGCCATAGTTAAAGTCAGAAGTGGGCCCAGGAGAAGAATGGAGGACACGGAAAGCATTTGCGTTGGTTCATCTTCACATGGCTTGGATCTACAGAGGCCACCTGATAAACTTTGTCACCTATTCAAAGAGGTGGCCAGCATAATCCCTAACAAACACACAGTAAATAGTAGGACAAGCAAACATCCCACTGCACAGCTAGTACCAAGGTCAACACTAGACTTTGTCCTCTCCCCCTTCACTCCCTGCTTTCTTCCCTCAGCCAGACCTTTAGCTGCTCTGGGAGCTTGCCAGATTAGATGACACTGCCTTTCACCTCTTAGGGTCTGAGTACCTTTGGTGGCTCTGGTTAGTTGCTGCAGTTGCATGTTGACTATTGTCACTGACGATGGGAGCACCAAGAGGTGATCCCACTGAACACAAGTTCTAGATTATGCCTCCCTGTCGCTGCTCCCTGTAACACCATCTCTAGCTACTCATGATGATTGTGGTTATTTCTCCTGGCTGCTCACTCCTTTCTTTGAGGGTTGCCCTACCAGGATGAGGATCCCAAAGTGACCAGAGTTGTAATTGTAGCTTCAGGTTGGTTGATTGCTTACCCTGTCCTTGGAATCTGAGACGTCTGATCCAGCAAAACCTAAAATAGTGGAGCTGGGACTCGTAAATTCTGCAAGTGGGCTACTAAGAGTTTTAATAAAGGACACCAATTGTATTTCCACTCTTTGTTCCCAGACCCATGTTGTTGGCTATTAGAGACCAGCTATAGGAGACCACATAATGTTATTGAATATTTACTGTATATAGTCTATTTTGGAGAACAGAGCTACCTTTATAAGTGTATCATCCTGAACTGGTTTTTTAGCTGAGCCTTTAATAAGTCACTTAATATGGATTATGGTAGAAAAAATGAGTCCCACAGTCACATGCCCTCTGTCACACTTCTACTGCTGAATAAAATGAGTCCCTGAGTCCAAGATGATGTTATTCAGGATCCCATATCAGTAAATCAGGCATTCTCAAAGCACTCTGATAATGGTACTATTCAACAGAGCATCCAGAGGTGGTTCCTGCAATCAGTATTGTGACAGAAAGCAAGAGAACCAACAGCTCTGGAGTAAGAGTGAGGGTGTACTTCTGTATTTCCCATACAAAAACTGCCTTTGGTAATTTCTATTCTTAGTATTAGAAAGAATATAATCATCAGATCTGTGGCCTCATACCAGGCACTAGAGGTTATCTTTATTTCAGTAAAGAAGCCATTTGCATAACAAATCTTGGCTTAAGTTTCTGTAGTCCACCATCATCCAATAAAATTCAAATGGTTTTCACAGGGAAGTGAATTGAATGGGAATAGGATTAGGATTACTACCTTTGCAACCTTTAGTTCTCTGAGAGAGGCCTAATTTCTCTTATTAAACCCAGGAGGTAGTATTGCACCTGATTTACTATATTTGCTGATAAAGCAGGTTCAGAAATCTCCACTTGGCTTTTTCTACTATAATCTTTTACTCCACAGGATATGGGAAAAACCTGAGGGGTCTGCCAGTTGCTAAGTGTATTTATCTCAATTATACACACAGGGAAGTAACTGAGAAAATTACCACAGAGTGAATCAATGTACCAACTGAGCCCTCTGTGAAATGGACTTAGACCAGCAGTCCATTTATCACATGGTCTTTACAAGGCTCTCCCTAACTTTGAGCCACATTGATATTTCATGTCCCCTAGTATTAGTGTCAGCTCAAGACCTGCATTCAACAGCTCTCAAATGTCTGGGTGACTTTCTTTGCCTAGTATACTCTTACTCTAGTAAATGCCCAGAGGTCTCTTTGGAGGAGTATAGATGTGTTTAATGTTGGTGGTGGCATTGCAGGTTTTTCCTCAAAGAAAGTCAGTCTTCCCTTTAATCTATGGGACCTGCACCTGAGAACAGCTAAGATCTAGAAACTGAGTAAGAGATGGCTATTTTCTGATGTAATCACTAGGCACAGTGTACACATACCCTTCTCTTCTGTAGTAATGTCCTTTTCTGGTTATTAGTCAAGAAGTACCCTAGTTGGTTGTCTGTCTATCTTGCCCCTAGGAATACAATATCTATTAGCTGTCACCTCAGATTTCTAGAGGACAAGGCACTCTGGTTGGCCCTTTAGTCTTGCTGCCTATTACAAGATAAACAACTTCAACATACTGATTAATTACAGCAGTTAAATTTATTCTTTTACTTGTAATTAAGCCCAGTATCTTAACTTGGATTCCCCCAAAAGATAGCCTAAACTGAAACTTGGGTGAAGGATTTTATTTGCGATGCAATCCCAGAGAACATGAGTGAGGGAACAGAGAACATGAATGACCTGGTAGCTACCTGTGGCTGTGGATTATTGTAGAAACAGAAAGTAGAAAGACCAACAAAAAGTATGCTACTAAAGTCATTGCTGTGAGCAACAGGGCCCCAACTCTGCTGGCTCCTCTAAGAAGCATACAGAATGCAGCCCAGAATTATTCACCATCCCTTATGTCCCACTGGTTGAAGGTTACCACCAGGGTCGGTAATGCCCTGTATTTCTAAGCTTCTTGTCTCTCTCTCTCTCCATTTATATGTATATACATATGCATATATAGTATAGTATCTATACTATATACTCTCTCTTTCTCTCCATATATATGTATATACAGCATCCAGAGATGGTTCCTGCAATCAGTATTGTGACAGAAAGCAAGAGAAATATATACATATATATGGAGAGTATAGTATATTTTATACTATAAATATAAATATATTTATATAGTATAAACAAATTTAAAATATGTTCAATAGTATATACGATATAAAATTATATATTTAATATAATAGTATATAAACTAATTGATACAATAAAATAATTTATAATGAAGCTATAAGATATAATATTGTATATCATTATATATTAAAATATGTATTAGATATGGAAAACTGTTACACCTGGAGAAGGGCAAAGAGGAAGGAAACACTTCAAATTCAGCATTGCAATCCATCGTTTGTATTCTCTCTTTTTCCTCTGTGTGTGTATGTGCATGTGTGTACATAATATGAATAAGAAATAGTCTATTCATGTGCTTATTTTGTTGAAATAACTTGAGGAAGTTCATTAGTATAATAGAATTTCAAGATTGAAGACTAAAGAATATAAGATACTAGTTAGCAGTGAGCATAATAAATGGATGATAATATCATAAGCTGGTATGTGACTATCACAAAAAAATTCTTGATAATAATAAACTTAAGAAAAAACTTGTCCATTTTTATTGTTTGGGGAAGAAGAAGGAGAAAAAGCATTGTTCATTGTGTTCTACTAACAAAGAAACACAGGTTTAAATATGAATTAATATAAGGTCAAGCACTGGCAAAAACACATGTATACAAGAAAATTCCAAATTATCAGAGTGGAAAAAATATATAAATAATCTTATCAATCCAACAAATGTATAAAAAGGGAAAATAAAAAACAATAATACTAATAATAAATATAAAAGATGATAGAAAAAATAAGACTAAACATAACCCTAATTAAAATTGATGAGAACAAACAGTTATTTTTAAAGATAACTGCACTCAGACTTGATTAAAAAACAAAATCTAATTAGAATGTTATTTATAAGAAACATGTCTTAAAGAAAATACAAGAGCAAAAATATATGTCTGACAACTGCCTTTCACAAAAAAGCAGAAACACAAATATTGCTGAGACAAAGATGGATATTTTTAATGAGAAAAAATCAAACTACTAAGGAATCAGATTTATAAGCCTTTATATATCTAATGACATAGTACTGAAATATTTACGAAAACACTTAGAAATGTCAGAAGAATGTGATAAAGTCTTTCATATAGGGGCAGGTTTTAATATTCTCATCTCAGAAATAAAAAAAGAAATTTTAAGAAAAGTAGATAAGAATACAGATTATTCAATTAACCCTATCAACAAAGAATTCTAAAAGAGCTTACATACTTTCATTCAATAATTCTATCTTCAGAGCTTTTATTTAAGGAAAAAAAATCAAATATATATAGATAGAGAGACATACATATACATGCATATATATGTATATGTATAATAACAGATGGTTCTATTACTGAATTTTTCTTAATTTCAAAAGTAGTACATTCCCAAAGTATGAATTTCAGTAAATAGAAAATCACAATAAAAACTAAAAATCAGTGAAACAGCAGGTTTCTTGTATAGAGAGAATGTGAGTGTTCTATTTATGTTAGCTGAGGACTCAGATTGTTGAATCTAGACTTGTTTTAACCGGTTTGATTCTTTCTACAGGGGTGAGTTGCTAATCTTCGGAAAAGGCATTTTACTAATTGCAACATGGTCCCATCTGGTTGAAAGATATAGAGTCATGGTTTTCTGGAAAATTCTCTTTTATCTTAGTCATATTTCCCAATGAACATGCTGATTTTGATGAAAGGAGAAAAATCTTCAAAAAAATTTTTATTAATTCTTTTGTGCAGTATATAGGTAATGCAATTTGAAGATATATATGTACATGTCAATTATATCACAATCATATTTAGATAATTTATTTTAATTTCTAATTTCTTCACAAATAAGTATAATGGCACTCCAGGAATCTGCGCAATGTAAAACTATATTTCTAAAACATGAAATAAGGTGAAATTTGGCACTATTTTCATGAGAAAATAAAAAATATAAAAACTGCAGAAATCATTTAGCTTTATAATTTACAAATTGTTTCCTGAGTAAATGGAAAACTTCATTTTAGTTTTAGTTGTTGTTTGAGCCCTTCCTCAGGCATCAATCATATTGTATAAGTATTTCAAAAAATGAGAGAATAGAATAATACAATTTTTAGAACTCAAGTAGTGAATTCAATTTCTGGGCTTCATATCTAGCATGTTTTTCATTATTCCATATTTCATTATTTAAAAATCTAGCAGCAACCTACAGCTGACTAATGTCACTACTGTCATTTAAATTACAGCATTGTTTTAGAGGAAATTCCTGTAGTACTGTTAATTCCAATTATCTGATGTGGGCTGTGAACATAGTTCTTCAGCTCAAAATATACCCTACCACTTTCTCTTTTAAGAATAAATATTCAGCAAATTGGGTTGGAAGTGGTAGTGGGGATAATTAAAATAAATAATAAGGAAAGTTTGGCTGAATGTATGGGAATCATAAAACAATTTAATTAGCAATAGACAGTTCCATAAGCCAGTGGGTCAGAGGGGATACGTAACAACTTGCTCGAGAAGCCATAATAAACTGGCGGGAAAAGATCTGTAGATCACAAGTGACTATTTAGCTTCCATGCGCAAATAGAGTTACACACTTTATTAAAATATGGTAGGAAAAAGAAGTTTAACAAAACTGAAACCTAAAATAATCTTCACATCCAGATGGTAAGTTCCATCAAACCTCTAGGAACAGATAATTCTGATGTTAGTTAATGTTTTCCAAAATATAGAAAATGACATAGAGCTTTCAGGTGTATTTAGGACTTTGACATTAAAATCTGACAAAGATAGACCAAGAAAAAAATTACAGACAAATTTCACTTATGAGTTATGAATACAGATAAAGAAATCCTAAATAATATATTGGTGAGATCAGATATAAACATTTAGACTGATTAAAGGTGGAAACATACCCTTTCTTTGCCCTTTTATTATGATAGAATATTTATATGTTCCATCACCAATTTGAAGAAACTGAAGCAAAGCTCTTGCTGCTTTTCCTGAAAGAGGAAGTCATCTTCGGGTTGCTGGAAACTCAGGCAGTGGGAATATTGGATAGTAAATGCCTGCCACCTGGCAATGTCCCAGAGACAAATATATTCAAGGTTTATCTACAGAGACACAACCACTGACCTGATGTTTTCAGCTTGCAAATGTTCTGAAGTCCCCAGAGAGACATGGAAGTAGAAGAGTGCCACTGGATCAAAAAGGATAGTGGTTAATGTCTTAGCTATAAACTGTGTAGACAATCTGTGAATGTAGCACTTCCTTAGACTATGGACCTTTGACACCTGTAGAAGTGATGAGTCCTCCAAATGGTCACAAGCTGGCAGGATGAAGGCTCAGAGACAGAATCAAAACTGATGTATAGAAAAATAAATAAAATTATATGTAAATATATGGACTCAGATTATACCTACTGCCTTAATAATACAAGTCTAGCTATTATTAAAATATAATATCCCATACTAGTCTAATTTTAATTATAGGACCAGTGTTTATAAGTCAATTAATAGAACTCTTTATATTTTATTTTAATATATTTTATTATAATGTATTTTAAGAAAGATAATGTTATGATTCCAAGAATTTTCCAAAAAGGCAGTTGATAAAAGTTGCCTTTTATTTATCGTCAAAAATAAAATCCCTTATTTTTAGGAATGGCAGTCTATTCTCTTACAATAAAAAACCATCAGCTTCAACCATATTTAATAGTGAAACATTAGAGCCATGTAAGACATGTACTACCATTATATTTTTCTGCAAATTTTAGCCAATGAAAAGCAATAAAAGAATAAATGAAAGGTATAAATATTGAAAAGGGAGAGCCAAGATTACTATTATTTTTAAGTGATATATACTACTTTAAAAATTTGAGAGATTTAACTTGAAAATTGTTTAAGAAAGTAAGTGGCCAAGTAAAATAATTAATTTGAAAAAATAGTATATTTTCAATAATGGAAATGAGCACATATAGCAATTAGCTAACTGGAAAAAATCTATTTTTAATAATGACAATTAATTCATATGTCACATAAGTATTTGAAAGACTGCTCTAAGAGTTAGGTTACCTTGAACATTACCACATCAAGGATGAGGAAATGGAGGTATGAAGGTGCAAGTGATCTTTCTACACAGCTAGCGAGTGGAGAAGTCACAGCTAGCAAATAATGAAATGTAGAATCATGAAATATAGAATAACCCAGAGAGCTGCAGGGTCATAATGCCAGCTGGACCCAGCTGTGTGACCAGGTCCCCAGCAGTCTAGCCAACACGATGTCCTATACCTTGAGGAGCAGGCAGTGCAGCACAGTAAGTAGCCTGCCCCTGGGACAAACGGTGCCAAAGCCCATGCTCCCAAAGGCCCAAGAACCCAGTTAGACTGCCTGCAAGAGGCCAGGCAAGTACCATGTCATGATGATATGTTTAAAAACAATAATAATTTTATTATCTAAATGCTTAACATATAAAAAAAGTTAATATAAAATAGGTAGATTCCACAAGAAAAAATAAAATCTTAGAAAACTACAAAACTTGAATGTAGAAGACAGTTTTTAATCTTGAGTCCATTGATGGACTTATGACAATTTGTTATTTTCTAGAAATATGCAAAATATTAAGAGCTTGGGCATATGTAATTTTTTTCTGAGGACTGAAGGTTTTATGCTTTCAAAAACATTGTCTGAAAGGGTTATAACTTCCAAAGTGTGACTTTGGTTAGAAAAATAAAAGATTTGAGTAATTCGAGAAACTTACATCTTTCCAGATGGGGAGAAAATATGGTGTTCCTCCTTCCCCAAAGAAACGTTAATTTAGTGCATTTACAGTCAAAACACAGGCCACATTTTTCAAATAAAGGAAGTTTCCAAAGTTTTAAATTTTTGTGTAGAGAAATAAATGTTTAGTAGTAAGCTAGACATTGTTGAAAAATAAAATGGAGGTTGTCTTTTTTAGTTATTCAAACATATTACAAAGCTTTGTAACTGAAAATATTGATACTTTTATAGGAAATCAAGATTCTAAAAATGAAATAAATACACACACACATATGTTTTTATAATTGAGTAATTGTGTCCTCCAAATAAATGAAGAAATTATAAGTTATCCAGTGAATGTGAGTTGGAAAATTGGCAACTCAGTCTGAAATAAGAAATTAAATGACTACTTAACACCTATGCCAAAATTTAATTCCAGATGGATTATGATTACATTATTTAAATGGTTTAATGACCTAGATTTTAAAACACTGTGAAGGAGACTTAGGTTTAAGATGGCTGATGAGAGGCACATGGCACTCACCATCTTCATAAAGAAAGATAAAAACAGAGAGCAGATAACTTCATGTCAAATAGAGTATGTAAGAGAGAACTCTGGAATTCAGTTGGGAAGTGACAGGGAACCTCTGAAATATGGAAGGAGAGTAAAGCAAAGCAGCCAGCCTGGCCAGGATTGGCTTGAAGCCAGGAGAAACTCCCCAGGGTAGGAAAGAGGTAAGAGATTGCCAGTGGTCCACTATTCCCACCACAAATTCTTAGAATCCTAACCATGGAAGAGATTCTCAGCTCTCACATTCCCTGAGACTAGTATAGGGAGCAACCTGGAGTCCACATGATGGCATCGTTCCAGAGAGAAAGTTCACACTTGGTCACACACACCTTCTCAAGGTCCAAGTAACCACCTCATGGCACCATTTTGAGAGCCCAATCCCCACCAGACAACATCTTGCCCTGGGGCCTCCACATTACTGGAGCCCTGCTGACATCCCATCACATTCACCCAGAGGTCTGCAGGGTCATAATGCCAGCTGGAGCCAGATGTGTGATGAGGTCCCCAGCACTATAGCCCAAACAATGTCCTACACCCCGAGGAACCAGCAGTGCAGCACAGTCAGGAGGCTGCCCTTGGGACAAAGGCTGCCAAAGCCCATGTTCCAAAGATTCTAAGAGCAGCATGCCTGGGGCTGCTGCCGCTGATGACAGCCCCATCCTACCCCCAAGCAGCAGAGCTACTGCACACTGGAAGGTGCTTTTATGGGGTCTGGGGACTGGCCCACTCAGTAGATCTGGGGATCTGCCCTGCCCACTGCCCCTACTGCCACTGCCCACATGCGTTGTCCTGATGCTTGGGAATCAATCTTCCCTGCCCACAACACATGGTGCACTTGAGCACCATCAACTGACAGACAGGCCCACCTGCCTGCCACAGCTGGAGCCCATGAGCACAATCAGGGGTCCTGACAACAGGCCTGGCCCATCCATTGCCAGTGTATGCATGTGCAATCTGGGCACATGAAGACAAGCCCACCCTGCCTGCACCCTCCACTGGCAGTACTTTCATGCATCCTCTGGGGGCTTGGGGATTGATCCACCCTGCCTGTCAATGCTGGCATGCATTCACACTATCCAGGGTATTGAATATAAGCTTACCCTATCTACCACTAGCACTGCCAGTGCCCCAGCATGCCACCTGGGAGCCTGGGAATCAAACAACCTGCCCACCACAGCCTGTACCTGTGTGTACCATTGAGGGGCCCCAGGACAAAGACACCCAAGCGTTAGCCCACTGTTATAACTGCCATTGCTAATGCCACTCATGCCACCCAGGAGCCTGAGGATCCACCTACGCACCTGGCCCACCACTGCCATTACCAGCACTTGAACAACCCAACTGGAGGCCTCAAAATTGGCATATCCAGCCTGCTGCTGCCACCACTGGTGCCCAAGGACCAGCCTACCTGACTGTAGCCTAGGCCACTGAGGAACTCAGGCATCACTGACACTGATTACAGGAGAAGTCATACGGAGACTTTTGCACCCACTCAGAATCAAAGCCAAAGAGCCCTACCCAAACAACACTAGATACATCAATAGGAAATAATCACTCTGTACAAAAAAAATCTGTGATATTAGAAGCAGTACTGTTACAGTAGATGAACAGACATCAATGTTAGAACACCAGAAACATGAAAAAGCAAGGAAAAATAACATCTGCAATGGAAAACAATAATTCTCCAGCAATACCTTCCAACAGGAAAAGAAATCTATGTAATGCCTGAAAAAGAATTCAAAATAATGACATTAAAGAAGCTAAGATACAAGAGAACATAGATAAACAATACAAAGAAAGCAGAAAAAATAATTTATGATCTGCAAAATTCAACAAAGAAATAGATATTATTTTAAAATAAATCCTGGAACTCAATAATTCAATAAATGAAATAAAATATACAAGCAAGAGCTTAAACAATAGACTAGATCAAGCAGAAGAAAGAATTTCTGAACTTGAAAACAAATCTTTTGAAACAACCCAGTGAGACAAAAAAAAAATAAGAAGAGGGAGTAAAAAACAATTTTTTAAGCCTATGTAACATAAGGGACACCATAAAGCAACCAAATATTTAAATTTTGAAAGTTCCAGGAGAAAGAATAAGCAAGGGTATAGAAAACCTGTATAACATAATAATAGCTTAAACTTTCCCAAGTCTTGCGAGAGACGTAGACATCCAGGAAAAGGAAGCTCAAACATCCCCAAATACATCCAACTCAAAAAAGTCATATCCATGGCACGTTACACTCAAACTTTCAAGTAAAAAAAAAAAAGAGAGAGAGAATTCTATAAACAATAGGAGAAAAGCATCAAGTGAAATATAGGGGAACCTCCATCACACTAACATTAAATTTCCCAGCAGAAACCTTACAAGCCAGGAGATAAAGGGGTAATACATTTAATGTTCTGAAGGAAAAATCTGTCAAAGATACTATAACCATCAAAGTTATCTTTCGTAAATAAAAAGGAAATAAAGTATTTCCCAGACAAGCAAAAGTTGAGGTAATTCATCACCACTAGACCTGCCCTAGAAGAAATGCTTATGGGAGTCCTACACAAAGACTTTGCCAAAGTACTCTTAGAACTGATAAACAAACTTACTAAAGTTTCAGAATAAAAATTAGTAAAAAAAAATCAGGGACATTTCTACACATGAATGACTGACTAGCTAAAAAAGAAATCAAGAAAGCAATTTCATTTACAATAGCTATCAAAAAATAAAATACCTTAAAATAAGTTTAACCAAGGAGGTAAAAGACATCTACCATAAAAACTACAAAACACAAATAAAAGAAATTGAATATGACACCTAGAAATGGAAAGACATCCACAATCATAGATTGGAAGAATTAATATTGTTAAAATAACTATACTACCCAAAGTAATCTACAAATTCAATGCCATTCATATCAAAATACCAAAGACATTCTTTTACTTCTGTGCACCTGCAGGCCCAACACCATGTGTAAATCACCAAGGCTTAGGGCTTGTGCCTTCTGAAGCAATGTCCGGAGCTGTACATTGGCCCCTTTTAGCCACAGCTGGGATGCAGGGCACCAAGTCCTGAGACTGCACAAACCAGCAAGGCCCTGGGCCCAGCCCAGGAAACCATTTTTCCCTCCTAGGCCTCTGGGAGGCCTGTGATGTGAAGGGCTGCCATGAAGGTCTCTGACATGCCCTGGAGACATTTCCCCCATTGTCTTGGGGATTCACATTTGGCTTCTTGTTACTTATGCAAATTTCTGCAGCCAGCTTGAATTTCTCCCCAGAAAATGGAGTTTTCTTTTATATTGTATTGTCAGGCTGCAAACTTTCTGAACTTTTATGCTTTGCTTCCCTTTTAAACATAAGTTCTAATTCCAAACCATGTGTTTGTGAATACATAAAACTGAATGCTTTTCACAGTACCCAAGTCACCTCTTGAATGCTTTGCTACTTAGAAATTTCTTCCAACAAATGCCCTAAATCAAATCATCTCTCTCAAGTTCAAAGTTCCACAAATCTCTAGGGCAGGGGCAAAATGTCATGTCTCTTTGCTAAAACATAGCAAGAGTCACCTTTGCTCCAGTTTCCAACAAGTTCCTCTTCTCCATCTGAGACAGCAGCATTTGGTCAAAGCCATTCAACAAGTCTCTAGGAAGTTCCAAACTTTCCTACATCTTCCTGTGTTCTGAGCCTTCCAAGTCTCCAGGAAGTTTCAAACTTCCCACATTTTCCTATCTTTTCTGAGCCCTCCAAACTGTTTGAACCTCTTCCTGCTACCCAGTTCCAAAATAACTTCCACATTTCCAGGTTATCTTTACAGCAGTGCCCCAATACTCAGTACCAATTTATTAGCGTATTCTCACGCTGCTAATAAAGACATACCCAAGACTTGGTAATTTATAAAGGAAAGAGGTTTAATTGACTCACACTTCCACATGGCTGGGGAGACATCACAATTATAGTTGAAGGCAAATGAGGAGCAAAATCACGTCTTACATGGCAGCAGGCAAGAGAGCTTGTGTAGGGGAACTCCCCTTTATAAAACCATCAGATCTCATGAGAATCATTCACTATCACAAAAACAGTACAGGAAAGACCTACTCCCATGATTCAATTACCTCCCACTGGGACCCTCCCACAATATATGGAAATTATGGGAGCTACAATTCAAGATGACATTTTCGGTGAGGACACAGCCAAACCATATCAATATCTTATGCTCATGGATGAGTAAGATCAATACTATGAAAATGACCATACTGTTAAGAGAAATCTACAAATTCAATGCAATTCCCATTAAAATACCATGATCATTCTTCATGAACCTAGAAAAAACAATCCTAAAATTCATATGAAACCAAAAAGAGCCCACACAGTGAAAGCAAGACAAAGCAAAAAGAATGAATCTGGAGGCATCACATTACCTGACTTCAAAGTAAACTATGAGGCTATAGTAATCGAAACAGCATGGTACCGGTATAAAAATAGGCACATAGACCAGGAGAACAGAATAAAAACCCAGAAATAAAGCCTAATACTCACAGCCAACTGATCTTTGACAAAGCAAACAAAAACATAAAGTGGGGAAAGGACACCCTATTTAACAAATGGTGCTGGGATAATTGGCAAGACACATGTAGAAGAATGAAACTGTTCTGCACATGTATCCCAAAACCTAAAGTTTAATTTAAAAAAAAGTTTGTTGTCACAATAAAATACGAAGTTAAAAAGACATAATACCAAATATATATATTTCCAGTTGACAAAACATTTTTGAAAAAATAAAAGAATGAAACTGGATTCTTATCACTCACCTTATATAAAAATCAACTCAAGATGGTTCAAAGACATAAATCTAAGACTTGAAACCACGAAAATCCTAGAAGATAATATTGGAAAATCCCTTCTTTGGCTTAGGCAAAGACTTCATAACCAACAACCCAAAAGCAAATGCAACAAAAACAAAGATAAATAGATGGACTTAATTAAAAAAAGCTTCTGCATAACAAAAGAAATAATCAGCAGAGAAAACAGACAACCCACAGAGTGGGAGAAAATCTTCACTATCTATACATCTGGCAAAGGACTAATATCCAGAATTTACAAGGAACTCAAATCAGCAAGAAAAAAAAAATCCCATCAAAAAGTGGACTAAGGACATAAATAGAAAATTCTCAAAAGAAGATATACAAACATCCCACAAACATAAAAAAAAATGCTCAACATCTCTAATCATCAGAGAAATGCAAATCAACGCCACAATATGATACCATCTTATTACTGCAAAAACGGCCACAGTCAAGGATGTGGTGAAAAGGGAACGCTTTTACACTGCTGGTGGGAATGTAAACTAGCACAACCACTATGAAAAACAGTGTGGAGATTCCTTAAAGATCTAAAAGTAAATCTACCATTGGATCCAGCAATCCCACTACTGGGTATCTACCCAGAGGAAAAGAAGTCATTACACGAAAAAGATACTTGTACATGCATGTTTATAGCAGCACAATTTGCAATAGCAAAGGTATGAAACCAGTCCAAATGCCCTTCAATCAACAAGAAAATGTGCTGTATATATACCATGGAATACTACTCAGCCATAAAAAATATATGAAGTAATGGCATTTGCAGCAACCTGGATGGAATTGGAGACCATTATTCTAAGTGAAGTAGCTCAGGAATGGGAAACGAAATATTATATGTGCTTACTCATAAGTGGAAGCTGAACTATGAGGACGCAAAGGCATAAGAATGATACTTTGGGGACGCGGGGGAAAGGGTGGTTGAAGGATAAAAGACTACACATTGGGTGCAGTGTACACTGCTTGGGTTATGGGTGTACCAAAATCTCAGAATTGACCACTAAATAACTTATCCATGTAACCAAACACCACCTGCTCCCTAAAACCTATTGAAATAAAAATTTTTTAAAACGTTCTAGCATTTAATAGCACAGTAGGGTGACTATAGTTAATAACAATGTATTGTATATTTCTAAATAAGTAGAAGAAAAGATTTGAAATGTTCCCAGCACAAAGAAATGATACATGTTCAAGGTGATGGATATCCTAAATACTCTAATTTGATCATTACATATTGTATGCCTGTATCAGAATATCACATGTACCCATAAATATGTACAATTATTATGCATCAATAAAAAAACCACTGTGAATGTTTCAGAAGAAAATTGATTTCTTATAACCATGGTGGAGGTGGAGGATATTCATGGGAAACATGACATCAAACTCAATAATTAAAAAGTAAAACAGTAATAAGTGTGTTTATATAAAACTTCAAACTTTCTTATGACAAAAACCTGACTTTCCTTCAACAATGTTAGCAACTAGTCAGAAGAATCCATTTTGTATATCTGTTCCACACATCCAAGACAAGTTACCTCAGTGAATAGGCTTTTGTAAAGAAACCAATCTGAGACCCTGAGTTTCTGACTCAGCCCATCATGGATTTACTTTCCAGTAAATGCACTTCTGAATATAAACCAATCAACAAAGTCTCATACACATAACCGGGCTTCTACTAAAGGGATTTCAACCTACTTCCACATCTGGAAGTCTCTTAATCCCTGACCACCTTCAAAAACTCTATACAAAATTGTCACTCAGTGCCTGACCAGCATCACTCTCCTTTAATATACTAAGCAATAACTTCAGCTTTTTAATTCAGATATTGAATAATGCCTCATCATCCTTTAACATATACATGGGGTTAATTTCTATTATAGTCAAAAAATCTTATGAATCATCAAAAAATAAATTGAATAGAAAAACATACAAAAGATATGAAGATCTATTTCACAAAAAAAGAAAATAAAACACGAGGAAACTATCTAAGAGCATGGCCAGTCTTACTGGTAATAAAAAAAATTGTTGAATAAAATAGCAAGGTTTCATTTATTTTCATTTTGGAAGGTAAAGGCAGCAGAAATTGATAATAACTAATTTTGATAATGGCATGAAAAAATGGGCATTATTACACATCGCTTCTGTGAATAAACAAGGTACACTTTTAAGAGCTACGTAAAGCCTTGGAGATAAACATCACGACTGCATACTCTTTGGTGCAAAAATTTTGCTTCTAATAATCTATCTCAAGGAAATATTCAGAGAAGTATGTCACCAAGATGAATGTATGTATATATGTGTTTACTTATTCAAGAGTATTTATTGAGCTTCAACACTGCATCTAGTAACAGTATATTCAACAAGACAAACATCCTGCTCACCTGTGTTGTACACCGTAGTGCAGGTTTACTCAAACTAAACCCACAGGCCAGGCCCCTAGGCTACCTGGTTTTGTAAACCACATAGCCATGCCCATTTGTTTACATATTGTCTATGGCTGTTTGCCTGCTAAAACAGCAGAGATGAGTAGTTGTGACAGAGACCATATGGCTCACAAAGGCTAAAATATTTTCTATGTGGTCTTTTCCAGGAAAATCTTACAAATACACGGTTGAATGACTGAAAACATAATTCAGAAAAATATATAAAGAATATTATTTTTATAAAATTCAAAACAAAGAAAAACTAAATATATTATCCAGCAGAAAACATGCCTGGGGTAAAGCTGTATTTTTTTAAAGCATGAGAAGGATGACTGCAGAATCCAGGATTGTGATAAACTATGGGTAAGAAGAATCAATGTGATATAGAAAAGAAACTCACAGAGTGTTTACAGCTTATTAGCAGCTCTTACTTTAGCTTTTACATGGGCTGTGATTTCACCAATGTTTGTTCCTTATTTGGCTTCATAGCTTATATGTACATCACATATTCTTTTGTGTGTCAAATATTATTTCATAAGAAGAAAATAAAGAAAAAAATGAAAAAGAATTGGTCACTAAAAATCTGGTTAGGAAGTCTGTACATGGGCTGGACAACTCTCTATTCAGGTGACTAAGTGTGCTATACCCCATAAGCTGTGTGATCCAGAAATGCCAGAGTATGGAGTCTTTTCCTACAGTTACAGCTTCTAGAAAATAATTCCTCTGAATTCCTTCAGGCATTGAGGGGTAGACCCTTACCTACTTATATTCTGTCAGAGGAAACTGGAGTTCTGGGGTTCAAAGTCATTAAGACTGATTTATCAACTACAAATACTTCTTGCCTCCCTGCAATGAAAGATGAGCATTTGCTCTGCTTGACAATTCCCTTAAGAATGTGTGAAGATTATATTGTTTTTAGTTACACTACTTGTTACTTTTTAAAATTTAAACAGCAGCTATATAGATGTACATATAGATATAATGTCTATACAAATTTATGGCTGTTTGTATACATATTATTTATACATATATAGCTATGTTTGTATATCTATATACACATAAATATCTTTGTATATCTCTCTATATGTATATAGTTGCATGTGTATGTGTGTATATTTCTATTTTCTATTTTCTATTTCCTCATGACATGGTGATCCTTGGAGTATATATACCTGTATGACAAAATGTACAAATGTACACATATGTATAGATATCTCATCTTATATAGATAGTTTATACATATATCTTCGTTTTTCAATCATGATCTTAATGATCACTATGTAAACTGATATGTTAATCTTCCATTTATCTTTCCTATGATAATCTTACAAGTTTCAGGGTTTTGTGTTTTATTTTGGGGTTTTGTTTTGGTTTTTGTAGTTTCCAGTTAACCTATTTTCCTTCTCGACACACATAAAAAATGTCCCTTATATTCTCAAGATATCCCATCATACCAATTATCCTAGCTGTTGCTTGGAATCCTCTTTTCCTTTGGATACTTGTCTTGGCAGAGCCCTATATCTTCCCAATCCAATCTCTACCAACTGCTTTCCAGGTAAAAAATGTTCGTTAATTTCTTGCTCCCTAGAATCTGAAAATAATCATCCTTTTTATTTTTATTTTGTTTTGTTTTGTTTTGTTTTTGTGAAACAAAGTCTCAGTTTATTGCCCAGGCTGGAGTACAGTGGCACAATCTTGGCTCACTGCAACTTCCGCCTCCCGGGTTCAAGTGATTCTCCTGCCTCAGCCACCTGAGTAGTTGGGATTACAGGTGTGCCCGCCACCATGCCTAGCTAATTTTTGTATTTTTAGTAGAGACGGAGTTTCTCTATGTTGGTCAGGCTGGTCTCGAAATCCTGACCTAAGCAATCCACCAGCCTCGGCCTCCAAAAGTGCTAGGATTACAGGCATGAGCCACTGCACCCAGACCATTGTCCTTTTTAAATTCTAGGAAATTGTAGCCTATTATCTTCTCAATAATTTTCTCTCTGCTTTTTCTATGTTCTTCTTTTCTAAAACTATCAACTGTCTGGCATTACAACTCCTGGTTTTATCTTGCAGGTCTCTTTTCACCCTGTAATTATGCTTGTCTTTTAATATTATTTTGCTCTGCGTTCTGGAAAATTTTGTCACTTTGATTTAAAAGGCCTTCTATTTAATTTTTTTTACAATTATATTTTTAATCTTTGAAAGGACTTTCAAATTCTTTGAGTATTCTGTCAATTCTCTTCTTATTTTATTTAAAAAATGTTGATTTTCTGAATATTCTAATCAGAGGTTTTTCAAAGTTCTACTTATCAAAACACACTTCCTCTATTAGCTTTTTTGTTTCATTAAGTTTTTTATAATCTTCATTCCTGATTTTCAATTTCCTCATGACATGGTGATCCTTGAGTTATGTTCATATTTAAGAATAAAAAAATGACAAGGCCAGGCACGGTGGCTCACACCTGTAATCCCAGCACTTTGGGAGGCCGAGGTGGGCGGATCACGAGGTTAGGAGTTGGAGACAAGCTTGGCCAATATGGTGAAACCCTATCTCTACTAAAAATACAAAAATTAGTTGGGTGTGGTGGCATGCACCTGTAATCTCAGCTACTTGGGAGGCTGAGGCAGAAGAATCGCTTGAACCCAGGAGGCAGAGGTTGCAGTGAGCTGAGATCATGCCACTGCACTCCAGCCTGGGCAACAGAGAGAGACTCTGTCTCAAAAAAAAAAAAAAAAAAAAAAAAAAAAAGACTAGCTGGTAAGCATTCTTTGCTGTGTTCTAGGAAGGTCTAACTCCTCACTAGGCCTGTCTCTTTAATGTGAGTTGTTTATAGGGTTCTGGGTATTACTTGGCATTTTCTGGGCTTTATTTAAAAGCACATGTGTTCGGGTAGGAGTGAACTATATTTAGGCCTGCAGTGCCACAAATATCACAACAAAAAGAGTTTTACTCTGGAAATAATTAGCTTATACATTTATTTCCTGATTTATCAACTTTAGACAAGAGTTCTTTACCTTTTCAGAAAGAGTGGTGAGGATTTGTTTCTTTCACTCTTCATCTTTCTTCGTACAACTACTAAAAAATTTAATTCTGTCTCTATTCCTGGTTTCCAAGCCCACCCTCCCATATCCCGTTAGCCCTCATGCTATTCTTTATCTAAGAGCCCCTAATGGAGTTCACATTTCCTCCCTCTTTCCTGACCGTTTCTTTATATGGAATCTTCCCTCTCCTGGATAAAACTGTCTTAAGGAACCAGTTGAATTTGAGCCAATATGGCAAACCATTCCATGTTAAAGGATGCTTTTGAGTCAGACTCCCTAGAAAACATTGGAATTTTAACTAACTTTCTGAATCAATAGCTTAATCCAAGTTGCCCCTACATGTGTGAGAATGGATTGGATGATTTTAAAATCTGAGCAAGGTTTCTAAAAGAAGTACTTTGAGACACTGGGAACTGAAAATGAGAAGGATAAAGAATTATGAGTGTATTTGGGATGCTGAAAGTGAAATAAATACTTACATAATTTAAACACCATAACCAATAAGGAAATTCTGTTTTGTTACTTTAAAAGAAGTCCCAATGCTGGACGACTTCAATTTTAGGAGATTCAATAGCTCAGTGACGTCATGGAGGTCCAGAATCTTTATTACTTTCATCTCTGCCAACCTCAGGTCAGCAAACCCTCATGACCACAAGATGGTTACCCCTGGTGGTTTACTTATGTCTCTTCTTGATTATAGCAGCATTCTGAAGCCTCCCTGTTGAATTCCTCTTCTTTCTCATTAACCAACATTAGGTCACATAATCTTCTAATCAATCACTGGAAAAAGGAATGAAATTACTGTGATTGGCTTAAATTAGTCAGGATTTACCCTGAACAATGTGGAAGGGGAGAAGGGATTGAAAATTTCAGCAAAATTGGAACTCTGCAGTCAGAAAGAACAAAGAAATTATTTAGAGACAGCAGGCAGCCAACAGTGTCTTGTTTAGTCTTAACTATTGAACCATCAGAGAAGCTAAGAGAGGTGGCTTCTTGTTTTCTTTCAGTGATTCAACATGTGCCATGTAAGCTTAGATGTGAATATAGAGAAGACAATGAGGATATTAATACCATATAGTTGATCAGAGCCAGAAGCAGGCATTCTTCATAAAAATATTCATCAGTTTGAAAAGGGGATCAAAGATAATTTTTTTTCTGCATCTATGAAATGACTTTTCTCTCTTCCTCCCGCCTTTTTTGTTTCACTGCTGGTGAATTCCAGTGCATCTTCTTAGACCATAGAGACTGTAGGCAGACTAAGATATAGTTCTTCTCCTGATATTTTATAAGAGTTTAGTATAGTAGATGGTAAAATTTTGAAGCACCTTACTCAATGCAGGTTTGAACGTACTCACTAGCAGCCCAAGCCTGGTACAGCTTGATAAGGGTTGCCAAGGAGACAGACAGCTGGTTTAATGATAGCTGATAACAGTCCTTTCAAAGGCTTCACACAGTCGAGGAGGGGAAGGAAAGTGAGGGAGAAATGGAAGAGGGCTGAGATGAGTAGGTGCACTGAGAAGGTTTCCCTTCAGCATTTCCTCCTCCTAACCCAGGACTTAGCGGTATGATGGCGATATAACTTTATTACAACTAAAGAGCTTATTGACAGGCACACAATGCTCTCTAACCAAGCTAATTTATGTTCTGCTTATGTCGACCAGCGCATAATGCAATGAAAATTATATGGGTTTTGAAAAAGTAAAGTGAACTCTGTAGGGTCTCGTTCAATTAGTTTCTCCACAGAACACAATCCATGTAAACTGGCAGAACCACTGAAATGCATCCCTTCCTCAACCCCACCTGAAGCACAGCCTGCTGTGAGCTGGGGCTCACTTGCTCTCTGAATTTGTTATTTGTGATCTGAAAAATGTCATTTTTATATCCTCATTTCTTTCCATGACTTGTTATTTGTAGTTTCTAAGTACATTCAAAGCTATTTAATTACCTAATTTTAAATGTAGACTAAGAAAAAAGACCCTGCAGGCTAGATAATCTGTCTATCAATACTGAAGTCAAACAAATAAGACAAAATTTAAAATCTTTGCAAACCCATTCAGGATTTTTTTTTAAATCAGATACTGAACTATTTAAACAATAAGGCCTAACATTTAACAACATTTTATAATTGATTTTTATTGCTCTTTGAGTTTGAAGCGATGGAATGGGCAGATCTGACAGTCTTTTCAATTTCTTTAATGGATAACACATTTCACATTTAACTTTCTGGGAGTCTCAGGTCTGGGACCATGGAATTTTGGTCTCTTCATGAGCCGCCCAGTAATTTAGCCCCACAGATAACCTGGAATTCTTGCTGCCTTCCTGGATGAAAGGCATCTTCTAAGCAATCTTGGAGGGTCTGAACTAATTTCTCCAGAATAAGTTTGTTGACACATGCAGTTTGCCATGAGCGTCTTTCTGCTAGGTAACCACAGTTTAAAATAGGAAGTTGTAATCTTCAAATTTGAAGGGTTTTAATTCATATAATTTTAGAAAAGAATAATAAATAATATAATGTTTTTTTAATAATTTGCCACTGGTAATCAAGTTTTTGAAGGACAAAATCAAGCTGCTTAAAAAGAAACCATTTATATGTTAATGGGTATGAAAGTTTAAAAGAAGAAAATATGTATAATTTTTGTAATAGTATCGTGAAACCATAGTATAGGAAAATATTTGGGGCAAAGGAAGTACAGCAATGTGTCGCATAATGTCAGGAATATGTTTTGAGAAATGCTTTGTTAAGCGATTTTGTCATTATGTGAGCTTCATAGAGTGTATTTACACACACCTAGATGGTATAGCCCACGACATTCCTCAGGCTATATGGTATAGCCTGGGTTACAAACCTGTACAGCATGTTACTGCACTGAATCTTGTAGGCCTTTATAACACCATGGTGAGTATTTGTGTATCTAAACATACCTCAACATAAAAAAGGTGCAGTAAAAGTACAGCATTATAATCTTATGGGACCAACTATGTACAGTCTGTCGTTGATTGAAATGTCTTTATGCAGAACATGACTGCAATGTCTTGTCCACCCCTCTGTTTACAGAAAGATAGTCTTTTTTCCCACAATTGTTTTTTATTCTTTAAAATCAGAAGAAAAACACATCACCTCATAACAAATTTATCACAACTAATTTTAGCTGGGCATGGTGACTCACGCCTGTAAGCCCAGCACTTTGGGAGACCGAGGCGGGCAGATCACTTGAGGCCAGGAGTTTGAGACCAGCCTAGCCAACATGGCAAAACCCCATCTCTATTAAAAATACAAAAATTAGCTGGGCGTGGCGGTGCGCACCTGTAATCCCAGCTACTCGGGATGCTGAGGCAGGAGAATCACTTGAACTCAGGAGGCGGAGGTTGCAGTGAGCGGAGATCGTGCCATTGCGCTCCAGCCTGGGCAGCAGAGCGAGACTCCATCTCAAAAAAAAAAAAAAAACAAATTATATCACAACTCATTTTGAATCTCAACTATTTAGATATTTTTATTATTAACCCTATTCCAATCTATTAATTTTTACTCTGCTTGTGTGTGTGTGTGTATTTGTATTTTCCTTTGACTGAAACTGTCATCATGCTTATATTTACTTGCTTATTACATGTCTCACCAAATAAAATGTTAAGTTCCATCAAGGCAGGGATTTCATTTTGTTGACTACCCTATCCCAGGAGCCTATAACATTGCCTAAGATGCAATAATTTTTTAAATTAATTTAATAAACACTGGAACTATTTCTCATCCAGAGTACCTCAGTCTTATATTAGGGAAGTAAAATTACTGTTTCGCCAAAACATTTTTGAGATTGCTTAAATTCAGTGTTCTTGTAGGGGCTGTCATATTCAGCTAAACACAATGGATGGATATGAAGAAATTATTATTTTATTGAAAGACAATACTTTAATGGATTAGCAAATAACAAAAGATGACATCTAATTAATTGTATCGTAAATGATAAATTACAGAAGAGTTCTTAAAAGGTAAAGATCAATATGTAGTGGAGTCAGGAAGTTCAATAGACCCTTGACATGGGTTAGAGCTGAGTTGTGTCCCCCTGTAAAATTCATATATTGAACTCCTAGCCTCCAGCACCTCAGAATGAGACTGCATTTGGAAATAGGACCTTTAAAAAAAGTAAAGGTAGAATGTGTTTGTATGTTTGGGCCTTAATCCAATGACTGATGTTCTTCTAAGAAGCAACGGTAAGGAGACGGCCAGTGCACAGAGAGGTAAAACAAGGCACAGGGAACTGATGAAGGCACAACCTAATTTCTCCTTACTACTTATAGCAAAATGGGAGAGGAGAGAGATAAGTTGAAAGAATTGTTACACAAACAGAAACTGGAACTTGAAGATTTGAAAAATTCTCGGGCTGTCCACGTTGCAATAGATGAAAAATTACATTCTGGGAAGAAAAATCAAGAATGTTGCTGTTTGATAAAGAGATTACAGGTGTGTGACTTATGGATCCAATCAGCCATATCAGCAGAGGCAAGGAATAGAGATGGGGTTGTACCGGCAAAAATGCTGTTTTGGACTGAAGGAAACGAGGATGAGACAGTTAAAGAAGACTATCTGACTTCTGGGATTCTACAGAATGATCCAGTAGAGATATTTGGCAGTGAACATGTGTTATCCTTCAAGAAAAAGGAAGAATGACCCAGAAGGCAGTCCAGGCATCCACAGAACTGCTACCGCCCCACCACAGACCCAGAGGACACAGGCCTGGGGTAGAGTGCTGTCTCCCCCTGAATTCCAGAGGTGTCAGGGCCACTGCCCAAAATGGAGGGGGCAGGATCCTTGCCCTGATAATCCCGGAAGACAGAGCCACCCCAGGGAGACTGGAGACAAAGAGAATTATTCCTGATCCTTTAAAATGTAATGAAATTTTCCTTGCTAGGTTTCAGACTTGCTTGGGACCCATCACCCATTTCTTATTTCTGATTTTCCCCTTTTGGTATGGAAATGCCTCTTTCATGGTATTTTAAAAGCACACGTCAGCCGGGCGTGGTGGCTCACGCCTGTAATCCTAGCACTTGGGAGACTGAGGTGGGAGGATCACTTGAGGTCAGGAGTTCAAAACCAGCCTGGCCAACATGGTGAAACCCCGTCCCTACCAAAAATACGAAACAATTAGCCGGGCGTGGCGGCGCATGTCCATAATCCCAGCTACTTGGGACGCTGAGGCAGGAGAACTGCTTGAACCCGGGAGATGGAAGTCGCAGTGAGCCAAGATCGCGCCACTGCACTCCAGCCTGGGTGACAGAGCAAGACTCCGTCTCAAAATAAATAAATAAAAATAAAAATAAAAATAAATAAATAAAAGCACACGTCTCATTTTGTAGACTCACAGTTGAGGAGTTTTGCCTCAGAATAAACCATACTTCAAGAGACATTAATTTTCTCACAGTTTTGCAAGTCTTTACACCATTACCCTTCTGTGCACTGGCCATCTCCTAATCTTTGCTTCTTAGAAGAACATCAGTCATTGGATTAGGGCCCAAACATATAAACACATTTTTCCTTAATTATTTTTTTAAAGGTCCTGTCTCCAAATACAGTCATATTTTGAGTTGCTGGGGGCTAGGAGCTTAACATATGAATTTTTGTTACATTAATTTGTGTATGATTTGAAATAGAGCTCAAGGTTTGTTTTTACTGTATAGACATTCAGCTTTTCTACCTTAACTCATGGAACATATTTGTTTTTCTATGGAATTACTTTAACATCTCTGTTGAAATTAGTTTATTGTATAAAGATAAATATTTCTGGACTTGATTCTGTCCTATTAATATATTTGAATATTCCTATGTCAATATGATGGTCTTGATTATTCATAATAGAGAGTCTTCAAGTCAAATAGTGTAAACTCACAATTTTTGACTATTCTAGATTCTTTATAATGTGTTTGTTAATTCTTGATATTAGGGTTATTCTGGCCACATAAAGCTAGTTGGGAAGGGATTCCCCTTTCACTATTTTCTAAAAGAGTATACATTAGACTGTTTTTATCCCTTGCAAGTGTTTGACAATAAAATACTTCAGGTTTGAAGAGGTCATTGAGGAAAGAGCTTCACAATAAATTTGATTTCTTTAATATGTACAAGTTTGTTTAGATTTCTATTTTATTCGTGTGAAGTTTTGACAGTTGTGTTTTTCAAGAATTTCTATTTCTATTTTTATGCTCTTAGTGAATGGTGTAAAGATGTCCAAAATATTCCTTTATTGTCTTTTTAATGTTTGTAGGATCTGTTGCAAAATCTACTTTTTTATTTGTTATAAATAATTTGTGGTTTTTAAAATATTATAATAATTTGGGTTTTTTTCGGTTTTTCTCCTTGATGGATCTTGCTAGCATTCATCAATGTTTTTCAAAATTGACTTCTGGCTTTGGTGATTTCCTCTACAGTTTATCTATTTCCTATGTATTTGATTTATTCTCTATCTTTATTATTTTTTCCTGTCATTTATTTTGGGGGAAATTTTAATAATTTTTTTCTTCATTCTTAAAGTAGAAAATTAGATCAATCAATTTTAATCCTTTTTTCTGAATTTCAAAATTATAAATGTCTAAGCATTTTTAGGTGCTGCCCACAAATTTTGATATGTTACTATTTTGCATTTTCATCATAATTTAATTCAAAATAATTTCTAATACTTTCTGTGATTTGTTTGGCCCATAGTTTATTTATAGTCTGTTAATTTCAAAATAATTCAGCTTTCATTAAAATTTTATTGCTATGGATTTATAAAATAATGCTACTGATATTAAAAAACATACATTGTGAAATTTTATGTTACACCTTGCTTAACATTCCATGTGCATGTGAAGGAGTATGAATTTTGTAGGTATTACTTATACCATTTTATAGATGCTAATTGGGTCAGGGTGGATTCTAGTGTTATTGAAATATTTTATATTATTCTAACTTTTATCTTGTTACCCTATCAATTACCAAGGCCAATATCTTGCTTTAGCTATGTCAATATTACTTCATATATTTTTAAGTTATTAAATAAGTACTTACACATTTATGGTTGTTTTAGTTTCATGATTAACTGAATCTTTATCACTACAAAGTGTCCACTTACTTTCTTGAAACCTATATTTTCTGTTATTAATATAGCCACCCAACTTTTTCATGATTAGTGTTTTCTAGATGCATTTTTCTTTTTACTTTTAATTTATCTTTGTCATTGTATTTAGACTATGTCTCTTGGAGACAACATACGAATAGGCCTTGCTTTTATATAGTCTGATAATTTCACTTTTTAATTTGATTTTTAATCCATTTACATTCAATGTAAATATTAGTATGATATTATCAGCCTGCCACTTTAATTCCTATATTGGCATTTTAGCTAAAGAATTTAAGAGTATCTTTAAATGACAATTCTTTGGAATATAATATACTTTCTTAACTTACCACTCCTTTAGATTCAGTATTTTACCACTTCCAAAGAAGCCATCACAAAAGACCACATATTATATAATTCCATTCATATGAAGATCCAGAATAGAAAAATCTACAAAGGCAAATAGTATATTAGTAGTCACGTAAGCCTTTTTCATTCATACAAAGAATAAGGCTTTTGGAATTTTTATACAGATTACATTTAATCTGTATATCACTTGGATCTTGGATAGTCTTCACATCCTAACAATATAAATCTTTTTTTTTTTTTTTTTTTTTTTTTTTTTTTTTTTTTTTTTTTTGAGATGGGAGTCTCGTTCTGTCTCCCAGGCTGGAGTGCACTGGCATGATCTTGGCCAGGCTAGTCTCTAACTCCTGATTTCAAGTGATCCACCCACCTCGGCCTCCCAAAGTGCTGGGATTACAGGCGTGAGCCACTGTGCCTGGCCTATCCACATATTTTTAAGTTTTTAAGTTTTTCTTTTGTTATTGATTTCTAGCTTCATCCCACTGTGGTCATAAAGAATACTTTGTGTGATTTCGATCTTTTTAAGTTTATTTTGGTACTTGTCTTGTGGCCTAACATATAGTCTATGCTGGAGAATGTTTTATGTGCACTTAAGAAGAATGTGTATTCTGCCATTGTTGGGAGGAGTATGCTATACATGTCTGTTAGGTCTAGCTAGTTTGTAGCATTGTTTAAGTCTTTTATTTCTTTATTGATCCCGAGATGTTCTATCCATTAATGAACATGATGCGTTAAATCTTCTGTTATTGTAGAACTCTCTACTGTAGAACCCTCTATTTCTCCCTTCAATTCTGACAATGTTTATTTCATATGTTTTGGGACTCTGTAGTCTGGCGAATACTTGTTTATAATTCTTATTTCTTTTCAAAGAATGGACTCTTGTGGCAACAGTTAATGTTTATCTTTGTTTCTTATAACAGTTTTTAAATAAAAGTGTTTTGTCTGAATTAATGTATTCATATCAGCTCTTTTATGCTTACTATTTGCTTTGAACATCTTTTTTTACCCCTTCACTTTCAATCAATTTATCTTTGGGTCTAAAGTGAAATCTCTTGACTGCATATAGTTGGATTATGTTTTACTGTTGTTATTTGTTTGTTTCTTCATTCTACTAGTCTCTGTTGTTTGATTAGAAAGTTTAATTAATTTACATTTAAAGTAATTATTGATAAGAAAGGACTTACTTCTGCCATTTTGCTATTTGTTTTGTATATGTCCTATAAATATTTTATCCCTATTTCCTCCATTACTACTTTTTCTTATTTAGCTGATTTTTTCATAGTGAACAATTTTTATTCCATTATCATTGCCTCCTACACACAGTTTTTTAGATATTTTATCTGTGGTTACAATGGAGATTACATTTAACATTTTAAATTTATAAGACCTACTTTGTATTGATACCAACTTAACATCAATAGTTTACACAATCTGTGTTTTACGTCTTTGTTGTTGAGTTGTATCTTTATACATTGTCTACTCCAATAATCAATTTATAGTTATTTTTATGTTTTTGTCTTTTAAATTCTTTAGGAAATAAAAAGTGAATTTACAAATCAAATTATCCCAATAATAACTTATAGATTTGCTCATGTATTCTCCTTAATGGGGATCTTTATCTCTTCAATATGGCTTTTAGTTAAACTGTGGAGTGTCCTTTCATTTCAACTTAAAGAACATCTTTTAGCATTTCTTTTTAAGATAGGTGTTTTAAAATGTAGGTTTTATTATTCAGGTATGGCAAGGCCAAAAGATCAGGGCATGATTGTTATTAAAAATATAGTTTGTTACTCACAGTCCCCAAGAGGAAGGAACACACCTCATCATAAAGGGCTGTACAAGGAAGCATCAGGATGGGTCAGGAAGCAGGAGGAACAGAGAAAACATGAGCAAGAGCCTTTACTGAGGTTTCTGTGACAAGGAATAGGTGAAGCAGAGTAAGCAGACTTAGAATTGACTAGTTTGAATAATTTCAGTGGGCTCTGTAGTGTACAAGCTCTCTTGAGTTGTCTGGTACTTGACCCTGGGGTAACTAGGCTAGGGGACTATTGGCTCAGAATGTAAAGAGGAAGTGATAGAGGAAGCGGGAAGGGAAGGCTGTCTATTAGTTCATTTATGTAAAAGCCATGCTCACAAACAAATAGTTTTCTATTTCTAGGAATTGGCTAGCCGAGAGAGGGGCAATCTCTCTAGGGTCAATAAGATGTCAGATGTCAAAACATCAAAATTAAAAGACATGGTTAATACAGCAGGTCTACCTTTTGTTTATCTGGAAATGTCTTAATTTCTCCCTCATTTTTGAAGAACAGTTTTGCCAGATGTGAAACTCTCAATTGAAAGTGTAGTTTCTTTCTCTACTTTAAATGTTATCCCAATGTCTTCTGTTCTCTTTGATTTCTCATGAGAAACCAGCTATTTATCTTACAGAAAATACCTTGTACATGACAAGTTGCTTTTTTCATGCTGTGTTTAAGATTCTTTTCTTGTCTTTGACTTTTGACAGTTTGATTTTAATGTGTGTCAGTGTGACTCTCATTGAGGTTATCCTGCTTGGAGTTCTTCGAGCACTTAGATTTGTAGACTCATGTCTTACATTGAATTTTAGGAGTTTTCTGCCACTATTTTGTTAAAATACTCTTTCCACCTCTTTCTTTCTCTTTTCTTCTGTGAACCCCATAATGAATATGTTGGTGCACTTGATGGTATACCACAGGTATTTTAGTCTCTATTTAGCTTTCTTCATGCTTTTCTTCTTTTGCTCCTCAGATTTGATAACTTTACTTATTTTATCTTGAAGCTTGCTGATTTTTTCTTCTGCCTGCTCAACTTTGCTACTGAACACCTCTAGTGAATTTTTTATTTCAGTTATTGCACTTTTCAGCTCCAGAATTTCTGTTTCCTTCCTTTTTATAATTTCACTTTATTGATATGTTCAGTTTGTTCATACATTATTTTCCTAATTTCCCTTTGTTTATACATGGTTTTCATTAGATTTTTTATCATATTTAATACAGTTGTTTTAAAGTATTTTTCTAGTAAGTCTGATGTTTGGACTTCCTCAGGGATGATTTCCATTGATTTATTTGTTTCTTTAGATGAGCCATCCTTTCCTGATTCTTTGTAAGCCTTGTGATGTTTTTTGTTGAAAACTGGACATTTGAGTATTATAATGTGGTAACTCTGAAAATCAGATTAACACCCTTCCCCAAAGTTTGCTGTGTTTTTTGTTTGCTTGTTAGATTAAAGGCTGTAATAGTCCACTTATTTAATGACTATCCCAAATAATTCTTGCAAAGACTATTTCTTGTGGTCACTTAGTTCTTTGTTCTTTAGCTTGTGTTAGCTAATGTTTTGAGGGAATTCCCTTGAATTTCAGGAGCTAAATATAAAATAAACAACAAAAGACGTTTTCTCTTGTCTTTACAGATTGGTTCTGTTCCAGAGTGCTTCTTCAACATATAGCCGGGCTTGCATTGAGCCCATGGTGAAAGTTGAGAATTTTCTTAGGTACTATCTAAGCATGTGTCTTACTCTGGACATGCATATGTCCTTCTAAATTTCACAATATACTTTTGTATGTTCCAATTTCCCAAAGAAATGTTCCCAGTTTTTGCTCCTTAAGCATCCTTGAGCATTCTGTTTTATGGTTCATCTGTCATCTTTTCCCTTGGGAGTCTATGAATTGTTAGTTTGGCATGCAAGTATTGTTTTTGAGCAGTACTTGCTGCTTTTCCAGCCTGAGTTTCAAGGTTGGAATAACAGAGATCAGCACCTTCAAGTAGCCTCCAAATATGTTAAAACATACATACACAACAATTTGTAAGTAGGGTCATCTCTGCTTCCTCCAGAAACAGAGGCTAGGGTCTCACAATGGGAATGAGGGTTTCTGTCTACAGGGAGAGGCAAGGGCAAGTAAAAATGCCAAAATGGTTTCCTATTATTTTTGAAGTCGCCTTTTATTTTTTTTTTTTGACTTAGTGTTTACTTGGCTATTGTAAACAGTTTTCCCATTTTCAGTGTTCTGACAATGTTGGTTCTGTCAATTCTGCCGGTTTTTCAATGTTTCAGTTTGAGGATGAGAGCTTATAATTGGTTACTTTGCAATTTTGTTAACATCACTACCGTTTGTTTTTATAACCAGTATTTACAACTTTGATTGTCTTTGTAACACAACATGAACATCTCAACTTTTATTTGAAGATATTAACACATTAGGTATACTGACAAACAATATATTGTCCTAAATTTCCTTGATTCTGTCATAATTTTAGTGCTTCATCACTTCATTTTTCTTTTAGCCTTTTTCTGTATGAGCTTTGGGCTATTATTTTTTAGTTCTTTTTTTCTTGTTATTTTATAAATTATACATTTTATTTGAATACTACTATTTATTACTTTTGAATTTTCAAAAAACATTCCTTAACTTTCTTTTATGTACTTATGAAGGTAAAACTGGAATGATATCTTTTGAACTTCCTCAATATAAAACAAGTATGTTTCATTGTTTCCTTGTTCTCCAATACCAAGTATAATATAAAGGGTTTTTTAGGGGGAAAAAACACCTTTTTTGCTAGTATAACATGAAATTCCAAAACCAGAGAATTGTTATTGAATTATTTCAAAGCATATACATATTATTTTTAATAATAATTTATACAATGACGTTAATTCTTAGAACCCATAATTACAACTTTTTAGACTTGACTCTGGACTGCAGTTTCCAGTTTCCACCATCAATCTTTACATACTGCCTTAGTCAGTTTGGGCTGCTGTAACAGAATACCATAGCATAGGTGGCTCAAACAACAAACATATATTTCTCACTGTTCTGGGGACCAGTCTAAGATCAGGATGTGAGCAGGGTCAGGTTCTTGATGAGGGCCCTCTTCCTGATTCAGATTGCCACTTTCTTGCTGCATCCTCACATGACGAAGAGAGAGAGCTGTAGTCTCTTCACCCCCTTATAAGCTCTAACCCCAGGACCTCTTCCAAACATAATTACCTTCCAAAAGTTCCACCTCCAAATACCATCTCACTGGGGATTAGGAATTCAATATGTGGAGTTGGGGAGAAAAATTTAGTCCACAGTATATGTCATACATTTCCACTTCATGATTTTTATTTTGATACAATTCTCAGTTGGTGAAGTATGTCTACAAGTAATTTTGTTTTAATATATGCAGGTAAATATCATCTTTTCATTAAAGTCATGTTTATTTTCTACATACTTAAATAGTAATTTAGCTCACTATAAAATTTCTGGGTCACAACATTACTCTCTCAAAATTCTGGAGATAATACAAACTCCATTATTTTCTGGAAATTGGTAATCAGGCCAGAATTCCTTTTATTTCTCTTTGGATAGCCTCTTTTTTCTGTCTAATTTTAATTTTTCTTTATTCTGGTAATTGAAAACTTTAGCTGGACTATATCTAGGTGGAAGCCTTTTTTCATTAATATTTCCTGGACTATAATAAATACTCTGACCTAGATAAACATTTTTTCATAGTGTCTGGGAGGTCTTTTCAATTATGCACAAGTATGTCTATGTTCATTGTTCTGAATTCTTGCTCAAGAATACCTATAATTTCTAAGTTGGATTACTCTTCTCTGTCTTTTATATCATTTATTCTTTTCCTTCTCCTCTGCTTTCTGGAAGATTTTCTTAATTTTTTCATATCACAACTTAATTTTCACATCATTTCATTTCTTTTCTTTACTAAATTGATAAAGATTTTGATTATGTCATTCTATATTACTATTTAACAGTCCTTGTATATTGTACTCTAATCTGTTTTATTTTTATTTTTCATGAATCTTATTGTGCTCTGTTTCATTTTAACCTCACTCTAAGTAATGGGTCTTTGCAGTTTGACTACCTGGTTTTCATTTCTATTTTTTTAAACAAAGGATCCTGATTTATCTTGGGAATTTACTCTAGTCTTTGTGACCTGGCAAGTCTCAGAGAAATACAGGAGTCTTGAGCTAAAGCCAATCAGCTAGATGATCTCCAGCCGCAGTGACTGTTTCCAGGAAGCACACATGACCCAGTCAGCCAATGAGGCCACAAGAGAATGTGCTGGCTGAGGGGCGGCTGCTCTGTTTCTACAGGGACATAACCTGAAAGTGTGGCTGATGTTTCTGTAGCCATCTTTCTCCTCTAAAGGAGAATCTTTTCTGAGGATAGAACACAGATAAAGGAAGAGGGCTCTCCTCTTCAAGACATAGACAGTGAGAAATCAGTTTATGAGAATCCTACTTGTGCCCCTCCAGACTATAAAGCCAGTATACCCCTGAATGCTTTGTTTAGGGGAGTTACTTAATTCCATTTTTGCTCTAACCATTTTCTAATTAGACTTTCTGTCAATGTCAAACAAAGAATTCTAACCAGTACAACCCATTCTCTTCTTGTTGCTTTCAGGACTTGTTTCTTAGAGGTCATATATTTTTTTCCTCCTATTGATGGATATTCCACTAGAAGGCATCCCAAATAGTCTTATGCTTCTCATGATAAAACATTTTAGGAGCTTTGCTGTTCCACTGAGTCTTCAGGATAACGTTCCCACTTCTACATACCAGAAAAGCTGAAGGAATTTTTTTCAATATATTTCTGGAGAGATCTGGTCAATGTATAAATTTCCCTTGGTCCCACTGAAAGGTGAAGCCAGCTGAGCTTCTGGGTTGGGTGGGGACTTGGAGAACATTTGTGTTTAGCTAAAGGATTGTAAATGCACCAATCAGCACTCTGTGTCTAGCTAAAGGATTGTAAACACACCAATCAGCACTCTGTAAAATGGACCAATCAGTGCTCTGTAAAATGGACCAATCAGCAGGACATGGGCGGAACCAAATAAAGGAATAAAAGCTGGCCACCCCAGCCAGCAGTGGCAACCTGCTCAGGTGCCCTTCCGTGCTGTGGAAGCTTTGTTCTTTCGCTCTTCACAATAAATCTTGTTGCTGCTCACTCTTTGGGTCTGCACCACCTTTATGAGCTGTAACACTCACCGTGAGGGTCTGCAGCTTCATCCCTGAAGTCAGCAAGACCACGAATCCACTGGGAGTAACAAACAACTCCAGACATGCCACCTTTAAGAGCTGTAACACTCACTGAGAAGGTCTGCAGCTTGACTCCTGAAGTCAGCAAGACCACGAACCCACCGGAAGGAAGAAACTCTGGACACATCTGAACAGCTGAAGGAACAAACTCCGGCCACACCATCTTTAAGAGCTATAACACTCACTGCGGAGGTCCGCGGCTTCATTCTTAAAGTCAGTGAGACCAAGAACCCACCAGAAGGAATAAATTCCAGGCAAACAACCTCAGAGATTAATTAGTGCAATTCCCAGCTGAATTCCCAGTGTGCAGCAGCATTCATCCAGGGCTGCACTGAAAAAGGACCTCCACTCTCTATTTGGAACATTTGCTTTGCACAGTCTTGGAATAGCTCTGCTTTCCAGCTAGAACTTTTATTAACCCATGTGCCCTCTGAGCAGAATAGTGTGGCTATAGCAGAGGGGTCAAGAATGACCCTCACATTCAATAATCCATGAATGTAACCTGTAGGACAAGAGGAGAGGATACCCCTTGTAATTTAGCTGTCGTACCACATGTACCAAGTACATGTGAGGCTTTCATAAGTTTTGTGTTGTGGTTTTTTAAGCAAAAAAAAAAAAAAAAAAAAACAATTGAGGATATTCTTTGAGACACTTAGGCCCCAGTGTTGTTGAGAAATCTGAGACACTCTCAGTACACCTAGTCATATTTGGGGAAACCTCGTGCTTTCAAAGCTCCCTATGTTGTTTCCCTCCTTCCTTCCCCACTCATTATGTGTTCCATATATGAAGGCTGTAGTATGAATAAAGACCAAGATAATTCTAGTTGTCTCCAAACACTCAATACAATTCCCTAATCCCCTCTTTTTCCATTAAGTTTGATAGAAGTCTGTTTTGACATTCATGCATTTGGTTACTGAAGCCTTTTTAAAATAACACATTTTTTACATAGACTAGCCTCTACTCTGATGAAATATATGAAAAAATTATTTCCATGCATAAACTCCTTTTAGTGCCAAGGCTTTTTTTTAAATCAGCCCTCACTATAACTCTTGGCATATAGGAAGTCTAGTCCTCAAGTGAGGGGACATCTACCAGGCCTTCCCCACAAGCTATTCCATATTGCTGGACTGAGGCTAATGAACAAAGCAAGTGCCAGTTGGGGAGGAGGAGGACACTATTCTGCCCTCACTCAGTAGCTAATGTATTTCTTGTTTGTTTTGTTTTTGTTTGTGGACGTTGTTGATGTTGCTGTTGCTACTTTAGACATACCAGGCCCTGCCAGGGTCCCTGACACAGATGCAGTCATAGAGTGGAAGGGAGAGAGAAATCATGTTTCTAGTCATTTCAAGGAAAGTGAAACTCCTTTGTTTCATAAGGCTAAGAATATATCACAGCCTGCTTTAATTTTTTCATTATATAGCTACATCTGCTTTATTGAAAATTCTACCCAAATTCTAGTCATATTTCTCTGCCTGCCTTAATTTTCTGTGGAATTCTGAGTTTTCACATTTTGCATTGTTTCCTAAGTATTGTACTGAGAGCTTACGAGGCTGCAAGTCAGAAGTCATTTTAAAACATTAGTCTGATTTATACCTTAAATATCAAAGATAACCCTGAAAATTTGCTGTGAAATAGAGAGGCTCATATCAGGAAATTCTGTTTGTGGCAACTCTACAATGATACAGTAAGTGACATCCAGGAATAGAATGTCTACTCCATAACCTCACAGGCATTTCACCTGTGGAATAAAGTCTTGGCATAGGTCAGAAGAAAGGAGTTTTAACATCGCCTTTTACCTTCTGAAGGTTGGATTATTCACATCATGAATGCTTCCCCCAGCTCACCTTCACTTGCAGCTAGCCTGAAGAAAAGTCTGCACTGTTCTTTCATTCCAGTCAGTCTGAAGCACATTAGAGAAAAGTTCCACTGCTTGCCCTATGTGACTGGTGTTATTACATTTCCCATCTCCCAAGCTCCACAGCCACTTATGTTGAGAGGTTTAAAAGATTTGTTGAGGGAAATGGAGGTCAGAAGTCTTAGGAACATAATAGCAGGTTTAAAACCATTTGCAGGACCATTTAGTATCACAGAAATGTTCCAACTAGTATCACAGAAATGTTCCAACATTAGAAGGCATAGTAATAAATGAAACTATTTACAGAAATGCCCCAGATTATAAGATTATACTAATAAATGAAACGATATGAATACATAGAATAGGCTACCAATAGCTTCTAGGGAGCTAAAAGTCTGCAAGAAATAAATGTTTCTATGGCCTCATATTTCTGCCTGATATTTTATTACGTTCAGAATCGTCAATTGCTCTTGCTTTAGCTTTTGGCATCTGCAAGTAAGTCTACTTTTATGGATAGTGCTCAAGTGTTAATGGTGATTATGACTAATGAAAAGCATAAATGTTTAAAAATTTGGAAGTTGTGCCAGGATCAACATTAGGGTTTTCTATTAGCACAATTGAGGTAGATTTTATGTTCATAATTTAATCAAAAACCATTGCTCTCTTTTCCTTTACCATAAAGCTGATTGAAAATTTGATGCTGTCTGACATAAAAAAACACTTCACATTACAGTGTCTTTCTATTCAGTAACCTATGTGCTCTTTTGGTGCTTTCCAAGGTTACATAAGGCTTTTCTGCCTTAGGACTATTTTTCTGTTACTCATAAAGTTAGCCTCTATAAATCTCCAGGGCTAAAGAAGTAAGTTCTTAAGTGACTTAGCAAAATGAGGTAAATATAGAACATTGCTCTTGCCTTTTTCACAGACCTAAAGTTGAAAGTATTGCTCTTAAGATAGTTATTGAAAATGTTTAATTCTGTTGAAGATGATATCTACATACAATGCTCTAATATAACTGACAGGAGAATTTTATGAAAATAAAAATTAATATAAGATGTAAATGTTGGTGGAGAAAAATAAACAGGGACTGAAACAAGGCCCTAGCAGCAGCTGATTTTGTCTTATTACCTTTTGCCAACTGCCCAGAAGCTGAGGCAGGGGAGGTAGAGAAAAGAAACATGTTAAACTAAATTAAAGGTTAAAGGTTAAAGTGCAAAAGCCCCCAGAATTTTGTATTTTTTAGAGGCCATGAGGTGAGCCTGCAGCTCCAGACCTGCATACAGCCCAGACCAATGGCAGCCAGAGCACTCTGTTGGCATGTGACTACCCCAAAGGACCTGCAATGAATGGCATTCTCTTAGTCACTAGATAACACCTAGAAATACAACGCGGGGCTCTACTAAGTAATACTAGTGTGCTGTCTATTAAGCACTCACTAGGGGGCCAGTTACTGTGCGTCTTAGTCTAAACTCATTATCTCATTGAGTAGGCATGACTTACTGGGGTAGGTATTATTATATTATTCCTGTTTTACAGAGAACACATCTGAGTTTGGCAGAATTAATTGCTTTCCTCAAGTCACTAACCTCATAAGCATGAGAGTTGGGAACTGGATCTCAAGGCTTTGTCTTAACCAGCTAGGCTGCACCAGAATCAGAGAATCAGACCTTTGATGATTCTCCACGGCCACCATGATTTCCAATGATTTTGCCAATAATACTAACCAAACTCTCCCCAAATACAGTGACACATTTTAAGGGACAAAATGAAGGGTTGGAAAGACACCAGCTTAAGCAAGAAACTCAGCCCCATTCTGTCTGAAACAGACGGGAACACAGAGATCACAGAGAGTTTATTGTCAAATATTTATTAAACCAGTATTGTGGGCTCATTTCTATGCTAAACCTTATCAGATTATAGGAGAGATTCTGGTTACTACTGTCAAGGAATAAACTGTTTCTGTGTAAACTAAAGAAAGTGATGTATTTGCTTAACTACAGGGCTCTATGTTGAATGAGTAGACATATTTCTCCTGTCAAATAAAAGGTAAGAAATGGGTAATAAAGACTTGTTTATTGTGGGTGGAAGTATATGGAACTGATCAACCTGAGTTGGCTCAAACATCACTGAGTTAAGCGGATGAGATAAATGGGCAGAACCACCAAGCAATACAGGATCACATATCATCAAATAACATGTAGAATGGCCAGGCAGTGGGGGAAAGAGGGCTGACATAGGTATAGCTTTCTTGTAGGAATATTTTGTTTGGACACTAAGTTATAGGGAAAGGGGAAAAAAAAATCCCTAAAATTTGGTACAATGACTGAGCCAAATAGTCAGATGGTGTTTGTGGCACTGGTTCATTAGAAATTGAGATATGAGGGCCGGGCACGATGGCTCACACCTGTAATCCCAGCACTTTGGGAGGCCGGGGTGGTCGGATCATGAGGTCAGGAGATCGAGACCATCCTGGCTAACATGGTGAAACCCCATCTCTACTAAAAATACAAAAAAATTAGCCAGGCATGGTGGCGGCGCCTGTAGTCCCAGCTACTTGGGAGGCTGAGGCAGGAGAATGGCATGAACCCAGTAGGTGGAGCTTGCAGTGAGCCAAGATGGCACCACTGCAACTCCAGCCTGGGTGGCAGACAGAGATTCCATCTCAAAAAAAAAGAAATTGAGATATGAGGAAGCCAGTTGATACTAAATAAGCATTTGTCAAATGAAGAAATAAATGGATGGATGAATGCATCATGCATCAGCAGCTACACAGTTATAAGTACTACAGTCTAAAACTCCCTGGCCAAGTATTGGTGGTATCACTGGTTATAGCATAGAAGTAATGTATTCGTTGCCTAGAGTTGCCACAACAAAGTATCAAGAACTACATAGCTGAGAATAAAAGAAATGTATTTACCCACAGTTCTGGATGCTGGAAGTCTAAAATCAAGGTGTCGTCAGGCTCTGCACCCTCTGAAGTCTGTAGAAGAGAGATCCTTCCTTGCTCTTTTCAGCTTCTGGTCACCTCAGACATTTCTTGGCTTGTGGCAGCATCGCTTCAGTCTTCACGTGGCTGTCATCTCCCTATGTCTCTTCACACAGCCCTCTCTTTGTGAAGACAGCAATAAAATGGAATATCTTTCCCAAGACCAAATTTCTCCTTTTTATAAGGACACCAGTTATATGTATTAAAGTCTGCCCTAATGACCTCATTTAAACATGTTTACCTCTGTAAAGACCCTATATCTGTGTGAAGTCACATTCTAAGCTACTACAGATTAAGATTTAAATGGATCTTTTTGGGAGGAGGGCACAGTTTAACCCTAAAAAGCACCTACCCACTCTACTGAGTTTCCAGCAAGGCTCAGTCAAGGCATTACAGTTAATTGATGAGAAGTTCTTTTAGACACTCATCTTGAAGACTGGGAATAAGGATAACACTAGTTCTTGGGAGACAGCACAGGATATACCAGTCACTCACTGGGACCACAGTGTCCGCCTCAGACGTCCCCAACTACTTGCTTTTCTAATGACCCCACGCCCTCTCTGAGCCAGTCCCTGAAGGGACATTTTTATACACGTGAGACAGATTGCTGAGTATCAACTAGCAAGAAAGGCTAATGCACATTCTTGGTTGTTTTTGAATGATTTACTCCATTACACTAATAAAGCAATAGAAATCTAAACCTAGTCAAATGTAAATATGAAATCAAATTGCACAATACAGCTAAGAAAACCTCTGACTAGAGGACCAAAGAGAGCATAGCTGTTTCCAAAGGCTGATTAACATTGAAGGCTGATTATTAATAATAATCCCATGATGAAAATGTCAGAAATGCAAAGGTTCACACAGACCAATAATAGTCCTATCATTATTTATAACAGCAAAAAATTAAAACCCAAATGGCCAACAATTAGGAATTGGCTAAATAAACTGTGGTATATTTTTTAGATGATGGGATCTTATGCACCCATATTAAAAGTGCATTGTCAACAAATATTTCATGGTAAAAGAAATGCTAAGCCAATGTTACTTAAAAGTTCAAAACCAGCATATTTAATATGACCTTAGTTTTGCAAACACTTGCTTAATACACATTCATATTATTTACATACCCACTAAAGAAACTAGGAGAAAACATACATATCATACATCAAAATACATATTTACATGTATATTTTCACAATATATTTTATATCTAAATGTATATAGATAAATGTATCTATTTATTTCTTCATAGTGCTGTTTTCTAATTCACACAAAGTCACCTCTGTGCCTGCAGAGGCCCAGGCACCAAGGAAATAAACCTGTCCATGAGTAGCAGGGCCCCGCACCCCAGGCTAGAAATGGGGCAGGACCCCAGGTTCACAAGACTAGACTCGCAGGACTCTGCTTCCAGAGACAGGGTTTAAAATAGAGCTGTAATCCCAGGAAAGACCATTATACTAGCTGAGTAATTAATAGACTTAGGAAAAATGCTGCCTGCTCTATGTTTAAAGTCAGCTTGTGGAGAGCAGAGCGGGGATGGCAGGTGCCAGCTGCCCATCCAACGTTCCTGGAGACAGGGGCTCAAGCAGAGAAACTCAGGTGGAAAATTTAGGAGCCCAGTGAGCAGTCCTAGGCCAATCCCTTCAGTTCTGTTTGAGGGACAGGTTTTGAATGGACAAGGGTTAAGGTGGGAGAGAAGATGGAGGCTGCCGATCCACTTCCTGTCGTAAGCCAACTGAGCTCAGGAATTGGAAGTGGTGCCCCAGAAATCACAAGTGAGGCCACCAGGGGCCCAGCTGTGAATTGTGGTGCCAGGCAGAGTCTGAAAAATCAGGCAGGGGCTGGTCCTCACAGAAAGCAGAGTTTCCTGTGACAATTGCAACTTTGCAAATTAACAAAGTTGGAAGGAGAATTCATGACAAATAGTCCAGCTTTAGGCATAAAGCTGAACCCGAAGGCAATCCTGAAAGGATGATTGGAGGTCACGCCACTGCACTCCAGCCTGGGTGACTGAGCGAGATTCTGTCTTAAAAACAAACAAACAAAAAACAAAAACAAAAACAAAAAAAAGGATGATTGGCCACTGGCACTCAGTCTCCTCTGTGGTGCCTTTGAAACCCTGTAAACGCATTTTAGCATCCGCCAGGTAGGCTTTGCCAAGACACTTAATGGAGTGTCACAGCAGGTTGTTTTACTGCCATCGGCCAAAAGACTTCTGTAGCAAACATAGACATTGACTTTGTGATATTTTCCTAGGGTTTTTCAGTGTGCAACCTCCTCAGCCTTATGAGGCAACCCTCACTAAAGACATTGATATCCAGCTACATCCTCTACACCTTGCTGCCTACCTGATGAATGCCCAGTGCTGATGGTTTCCAGAACTGAGTCCCAGGCTGCCCTGGACGTCTGGACTCACTCCTAGAGCCCATGTGTCTCCAACTGTCAAGACTCTTACTCTCCAGCCCACCCCGTTGCCAATGCCCATGTCCAAGTTATGAGAGTGAGTTTTCTCACTCTGAAACCCATTTACCCAACACCTATTTAATGAGCAGTTTCTTTGTTTCAAACCCTGCTGGATCTCAGGGATGCAGAGACAAGTAGGACTCACTCCATTCCACTAAGTACCTGGCAGGTTTTGGACCCCAGTCATTATGTTGCAAGTTCTCTATACAAATATCAGCTTATTCTGAAGAGCTTTCCCAACAACCTCTCTGAAATGTCTAAAACTCTAACCCTCCTACCATTTTTAACCAGCTTGATTTTGTTTTATTGCATTTATCACTATCCGATATGCTATCAATGTATTACCAGCCCCCTATGAGAATGTAATTCTATGATGATGGGATACATGTTTCCTTCATTGCTGTATCCTTTGCACACAGAGCAGAGTCGGACAAATAGGAGGCACTCAAAGAATGTATGATGAGTGAATGAGTGGATTTAATTAATCATAGGATAGACAATGGTATTTTCTGGACACACACGGTAGGAGACTTAGGACAGAGGAGAGAGAAGGCAGGCAAAGGGAGACTCCGAAGTCATCACACTGCACTGAGTATTGCATCTTCTAGCATTTTTGTCTATCTAACCCCTCCCTACACTGTCTTGAGGACACGGAACATGTCTAATTCATCTTTATAACCCCAGCATCTAGCCCAGTGTTTATTCCTTAGATTCTAATGAATATTAGTTGCCTACTTGGCCTTGTTCTAGTTGGGTATAAATTTGAAATACGAATTACGTAGTTTATGAAACCAATAATTTTATTTCATAATTTCTTCCTTATCTCATAGAAGCACTTTCTAAATAGAAAGTTTCTTTCCACTGAAAGCTTAGAATGAAAAGAACATCCAGATACTGATTGAGCATCTCGAATCCAAAAATCTGAATTCAAAATATCCCAATAAGCATTTCCTTTGAGTGTCATGTCAGCACTCAAAAGCTTTGGATTTTGAAGTATTTTGAATTTCAGATTCCAGATTTTCAGGTTAAAATGCTCAACCTGTATATGGCATCATGGTTCCAAATAAAAATAAGCACCAATAAATTTGAAGGAATACCTAGTTTCCAGAAAACTTTGATTTAGATTTTATCCTCACTTTGTTTTCTGTTCTTGTCTCTTGCTTGTGTACAAATTCTCTTAGTCTGTTCAGGCTGCTATAACAAAGTACTATAGACTGGGTGGCTTATTAAAAAATATTATTTCTCACAGTCCTGGAGGCTAGAAGTCTGAGATCAGGGTACCAGCATGGTCAGGTTCTGGTAAGGGTCTTTCTCTGAGTTGAAGATTGCTGGCTTCTCACTGTGTGTTCACATGGTGTAAAGAGGACAAGAGAGTGCTAGGGGGTCCCTTTCATAAGGGCATTTATCCCATTCCTGAGGGCTCTACTTTCATGACCTAATCACCTCCTAAAGGCCCTACGTCCTCATATCATCACATTGGGTATTAAGATTTCAACATGTAAAGTTGGGAGGCCCACAAACATTTAGTCTATCACAAGAACAACAGTGCTGTTTTAAAAGACTACAGTGGACCCAAATTATGGTCGTGTAATCAGTCAACAACATATTTAAAGTGAAATCAGATGTCTGTCTCCACTAGGAATCTGATGATCCTCTAATTATCCCCTAGTGCAGATGTTGGCAAGCTATTAATAAAAAGCGTTATTAGGAATAGTGGCAGCAGTTAGTAAATGCTGATATAAGCAAGTTCAAAGCTGCTCTCTCCAAACATATCTTTCCAAAGGCAAATGTAAGTCAAGTTAATCTAACAGCCTTCTATCACAGCCAAATCTGAGCGGATCTGAATAGTTCTTGATAGTCATCCATACAATGACCTCCCCCAGTCTGTATCATTTTTAAAACTCTTCCTTTTTATGTAAGTCTCATTCCTGAAAGAATATATAACATTATTCCAGATGGCTTTGAATAAATAGGTATTGTTTCTTATTTATCTTCCTTTGAATCTTAATGAACAATCCGAGTGATAATCGTGCTGTTTTATATTTGTCAGTTTTATAGTCCTAAGCTTAAATAATCATCAGCAAGTTTGGAAGCAAAAGATGTGTTTTCAATATGACAATAAATTATACATGCTAAATGGTTCTCATTTTATTAAATGAAAATTAAGTCCTAAGTTCATATAATCTAAACTATTACATTAATGCAATATTTGGATATTTTACTTATACATCAAAGACGATGATACAACCAGGGCATGGAAATAAATGAATTGCAGTCCCTCTTCAAATTCAGAATAACTTTATAGTTTCTGTTTCTTAAAATTCTTTACTGCTTTTCATAAGCAACATCAGAGGGAATATAACAAACACACATTTACAAAATTAATCATTTGAATATGAATATATAATTGGAGTCTTACCTTGACAACTACCTTTTTATTCAGCAGGTGCATAATTCCAGGAGCTACGCCTAGCATGGACAAAAGGGACCAAGTTCATGTTCTCATGATATTTGATCCTAGTGGTTAAATGCTGTATTTTATCGCAGTTATTTGTTCTCAATAACACTTTTTTAAAAATATTGCCATGTTTTTAACACCATTAGCAAGGAAAATTCAATCATATATCAGTAATTTTGAAGATAGGGTATTTCAAGGCAATTTTTTTTTTGGACATTTAACATCATATTCCATTTTTCATTATCTTCTTCCTGGATTGAGACATTTAGTAATTTGTAAATATCATGCATAACCAAGAGATGATTTTTTTTTTTTTTTTTTTGAGACAGAGTCTTGCTCTGTCGCCCAGGCTGGAGTGCAGTGGCATGATCTTGGCTCACTGCAACCTCCACTTCCCAGGTTCAAGCGATTTTCCTGCCTCAGCCTCCTGAGAAGCTCAGATTACAGGTGCCCACCATTACACCCAGGCAATTTTTGTATTTTCAGTAGAGATGGGGTTTTGCCATGTTGGCCAGGCTGGTCTCGAACTCCTGACCTCAGGTGATCCACCCGCCTCAGACTCCCAAAGTGCTGGGATTATAGGCGTCAGCCACCAATGCCTGGCCAGGGATGATTATTTTTATTATGCCTATGTTTTTTTTAAAAAAAATCTTATTTTCAATTCAACACAATCCAAAGTCTTGGCAAATATCAGATACCTTAAGCTCAAGACCATATTTCCAGACTGCCAAGTCTCCCATTTCCATTAATCCATGTACACATAACCTGGTGTGCTCATGAAACAGAGAGCTCCAGGAAATGGTCCTGTTTCCAAATCACACTTCCTTCATTCAAATGTGAGCCAAGCAAGCCTCTCACCAAGGTATGAGGGCTTAAAAAGTGAAATCAGCTTTCATGATCTGAAGGCTTATGTTGCCAAAGTTCCACTTCAAAGCTCTCAGTGTCTTACTGCAATCACTTGCTTGCTTTTCAGGTGTTGTAAATGAAGGCAAGGGACTCACAGGGTTTCTCACTGAGGAGACTACATTAAGGGCTGGCAACAAAACAAGGCAGGAAGCCTAGGCAGAGTTGCAACTTGAGAGGCAAGGCAAAATGGCTCAATCTGGACATACAAAGTTGCCTGTCTGGGGAGCATCCAACTGGAAGTATCTGCTAAGCAGATGGATATGCCTTGCTAGAGCTAAGGAGGTTATAGAGTCATCACTATAAAGACCACAGCAAAATCCACTACAGAGATATTGCAGGTGAGAAGTCAACAGGGCCAGAGAGGGAACCAGGGGGAGTGCAGATTATTCTTGAAAGGAAAACAGCCATTAGAGAAGGCGGAGAAAGAGCAATCAGAAAAAAAGGAGGCAGGAATAATTGGTTTCTTAGAAACCAAGAGTGAAAAGAGTTTTAAGAAAATTATCTACAAAATGCTCCCAAGAGATTGGGTAAAATGAGAGTTTAAAAAAGCGGTGCTTGGGCTAGGGTGTTAGGAAGTCAGTCCCTGGCAATGTTTTCCAGAATTGATTCAAGGAAGAAGGGAGGGGAAAGCCTGGCCAGAGACATATGGCAGGGGTGAGGTAGGGAAGGAAAGGCTGATCAGACAGTGCTTTCTTGCAGCTTAGCTATGAAAGGAAGGAGAGACATGAGCAGGCACAGAATTAAGGAAGGGATTTTTTTGTGGTACAAGAAATCTGTTGTGTTTCTAGACTGTGAAGAAAGAGCCAGGAGAGAAAAGGCAGTGTAAATGAAGAAGAGAATGAGTAACTGATAGAGCAAGAACTCATAGCAAGTAGAAGGGATGAGATTTAAAGCAGGAGAGAAGAAATCAGCCTTGAAGATGAGGGAAGGGGAAGGAAAGCTGCAGACACAGGCATGACCCTCAGGGTGTTTCCCATTTATTTATTCTCTGACTTCATAGTTCCATTCGAGTGACACCCAGCCACTGCAAAGTGACTGTGTTTCAGGGCTTCAGCCACCCTTCTGTGAAGAAGTCAGTTGTCCAATTTGAGTGAGTTATACAAACCTAATTTTAAACAATCTGTAAGCTTAAAAGCATGGTGAAACCCCTTCTCTACTAAAAATACAAAAATTGGCTAGGCATGATGGTGCACACAGCTACCATGAGTAGCTGTAGTCCCAGCTACTCAGGAGGCTGAGGCAGGAGAATCGCTTGAACCCGGGAGGTGGAGGATGAAGTGAGCCAGGATCATGCCGTTGCACTCCAGCCTGGAGAAAGGGTGAGACTCCATCTCAAAAAAAATAATAAAATAAAATAAGCTTTTAAGGTTAAAAAAGAAAATGGTATAATGACTAAAATAATTGACTTAACATTCTCTTGTTACAGCAAGTAAAGATATTATTAGTTGCCTTGTAGTGGTAATTTATTTGTTTAGTTAGTTACTTAGTTACTCTGGTAATTGTAACTAGGAGTAGTTAAATTTTTTGGAAACCTCTTTTCCAAAGAAATCGATTAGCACCAATTGTGCTGAAACTAAAACAATTTTATTTGGCAGGTCTTTACAAAGATTTAGTTGGTAGACTTGAGCTTTCTAAAGGTGTACTTAGAATTGGCAGCTAGCTAATCCTGGGAGGCCATTTTTAAAATCTAGAATACCAAAGTCTTAATGATGTTTTTTAAGGAAAGAATATAAATCAATGTAGCTTACTTTTAAAATGCCATACTCTCTTGTATGACTAATGTCATACTTTCCTGTAGTAAGATGCAGACGACACTTTGGTGGGTAAATCAGTAGAATGACAGCTTGACATTATTAAACTCTTCTTGAAAGAACAATCGGTTTGTTCAATCTATGGTGACCCTGCTATGCCTGTCCTGCTGCTTTCTGGGCAAGTACAAGTCCACCCTACCAACGTTCATAGCCAAATGCCAACTCTTCTTTCCTCATGACTAGTATCAAAACTGTTCACTCTCACTGCAATCAATCATGTGCTGTGAAAAATTTTCACTGTTATCATTAGAAAACAATTGTGAAGTGATTAAAATTCAGAATCCATTCAAAGATTCAGAAATCGTGTTATTATTAGAATTTTTTTAAGTTCTTGCCCTGCATTTAAATAAACTTATAAGAAAACAAAACATTTGTTCTATGCTAACACACCTCTCCCAGACTCCCTTTATTATGACTTAATTTAATATTATGTTCTCTCCCTATACAGAGAGTAGGTACAAATGTACAGCCAAACGTTTTTGCTTTTGTGGGTTTTTTTTTTTTGTAAAATTATGGTTAAGAATATTTTTTCCCATATGCTGATCCTTTTCAGAATAGATCTGTTAAAAGTTTTTGAAATATTTTCTTCCAGGGAAAAAAATCAACAGATGAATTTTTATGCTTCCTAGAGTCAAAAATCAAAGCCACTTTATCTAATGAGTTTGGGGTTTTTCCCTTATTTGTCATAGAACTAATTTTAATGCCCAAGTATAAACCTGTGCTTTATTACATAAACCTGTTAGAAATTTGTGGGTTTCAATACTTAAAATCCTCAAACTTGACTACCTTTCTGTTGTTATTTTTGTTGTTGTTGTTGTTAATAGGCGACCAGCTCCTTCAGGGAAGGGTATGTTTGCTCATCTACTTGTAGGGTCAATTCATAACCCCACTCCCTTTCACCCATGACAAGTTCTCCAGCTAGACAGTGGGCAAACCTCCGCACAATCTACTCTAGCTCTTCTCTTCCCAGCCTGGGAACCCATTCCTTTAAATAACACTCTAAACATCTTAAGCCTGGCCGTGAAATTATAGTCAACTCTTGCCTGTCTCTCAAAACACTGGCAGTACATCAGAAATTGGTAAAATAAAGGGCTGCCTCTGGTAGTTTTGCTTCAATGGCTAGTAAGACCTTTGGGTCATTACAGCTCTTCACAGCTTGATGTGCCTGCACTTCAGAGCCCCATATATTTGACTGTAAAAGTATCATTTCAAGTTCACATAAATCCATCAGCTTTTTCCAGGCACTGGCCAAGCTCACATTTAATGGAACGACCTATTCAGGTTACAGCAGTAGTGATGATCGAAGCAGACAAATAAAAGACCAGTTGAAGAACAGCCAAAACCTGTCTCTGCTCACGTTGCTCTCAAGGTTGCCACGTCCACCTGACGTGCATCTGCATCCTGCTGCCCTGAGATGTTGCTAAGTGACCAGCAACCAGGCTCAAAAGCTACAACGCCTGCTGCTGCAGTGCAAAAATAAACAGTTCAGAACGCCAGTTTGGAACCAGTATCAGGAAGCAGTTGGATTTTCTGATGCAAAGGGGATTTTTGCTTCTGCCTGAGAACAGCCGGTGAGTCTCACAGCTCTCTGGGTGATCCCACTCCTCAGGGGGAGACAACAGTTATGTCGGCAGAGTGAAACCGGCTGCTGTCCTTAAGATTTGTGATTGCTACCTTATAGACTCTTCCATCTCTCTATGTAAATAAACCAAGCCTGGAGAGTCTCAAGGGCACCTCTGTCAAACAAAACAGACTTTGAACTTCTTCTGCTGGAGAGTTTTCTGGTAACATAATTTTCACTCCAGTAAAGGTACACAAACCAACGTGATGGTGGTGAAGCACAGAAAAGACTGTCATGAGCTGGAGTCGATACGTGTCCAATGGCTGCTTCAAGCACTTGGATTTCCTATTCCTTAGAGAAGTAGATATAGATTTCGTTATACTTAAAAATCACAAAGTTCTATGCATTTGGTTTCAAGCTAGCCTTTTTTGTTGATGAAGTAAAATATCAAAGTAGGAATTTTCTATCCAAGTTCAAAAAATGTTGATACTAAGAAAATTAAATTAGATGTGGTTTGCTTACTTTTGAATATGCAATCATAAAAATAAATACATACATCAACAAAATTGCAAATGGCAAGTTTATCGTGAAATTGTGTAACTCTTCTTCTCTTGATTTAAATAACTGGCATTGGCCAGACTGGGTAATTAGAACTCAGCCATTAAATCCAGCTGATAGGAAACTGACAGGAGGTTCTCCTGGCCTTGAGTACCTGATGCCAACAGTCAGAATAGAGATGTACAAGTCAGCAAAAGCAGTGTGTGCACATGCATGTGTGTATGTGAGAAAGAGAGTAAAAGAGAGAGAAGGAGAGAGAGAGAGAGAAGGAGAGAGAGAGAGAGAAGGAGGGAGATTTTGGGTTAACAGACACCACTACCACTCTCTGTGATGCATGTTTGTCTGCAAAGGTGAAGTACGAACAGACCCAAAAGCAACAGCAGAAAAAGGAAACTCACTGGGCAGTAGTGACACAGAAGTAAGTAACATTTTGGATATAGGCTATTAGTGATTGGAGAAATAAACATCTCCTTATATACCTCTCTGTTATGGACTGAAATATGTCCCTTCAAAATGCAAATGCTCAAGTCCTAACCCCAATACCTCAGAGTATGGCTGTATTTGGAGACAGTGCCTTTAAAGAGGTCATTAAGGTAAAATGAGATTATATGGGTGGGCCCTAATCCAATGTGACTAGTGTCCTTATAAGAAGAAGAGATTGGAGCTCAGACAGGCATACACAGAAGGAAGACCATGTGAAAAAAACCAACCCACTGACTCTTGAACTACCAGCCTCTGGAGCTGTGAGGAGCTAAATTCCTGTCGTTGAAGCTACCTGGCCTGTAGTCCCTTGTCATAGCAGCCCTAAGAAACCAGTACACTCCCCTTGACTGACCTCCTCCCAGATATCCAGTAGCTCTTCCTCTGAATACAGTCAAGTCCCTTCTAGTCTTAATGACCAATAATAGGCAGTGGTTTTGTGATTTCAAGAGCAGGGAGATGGCACCAGGAGAAGGTGGAGAACGTGTCCCTACCTTCTATGCCTTCCAAAATTCATACTTATCTCCTTTCTGGATTCATAGAAAATCAAGACCAAGTTGTTGTAAAAGAAATACATTTTCTTCATTAGACTTTTCTAAAATATTCTACTATCACAAATCAGTCAGACTCCTGTTAGCAGTTCACAGTTTTAACAGGGGAGAGACATTTATAACACATCCCTCTCAAGAAACAAGAATGTGTTTCTGTCATTGGAAACGAGTCCTGACATCTATGTATCACCTTGGGCAACACAATTATTTCTGTTTTAGTTACATAAAAGAGTCCTTTTGAAAGAATTACAAAGCATTTACAAATACAAGCAAGTCAAATGATAAGAACAGTTTTCTTTTTCTCCTAAAGCCTATCAAGCAATGGAATTTCATAACTGGATATCATTTTTCTCTCTTAGGGAAGATGTCAATTACATATGTAGCAACAGCAATTTTAATAGCAAAATATGCCTACATAAATTCTATGGAACTATATTGTTTGAGGGATTTAATAGCATTACTAAAGAAATTATGTGCATAACAAATGAAAAGCTAACTAATTAAACCAACAGAGGTTGTAAATTTGTCTTTTGTCCCTAGCTGTAAACAATGAAAAAGGAAGCTCAAATTCAAACATCTACTCTAGTTAATAATTTTCTGTGAAAGACAATATTGGTGGATAACCCAACTGACATTCAGGCTCCATTCTCCTTTGCCTGTCTTCACTAGAATCTTTCTTATCCTCCTTTCTAACCTCTCTTGCAATGCAGGGGAACCATGTGCCACACAATGAGATGAAAGTAAATGTCTTCACTGTGGGGCATGGGAAGGCTTGTAGAAAGGTGTTTGAATTTTTGATAAAATAAATTAATGAAATTGCACTATCCCTTTTCTTTCTTCCTCTCCTCAATATGCATGTGATTCTTAGAGGTGTGTAGCCTTCTTGTGATATAAAGGCAATGTGCATAGATATTAATGACTAACACATTGAGGATAGTGTAATCAAGACTGGGAGCAGGGAGGGAGGCAGGTGCAGTGGCTCACACGTGTAATCCCAGCACTTTGGGAGGCTGAGGCAGGCAGATCACTTGAGCCCAAGAGTTTGAGACCAGACTGGGCAACATAGCAAACCCCTGTCTTTACAAAAAATACAAATTACCCAAGCATGGTGGTGTCTGCCTGTAGTCCCAGCTACTCCTGAGGTTGAGGGGGGAAGATAACCTGAACCTGGAGGTTGAGGCTGCAGTGAGCTATGATTGTTCCACTGCACTCCAGTCTGGGTGGCAAAGTGAGACATTGTCTTAGGGTGAAAAAAAGCAAAAAGAAAGAAAGAGAGTGGGAATAAAAGAATAAGTCTTGCTGGCATTGTTGAGAAACTACAACTAACAAACTAACACTAGTGACCATTTGCCTCCAGACTTTCTTTTATACTTTATGAGAAAAATAAACCCCTACCAGTTTAAGGCATTATTAGTTGGATATTCTGCTACTTTTAAGTGAAATTACTCCCAACTAATTACTGTCTCCCTCTGGTTTGTAAGAGGATTGTGCATCTCCACCTATCTATTGTCATATAACTAGCAGTGCTCCCTCACTGTGGAAGCAGAACATCCATTCCCTATCGTTGTTAGGCTTGGCCAACTCAGGTACTTTGGCCAATAGGCACCAAGAGTTTTTCCCAACCATCTCATTCTATTCCCACTTCCATGAGAATGGTATGTCTGCCATGAGAAGGCCATGGGAATGGCTGCTCCTTCAGCATGTAGTGCAATAATAAGATGAGGTATGGAAAAGGTGAACAGCAGCCAGCTTATGGTAACCACTGTGCAACATGAGTGAGATTTGGAAGGTTTCTTGTTACCACAGCTTGTTGCAAAGCAGACAAAATACAAAAACAATACCAGAAATGGGTGTGGCCATGTGATATGCTTTGACCAATGAAATATGACCTGAAGTGATGTCTGTTGTGACAGGCAAATCACTCAGGGAATTTCCAGCAGCCTTTTGCTATATTCCCTTTGTAATAAAAATGACTTGTCTGGATCCCAGAGAAGAAATTAGAACAAAGTCCTAAGACCTGACCTGCAGCTGCTGGCAGGAAAAGTGAATGAGAAATAAAATGTCTCATTCACTTTGGCACTCATAAAATGTCATAAACAATGGCATTATTTTTACTTGAATTACCATAATGTGTGTGTATGTGTGTGTGTGTCTTAATCTTCTTTCTCCTGTTAGTTTGCCATTCTTAGACCCCAAGCCTTATGTCTTAGTCCCAGGGGAGTGAGAAGAGGGTCACAGAATCCTGACCTGACCTCTGCTGTACCACTTGGCAGAGATCTGTTGATTTGTCTGTAAAATGAATGTAATAATAAAGTAACATAGCATTTCTCAAAGAATGTTTTGAATAACCTAACTTCTGCAGGAAGTTAATAGGTGTTGCATGAAGAAAAAAGATAATGTATGATCAACTAAGTCTGAGAGATACTAGGCTAAACAAATTCAAGCAGATTTATTACCTTAAGTTTCCTCAGAGCTTTTAATGTGTTAATGTATATTGCAAATCTTGATGGAAGTTTGGTTTTCAGGTCTCCTAAACTGTCTTTTGTCTCAGGACCATTTTTATTTTCAGAGCATCTCTTAGAACCAGGGTTTCACATATAATAATTTAGAACACAAGTGTTCTACGAGTGGAAGTACACATTTGCCTAGAAGTGACCATGCAGCAATGCTTGTGAGCTGCTATTATTGGGAAGAAACCCACACCTGGACTCCGGCAGAGTCATGGGCCTGCCCATAAGGACAGTGGTTTCCAGCTCCTGCTCCAAGTAGCAGGTAACCCTTCCCACCAAAGTGGCTTTGCAAGGTCCCTACAGTTCACAGAGAAAGATGATCACCTGGAGATCATTCAGTATGCCAAACACCAGGTAATTCAGATTGCAGCCAGAAATGGTAGAACAGCCAGCATTCTGCAGAGCCTTAAACAGAAATTTATTATAAAAACCTAGTACTTAAAACTTTACTTCAAGTAAGTGTATAATCAAAGACCAAGAATTCTCTGCAATGAATAGGGCCCTGAGCAAAAATGGCATTCTCACCAGATAAAGCCTGCAATAAGAAATAAGGGACATAAAGGTGAGTGTGGAAACTGGAAGAAGGGGCTGAACATGGTGGTTCATGCCTGTAATCCCAGCACTTTGGGAGGCCAAAATGAGATGATTGCTTGAGCCCAGGAGTCTGAGACCAGCCTGGGCAACATAGTGGGACCCCATCTCTACTCAAAAAAAAATTTTTTAATCAGCTAGGCATGGTGCACAACTGTAGTACCAGCTACTGGAGAGGCTGAGGTGCGAGGCTCACTTGAACCTAGGAGTTGGAGCTTGCAGTGAGCTATGATCATGCCACTGCATCCAGCCTGGGTGACAGAGTGAGACCTTGTCTGAAAAAAAAAAGAAAAGAACTGAAACAAGAAAAAGGAACAGTGTAGAAAGTGCAAGAAGCAAGGAGAAGGAGAAAGAGGAGACCCAAGGCAAATCCTGAGACCAGTTCAACACATCTAGAGAGCTGTAAGAAAGAAGGACCAGCAATCAGTATAAGGTCACATTCAATACCCTTTGTAGTGAATTAATGTGTAGACTTTTCCAATAATGTAGATTTAATTCTGGGCAGAGAAGAGAAGAAAGGTGTCCAGTTTTCCCTCTTGCATCTCTGGAGAATGAGTGTGAGTAGAGACATTCCAGCCTGGGCCAAAGTGCATGGAGTGTACCTGGAGAGGCCTGTGGCAAGGTGAGAATGACAAATCAATATCATTGTCATAGTAGAAGCCAAGGTCCAAATGCAAGGCATGGATGGACATGAGAGAGAATATATTCCGGTCATTAGCAAAAAAAGAATGGAATCAAGACAAAATCAGAAATGCAGAGAAGCTCAAGGGGGCAAAGTTCAGTAGTACAAAGACTGTCAGGGTAGTCCTGTTGGAGCTTTAGGTTTCATGCTCTTTGGAAGAGCAGGCAGGCAGGTTATGGAGGTACCATGTTTGGACAGCTCGCCCTGGGGAAATAGTTATCTCCTCCACTTGTAGTTTCACTACAAAGCCCAGATGATACACAATTGCTGGCTGTACTCCTTTTTGGTCCTGTCCAAAGAGGACGCAGAAATCTGGCAGAACACTCAGCCCCCTGCTGCGTATGGAAGGCAGAACAGCTCTTTCTGCCTCCTGCAGGTCTCTGCAAGCCTGGCCTGCCAGGACTTTCATGCTGACCTACTTTTTAGTGCAAGGACTTGGACGTCTTCCCACCTGTCCTAACCATGGATGAAAGCCTAAAATCCAGTTATGGCACAACTTTCTTTTCCTCCTAGTTCCCTAATTTTTGCTCCTTCTCCATGCTGCTCCCTACTTCTCTGTATAGGTGGATGCCTTGTTAAGCCTGAGTGAAGAGACACAGTCCTTGTTAGCACAAACATACAAACAATGTGAGGAATAAAAAGCGCTTCCTTCTAGTCTTTTGGGTTCTCTGGCTCAACTAAAAATTAAATCAACATAGATGGATTAACTAGGGAAAATATTAATGACGTACATACAGGCTAGAGTCCAACAAAAATATGAGACTTCAGGAAGGAGCCAGATGATTGAGACTTACATATTATCCTGAGCTACAGAAAGGAATATGGGTTTGGGGCTTGTTTGGGGGGATGGGTGTAGAGACAAAGTATGGGAAGGAGAGGGAGAGAGCCTTGTCCTTTTATGCCAGGAGTCTCCCAGGTAATGAAAGTTGTCTTGGAATAGCTCTCTTCCTGGTACAATATCTTTACTCTGAAAATTTCTTTATAAATGTAAATTTCCTTTCAAAAGGGGAAATTTATATTAAATACTTTAGGCAGTTGACAGGGGGTGATATGGTTTGGCTGTGTCCCCATCCATATCTCATCTTGAATTGTAGTTCCCATAATCCCCATGTGTCATGGGAGGGACCTGGTGGGAGGTAATTGAATCATAAAGGCAGTTACCAACATGCTGGTCTCATGATAGTGAGTGAGTTTTCATGAGATCTGATGGTTTTTAAACGGGCTTTTCCCCCTTGGGTTGGCACTTCTCCTTCCTGCCATCATGTGAGGAAAGTCATGTTTACTTCCCCTTCTGGCACGATTGTAAGTTTTCTGAGTCCTCCACAGCCATGCAGAAACTGTGAGTCATTTAAACCTCTTTTTTTACAAGTTACCCAGTCTCAGGCAGTTCTTCATAGCAGCATAAGAATACAGGAAATTGGTACCAAGTAGGTTGCTGCTATAAAGACACCTGAAAATGTGGAAGCCACTTTGGAACTGGGTAACAGGCAGAGGTTGGAACAGTTTGGAGGGCTCAGAAGAAGACAGGAAAATGTGGGAAAGTTTCGAACTTCCTAGAGACTCAGAGGGCTCAGAAGACAGAAAGATGTAAGAAAGTTTGGAACTTTCTAGAGACTTCTTGAATGTTTTTGACCAAAATGTTGATAGTGATATGGACAATGAAGTCCAGGCTGAGGTGGTCTCAGATGGAGATAAGGAACTTGTTGGGAACTGGAGCAAAGGTGACTCTTGTTATGCTTTACCGAAGAGACTGGTGGCATTTTGACCCTCCCCTAGAGATCTGTGGAACTTTGAACTTGAGAGAGATGATTTAGGGTATCTGGTGGAAGAAATTTCTAAACAGCAAAGCCTTCAAGAGGAAGCAGAACATAAAAGTTTGAAAAATTTGCAGGCTGACTATGAGGTAGAAAAGAAAGCCCCATTTTCTGGGGAGAAATTCAAGTCAGCTACAGAAATTTGCATAAGTAACAAGGAAACAAATGGTAATCACCGAGACAACAGGGAAAATGTCTCCACCTAGGAGAAAAAAGTGGGCTGGGCCCAGGGCCCCCCTGCTGTGTGCAGCGTAGGAACTTAGTGCCCTGCACCCCAGCTGCCCTAGCCATGGCTGAAAGCGGCCAAGGTACAGCTCAGGCCGTGGCTTCAGAGGGTGCAAGCCTCAAGCCCTCGCGGCTTCCACATGATGTTGGGCAAGCGGGTGCAGAGAAGACAAGAATTGAGTTTTGGGAACCTCTGCCTAGATTTCAGAGGATGTATGGAAACACCTGGATGTCCAGGCAGATGCCTGCTGCAGGGTTGGAGCACTCATGGAGAACTTCTGCTAGGGCAGTGTGAAAGGGAAATGTGGGGTCAGAGCCCCACACAGAGTCCCCACTGAGGCTCCGCCTAGTGGAGCTGTGAAAAGAGGGCCACCATCCTCCAGACCCCAGAATGGTAGATCCACTGACAGCTTGCACCATGCACCTGGAAAAGCCACAGACTCTCAATGCCAGCTGTGAAAACAGTCTACAGGGGAGCTATACCCTGAAAAGTCATAAGGAGGAGCTGCTCAAGGTTGTGGGAGCCTATCTCTTGCATCAGTGTGACATGGATGTGAGACATGGAATCAAAGTAGATCATTTGAAACTTTAAGGTTTAATGACTGCCCTATTGGATTTCAGATGTGCATGGGGCCTGTAGTCACTTTGTTTTGGCCAATTTCTCCCATTTGGAATGGGTGTATTTACCCAATGCCTGTACATACATTGTATCTAAGAAGTAATTAAGTTGCTTTTGATTTTACAGGCTCATAGTTTGAAGGGACTTGCCTTGTCTCAAGTGAGACTTTGGATTTGAACTTTTGGGTTAATGTTGGAATGACTTCAGACTTTGGGGGACTGTTGGGAAGGCATGATTGTGTTTTGAAATGTGAGGACATGGGATTTGAGAGGGGTAAGGATCAGAATGATATGGTTTGGCTTTGTGTCCCCATCCAAATCTCATCTTGAATTGTAGTTCCCATAATCCCAATGTGTTGTGGGAGGGACTCAGTGGGAGGTAATTGAATCATGGAGGTGGCTATCCCCATGCTGCTGTTCTCATGATAGTGAGTGAGTTCTCACAAGATCTGATAGTTTTATAAGAGGCTATTTTCCCTTTGCTTGGCACTTCTCCTTCCTGCCATCATGTGAAGAAGGATCTGTTTTCTCCCTTCCGGCATGATTGTAAGTTTCCTAAGGCCACCCCAGCCATGCAGAACTGTGAGTCAATTCAACCTCTTTCCTTTATAAATTACCCACTCTTGTGCAGTTCTTTATGGCAGCATGAGAATGGACTAATACAAGAGGTAACAACCTTTTCCTGCATTGGCTGATTTTTAATTTCAGTCTGTTCAAAACAATCAATATGCCAAAGTTGTATACTTTGGAGTGACATGTCCTGAACTCCCACAGAGATTATGTCATAAGAAAGGGGCAGAAGAAGCATCACCAACTCTAAGGAACCAAAGTCTCTCCAGCCACCAAAATGAATGCAGCTGCCACTTAGGGGAAGTGGACAAGGACAGAACCACCCAGAGATGATGGTGAGAAAAGGCAGAAGGCCTGGGAGCTGGAAAATGACTCCATGGAGTAAAAGATCACAGCATCCTTTGGGACAAGACCGATGTTCATGACAAGGTAATAGCAAAATTATTTTCTTTCTGATGAGGCTCTGTTCTTATACTCCCTCCCAGAGGCTGCAGGCCTGATGGTTGTAAGCCTTACTGGGCAGAGAGACACCCAGCCCTGCCTAGAGGTGGTACTGAAGAAAGGGCTGGGGCTGCATGAAATTTTAAATTTTAAAAACCAACTGAGAGCCAGTTTGCTCTTCATTATCACTGTGCCCCAATACTTCTAAACAATATCAGTGACAAAATAGTCTTCTATGTAACATCTTTTTAGGTCTAAATTCTAGATCATTGCTATGCTTTCTGTTGAGTTTTGTTTTAACTGGAGTAAAATACACATAACATAAAATTTACCATCTTAACCATTTTTAAGTATACATTTCAGTGCCATGAAGTGCATCCACATTTTTATGCAACCATCACCATCATCCTTCTCCAGAACTTTTTTCATTCATTTTACAAAACTGAAACTCTGTATCCATGAAGCATAACTCCTCATTCTTCCCTGCCTCACGCCCTGGCAACCGTCATTCTACTTTCTGTCTCTTTGATTCTGACTGCTGTGGGCACCTCGTGTAAATGAAAATAGACAATAATTATATTTTTGTTGCTGGACTATTTCATTAACCACAGTGTCCTCAAAGTTCACCCAGGGTACAGTATGCGTCAGAATTTCCTTCCTTTTGAAGGCTGAATAATGTTTCATTGATGTGTATACTACATTCTGTTTATTCATTCATTTGTGGATGAACACTTGGGTTGCTTCTTCCTTTAGGCTATTATGAATAATGCTGTTATGAACATAGATAGGTATGTAATTATCTCTCCAAGATATGGCTTTCAATTCTTTTTGGTACATACCCAAAAGTGGAATTGCTGGCCATACGATAATCCTTTTTTTTTTTTTTTTTTTGTCATTTGAGGAACCGTCACGCTGGCTTTTTCCATAGTGTCTGCAAAATTTTAGATTCCCACCAATGGTACACAAGGGTTCCTTCCAATTGCTCCACATCCTGCCGACACTTGTTATTTTCTGGTTTTTGATGGTAGCCATCCTAATAGATGTGACATGGTATCTACTTGTGATTTTCTTTCATTTTCCTAATGATTACTGATGTTGGGCATCTTTTCGTGTGCTTATTGACCATTTCTACGTCTTCTTTGCAGAAATATCTATGCAAGTCTTTTACTCATTTTTAAATTGGGTTGCTTTAGGTTTTTTGTTGATTTGTTGCATTTTAATACTCTCTTTGTATGCTTCAAGCTAGAACTTTTCTATTACCTATCTTTTAATAAACATTATATTCAGCAAGGAAGATAATTTACAGAATGCCCATTGTGCAGTCAATCCCCCAGACAGGCAGACTCAACCACACAAGTTCTTTTACAGAGTATGTTTATAACAGGAAGGTTTCATATAACTTCAGGTGCAGTTTATTTCTCTAACCCATACAGAACCACATCTTCCTGCATTAAAATATATTCTAAATGAAAAATGATAGAACAGTAATTATGACAACAAAGAAATAGAATTTGAGCTATTTCAATTCTGCCATTCCATATGACCCTTAGAATTTTTATGTACATCTAAAATTTAAAACAGTGTGCTAGACACAAACTTGTTGTTTTAGAAAATTAATAAATTTTACAAATTTTAGTTTATGCATAAAACATTTTACTGAATCTAAGCAATATCTTTAAATTTGAAATGTGCTTGTTTTTAATTATTAGTCATCCAAGAAAATAAAATGTGACATTTTTAATGGTAGTCAAAATTGGATCATTTGCAACATTTTGGTGTTATTATATTTTTCTAAATAGAATTATTTTTCCTGGCATCTTTAGAAGCTTCAATAAAACACAGTGTTTATTGTCTGTATTTCTTTTCTGGCCTCTGTTATTATTATTTATGCCATTTTAAAATTATTACTGAAAATAATCTTATTGTATAGGGAAGAAAGGTGCTATCAGTGGTCCACACTGGGGTCACACACAGTAAGTGAGCCACCAATTTTCACACACTTCCCATGTCCTCACAAGCTTTCCTTTCCTGCATCAGGGGTGGCAGCAGGGGACTGTGATGTAGTCCGTGCAGAGCTGTCCTTGTCACAGGACAGAAGAGTACAGTGTTGTCCCAAATGCTCAAAAAGTCCCCACTAAATGACTGTGACATGATTAAAATCATCATTTTAGCAGAATGATTTTTAAAATAGCTTAAATATAGCAAGGGGATGAAGCAGAAGACAAAGAACCAGGAAGCAGCTGAACACAGAAATGCCCTCTGTGTCATAACAGTGACAGCCTTAAACAGCTCCCACTGCATTTCCCTCATGAGTGAAGGTTTTTCACTTGAACCGTGGGTAACACTGTACAACTTGTGTTCAACTCGGAGCTACTAGTCTGGAAAGATCAGCAGAACCTGAATTGAACATTGTTTCTCAGACCATCCAGACGTGAAGAGGAGGATGCCAGGACAGCCGCCCCACTATTTGGGAAATGGAACAAATCTGGCCAGAACCTTGCTGGTGGAGGCCGAGTGGCAGCTGCCGAATGCTAAGCTGAGAAATGGCTAAGGCTGCCAGAGTCAACTTTCCTGATCCTTTCGGCTGGCTTTGAGGAGTAAAAAAATCTGTGGTTTCCATAAATCCAGAGCTGCCTTGGGCCCATGTCCAAACTGGCCACTGTCCTTCTGTTCCACAGAAACTTTTTTTTTTTTTTGAGACTCCGTCTCTCTCTGTCACCTAGGCTGGAGTGCAGTGGCGTGATCTTGGCTCACTGTACCCTCCGCCTCCTGGGTTCAAGCAAGTCTCTGCCTCAGCCTCCCGAGCAGCTGAGATTATAGGCACCCACCACCACGCCTGGCTAATTTTTTTGTATTTTTAGTAGAGACAGGGTTTCACCAACTTGGCCAGGTTGGTCTTCAACTCCTGACCTCGTGATCCACCCGCCTCGGCCTCCCAAAGTGCTGAGATTACAGGTGTGAGCCACCACGCCTGGCCTCCACAGAAACTCTTACTGCCAAAGGTCTTGATCTCCTTTTCCTTTTTAAATAAAATGTGCTTTCTGCATTTAGCTTCTTTCCGAACTCCTCTACAGTGAAGCAGATGAAATGCGTTTGTTACTTAGGGGGAAAAGAAAATATATTCTTTGACATATAAGATTCTCTGCAACCCAATCCATTTTTGAATTCTATAGTGAAGTACAACATACAACAGAAACATGCACAACTTCTAAGTGAACAGCCTGATAATTTGTCACTAAGTGAACTTCCCATTGTAACTAACACCAGGTCAGGAAAGAAACCATTACCAGCCTCCTGGTAGACCTTGAGTCTCCTTCTAGTCCTTATTCTCTAGCAAAGTTAACCATTGTCCTCACTTCTATCATCATAGGTTAATTTTGCCTGCATTGAACTCTGTGGAATTTCACCATGTGTGCTCTTATATGACTGTCTCTTTAAGCACAACATTATGTACATGAGAATCATTTTGTTGTGTGTGTTCATTTATTCTCATTTCTATTTAGTATTCCATTGTAAGAGTATAACACAATTCATTTATCCAACCTGCTATTCATGGGCATTTGAGATGCTTTCAGTCTGAGGTTATTATAAATAGTGCTAACTGTGGATATTCATATACATGTTTTTGGTGTCATGAATTTACTTACTTCTCTGAAGAGTAGGATCTCTCTCAGAGTGCAATTGCTAGGTCATAAGATACGACAAATTCACTGATACTACCAAAGAATTTTTCAAGGTATTTGTACGGATTTAAGTTCTCATCAGCCATGCAGCCATGTGGTCAGTGCCTAGTAGTATCACATTACAGTTTGCATTTCCCTGATAACTAACACAGTTTATCGCCTTTCCCTATGCTTACTAGAATTTCAGAAGTCCTATTTTATTAAATACCTGTTTATGTCTTTTGCCTACTTTCCTGTTGGGTTCTCTGCCTTTTTCTTTTTTTGTTTTGTTTCTAAATATTTTTTATTATTATACTTTAAGTTCTGGGGTACATGTGCAGAACGTGCAGGTTTTTTACATAGGTACACACGTGCCATGGTGGTTTGCTGCACCCATCAGCCCATCATCTACATTAGGTATTTCTCCTAATGCTATCCCTCCCCTAGCCCCCCACCCCCCAACAGGCCCGGACGTGTGATGTTCCCCTCCCTGTGTCCATGTGTTCTCATTGTTCAACTCTCCCACTTATGAGTGAGAACATGCGGTGAGGTATTGCTATTCACAAGAGGCCATTAGCTGCGGGGGTTCTGCCTGCAGACCTTGACCTAAATGACAGGTGAATAAAACGTACACTGGCACACAGGTACTCTGTTTTGCCAGTCCAGCTGAGTGTCTGACCACCTACACACAAAGAAAGGCTTGTTACTGTGGCTGGCCTTGAGCAGCTCGCACTCTAGGCATTTATTTGTATACAATTAAAAACAGAAGTTCTGAGTCAACACACTTGTGGATTATTAATGTGGTTAAGAGAGTAGTTCTAGGAATTATTAAAGCTCAGGTACTGCTGTTTAAAGTAAATACTGTTGGGGGCAATATCTTTAGTCGACTTCCTCCTGGGAGGGCTATCTGGCTCAAAGGTTAGTTAATGAAGGTACGGTAAACAGACTTCACTGGGGAAGCCTCTATTGTCCTTAGTATTTACCTTATGACTTAATGCTCTAAGGTAAGAACTGCCTGCCTTCAGCCTGTTCAATTATTACAAGCTATGTAAACTTTTGTCTTTCTAAAAGGTTTGTGACTATTTCCTATAACTTTCCTTAATATTTCTTTTTAATATTTCTCCACCATCCTAAGTGAATCACAACAATACAGTGTTTGGTTTTCTGTTCCTGTGTTAGTTTGCTAAGAATTATGTTTTCCAACTTCATCCAGGTCCCTGCAAAGAACGTGAACTCACCCTTTTTTATGGCTGCGTAGTATTCCATGGTGTATATGTGCCAGATTTTCTTTATCCAATCTATCATCAATGGGCATTTGGGTTGGTTCCAAGTCTTTGCTATTGTGAACAGTGCCGCAATAAACATACATGTGCATGTGTCTTTATAGTGAAAAGATTTATAATCCTTTGGGTATACACCCAGTAATGGGATTGCTGGGTCACATGGTATTTCTGGTTGTAAATCCTTGAGGAATCACCACACTGTCTTCCACAATGGTTGAACTAATTTACGCTTCCACTAACACTGTAAAAGCGTTCCTATTTCTCCACATCCTCTCCAGCATCTGTTGCTTCCTGACTTTTTAATGATTGCCATTCTAACTGGCATGAGATGGTATCCCATTGTGGCTTTGATTTGCATTTCTCTAGTGACCAGTGATGATGAGCATATTTTCATGTGTCTGTTGGCTGCATAAATGTCTTCTTTTAAGAAGTGTCTGTTTATATCCTTTGCCCACTTTTTGATGGGTTTGTTTTATTTTCTTGTAAATTTGTTTAAGTTCTTTGTAGATTCTGGATATTAGCCCTTTGTCAGATGGATAGATTGCAAAAATTTTCTCCCATTCTGTAGGCTGCCTGTTCATTCTAATGATAGTTTCTTTTGCTGTGCAGAAGCTCTTTAGTTTAACTAGATCCCTTTTGTCTATTTTGGTTTTTGTTGCCATTGCTTTTGGTGTTTTAGTCATGAAGTCTTTGCCCATGCCTATGTCCTGAGTGGTATTGCCTATGTTTCTTCTAGGGTTTTTATGGTTTTAGGTCTTACATTTAAGTCTTTAAGCCACCTTGAGTTAATTTTTGTATAAGGTGTAATGAAGGGGTCTAGTTTTAGTTTTCTGCATATGGCTAGCCAGTTTTCCCAACACCGTTTATTAAATAGGGAATTTGTATAGCCAAGACAATTCTAAGCAAAAAGAACAAAGCTGGAGGCATCACCCTACCTGACTTCAAACTATACTACAAGGCCACAGTAACCAAAACAGCATGGTACTGGTACCAAAAAAGATATATAGACCAATGGAACAGAACAGAGGCTTCAGAAATAATGCCACATATCTACAACCACCTGACCTTTGACAAACCTAACAAAAACAAGCGATGGGGAAAGGATTCTCTGCCTTTTTCTTACTGATCTTTATAGTAACAGAGAAAGAACATAAATGAATGCCTTGTTTGCAAATTTTTACAGATATCTTCTCACACTCCATGGCTTGTCTTTTTACACTCTTAGCAATGTGTTTTAATAAACACAAGTTCATAATTTCAATGAAGACCAACTTGGCATCTATGGTTAGCTCTTTTTGTGTCTGGTTTAAATCTTTGCCTTATCCAAGAATCCAACTTATTTTCAAAGCCCTATTTAAAATCAGACAGTCTGGCTAAGTATCCATCTCATTTGAAAGCTGCTGTTCCCTATGGTAACCCCTCTGAACTCTGTTTTTCCTCTCTTCTTCTTCCCCACAATATGTAAATGCCATGAACAATGATGTTTAATTCCATGAGTTTGATTATATTGCTCTGTTAAAGTACATGAAAATCTCCCAGCACCGTACCGAAACTTGTCTCTTGAGTCTTTTACATATCTGTAAAATTGTACATATTGGTTTACAAACCAATCTTTTCACTGCCACTAGACAAAGAAAGAACTGTCACTCTGGACCTGCCACTCTGGTGAGGCTATCTACAGCTGCCTTTCTTCTAGGAAAGAAGAAATTGTTCCTACACTGACAGAAATTGCCAACAGGAAAATCCTTCATCTGGCTTTTTAAAACATTCTTTCTCAGTAATGAGTTTTGAGATTTTCATACACAATCTGCTATACCAAAAGCCAATCAAAATTTTGGTTGCATTTGTGGCACCGAGAAGACTGTGGAATTTGAAATCAGAAAAATTTGAACCAACTTGCAGCTCCATTGTTTGCTTTTTCTTGGCCACTGGGGGAAGTAGAGTACTTAAACTTTCTGAACTTCCGTTTCCATATCTGTAAAAAAGGAATGGTAATGACTATTTGATAGAGTCTGGAGGGGCCTTAGATGAGATAGATAAATTATCTGAAAATATTTGCATACTCTAAAACATGCATACATTAAAAGTCACCCATATTATTACTGCAATAATTAGGAATTTTAAATACAAATTCATTAGATTGATAATAGCAACTAACATTTATTGAACTTACTGTATGTCCTCTGCAGCACTCTTATAAGCATTTTACATATCTTAACTCATTTAATTTCTTCAACAACCTATAGGTAGGTTTTATTAAAATGCTCATTTCCAGATGAGGAAACAGAGGCACAGAAAGATTGAGTGGCTCAGGGAAGGTCATACAGCTGCTGAAGTCAACAGAATGTTAGTCCAGGGGGAAGGCTGCATGCAGAGTTTACCTGCCTAAGAAAATTACACAGTCCCCATGGTCTTGGGCTTGATTTATAGAGAATCCTCAATGCCATATGGTGAGAACGGTAGGAGGGATTTGGAACTTCTGGCCAGACATCATTGTTAGACTGCTTCAGTGAAGGATGGGTTTCTATCACAACTTCACAGAACCTTTGTTTTAGAAGAAGGAAGGGAATTAATATATGTTGAATGGCTACATAAATCTGTTATTAGGTACTGTACAACCTCATGACACAGATATTGTTATTACCCAATTTTATCAATAAGAAATGAAGATTTATGAAGATCAAATGGCTGGCTTAACATTCACAGAGTTAGGAATAGCATCAAAACTCAGACTCAGGTATAAGCAGCTCTTTTTCCTAGTGGTCCAGTGTGGACCACGGTTAGCACCTCTCTTCCTTATACAATAAAATTATTTTCAGTACTAATCTTAAAATGGCATAAAAAATAACAATAATAGTGGCCAGAAAAGAAATACAGAAAATAAACATTTTATTTTTTTGAAGCTTCTAATAATGCCAGGAAAAACAATTTTATTTAGAAAAATAAAATAAAACCAAGCTTTTCACAATTCATCATTTAACCAAAAAGCATGTATCACTTGTATCATCTGAAAAAAGGGAGTTAAAATAAGAAAATATAGATATTCTCTAAATTTGAATTGAAAAAGTAGACTATAGCACACATGAAATAAGATAATTTCTCATCATCCTTTCTACAAAGTCACTTGGTTTAGGTTCCAATCACACCAGTAGGCAACCTAACTCTTCAGTCTCTTAGCTGTGTATGCAAGTTTGAAAGATCTCTCTCAGTAGAAAGCTGATTGGCTATTTTAAAGATATTATGGTCTGCATGAGAGTAACTGGAAAGATAGGAAGCTGAAAAATGATGAAGCCATTTTGGGGAACAATGAGTCCATTAGGAAAAATTCTAATACTTCTGGTAGCAAAACTATTTTAAGTCATACTTCCTGAACAAGAAAATAAATGATTCTTTTTGAGTTATGGGGTAATAGCCTTGTGCAATAATTTATGAGGCTTATGTTGTAGGTGTTTACTATAAAATATTCAGTTTCTACATGTAAATTAAGGAAGGCTGCAGTAACAGTTTGCATAAAAGGGAAATACAGCCTTTTTGCTGCCTGTTTTTCTCACCGAAGAAAAGACATACCTCTGTGAGTACCCATGGTAGTGACAGAATGTGTCAAGAACACACATCAATCTGACCGAATATTTCACCTCCATGCTGTGCAATGCTGTGCAGTGCCATGGTCACATTTAATGCACCAGGGAGAGAACAAAGGAAGCCTATCATCTTTAATTATTAAGCACTGAAGAATAAAGGCAGAATGAGAACGTGTGGAATGTTCCCTTAACACCCTTCCAGGTTCCCAAAACAAGCTGGAGTTGATTCGCATGAACCCTACTCTTTCACAAACACAACCTTCTGCAGAAGCATTTCAGAAATTGCTCTGAAATTGTTTCCTACATTTTTTTGAGAGAGAAGCATTGTCTGAAACTATCTCAAGCATTTTATTCTATAGTACAGGAACTATTTTTATCATAAAGAGAACAATCCCTTTCTTAGAAGGGTACTGATTTAAGGATTAAGATGGGTTAGATTTGGTCGTTTGTTTGTTTTTTTTTTTCCAGAGGAGAGTCTACATGCTATTAAGAGCATGTAATCCTACTGTCTGCTGGCTCCATAACTCCCACATACTCAGTAACAAGTTCTTATAACCACCTTCCCTGCCACTGAAACAGCCTCCATTTCTTTCTTTGAGAGCTTGCTTAAATAGTTTCTACAAATGGGATCCATGGGCCCCATGGCAACAGGCAACAGGCAAGACAGACAATGGCAACTTCCTGTTGTCTCCCCATCTTCTCACCTTAATGTCCCCATCTCTGATGCATAAAGCCACTTGGAAAAACCTTGTTTTCAACACTGTACATCATGAAAATGCCACTGCCCATGCCAGAAGGGCAGTCGCTGCATATTCCTAAACCATCCATGCCTTAACACGGCAGAGTCCACAGAGCCCTGTACAAAGCTGCCGAACATCATGCTTTCCCAATCCTACAACACTGCTATTGGGTTTCACCAAGTCTCTCCCAAGTAATTTTGTTAACTCGTATCCCATATACCTTGCCCAGAATAATAATGCCATGTTTCTTATGAAAATCAGTTTCAAAGACCCATAATCATGCTATCTCAAATCCAATCTGTGGAATTTGAAGGGAAACAGTTGCCATAATATCTCCTCCGTATTCTACCACTGTCACCTAAAACCCCTCCCACCTTCACCAATTACAGAAATTCTCCTGTGTGTCCAGATTCATGTAGGTACTGGGAAGGGAGAAGAGAAGATGAGGTATGGGAGGAGAATGGGGATGATATTTATATGGATAGGAACCTGGCCTCAGCTCAGCCAAACTAAAAGCCTCAGATGTAAGGTTGAGGAATGCTGGACTTTATCTACATTCAAAGACGAAAGATTCCTTTGTTAGGATTTTCACTCGCGCCTGTGTGAAGAGACCACCAAACACGCTTTGTGTGAGCAGCAAGCCTATTTATTTCACCTGGGTGCAGGCGGGCTGAGTCCGAAAAGCGAGTCAGCGAAGGGAGATGGGGTGGGGCCGTTTTATAAGATTTGGGTAGGTAAAGGAAAATTACAGTCGAAGGGGGGTGTTCTCTGGCTGGCAGGGGTGGGGGTCACAAGGTGCTCAGTAGGGGAGCTTTTGAGCCAGGATGAGCCAGGAGAAGGAATTTCACAAGGTAATGTCATCAGTTAAGGCAGGAACAGGCCATTTTCACTTCTTTTGTGGTGGAATGTCATCAGTTAAGGCAGAAACCGGCCATCTGGATGTGTACATGCAGGTCACAGGGGATATGATGGCTTAGCTTGGGCTCAGAGGCCTGACATTGATCATACATCACACATGGCATTTGCCCTGTAGCTGAAACAATATATTAGTTTCAGCTACAGGGCAAAACTGAGAGCTGTTGACCAGAAAGTAAGAAACTTGGATTCTAGGGCTTGTTCTGCCCCTCCAGCCTGTGTCCACAGACACATATGAGGGCAAACACCCTTGTCCTGTCCACAGCCCCATCAGCACAACTTGACAACTGTCCAATGAGTATTTTTAGCTGAAATTTCTTTGTGCTTTCGCCACCATCCATAAAGTTGAAATGATAACAGCTATCTTACGTGCCTAATGAGGCTTTAAAATTAAAACATATGTGTGAACACGTCTACTGAATGTTCCCTTTCTCCATGTGAGTGAAAACCCACCTAATGAAGTCTGATAAGCACAGCATCGTGCTGCTATGACTCCTCATCTAGGAAAAGAACCAGGCCCAGCTCGCCAAATCCTCCTTTGGAAGCACTCCAACATCTCCTTCAGAGCTCCGTCACCATCTACGTATATGAGTACCTCCTCCTCAAGATAATCGGCTTTCATTCAAGCCCTAGCCTTCAAAAAGCATTTTTAAAATGTGTTTATTGTTCTTTTCATCCCACATATCTTCTACTGTGTTTCACTGTTGTTGCAACAGCCAAAAGGCCGCAAGTTCCTGATACTGCAACTACCAGATGCTGGACTCTTCCTGCGTCTGGGTTCCCAAACCACCACGGAGAGCAGGACCCCTGCTGACCCTCACAGGACATGTAGCAAGAGGAAGAAGCATGCTTTCATTGTGTTAGGGCACTGGAATTTCCAGGGTTAATCTGTGACCTCTATGTAGCCTCTCCTATCCTGAGAAAGTCAGGCTCATGATAAAAACTCATTTTAGTTAGGCTTTTTAATGGTTTCTAACAACTTGATGAGTTACGAACATGCTGAGAGACAGCAGCCACAGTAAAAAGCCCTGTATGCCAGGGGTCAGGGCCCTGTATTCCAGGGGTCAGGACCCTGACCCCAGCCCCAGCTGAACCCACTACTTGCTGTGTGACCTTGGTCAACCCATTTTATTTCATTGTGTTGTAGATTGGCTCCTTGTCTTCTTTTAACAAGTGAGAAGAGAAGACTAAATTAGCTTTTTAAAGAGCTTTCAGATCTAACATTCTATAAATGAACTTCTGGCTTCCTGTCTAGGAAGGTACCCAGTACCGATAACTTTCTTTCTGTGGCACTATGCTTTATTTTTTTAAGCTAAAAAAAAAAAAAAAAAAAATCTACTGACTGACAATTGTTTGGAACCCAATCTATTTATAAGCTTAGGGTTACACTAAGGCTAAAATCTCATTTAATGTCAGGTTATGTGTAAATCTTGTATTTATATGTAAGTTGTTCTACCTTAAGAAGCAAATTTTGTTTGTGTGTGTGCCTGTTTTTTAACCATGCAGTGAGCACTCCTGTCATTTAAGCAAACTTAGCACACAAAAATTAAATTCACTAGAATCCAAAATTTAGGAGCATCATTAGTAGGTAAAATAACAAAGTGCTGATAATCTGATTCAGAGCCCTAAGAAGATGCTCTAGAAAGAAACATAAATGAAAAATAATGAAACTAAGCTGTCTTCAAAGCAATTGAATAGAGACTGTTGGAGAATGTCCCCTGTGATAGGAAAGTAATCCTTTTCAGTCCATAGGGCCCAGTTTTGGCTCAATTCTTGTGCCATGGAGCTTACAGCAGATGAGGAAAATTGTATTACAAGAGATCATGCATGAATGTTTCTGAAAGGGGTATGGGAGAGCCAAGACTCTTTGTTTTAATATGAATTAAGTTTTCATCTCTGGTTTTGGAGTTGAACTACTGGCTCTTGCTCAGGTTTTCCCTCTAACATGTGCCTTGGCTGTAATGCTAAGCTTCAACTGCATCAATTAATGTCTCATGCTTTGCCCAATTCATTTCCTGCTTGTCGCCTCACATGTTACTTGAATCATTTTCAAATTCTCTCTTTTTAACAAACCTGTACTTATCCCATGATTGGACACCGACATAATCAAGTCATGTTTGTTCATTCTCACTGCTTAGACCTGTGTTTGGGAAAATGAATACCTTTTACTTTTGAATAGCAGATAAAAATGCAAATTTGTGCAGGCTGATTTTGTCATAAATACTGATTACCATCCCTTGGTTGAGTTACCTGAGCCATATCTTAAACACACACACACACACGAAATAGAATAACTCGTAGGTTAGAATTAAAATGAATGATAATTAAAATATCATCTTCTTAGAGTTTATACTATGTATAAATATATATACTTTCTAAAACTCATCTATAGTTTATAAAAATATGTGTAAAACAAGAAAAATAAATGTAATTAGAAAGACATTTTGCAAATCATTGATGAGCTTTCCTTTTCACCTTTCTCTCTTCATGCCCTTTTACATTGGTCAGCCTAAAGCCTCCATATGTCTAGGAGATTAGTGTTTATTACAGAAGGCGTTAATGAGAAAGAATGAGGAATATTCAGCACCTGACGTTCACAGGATTTTACAGGACAAGAGGCTTGAGGGCCAGGCATTGCCGAGAGGGAAAGTGTTTCCCAATCCCTTTCTCTCCTCCTTTGGCATATTTACCACAGAGCTGGGAGACCCATGCTCTTTCTTTTCTGTAGTTCAGGGAAGATATTCTTTCCACCTGAGAGGTAGAAGCCCTAAACTTGCTGCTCTAAGGTAAAAGGAAGATATGATTTAGGGGAAATAAAAGAAAAGCCTGCTCCTTTCTGGTCCCAAGAAATGGTTGGAAGAAGAAACAAAAACAGGGAGAGGCACGAGCCTCTCAAATGCATCTGACCAACTTCCCTTTGGGCCCCAGGACCAGCTGAGGTGAGAAGTCAGGGAGAGTAAGCCAGAGACACAGGATTCCTCCCGCCAGCTTCCATCGCACTTGGGATTCTGAGAGGATTCCATCTTGAAGGCAGTCTTCAATGGGTGTGCAGCTTCTTCCGGCACAGGGAGGACTTGAGGTTTTACTCTCCCAAACTGTCATTGATTTTATAATGAGATAGACAGAAAATTGTGGCAATATATTATCTGACTGCAGAACTTGGGGGGTTGAGCTCAGCAGGGGTGTAGGAAGATAATGTGACTCAGTAGCAAGGACAGCAAGAGGGCTGCCTGGTCTGTGGCCAAATGTAAATCACCACTGATTCAGTTCCCACCCTATGCCTGGACTCTGCCATTCTCCAAGACACCTTAGTTCTTTCAGCACAAATGTGCATCCTAGGGGTGCTCATTGTGTCTGAGTTGGTTATGTCTTCTTTTTTATTTCTTTTAATGGAAAAACTAGAAAATGTATATTTTAAGATAAAATACGTCATGAATTTATACTAAATTTTTAAATTCAAAATCAGCTCTATAAGATGCTTATTTAATCTCATCCACTTTACATCTTCTTATACTCTGAAAATCTCATTTCTTAATGTCAAAAAAGCTAATTAATTCCTTTGCTCCATCGTACACTATAAAGACACAGTTTCAGAATAATAAACCAGTACTGGCCGGGTGCAGTGGCTCACGCCTGTAATCCCAGCACTTTTGGGAGGCCGAGGCGGGCGGATCATGAGGTCAACAGATCAAGACCAGCCTGGCCAACATGGAGAAACCCCATCTCTACTAAAAATGTGAAAATTAGCTGGGCATGGTGGCACGCGCCTATAGTCGCAGCTACTCGGGAGGCTGAGGCAGGAAAATCACTTGAACCCGGGAGACAGAGGTTCAGTGAGCCGAGATCACGCCACTGCACTCCAGCCTGGCAACAGAGTGAGTCCCCGGCTCAAAAATAAATAAATAAACCAGCACTATCATCAAACATTTATGATTTTCTGAGGGAAGCAATTCTTTTGGTCCTTAGGGTGTATCCCCATGGAAATGGACAGTAGAATTACAGGGTTGTTAAAGATACTTTGAATAGTTACTCTCCGTGTGGTTATTGTACAGAGTTAAGTTCATCTATTGCATTTTACTTCTGGTTTTTAAGGGTGACATTTTAAAATTTAATTCTCTTTTTTAGTTATGCGAAAGGTTTACATTGTTATAGAATCAGATGTACAAAATAGGGCATTTGCAGAGAAATCTGGATTCCATGCCCTTCTCCTCCACTCTATTTCCTCCCTCACACTTGGGATAACCTGAAAATTTCCATTTATGACTTACTCCTGCACTTTCAATATAAGAATATCTGTGTGTATATTTATTTATTTCCCTCTTTTTTATATAAATTTTAATCTTTTGTACACAAATTTCCCCATTTTGCGTTTTTTTACATAAAAAGTATATTTTAGAGATTGATTCAAAATTGTATACAGAGATATTACTCATTCCATTAATATATGCACAAATAAACTAATTTGCCTTAGTTTATTCAATTAGGCCCCATTAGGTCAAAAGGTAAATGCTTTATAATTAGCAAATTATTGCTAAGATATTGCAAGATATTGCCAAATTCTCCTTCATGAGTATTGTATAATTTTGCAATCTACCAGAAAAGAATGAGGTTACCTGTTTCCAGACGATCTACCAACAGAATATTTTAATCTTTTGGAGTTGTGCAATCTAATAAGTAAGAAAATATATCCTCTAGCAGTTTTAATTGCATTTTCCCTGTTATAAGCAATGCTTTTCATATGGCTGAGAGCCATTTATATCTTGTTTTCCCTGAACTGCATGTTCGTACCTTTAGCCTATATTTTTTCATCATGGTTGTTGGCCTTTTCCCCTCTATTTCTAGAAGCTGTTACATTTTAGAGGTATTCATATTTTGTGAATATACTGCAAATATTTTTCAAGTGTATCACTTATCTTTTTCCTTTGCTTATGTTTCTATTGTTTTGTTTTAACTAAAGGATAATCGCCACACAATAGTGATTTTTAATGTAATCAAATTTATCAATCTTTTCTTTTACTGCTTCTGAATTTTGCAATTTATCCAGAGTTCAGTATGAGAAATAGACTTGTTTTTTCAATAGCATAGCCTTTCAGCAATCCCAGTACCACATTGTGAAATTCCATCTATCACCCCCTTGTTTGACATGCTGCCTTTGTTGTGCTGCTACATGTCATTATGCACTTCAATCTGTGACAAGGGTTCTATTTTGTTCCATTGCTCAGTCTGTATGAACCAGTACCAAACTTTAATAACAGAGGCTTCATATTATCTCTTAATATTTAGTAGGGAAAAGCCCAACTCCTTGCTTTCCTACAGGATTTTCCAGCTATTCATGCTTATTTCTTTACAAATTAAAGCCAGCAAAAAGCCTGAATGCATTTTATACAATTTATGTTAGATATATAAATCATTTTAGGAATAACTGATATATTCATGATGTTGAACCTTTCTACTCATAAACTCCTCCTTCCATTTATTCAATTCTAATTTTGTGTCTTTCAGATGTGTTTTATAATTTTCCACATACAGAATTTTGAAATTACTCATTAAGTTAATGCCATGGTACATTTTCTGTTTGGCTGTCTTAAAGTTTTCTATTCCATTATATTTTCTAGCTGATTTGTGTCTGACTATATGAATATATGAGGCTTTTTGTAACCTGCTACTTTACAAAATTTTCTTACTAAATTACCTTATGATGTAAAGTCACTATTCATTTTACTCTTTGAGGTTTTCCAAATATATAATCACATCATCTGCAAGTAGAGACAGTTCTACCTTTTCCTTTCCAATTATTATGCTGTTACTTGCTCTATTTTTATCTAATTGCACTGAGTAATTCTTCTAACATAATTTAAAATAAAAGAAGGAATAGTAAGGATCCTTATCATTCTCCTGAGTTTAACAAGAAAGCCTCTAGCATTTCTCGATTAAGTAGGATGAAGACTTTGAAGAGGAAATACACACATATCCCATACCCACACACACCATGCATATTATAAGTTAAGGAAGTATTCATTAATTTCTACTCCATTTAGTCTTTTTCATATGAATGGGTGTTGAGTTCTGCCAAGTGCGTTTTCTGTATCTATGAAGAAATCCATATTATTTATCTCCTGAACTCTAATAATATAATGGATCACACAAATGAATTGCCCACTATTGATCTACCCATGCATTTCTGGAATAAACCTCTCTTGGTCACAGTTTCTTAATTTTCCACATACTGTTGGATCACATTTGCTGATGTCTTATTTAAGATTTTATGTCAATGCTAGTAAGCGAAGTTGGTGTGTGATTTCTTTTATGTTGCCATCTTATGCTAGGCAGCACAATTATACTCACTTTACAGAAAGAATTTAGAAATTTCCCATGTATTTTAATACTCTAGTTTGAATAGAATTGAGCTTATCTTGTTTTAACAGTTTAATACATATACTCTACAAAGTCATAATGGTGAATCTGGGGGCAAGGGGCTCTTTAACTAACTTCTTTGTTTGTTCTAGTATAATTACAGTTAACTCTGGAGCAACAGGGCTTGAACTTCACGGGTCTCCTTACATGCAGATTTTCTTCCACCTCTGTCACCCGTGAGACAGTAAGACCAACCCCTCCTCTTCTTCCTCCTTCTCAGCCTGCTCAACATGAAGATGACAAGGAAAGAGATCTTTATGATAATTCACTTCCACTTAATGAATAGTACATATATTTTCTCTTCCTTATAATTTTCTTGATAACATTTTCTTTTCTCTGGCTTACTTGATTGTAAGAACGTGATATATTATACATACAACATACAATTTATGTGTTAATTGACTGTTTATGTTACCAGTAAGACTTCCAGTCAATAGTAGTTAAGTCTTGGAAGAGTCAAAAGTTATACACAAGTTTTAGACTTCACAGAAAGGTTGGTGCTCCTAACCTCTGTGTTGTTCAAGGTTCAACTATAGTTTGTTTACACCAGGGGTCCCCGATCTCCGGGCCTTGGAGGCGTACCTGTCTGCGACCTGTTAGGAACCAGGCCACACAGCAGGAGGTGAGTGGCAACCAAGCTTTACCACCTGAGCTCCACCCTCTGTCAGATCAGCTGCAGCATTAGATTCTCATAGGAGCACAAACCCTACTGTGAACTACGCATGTGAGGGATCTAGGTTGTGCGCTCCTTATGATAACCTTATGCCTGATGATCTGAGGTAGAACAGTTTCATCGCCAAACTATTCCAACCCCCTTACTCCCAGTCTGTGGAAAAATTGTCTTCCATGAAATTGGTCCCTGGTGCCGAAAAGGGTAGGGACTGCTGGTTTAGACTATCTGGCTCTACCAAATCAATTTTGGTAAGTTGTATTTTTCTTTAAAAATGATTACCAATTTTGGGCGCCTGTAATCCCAGCTACTTGGGAGGCCGAGGCAGGCAGATGAATGCCATGAACCCGGGAGGTGGAGGTTGCACTGAGCCGAGATCGCGCCACTGCACTCCAGCCTGGGTGATAGAGCAAGACTCCGTCTCAAAAACAAAAACAAAAAATCACTTCCACTTACTTTGTCAGGAAATTTGTTTTGGGAAATGAAGTTTTGTAAGTGTGACACCAGCTGAGGCCTGGAAAGCACCTGTGGGCTGAGGCTTGCTCTCTTGGTGCAGCTGAAACATTGTAACTACCATGCAAGTGAGCCTGAGCTCCCTGCCTGAGGATGTAAGGTCACATTGGAAAAAACCAAGATACTCAGCCCATCAGCCTGCCAGCCATCAGGCAAGAGAGTGAAGCCACCTTAGATCATCCAGACTCCAGCTGACTACAGAGTCCAACAAAGATCATTTAAGTCAACCCAAACCAGAAAGGACACAAAGTCAAATCTCAGGGAAAAAACTATTACTTTAAGCTGCTAATTTTAGGCTGGCTTGTTACACGGTATCAGCTAAATGATACAGAATTCAACATCAAACTGAATTACAAAATTCTACTCCACTATTTAAATAAAGAAGTCACTTGAACAAGACTGCCCCATACAGTCAGGCAAACCCTTTTTGATTAGCTTCTGCAGCCAAATCCAGCCTCGCAAACCCTCCTCTTTATCCCCTTAAACTACCCTCCATCCGCCACCCTCATGAGTAAACAAAACTCTGCCTGAAACCAAACCTCCTTTCCTTTTTTTTTTTTTTTTTTTGAGATAGAGTCTTGCTTTGTCGCCCAGGCTGGAGTGCAGTGGAGTGCTTTCAGCTCACTGCAATCTCCGCCTCCCAGGTTCACGCCATTCTCCTGCTTCAGCCTCCCGAGTAGCTGGGACTACAGGCGCCCGCCACCACACCTGGCTAATTTTTTGTATTTTTAGTAGAGATGGGGTTTCACGGTGTTGGTCTCAATCTCCTGACCTCGTGATCTGCCCGCTTCGGCCTCCCAAAGTGCTGGGATTACAGGCGTAACCAAACCTCCTTTCTTAATGGCCCGTTTGGGCCACTGTCATGAGTTTTCCCAATGTTCAAACACACTCAGTCCTTGGAAGTCATTATGGACTAAACTGGTTCCCTCCAAAATTCATATGTTGAAGTCCTATACTTCAGCAGCTCAGAATGTGACTATATTTTGAGATTTGATCTAATTGAGGTAAAATGAGATCATTAGAGTAGGCCCTAAGCCAATATGATTTCTAAGAAGAGGAGATTAGGACACAGACAGATACACATACAGAAGGAAGACCATGTGAAGACACAGGGAGAAGATGGCCATCTACAAGCCAAAAACAGAGACCTCAGAAGGAGTCAACCCTGTTGATGTCTTGATTTCTGACTTCCAGCCTCAAAATTTTAAGAAAATAAATTTCTGTTGTTTAAGCCACCCAATCTGTGGCACTTTGTTATGACAACCTTAGCCAACTAATATATAATTACAGGACAAAAAAACACCTGTTGAGGTTAGGGGCAACCTAGAGTTGGGTTTCACTCCCACAGGGATATTTATGCATGTGTTTCCTTTGTCCACACATGTAAATAAAAAGCATTTCCTGAGGAAAAGCCAATCTACATAAAAATCATTTTCAATATGTAAATAATCACTAGCATATGCTTTTTTGGAAACTGATATCAAAGAAATACTAGTAGTAATAAGAAATAGTAACAACAATTGTAAAACTATTTTAAAATATTAATAAATGATAAAAGAACAATAAAGCTGGTTACCAAGCACTTTCTATTAGTCAAACACTGCACTATTAACTTTGCAAACATTGTTTTGTTTGTAATCCTCACTATCCAAAGAAATGACTCTAATTAGCCCTGTTTTGCAGTTGGGGAAATTGATGCTCACAGAATGAGTCACTTATCTGGGGTATCTCAGAAAGCAGCAAAAGCAGGCTTTAACTTAGGGCCTAACTTCAATGTGCATTATCTTTCCATTACAGCCCTTTAAAAAAATTATTCTTCATCAGTCAATTTTTATCAAGAAGAATAAATGCAAACATGATTTCATTTAACACAACTGATAAAGTTGGGAATAATTTTAAAGCTCGCACTGAGAGGACGGTAAACCTATAATCAGCATAGGATAAATCATCTTCATCTTTCACAAAAATAACTATAATCAAAGCTGTTCTCATACCTCATGGATGTTGACCTGCTTTTTAATGGCTTGTATTTCAAACTTGAGTTCAGGCACACATAGAAGAGGAAATGGAAAATGAGTACATCTGCATTAGCCAGAGTTCTCAGATTACCTAGTGTTAATTTTTTTTGTTTTGTTTTGTTTTGTTTTTGAGACAGTGTCTCGCTCTGTCCCCCAGGCTGGAGTGCAATGGCACAATCACATTTCACTGTGGCCTCCACCTCCTGGGCCCAAGTGATCCTCCCACCTCAGCCTCCCAAGTAGCTGAGACCACAGGTGCATGCCACCACACCTAGCTATTCTTTTTTTTTCCTTTGGTACAGGCAGGGTCTTCTTATGTTGCCCAGGCTGGTCTTGAACTCCTGGCCTTAAGCGATCCTATCATCTCAGCCTCCCAAAGTACTGGAATTACAGGCGTGAGCCACCGTGCCTGACCAACAATTTTATACTCCAAGAATATAATCTGTTTTTACTTTAAAAAGTATATGAAAAAAAGTTTTAACTTAAAAAATATTACCTAGCTTTTGGTGGATGTAAGAACTTCAAATATCTACAGAACTTAATGAACAAAGTGTTAACAAATATAATCTAGCTGTAAGAACATTGAAATATTGAAATATAATTTAAATACACCATTTATATTGTCATGCTCTGGGGAGATTGTGTTTTCTTCTTTTGAACTATTTCCATGTTTTCTTCATTTAATGTAAGAGGATTTATTCAATTTAATAGGCTAAATCGTCAGAAATTAATTTTATCAAGCCATGTCTTGCCTTTTCCATTTATATTTTATCCAAATTCTTCTAATGTAAGAGACTTATGTCTCATTTTGCTGTTGTTAGAAATTATGACTGAATTTCTTGGAAGAAATCTTTATTAAAGTAGCTCTCCACTTACTTTTTGCCATGTATGGTAGAGCATTCATCTCTAGGGAAAGTAGCATAAGGAAAGGCCACCAAAACTTATTGGATGTGCTTCAGAAGACCAACAGAGTTAAACATTTCGGGGAACAATATTGATACATTTTAACTCTATTCATAAAGATTTCATCTTTAAACAAGAATGAGTTAATATTTCATAGATGACTTCTGGTCTGAATAAAATCCTCCCCTCCTCCCACTTGGAGATCACTGTTGCCTGACATTGTAACACCGTATTTTGGTTTATTTGTTTTCCAGATAAATGTTATGACCTTAGAATCTGAAATCAAGAGGTGATTAAATCATAGTCATATTTAACAAATTATGGAGACAGATATAAAGTTGAGCAAACAATTATGTTTTCTTCCAAAGGAAACTTAGTAATAAGGAATTCCTGGTGAATGGAATAATGCCATCAGTATTTTTCCAGTAGGGTCATATTTACACGGCATACTTCTGGTAAGTTCTATTCCCCATAGTAGAGAAGAGGAAAATAAAGCACAGTTTCCTGCCCAAATCTTCTGATTCATAAGTGGAGAAGTGCACTAGTCATCCGCTGTGACAAAATGAATTACCCTAAAATGTAGCTTAATACAACAAAATTGTATTACTTCACAATTTCTGGGAGCTAGAAATTTCAGAGTGTTGTAGCTGAGTGGATCTGACTGGGAGTCTCTCATGAGGTTGCAGTCAGGATGTCAGGCAGAGGTACAGTTGTCCAAGACTCGATTGGGGTGGGAAGACCCACTTCTAAGATGGTGCAGTCACAGGCTATTGGCAGGGATCCTCAGTTTATGTCTGAGGCTGTTGGCAGAAGACCCAACCCTGGCCACAGGGTCTCTCCAAAGCACTGACTGTGTGTCCTCACAAGGTGGCAGCTAGCTTCCCCCGGAGTAAGTGATCCAAGAGAGTGAGCAAAGAGAAAGCTCCAGCATGTACCCCTCTGGCCTAGTCTCAGAAGGGGCACAACTTCATTTCTGCCGTATTCTATTCATTAAAAGCCAGTCTCCAAGTACAGATTGCACTCAAGAAGCAGAGATTTGGGATACACTTTTTGAAGGGAAGGGTAGTAAAGAATATATAAACATCTTTAAAACCACTTCCCAAAAGTTCTGCCTTAAGAACCTACTGTTGCTTTTTGGGTGGCATATATAGTTTCAGTAAAGTGCACAAATCTTAAGTAGCCAGCTGAATGAACACATACATACCTCTGTAAGCATGCACGTGTATATATACATATGTGTGCATGTATACATAAGTACATATGTGTGTTGTGTCTATACATATATATGTATATATGCATGTGGGCATACACGTGTGTATACATGGATAGCACATATGTATGTATGTACACACATACCTTTCTACCTTTGATGGACATTTGGATCATTTCCATCTGGGCCTGTCAAAAATAATACACAAATACTCTTTTTCTTGTTATTTTGTGGACAAATGTACTCGTTTCTATTTGATATTTAACTCAGATTAGAATTGCTGTGTCACAGGATACGTTTATGTTACACTTTAGTAGAAAATGAGTTTTTCCAAATAGCTGTGCCACTTTACACTCCCACTAGCAACGAATGGAAATTCCAATAGTTCATCATCCTTGTTAATGCTTGATGTTGACCATTTCTAAGATTCTTATTTTTCTGGTGGGTGGGCATGTTTTTAATTTTCATTTCCCTGATTACAACTGATGTTGAGTACCTATCTTTTCATATGCACAGAAGTCATTGGGATATGTTCTCTTATAAAGTCTCTGTTCATGTCATTTGGCCACTTTTTCATTGGAAAACCTACCTTATATTCACTTATAAGCATTCTTTCTGTATGTGAAATGTGAATATGAAGTACAGGTATTGCAAATGTTTTACCCAATTTTCTTACCTATTTACTCTTCCTACAGTGTCTTTTGATGAACATAAATTCTTAGCTTTAATGAGTCCTATTTTTCAGTTTTTAGTCAATATGCTTATAACCTGTATGATTGGACAGGTTAAAAAAATAAAGTTTAGGACAAAGAGAACAGCAATGCTCTTTGCCTCCTAGATAAGTCATCCAAAACATAAATTCACACTCAGTTCTTTAAAGATAGGAGTTTAAGGGAGAGAGGGCCAATTATTTTTCAGCTCAAACATAAATGTCCAAGGAAAGATAAAGTGAACTCAGGGATAAATCTACATATAACTGAGAAAATCCAGGTAGATATGGTTTTAGAGATGTTGGCTGGCTTCTGTCAGAGGTGGGGTGGTGGATGCTACAGGCAGTGCCTGGCTGGTAGCTTCACTAGATTGAGATGTAGAAAAATAGGGACTAAAGTCCTAGCAATGTCTGGTAGAGAAAAAAATAATCCGAAATATCTGTTTAACACAAAAATAAAAATAAGCACCAAATCAAAATAATGTGCCCTTCCAGCAAAAAAGATATCTTTTAGCAGAGAAAATGTGTTTTGCTGAGTAAGGTGGAAATCTAAAGGGAGAGGTACTGGGAAGGCATTTCACAAAATGTTATTAAAACTCCTGCAGTTGACAGAGTGATGGCCTTCCCAGGAAGTCCTCGTTCTAATCCCCAGAACCTTGAATATATCCCTTTACAAGACAAAAGAAACTTTACTAATGTGATTAAGTTAGGATCTTGATATAGGAAGATGACTTTGGATTATCCACTGATTATCACTGGAAAGGTCACAAGCCGAGGGATCTAGGTGGCACCTAGAAGCTGAAAATGGTGAGACAGATTCTCCCCTCAGCCTCCAGAAGGACCAGCGCTGCCAAGGCCTGACTTTAACCCCATGAGAATGATTTTGGATTTCTCCAAAAACTACAGGATTATATATTTGTGCTGCTTTAAGCCACTAAATCTGTGGTAATTTGTTACAGCAGCAATAGGAAATATTATAACTATAGCCACAATGGGATATTATCACATACCAACCTGACTGGCAAAAAGTCAATAGTCTGACAGTGTTTGTACTGCCAAAGGTAAATAGGAATTCTCACACACTGGTGATAGAGGCACAAAAGGGTAAAACTTTGGAAAACATTAGCTAGTAAAGTGAAATTGTCTATGTACCCTTCAACCCAACAATTCTCTTTCTAGGTATGTATTCTAGAGAAAATCTTACACAGGTTCACCAGGAATCCATGCAGAATGACCTTTATAGCAGAACTGTTTCTAATGGCAGAAATACTGACAACACCCCAAATATCTACTCAGAGCTGACTGGACAGAAATAAGTTTACAGGTTCATAGAGTAAGATACCCTCTACTAGAGAAAGTGAATGTACTAGAGCTGTGTGATCGTTCTGGATGCATTTCCAAAATAGCTGGACAAGGAAGGTCACTGATTATAAGATTCCACTTAGATAAATTCAAAACAGGCAAAACCAAATAAATAGTGAGAGATAAATGCAACATACTAAAGAATAAAGGAAAGCAAGGGAATGAGTAACACAAACTTTTGGACAGTGCAGGGCAAGGAGACACTTCAAAGAGACTGTTGATGTTCTCAAGCTGGTGGTTGGTATACCATTTTATTCTTTTCATTGTCATTTATGTTAGATATACTCTTGTTTGTCTGACATATTTCAAAACATGAAAGAGCTCTTTAATATCTTTCAATACATTATATAATATTCTAAACTAATTTCTTGCACAGCTCTTTTTAGTTGTGTTCCTATGTATCCTTTTTGTGGTTGCTATTTTAAGTGTTAGCTTTTAAAAATTGTGTTTATTGCTGACAAATTAAAATGCAACTGACTTTCGTATATTGTTCTTTCATCTGAGAACATTGTTAAACACTCTTATACTAATCATTTATTCATAGATTTGGGGTTTTCTATGTAGATAATCATGCCATCTGCAAATAAAGACAATGGGTTTCTTTTCTTCTCCATGGCTTTATTTCTGCCTTCTTGTCTTATGACAATAAATAAAAGTTTCAGAATAATGTCTATTAGAAGTAGTGATGGTGGCTATCCTCAGCTTGTTCCTCATTTTAAAATCTTATCACTGAGTATGATATTGCTGTAGGTTTCTGTAGATGTCATTCATCAGGTTTTGAAAGTTCTTTTCCATTTCTAATTTGCTGTAAGTTTGTATACTGAATGATTGTTGAATGTGACCAGTGATTTTTCTGAAGCTTATAAGATGATCATAAAACTTTGCTTTCTTTATTTCTTAATGTGGTAAATTGCATTCATATATTAGTCGGATTTGGTAACATATTTCTCTAGGAATTTGTATATTACACCTATTTTCATATTTAGTGGTATAAAAAGTTGGTCATGACATTCTTATCTTTCTAATCCCCACAGCATCTGTAGTAATATACAGTATCAGATATACTGTTATCTATAGCATCTAAATTTGTAACATTTTTATGCCTAATAAGTGAGATATATACACATATACACACACACGCACACACACACACAAAGTCATGCATCACTCAATGGTGGGGATACAGTCTCCGAAATGCATCATTTAGTGATTTTGTGGTTATTGTGCAAACATCATAGAATGCACTTACACAAACCCAAATGGCAAAGCCACACTACACACCTAGGCCTATAGCCTATAGCTGTAGTATAACCTATTGCTCCTATGCCACAAACCTGCACAGCATGTTACTGTACTGAATACAGTAGGCCATTGTAACCCAGGGGCATTTTTGTGTCCAAACATATCTAAATGTAGAAAAGGTAAAGGCAAGGCATGGTGTCCCATGCCTGTAATTCCACCGCTTTTGGAGGCCGAGGCTAGAGGATTGCTTGAGGCTAGGATTTCGAGACCAGCTTGGCCAACATATTGAGATCCCTAAAAAAAAAAAAAAAAGAAAGAAAGAAACAAAAAAAAGAGAAGGTTCAGTAAAAATACAATATACAAGATAAAAATGGTACATCTGTATAGGGCACTTATCAAGAATCGAGCTTCCAAGACTGAACGCTACTCTAGGTAAGTCAGTGTGTGAACGGTGAGTGAATGTGAAGGTCTAGGACAGTACTGTACACTACTGTACATTATAAACACTGTACACTTAGGCTACACTGAATTTGTAAAAACAATTTTATTTCTTCAATAATAAATTAACTTTAGCTGACTACAACTTTTTTATATTATGTTTGTTGATTTTTTTTAACTTTTTGACTGTTGTAATAACTCTTAGCTTAAAGCACAAACACATTGTACAGTTGTACAAAAATATTTTCTTTTTTAATATCCTTATTCTATAGGCTTTTTTTGCTTAAAAAACTAAGTCACAAACACTTACATTATCATAGGCCAACACAGGGTCAGGATCATCAATATCACTGTCTTCCACCACCACATCCTGTCCCACTGGAAAGTCTTCAGGGGCAATAACAGGCATGGAGCTGTCATCTCTGTGATAGCAATGCCTTCCTCTGGATACTGCCTGGAGGACCTGCCTGAGGCTGTTTCACAGTTAACTTTTTTCATACAAGTACAAGGATCACGCTCTAAAATAGTGATAAAAAGTATAGTATGGTAAATATATAAACCAGTAACACATTTATTTATTTTCATTATCAAGTATTATGTACTGTCTGTAACAGTGCACTGTACTTTTATGTAGGTACGTTTGTTTACACCAGCATCACCACAAACACATGAGTAGTGCGTTGCACTAGATGTTACAGTGGCTATGACCTCATTAGGTGATAGAAATTTTTCACCTCCATTATAATCTGATGGGACCACCTCCACATATGCGTTCCATCGTTGACCAAAACGTCATTATGCGGAGCATCACTGTAGATATATATAACATAGCTAAAATTAGTCTCTAAGAAAAATTTTAAATTAATAGGATGCATCTTTCAGATCTGTCTTGTGTTCCTCACTAAGACACAGAATCTAAGATTCTATAAAATCATCATCAACTTGATTGCCTAGGAAATTGTGGCTATGGATATAGTACCAGTAGGTAACATTTAAAACATATCTGGGAGTATCATTAGAAATAATCAGCAATAACTGTTTAATCTCCATCCTTCACTTACAAGCAATGTCTTTTCAAGACTGCGTTAAGTACCTCTCAAGGTTTAAGGTTAAGATTTTTATATTAGTTTTTTTGGCAAGCCAGGAAAAACAAGCATGTCACTTTTGATCATGATTTTACATAACAATTTAACACTAATGAGATTCGCACTTGCCTGTCTGTCGGTTGCACACATCACTGCACTCCCATCAGTTGTATTCAAAATTCCTTCCCAAATGCATCACAAGGAAGAATGGCATACGATTTATGATTCCTAAACCTAGATTTGTACCATGAGGCCATTAGAATCTGAGAAGGAAGGAAACTAATTTTCTTGGGAGGTGGGGGGTTGCTCTTTTTTCAGGTGAGAGAATTAGATCCAGAGCAGTGGAGGGATTTATGCAAATGACGCAGCGAGTGAGCGGCCGGCTGTAGAGTCATTTTACAGCCCGGACTCCCGGTCCCGGGCTTTTTCGAGCCACAGAGGTGATGGAGGATGTAGCTGTGCCCTGACGGGAAGGCCACGGACAGGCTGATGCTTGAGGATAACCTTCATTCCTCCTGGCAGGGCACATGTCAGACATCATTATCCATTCGGTTGAAATCAAAATGGAGTGTCCTGAAAGGGACCATTATTCACTGAGCTTTGCCCTAGCTAAGTACCACCAGCCTTAGATTGACTAGAAGGCTTTTATTAAAGCATAAATAAAAAGTGGACAGATGGCACTGAAGTTTCCCTGAGAGGTTAAAAAAGACCATATTCTTTAGAAGAGCTAGGACTTCCCTTGGAGCAAAGCAATAGGTTACTAGGCTCTAGAGAGAATAGATAAAATGGTCTGATGTTCATTTTTCATTCTCAGTAAAATATTGATGGAGTACCATTGTCAAAATCTATTTGTCAAACTGCATACAGTGCCTTAAATTACAACCATTTATGTTTCTGTACACAACATCACCTTTCAAAATGTTCCAAAATAATAGGCATTGGGAAAAAAGAATATGGAATTCCGGTTTATATGTTTGATAATGAAACCATCAACCTTACATTTAAAGAAACTTTGTGTATGTTATACTATCTAGCAAAAGCCAATGAAACTTCTGACTATATCTACATATATAATTAATTTCAGAAAGACCATTTTTGTCTACAGTTTTACAAACCATTATTACGTATTTTGAACATTTTCTTTCCAGCATTCATAAGCATGCAGTTTGCCAATTTAAACCCCACAGCTATAGGAGGATAACCCAAACATAGCCTGCATTAATTTACTACATAATTAAAGAATATTCATTTGGGATAATAGTAGATAAAAATATTTTTATTAGGTGATGATATTGTTTTACAGCCGGAGTGGGGAAACACGGGAGAAAATATTTGTCCTGATTTTCATGTACAATGTTCCTTTCAGAGCTAACCTTTAGTTTAAAATGTTCTTAATTGCTTTACAGAGGACATAGAAAAGGCAGCCAGACATAACTTTCAGTAAGTAATTAAGGGTTCCATTCTCTTTTAATTTCTTGTACTTTACCAATTACATTAGGACAAAGCACATGAAAACAGAAGACTATCCATTCACGTTTAATAAAGCATTTGAATTAGATTTGCAAGTTTTAATTGTATTCATTTTTAATTTTTTTTTATTTTAGTACAGTTGTAAATTTACAGAAAAATTGCAGAGATATCACAGAGTTCCCATACACCCCACCCCGTTTTCTCTATTATTAGTACAGTAGTATGGTACATTTTTGATACATTACTGTCAATTAAAATTCAGACTTTACTCAGACTTCCTTAGCTTTTGCCTAATGTCCTCTTTCACTTCCAGGATCCCCTCCAGGACACCAAATTGCATTTAGTTGTCATGTCTCCTTAGGCTCCTCTTGGCTGTGACAGTTTCTCAGACTTCTCTTAGTTTTGATGACCTTGAAGTTTTGAGGAGTACCAGTCAGGCATTTTGTAGACTGTTCCTCAGTTGCGATTCATCTGATGTTTGTTTGTTTGCTTGTTTTTTTAATTAGACTGGGATTATGTATTTTGGGGAGGAGGATCACAGAGATTAAAGTGCCATTTTTATAATACTATATCGCGGGTACATACCTGTCAACATGGTTCATCACTGGTGATGTTGACTTTGAATACATGAATAAGATAGGTTTGTCAGGTTTCTCACTGTAAAGTTACCCTAGCTTTCTCCCCTTTCCATAACGTGCCCTTTAGAAGGAAGTCACTATGTGCAGCCCACATTGTAGGAATAGAGAGTCATGCTCTACCTTCTTGAGTGCAAGGTATATACGGTAATTCTTTTGAATTCTTCTGTAAAGGAGATTAATTTATTCCCCTCATCCATTTGTTTTATTTATCAATATGGACTCATGGACATTTATTTTCTACTTTGGGTTACAATCCAATATTACTTTACTTATTTTTTTTGTACAAAGACTTCCAGCTTTGACCAGTGGAAGCTCTTCCAATTGGCTTTTTGTCCTTTTGACATATTCCCATCATTGTGTGTGTGTAAAGGGTGGTTTTTCTTTTGTTTTATTTTAGCAATTTCTTACTTTATGGCACTACAAGATGCTGCAGAATTATCTTGCTTATTTCCTGCCCGAATCCTTGAGCCTGCCATTGTCCTTTCACTTGTGAATGGTATTAGAAACAAAGATCCGAGCTCTAAGTGTGCTTCTTGCTTCTGGGGTATTCACTGCTTCTCAGCTGACAGGGCAAGGAAATATATTTGTGCATAGTAATCTGTGCATATACACATATCTGTAGGCATTTCTATATGTAACCATCTGTATCTATATTGAGCTAAATATGAGTTCATACTGATGTCCCCAACTCTTATCCATTATACCACAGATCATTGTGGCCTCCTCCACCTATATCTTCCACTCCAACAGTGAAAAAGAAGTTGGCACCCACCATCTGTCACCTGTTTACTTAACTGTCCAATTCCAGTACACACGTGTAGTAATCAGAATTATTAATCTGTTACCCAATGGGAAACACCGTTATCAACTAGATTACAAGGCTTACATATTGTTTCTTCTGCCTTGAGTCTTACAGGCTCCACTTATTTCTAAAGTTACTTAAGTTAGTACTCTCTTCCTGTCATCACACACACACACACACACACACACACACACACACACACCATTGGCTTTATCTTCAAAAGAGAAAGGAAGCAGGAAATAATCAGCTGGCAAACTTTGCCACTTTGTTGTTTCTACTTACAAATTAGAAAATGAAACAGGAATCAAAAACTCATCATGCAGATTACAATTGTAATATTTTATGCCAAAAATTCTTTTTAGAACAATAATTGGACAGGGTAGACTCTGGAAGAGAGCAATTTTCTTATACTTCCAAGAGAAATTTAGAACACAACAGTTCAGGACATTGATTTTATTTAACTCCCCACCTGTCACTGCATCCAACAGGTCAGCTACACAAACAAAACCAGGGCATAAGACAAGAGATAAGACAAGGTCCTTATGGTGGAAACGTAAGACTCTTACGGACTCCCAGGATACAGAGGACATCTGTGTAGTTTATCATTTGCATTAAATATAGTTTTATATTCAAATAGATACTTTCAAGGACAAGCTTTTGGTTATTAGTAATAGATGGTAAAATAATAGCTTAATGCTCCTTTAAGTAATAGATTGTAAAAACTTTAAGGAAATATTTTCTTTATAAATTCAACTCTGAAACTAATTAAAAATTTGAGCACTACTACTGATTGACAAATGAAGGCTCTTATTACTGAAAAATAAAGACAGATTATGACGGGTTAATCCTTACCATCTCTGCAATTACTGAGCACCTGCCTCAGGCTCTGCAGGATTTCCTTAAATAGTGCTTTCTCCAATTAATTTCCCTTTCTTCTTAGCTGTATGACACCTAATGACCTGAAAGTCTATTTTGAGCAAAGATGAATAAATTAGTCATCTATCTAGCTGAATATATTTATCCTGATTATGAAGGAGTGAATATATTAAATATATTAATTTATGTAATGTATATATTGTCATAGCTCAAGATAGAACACTGAACAATAAATACAACAACAAATCTAATTTCTAGAAGATACCATGCTTTCCTCACTGAAGGTTATATAATCAAGATATAACTTTGTGTTCGTCTTGGAATATTCTAATTGGAATATTAGTGAGCTTTTAAAGCCAACTTCTGGAAATGCTAGAATTGACTCTCAAAAAATTTCTTCTACCTTCTTGTCTTTTCTTCAAATTTCATCTACTTCTCTTTTTATGTACACAGGGGCAAAAGAAAATGAACTACTTTTCTACACCCAACACCAAACAATTGGCTGCACATTTTCACTGAATTGATTGATTTCTGTTGAAATGACAGATTCATAGATGCAGTGGCATATACAACCTCTTGAAAGTGGTCAGTTTAGCCCCTGTCTCCAGTTACTTCACCAGATAGTAAATATGTCTATAAATGTGCCCATGCACTGAACTCTAGCTGATGGCTAGATGCTGCTTAGATTCCTGGGTTGAAGAGGACTTTGAAAATGCCCATAAGAAGAGGAGGGTCGTGTAATTGACCAGCAATGCCTGTCACCTGAGAGAAAATGAGGAAAAGCGGCAAAAGTACTCTGCATTTACCCTTACCAGTTTACAATACTGACTGTTCGTGATGGAATTAACCCATGTTTTAGAATCAAATTAATAAAGTTAAGTATTACTTTTTCTAACAATTATAATTTTTTGTTTTACACAAAATTGGTTCCATTTTTGTCCTCTGGCCATGTCAATTTTTCTTACTCCCGATAACCCAGGACCATAAAATACATCACTTAAAGTGACAGAAGATATAATCTGTTTAATTTTTCCTGAAATCCACATTACTAGATTATAGACTCCATGGGGGCAGGAATAACACCCCATTCATTTCTTAAGTTCCTGCAATGCCATAACTCAGAATTTAAAATGATGACATGATTGTGTAATACACAATCTGTTCCACTTATGTGGACACATGGCTTCACATCACACTTTCTTTTTTTTTTTTTTTTTTTTTTTTTTTTTTTGAAACGGAGTCTTGCTCTGGCTCTGTTGCCCAGGCTGGAGTGCAGTGGCGCGATCTTGGCTCACTGCAACCTCCGCCTCCCAGGTGCAAGCAATTCTCTGCCTCAGCCTCCTGAGTAGCTGGGATTACAGGCTCCCGCCACCATGCCTGGCTAATTTTTTTGTATTTTTTTTTTATAGTAGAGATGAGATTTCACCATCTTGGCCAGCCTGGTCTTGAACTCTTGACCTTGTGATCTGCCCACCTCAGCCTCCGAAAGTGCTGGGATTACAGACATGAGCCACCGCACCCGGCCACCCATCCCGCTTTCAAGGAATTCCAAAGTCCTTACTATGATCTCCCAGTCCCTACATGACATGACTCCTGGCTACTTCTCTTTACCTTTTCCCACTTTCCCTCTACCTCTCTTCAACCCTGAACTCCATGCAGGGCATTTTAGAGCTAAGCTCATAGACCCAATTCTGCCCAAGGGTCTATGAATTCACTGATTCTTTCGCCTGCAGCTCCCTGACCCTAGGAATTTGCAGGGTCCACTTTCTCACTCACTACATCCGGGTCTCTGTTCAAATGTCATCTCCTCAAGGAGGAATATCCTATAACAGTGACCCATCCTCCTCCTTCTCCTGCTTTATTTTCCTCTAGCAGTTATCACTACTTCATACATTATTACATTCTCATGTATATTTTATCTCTCTACCACTAGAATAGGGCTGGAAGTGTATCTTTTCTTGTTCACTGCTAGAGTCCTACCATCTAGAACACTAGATGACATGTGGTAGAAGCTCAATAAATGGACTAATTGATTAATCAAACACTATTAGAAATAGCTTCTCCTAAAGCTCAAACTCCAAATCAGAATCTCTGCCTAGATGCCAAAAGCCTTAGTATTTGGGAAAGAGTTAAACTCACCATTAGAAATCATAGGTATCTGCACATCTCAAAGTCTAGGGCCTCACACCCAGACTGCCCAAAAAGAAACTATGCCTCCCCAATTCCAAAGCCCAGGACAAGGACTCTATTGTGCTCCAGATGTCTCAAGATGGGAATATACATTTTCTCCAGGATATTATCAAAACTCATGGACAGAACAAGGCAATCAAAATGACCTGACAGCACATTTCCTCAAAATCTAGCTTAGTCAGTTTAAAACGACATTTATTTTTAGATGACCAAAAATCTAACCCATGCCTACCATGATTCCTTTTCACGATATTCTTACTGCAATGAAAATGAACTGAAAAAGCAGACCCAGGGCTCCCTACTGAAGTCTGGTTCAAATTCCAAAGCAAATACTTGAGCAGACATAGCTCCCAAGGAAAAACCTGAATGTTCAGACATAAAGTATCTGAAATTGTTTAACAAAAAAGCAGCAACCCTTTTTTTTCTAAAGACACGATAAGTGACCTCTCTAATTAAAAGTCTGAATGATTGGGTTCCTTCTGGGCACTCAGGTCTGGGTTCTTTAACAATTATCAGGCACTGTTTTGTGCTTGCTCTAAGGATGCAGTAAGCAAGAGAGACACGGCTCCAGCCTTCACTCTACTGAGTCTGTGGGGGAAACTTACGCGGTTTACACCAGAGGTTCTGAAAGTGTGGTCTTGGAATTAGCAGCATCAGCATCATTTGGGAACTTGTTAGAAATGCAAATTCTTAGGTTCCACCTCAAGATTATTAAATCCCAAACTCTGGGGACAAGCCCACTGTTCTCTTTAAACAAACCTGCCAGGAAATTAGGATGCACTCAAATTTGATAATTACTGGTTTAGAAAAATTACCTGAGACTTCCTAGGAAGATTTTGCAGGTAGTCTAATGTCAGGCTAGTAGAGTATTCTAGGTTGTTATGTAGGATGAGACAGTCCTAGTTTGAGAACTGAAGTCCTGAACCCCAGGAAACTGCACAGCATCAAGCTAATTGGGACAGCTGTTCACGTTGTCAGAGGCATTTTCTTCTAAGTGAGGCCCTCACACTGTGTCCCTCATAATAGTTAAGCAGGTGATGATTAGCCGTCTCAAGACATGCCACATTATTCTACCCATTGCACTGCATAGTTTAATTGATGAGGGTCTCTCCACCTTCTCCCCATCCTGAAGCTTTCTCCATCCAGCTAAGGTGAGAATACCTCACCTGCACAACCTTTTGTCCTGTTTGCCCAGGGCTCTAGTTAACTATCTTCCCAGTTTCTCTCCTGCTCTCTGGTTACCTGGATGCCCTTACTAGCTGCCTCCCGAGTTATGGACAAGTCCTTAGAGATTCTATTAAAAGTTCCTGTGGTTGAGGCTACATGACTTTTGAGACCTTGGACACTTTTGCCTTTATGGACACCTTCCTTCTTCAAAATATCAACAATTAAATTTTATGATTGCATTGGTAAAAAGACAATATTCCAGACTGGATTATATTCTTTCTTTTCTTACAATTAAAAACAAAACATATCTACAGGCCCCTAAAGTATATTGGTTGCCTGCCCCTGCACCTGCTGTGCCTGATGGATACTCTTGCCCTGCTTGTGGCTACAGACTGTCTCATTGTGATGTGGATCTACATTCATCCTCTGGCCTCTGTTCTGAGCCAATTTGGTCTGGTGTTTATTTTCATCCTGTTGACTTATTTTTACACTGACCCATCTCTTTAGACTGAAAATTTCACTGACTTGTCTCCTTCAATTTAGCTTCCAGCTTTACTCCCAGCTGCTGCCTTTAGAATTTCCCTGAGCTCCTTCTTGTGAGCTCACACACCATCCCAGCCCACCCTGCCCTCATCCCAGCTCTCTGACACCAAGTACCATGTCCTTGGCCCCTGGTCATCTAGGACCTGGGACAGCTGCCTGCTTGGCCAATCCTCTGCTCAGCCATCAGTCATCAGATGCCGACTCAGGTACAACTGCTACATGATCTAGGTTGAGTGTTTTCCATTTAAATCTTTTTTGCAGCAAAATCCTGCTTTCACATACACACACACACACACACACAATATGGAATCCTATATATATAAAACATGTTAAAAAGTTGTGGCTGGGCATGGTGGCTCACGCCTGTAATCCCAACATTTTGGGAGGCCAAGGCGAGTGGGTCGCTTGAGCTCAGGAGGTTGAGACCAGCCTGGCAACATAGTGAAACCTCATCTCTACCAAAATAAATTAGCTAGGTGTGGTTGCTCACCCACCTGTGGTCCCAGCTACTTGGGAGGCTGAGGTTAGGGGATCACTTGAGCCTGGGAGACAGAGGTTGCAGTGAGCTGAGATCCTGCAACTGAACTCCTGCCTGGGCAATAGAGTGAGACCCTGTTTCAATAAATAAATAAAATAAATAAATAAATGAAGTATACTGATCCAACAAAATTGGAAGAGTCTAGAACTTTTTTCTTTCTTCCCCATGATACCATGCAGGTCCCTCTCCAAGACCTCTGGGCTCTCCAGAGCCCCACTGGCCTCTCCCAGCTGCTTCCTACTGAGCCTGACCATCTGCACATTATGTTGTGGCACAGCAACTTGGGTAGTTGACAATCTTTTATTCTTAAGGCTCGAATCAGAGCAGCTGATGAGAAGCATATTGTTGTGTTTTACAGGGACACTGTGGACAGCGGTTTACTGAGTCAAACATCTCAGGAGCAGAATGTTGAATGCCACCCTCTCCTCAAGATGGCATAGTAGAGCATGTGTGCATGTAATTATTTTCACTAAACACTATATATGTTCTAAATTTGTTTGCACTTGAAATAGGAATGCTTTACTTTTAATAAGGTCTCAGGACACAATTGATACAGCACACTTACATTAAGTTTAAATATTCATGAAAGTATTATGCTATCTGCTACTTTTTAAACTGAAAATAAATCATTAATGATCCATTTCCATCTTTTGAGAGTACATCAAACAGGGAGTTTGCAAAGTCAGAATGTGTATGTTTAATTGAGAGCTCAAGAAACCATTGTGATGGTGAATATCCAGTAGTAGAAAACGTACAGGTCTAAATGGACTAAAATTATAATGTTTCCAGAAGTTAAAACCTGTGTAAATAAGATCAGACAGAGTCTACAGGATGAAGAGAATGTAAGGAAAGTAACATCTTTTCTTCCTTTGCAAGTTTCTAATTGATGTAGCTTCACATGCCTATCTTCCAGACCTTCCAGCTAATTTTAAAATAACACTTAGTTTTAACCTCCAATTTCAGATGGAAATAATAAAGAAAGTGCTAAGTTCAAAGATCTCCATCCTCCAAATTTTCCCAGCGCTCATCTCCCACTCATGATATAGAAATAAGCAAACCTTTGAATTTTATATTGCTTATGCTTCGTCCTTTACTAATACAAGAAATGGTTTTCAAATCTTCTGCTTGGACAATCAACTAACAGGGAAGCCCCTTAAAATCTACATATGCCCAGCTCATCAGATTCTGTCACCTCCACTACTCTCCTTGGCTATATCTGGTGCTTATGCTCAAGAGATTTCTTGTGCTAATATTGCCAGCTGAGGGTGAGCTGGAGTGTTCTGCAAGCGCGTTAGTACTCTCTCACCACGTAGGCAGAGTCTAACATAGAAACAGGTTGTGCAATTAACCGGTTAGTGTGTTAAGGCAGTAATTTGGAGCTGGAGTATACTTCCACATGGAAATAGCCTTGCGCTTGGTGTGTTCCAAGGCAAGGCCACAAAGCCTAGCTAACTCACGATGAGCCAGAAGTAACATACTAAATAAAGCATAGTTTCATTGAAAATTAACCCCATTTTCAGTTTTGTGTATGTAGAAAAATGCACTCAACTCCCAGTGGGGCCCTCAGTAATGTATGTTTCCTGAGGAAGTGACAGTGGGGAACCAAGGTTCCATATGGGATGCAAAACAACAACTTCAGGGAATATAACTTACAAATCTATTTTCCACTTCATAAAGAAAGGCAGCTAAGTCACTCGTACTCTAAACGGCTTAATTAGAAAACCAAGGGCAGTTATTGTTGACGGAAAGACAGATCAATGTTGAGGCTCACCTGCCACACTTTGTATTTGGGGTTCTTTGTAGGGCAAGTGATTGCATGTTATAGACAGGTCAAGGTCAGTCATTAATGAAGCAGGTTCCATGAGTAGGCTCCGGAAGTCCTCATCAAGGCAAAAGTAGTATGTGATGAGGGGCTCTGAATAACCCACCTTCTCTAAAGGGCCTTTGCCTCAGCTTGCTTCCACCTCTGACATAAGACACCCACCTTAGAGGACCTCAGGGCTGGTGACCTACCCATCAACAGGCATGCAATGGCAACTTCCACATTGAAAATAAAAGGGTAAGACTTTAATGCCCTCTTCTCTCTTAAAACACCAGAAGACTTCAAAGAGGAGGAGAAACAAAATCGTGAATGTGACATTAATGAAATAAGTAAATATCTGTCACAAAGACACAAGTGCATATGAAGATGGCTGCCAAGTACAGTAAAACTTGAGCACCAAGTCAGATACTGAATGAAGAGGTGCCCAGCACATCTGAAGCCAACCTGGCAAAGCACCAGCACCTCCAGAGTAGGTGGAACCTGAGAGATAAACACAGGATCCCTGCTATGCAACTGCAACAGTGCGGGGTTCCTGCTGTACAATCTCCTATAAGGTCCTTTGGCGCCGACTGTGAGGGAGGCAGGGCTGAAGAAGGACTAAACAAACCCTGCATTGCTACAGCCATGCCATCGGGTAGCCCTACAGCTGCCGCTCTGGGTCACACCAGGAGAAGGAAAATGAAGGCCATATGATTCCTAGGCTTCTCTGCATGCCCATCTAGGAAGAACCTCATTAAAGATAACAACAACATAGCTGTCTGGCCTCAGACTTCTGCACAGAAGGTAAGAGGGTTGGAAGACAGTGGCCTTCTACTTGATCAGGGAAGAAGGCAGGACCCAGAACATGCACCTCTAGTCAAAGACAGCAGGGATAAATCCAAACTAGAGAATATTCTATAAAATAAATGATCACTGCCCTTCCAAAGTGTCAAGGTCATGAGAAACTGCCACAGACTGGAGAAGACTATGGAAAAATGAGGAGTAAACACAATGAGAAATCCTTGATAGGATCTTGATGCAGAAAACAAAGGGATATTAATTTAAAAACTGGTGAAATTCAAATAAAGTCTATAGTGAATAGTATTGTACCAAAGCTAATTTTCTGGTTTGAGTAATTGTGCTCTAATTTTGTGAAATGTTTACATTAAGGAAATCTAATGTTACAAAGTTGTAAAAACAACTTTTCTGCAAGTCTAAAATGAGTTCAAAATAAAAACTTCTAAAAAATTAAACAGCAGATACATATATGTAAGAACTTAAATAATACGGTTCCCATGAGCTCTTCTTAAATAAATATTAGAAGAACTTGAGCCAATGAATAGATGAGGAGAAATCATGACAAAAGAACAGTAAGTTCTTTAGCACTGGATCCCTTAAGTATAGGATTGGGGTTAAACCAGCACATGGTTATAAAGCAGAAGGCAAATATTTTTTAAAACTACAAACTGTGCAGACCTATAAATATAGTTATAACTATTAAAAGGTGGGAGTGGTGGTCAGCTATGAGAAGCAATAAAAATATGATGATATAATAATGTTTAAAGAAGGGCTTCAAAAGATATTACTTAAAACTGATAAATCAGTTAACAGAAGTGTATATAGTTTAAAAAAGAAAGCACTTGAAAAACTAATGATAATGACAGCATAAAAATTGTTGGTGGGAAAAAGAGGCAAAGTGGCAAAAAGTGAAAATACACTAATTTCGCTCTTGCTTATAGTGGGTAATAAATAGATGCTGCCCTATAAATAGAGTATTAAGTATATTATAAATCTAGTTATGATAGTACCACTAAAAGGCTTAAAATCAGACTTTCCAAATTAAAATAATGAACATAATTAAAATAAGGAGAACTTTTTAAAAACATAAACAGAAATTATAATATAATTATATTAAATGCAGCATTGTTTTATAATAGTGAAAGACTAAGAAAGGTCTATCCATGGGGGAATAGTTAGATCAATTGTGATAAAGAGGAACACAATGCAGTTATTTTTAAAAATAAGGCCACTCTCTACAGTGATGTGGAGTGATATCTAAGGTGTATTAAGAAGAAAAAGAAAGGTCAGGACAGTTTGTGTAGCAAATTAAGAAAAGGAAAAAAGGCTGGGTACAATGGCTCACGCCTGTAATCCCAAAACTTTAGGAGGCCAAGCTGGGTGGATCACCTGAGGTCAGGAGTTTGAGACCAGCCTGGCAAACATGGTGAAACCCTGTCTCTACTAAAAGATACAAAAATTAGCCAGGTGTGGTAGTGTGTGCCTATAGTCCCAGCTACTCCGGAGGCCGAGGCAGTAGAATTGCCTGAACTTGGGAGGCGGAGGTTGCAGTGAGTCAAGATCATGCCACTGCACTCCAGCCCAGATAACAGAGTGAGACTTCATCTCAAAAAAAAAAAAAAAAAAAAGATATATATATATATGAAAAAAAAACCTGCATAGGTGTGTGCATGGTGTTTCTGTGCTTGTACCTTGAAAGGATACACAAGAAACGAACAGCAGGGGTTTTTATCTGGGAAAGGAGTGAGTTAGAGGACATGGGTGGAATAAGGGCTTTCTTCTCACTCTAGATAACTTTTTGTGCCTTATACTTGTATTATGTGAACTTATTACCTATTAAATTGTATAAATTATTATATAAATGTATTATCTATTAAAACAATAGCTACGTAATGGTTGGTAAATAGATGGATACATAGATGATAGATAAATGATAGCTATAGATAGGCAGACAGACAGATAATAGAACTAGTCACCAGAAAAAGTGCTTACAATAAAGCTCAAGAAAATACTAATTCCCAGAGTTCATTTATTACCTACAAAATTGCATTAGCAGTAGCGGCTTCCTTAATTGGCAAACTCTGGCTCCTGGAGAGAGGCATAGTTCTCTAGGAGGGTGCACACAGTAGGACTTTTGCCCACATCCAGGTCCTCACTGAACAAGTTGGAAACTGTTCCAGTAAACAGAAGAGGTTCCCTGGTCTTCTTATAACCTTTCCCAAGGCTGAGGACTTCATCATTAAAAATAGGGGTAAAGACTAACAAGGAATCAAAGATGCCATTCAGGGTCATAGCTCGGGAAAGAGCGTTGAATGTGGCTCCATTCCTATCTTTAGGAACATAGAAGTGTCGGTGGTTCTGACCGTGTGATGGAGGGTGGGGAAGGGATTGTTTCTCTTTGCAGCAGGTTAGGTTGAAGCTGCCTGGAGCACAGACATCTGGATGTGAATGCTCCTTAATCAGTTAAACTTAGCATTCCATATCTCAAAATGAGGTCTGGCCAGGAGAGACAGAGTGTGTAAACAGCAGTACATAGCTTTCATTTCAGCCTTGGGAAAAGACAAAATTGATAGTGGGATATGCAGACTAAGGAGGGAAGAAGCAAGAGGAAGAGGGAAAAACATGAAAGCAACCCTAAACGTAAAGGCTGGGCAGAGGAGGAAGAGCAAAGAAGAAACTAAGGAGACGCTAAAGAGCCCAGAGATTTTACAGCATCTAAGGAGAAAGAACATTTCAATTCTTTCAGGAAGCTTAGCTGAGCCCAGGAGAGATGCAGGGCAGAAGCTGGAGGAGGAAGTAGAGGTCAAAGAGGACAGAGGAGATTAGTATACTAACATGCGAATGAAAGAATCCAGTAGAAAGGGAGAAAGTGAAGAGGCAGGAAGGTGAGAAGATGGGTGATGCTCCTAACAAGCAGGGAGAAGACAGACTCTGCACCTAAGAGGAGAGTTAGGCCTGGGACTGGTTCGGGGCCACCTCTTTCATCATAACCAAGGGGAAGAAGGCAAGAATGGGCTCAGGTGCAAATAAGCTTTCAGGGCAGTGGCATGTAGGAGAGGGAGTTTTGACTGAGAATGTTGATGTCTATTTTCTCATTGAAGTAGAAAGTGAGTCATCTACTAAAACTGAGGGGAGAAGTGGCAGGGTTGGAGGTATTTTTTTAAAAGAGTACATAAGATATTATTAGGACTTTTTGTAGAATAACAAATTGCCAACTTAAAAAATTTGTGGAAAAAAATTGGAATCTCGTAATTTGTAGAGGCAAAAGTCTGCTGGGTCATGTGGGTTTTGTCTTTTCTTCAGCATTACTCAGCAGCCAAGATGTAGATATTTTAAAATGATTGAGGTTGGGGGCTGGGAGTCAACAGTGCTGCTCCAGAGTGAGTACCAGGGAGGGACACACAGTTACGATATGTGTAAGTGGTTGGAATGACACAATGGAATTAAGGCAAGGAAGAAAAGGAAAAAAAGACAGAAGAAAGCTGATGGATAGGAGCAGAGAGGTCAAGTTGTCTGAAATGTCAGACAGACGGAGAAACACATATAAAAAGAGCTAAGCAGATTGAAGGTCAAACAGTAGATGCAAATTTTCAACAAATGATCAATAAAACTGTAAGAGCTTCTTCTGCATATTTTAAAATGCAAACCAAAACATTCTCACCTCTCAGATTGGCAACAAATTTAAGTTTGATAATGAAGAACCCATCAGGTTGAGAATATGGAGAAAGAGTACCTTCCTATATGGTCAGCAGAACTATGAATTGGCATCAAACTTCTAAAATTGGTAATTAACAATATCTACCAAAATTACAAGTGACCATTCTGCCTGAGCAGGAAGTTTCATGGTAAAAAATTAGCTTAATGAGATACTTGGACAAGTTTCCCAAAATGCATGTAAAAGACATTCCTTCATTATGTATTCATTCATTCCACAATTATTTACTTGGCAACTATAATATTTAGGGTAATGATTATCAAAATGTAATTTTCAAAAATGAAAACCATGACTCTTAAACAAACATAGAATAAACACATGTCACAGATTTTATTCGACTCATTAATTATCAAGGCAAACAGTAATATAGTAAAGCTGACTCAAAGGAAATTTTGAGGGAAGGAGATTTATATGGTCCTTTAAAAAGAGAATGCCAGAATAAAATTGCTACAATAAGTGGCTGATGCCTGTTATCCTAGCACTTTGGGAGGACAAGGTGAGCGGATTATGAGGTCCAGAGATGGAGACCATCCCGGCTAACACAGTGAAACCCCGTCTCTACTAAAAATACAAAAAAAAAAAATTAGTCAGGTGTGGTGGCACACACCTGTGGTCCTAGCTACTTGGGAGGCGGAGGCAGGAGAATTGCTTGCACCCGGGAGGCAGAGGTTGCAGTGAGCCGAGATTGTGCCACTGCACTCCAGCCTGGGCCACAGAGCAAGACTCTGTCTCAAAAACAACAACAACAAAAAAAAAAGATTGCTAGAACATATACAAACTGGTTAAGTTTTGCAAGAAAAAAAAAAAACAGTAACCTTTAAAGTTATCTTTTCCATGGGACAGAAATTATTTGTATCTTGACTGGACACAATCAATACGTTAACATAGGTCTTTTTAGAATCTGAGACTTTAATTAATAGTAAAGAGCAAAGTCAGACAATGATACATTCTGCTGGAAGATTAAATGATTTCTAGGTGAGTTTATTAAATGATACCCCAGTATGACTTTGAAAGAATATGTCATATGCTTTTGCACTTATTTACAAATCCATATCATTTTTCTTAGTATAACCTATGTGCCTGGGATACAGCAATGAAGGCAAACACATTTTTTGCTTTCCTGGAGCTCACAAGAATGAGGACTTTACCTATTGGGCTGGAAGCAGCACTCAGAAGCCAGACTAGCCGTGTCTCTACTTCATCCCAGGGGAAGTGGGAGGTGGAGGAAAAAGTAGCAATCTCATATGAGAGTTGCTGGGAAAGCTGGATCATTACACTTAGGATGAAATGAAGTCTTTCTGCCTGAGAATAGAAGTTTGAAAGGGTATACTGAAAACGTTTGGAAGGAAGGAGGGAAAAATTAGGAGTTTGAATGTTAAAGCAAAAGCATAGAGCATATGGAAATTAAGAGGAAGAAAGGGTCTAGAGAAGCCACCCAGGGTTGACATTGTGAGAATGACTAAGGACATTGATTCATGATGAGATGACCTGACTTCATTTCTCCAAAGAATTAATCAACTTCCAGTTTTCATTTCAACATATAAAGAGCCTCGAAGTTGTCATTCCTGTCCTTACAATAAGAAAAAGCTAGGCAAACTGAAAATCAATGACTTTCCTTGTACCAATCAAAAAACTGAACTCATTGGGAAAACTGTCACTCCAGAATCTGGAGAATCAGGTGAATCTGGAGAAATACAGCAACCCAGATCTTCCTACCTGGAAGCAAAAGCCACTAGAGTCATAAACTGGTAGAAACGATTAAATGGTGATGTTGATGAATTGCTAGAGGATGAATATGGTCTATCAAAAGTGAAAAACTCCTAGAGGCTGAAGTCTTAAGGGAATCCTCCTCACTTCCTTGGGTTTTCTCTCCAGGAATTCCACCAGGTTCTTACAGTGGGAAGTTTCTTTTTTTTTTTTTTTTTTTTTTTTGAGACGGAGTCTCACTCTTGTCACCCAGGCTGGAATGCAATGGTGCAGTCTCAGCTCACTGCAACCTCTGCCTCCTGGGTTCAAGCAATTCTCCTGCCTCAGCCTCCCAAATAGCTGGGATTACAGGTGCCTGCCACCACACCGGGCTAATTTTTGTGTTTTTAGTAGAGATGAGGTTTCACTATGTTGGCCAGGCTAGTCTCGAACTCCTGACCTCAGGTGATCTGCCCGCCTCGGCCTGGGATTACAGGCATGAGCCACTGTGCCCAGCCAGGAAATTTCTTAAAATATCACCTTTGATTCTAGCAGAGGATGAGAAGATTAACTACTAAATTTTTCTCTATAACAAAGGCCTACTGTCCAAGTAAAGAGACTTTGTAAAGTCTCAATCCTGAAACCTTAGTTCAGCTGGACAAAGAAGATGCCTTCCAACTCCAGGACTTCAAGGAAATAGATTGGGAATACTACAATCAGGGAGGAAAGGGGATGGGGGAAATAAAGGCTAAACCACTGCGGAAACACTTAGGAAAGTCACAAGCCAGAGCCCCAGATCCTCTAAAAGACTGAGACTTAATCAGAAAATTATAAAATGCTCTTTTTCCCCTACTCCTTACTACCATGCCAATAGGACGCCAATATAAAGACAGTTGATTTCAGCTGAGCACACTGCATGATGCAGACTCTCTCTGAGGAGGAGGACTTAGAGAAGCCCAAAGTGAGGAGAAGAGACAAAAACACAAATTCGGGTGGGATTTGACACATTTGGTACCTATAGCTACAATAAATATTAAGCATAGATTAATATAAACCTTCACATGAAAGGCTTATTTGTTTCAGTTCTTCATACCCAATACAACATGCTTGCATTTCAGCAAGAAATGAAAAGGCATTCTAAAAGACAGAAAGAATATACACACACACAGTGTTTGAAGAGACAAATCATCAGAACAAGATGAAGATGTGACACAGCTGCTACAATTCTTGGACAGAAATTTTAAAATAACAATGATTAGTATGTTAAAGGTGCTCATGGAAAAATTAGGTAACATGCAAGAACAGATGGAAATTGTAAGCAGAGAGATAAAAATGCTAAGAAAAAAAGCAGAAGAGAATGCTAGAATTCAAAAATACCGTAACAGAAATAAAGAATGCCTTAGATGGCTCACCAGTTGACTGGACATGGCCAAGAAAAGAATCAGTGAACTTCAATATTCAATAAAACTTCTCAAACTGAAATGCAAAGAGAAAAAAGAATGGAGGAAAAAAAAACAGAACAAAATATCCAGTACCTGTGGCCAGTATCAAAAGGTATATCATAGGCTGGGCGCTGCGGCTCATGCCTGTAATCCCAGCACTTTGGGAGATCGAAGTGGGCAGATCACTTGAAGTCAGGAGTTTGTGACCAGCCTGGCTAACACGGTAAAACCCCATCTCTACTAAAAATACAAAATGTAGCCAGGCATGGTGGCGCATGTCTGTAATCCCAGCTACTCAGGAAGTTAAGGCATGAGAATCATTTGAACCCAGGAGGTGGAGGTTGCAGTGAGCAGAGATCATGCTACCGCACACCAGCCTAGGTGGCAGAGTGAAACTGTGTCTCAAACAAACAAACAAACAGACAAAAAGTATATTATAAACACAATTTAAATGCCTTAAGGAGAAGAAACAGAAAATGGAACAGAAGAAATATTTGAAGTAATAATGGTTGAGAACATTTCAAAATTAATGACAGACACCACCATATATACAGATCCGGGGAGCTCAGAGAACACCAGGCAGGATAAGTACCAAGAAAAACCATACAGTTTTATCATATTTAAGACAATATATCCCAGAAGTCACCTGGTAAGTGAGTAGGTGGTGGGAATTCAACAGTCTGAAAGTACTTGTAGGCATTTTAAATGATGTTTGACACTTCAATTCTTCTCTCTTTTTCACCGTCCACATCAAATTGGTCACAAAATTCTACCAATTCTCTCAGAAAATACCTTTCAATTCCAGCATCTCCTTTATCTTCCTATTACCAGTGCCTGAGTCCGAGGCCTCATCATCTGTTACTTCGAACCAACACAACAATCTATCTGTCACCAATTCCTTCCCTACACATGGAAGACAGAGTTGTTCAAAAAATCCAGCTGGCTCTTTCATAGCTGCAAATTGAAACCCAAATTCTGCTGAAAATCTGGCTACAAGTGACCTTTTTAGATTCATTTCCACTACTCACCTTCATGCACCCAAATTGAACATAGCTCCTCACTCTCTGGGCTGTAGTATACACTATTCCCTGTTCCTGGAACACTGCTCACCCCATTCTTCATCTGTCAGTCCTTATTCATCTTTTATCATCCAATTTAAATATCTCCTTCTCAGTGAGTCTTTCCCATATCTTCGTAGTTAAATCAAGTGCTGGGCAATACTGCACCTTTATGGTATGTTGTTAGTAACTTGTCAAAGCAGTTACCATGTTACATCACCATTTATTTTTTGACATGTTGATGTGTGGTTCTAGAACATGAGCTCTGCAAAGACAGTCATACCACACAGTAGGCACTACATAAATGTGTTACATGAAATGAAAATATGAGATGATTTTTGGAAAGATCCTGACACTCAAAGACATTGATGGTGAAGATACAGAAGGAAATTTTCTGAACATAAAGAAAACCAATTGAGAGATGGTTGTGGGCATTTCATGTAACAACTAATTTGGAAACAAGAAGCTGCTGTTGTACTGGCCAGGAAGGCCGGTGATCATGGCATTTTATATTTCACTTGCACGAGAAAAAGCAGGTCCCTAATATGCAATGCTATATCAGAGATTTCTTCAATAAAGCAAAGTCTTTGGACCCTCCCAGTGGTATGTTCCTTCTTTCAGGGTTCACGCCATCCACCCTGTCATAACAGGAAAAGCTCAATGCCCTATGCAACACCCAACATCCCAACTTTTGATAACCATGAATCATTTAAAAAACTCTCTTAAGAAATATTGAACTAATACATTCTAAAAAATATCAAAACTTTTGTGTTTAGAAAATTTTTAATGTTAAAAAATTAAAACTTTTAATTTAAATAAATTTTAGCAACCAAGTGGTTAATTTATTTTTAAATATTACCTATTTTATTTTGTTTTGGTTCAAACTCAGGATGTAAACCCAATTATAATCATTTGAACTTTCTCAGGTCAAGTCCCTGGCAGCCCTGAATGCTTCTGATGTGCACCTCTCTAAGCTTCCTCCAAGTTTGTCCACAGTGCCAGTCATCACCAATGTGGCAGTGCACAGCTACAGCCACAGATCAGGATAGGAAGGCACAAGTGAGGCCTCCTAAGCTGGGCCCAGGGCCTTGTCAAGAGTGAGGCAGCTGTCCCAGGGAGATCACGGTGTTAGGCTCTCAACCCCTCCCTTTCCTCACTGCAGAGGCTCTGGATTTGCTGTCTGCAGATGCCAACATGATCTGTGGATAGAACTGAATTGCACCATCATTGACATTCTTTGAATTTTATTTTAGAGTTTAAAAACATCATCCTTGAGAAAGGGTCCATGGCATGAAAAAGGCTGCAAAGTCCTGCAAGTTTTCTTTACCAAAGAACTGTATTTTGTGGGGATCTGCATCCCCGGAAATACAACGCAAATTTTATCATATGTGCATTCTTCTGTAAAGTATCAGGGCTTTCACCAGCATAAAATGGGGTCTAGCAAGCCAAGAAGTTAATCCCATTGCTCCAAGGTGAGTTTGGTTCAACCTGACAGGTTTTCACTCAGTTTCTTTAGGCATCTCAAAAATGTCTTTCCACCCAGTTTCTATCAGCATGCACTATTTATTTTAATTTATTTTAGACCTACAGGAAAAGCAGCCAATAATTGATCTGCATGTTAACTACTCATGCCTTTTTATTTAAATCCACTAGGCCCAGTTTAGGGTTTACATTGTCAACTCAGTGCTTCAGGCAGCCCTACATATATGACATCCCTGCCCCATGGGCAGAACAAGTCATTTTGGGTCAGGACATTTTACAATTTACCAATACTTCCACAAATGCTATGCCATCTCATTTTTACAGTAAGCCTTTAAGGTGAGAGTTAGTCCCCTCCCCTAACCTCCCAGTTTCACACTGGGGATTTAAAGCAAGTCCCAGCCTTCGCCTGATGGGGCAGGAGAGCCCTGCAAGGGTGCAAGGCTTTACACTCACTCCCACCTTATGTCCCCATCACTGGTCACTGGCAGTGAGCCACCCTGGGGAGTGCGATGAGGGGATACTCCCAGGCGTGTTGAGCAGCTCTCAGGTCTAGGGCAAACTGGGTCCAGGAGCTTAAGAACAGGTCTCCAAAGAGTCACAGGTGCCAATCACTCGAAGCCAAAGCACACAGAAGCTTGGGGGCTGGGTGCAAAGATAGAGTGAAAGGGATTCAGGAGGATTTAGGTGGAGCATTGACAGTACTGCTGCAAGAAGACTGTTTCCCCCAGACAAATCTGAAATTAGATATAGGTCTTCAAACTTAAAATATCACTATTGTGTTGAGCCCTCCGTTGTCTAGAAACCTTGCTTTTTTTGAATATTCCTGCTATCCTACTAACCAGAGGGTATACTTGAAACCTCATTGCCACTCACTCTGTGCAGACTCTACTATAAACCTACACAAAGTCGCCTAATAAATCCCAAAGGATATAATAACAAGCCCTGCTAAATTGATTGCTAAAAATAATAATAATAAGAAGTAACATTCTTTGTTAATTCACTGGTGATAACTGCGGCTTCCTTCAATGTGACACAGGATGGGACAGAAGGAGAGACTGATGCCTATTGAAAGAATGACTTGAATAGAATATCTAAAGTAAGATGTATTCACAGGAAATGAAGTTTCATTAGCTCAGATGCCTCCATATGGAACTACTTGTTGGGTCAAGAGCTTTCCAGAAAACCATATGAAACCCTGGGAAATGTCTGTTTTGGACACAAGAATTCCCAAGGGATTTTATGGATTCAAATCTTTGTTATGGAAAAAGAAACTTTGAGCTTTGCCTGGGAAGTCTGAATTCTGGGAGACATGCCAGACTCAAAGCTGACGTGATTTGCAATAACCTTCTTAATCAACCGTAAAAATCAAGGCTTTATCGGTTTTTTTTTAGAGATAATCACACACTGTAATTTTGAAGAGTAAGACTTATTGTGAGAAAACCATGTGTTTTAACTAGGGTATATGTTTGTTTAAAAGACTGACTACTAAATGTAAGAATTTCAGCCAAGAATTTTCCTTGTACATAAATATCCAATAAACTGATGCTTTCAGATTCCATTTGCCCATATTTTTAAAAGATAAAGTGACTTCAGAGACCTCTCATGATTTGAACTTGGCTTTGATAATTATAAAATCATCTTTCTAAATAAAAGAAATTGCTTTCACTGACAAAAGTCAGAAACTCACTCATCACTTACGTGCAGCGTGAAGCTGAATTTTTATGTAAACAAATCAGAATTCTGAAACCGGAGCACAGGCAGTCTCATTTTTACTAGCATGGCTCTGAGACTATTATTTCTCTTAAATAATCAGAATTTTGACCTTTTAATTTCAATGCAGACTATCTGAGAGAGTAAGCTGTACTTTTCCAAAGGGCCTAGCAAAGCAGTTTTGAAGGTCTGGCAGAAAAAGACGGTGAACTTGAAGGGAGAAACAGATCAGAAATGTCAATACCAAAAGAAATAGTGAAGCAAGCAGAAAGTAAAGTTGAGCCCTGGGGCCTTTCTGTTTTCCATCTGTGGCCCCCTCCCTTTTGAAATATCTAATTCTTTGAAGCTGCTCAGGATTCCTCAATGGGTCTCATCCAGATACGCTCAGCAGAATAACATATAGAGCTTTAAAAATTAAATAAAAGTTCCTGAGACTTCATGTTCCCAAAATGTGTTCTAGGTACCCCTGGAGGCCCTGAGATACTGTCAGAGGGCTACAAGGCCAAAATTCTTTGCATAATAATACTAAGGTGTTATCTGTCTTTTTTACACTTTTTTCCCTTAAGTGTGAAGTAGAGTTTTCCAGAGGTTATATAATGTTTGACATTATAACAGATGAAAATGCAAAAGCTGGTAAGATAATCTATCTTCTCTTGTCAGACATTAAAGAGATTTGAAAAATGTTAAGGATTGCCACTCTTGTCACATCTATTTTTCTTTAAAATGTAGTTATTGTCCGTAAAAGTTTAAGACAACATATAACGTTTATTACATCATAAATGGATTAATAAATACATATCCTTAACATTTCTCAGATTTATTTTGGAATATGGTAAATATTAATAGATACAATCCACATAATCAATAGAACTCTGGACCTTTAATAATTTTTGAAGAGTGTCAAAATGGTCTTAAACATTTCATAACTCTCCTAATGAAAAAACTGAGATGTTTCGTAAAAGGTAAACTACAGTTTTAGATGAAATACAAGCTAACATAGTAATAGGTGATTTGTAGGGCTCAGAAACAAAGTAGAATCCAGGATTCCCATAGGCAACCAAGTACCAAAGCCAGTTGTGCTTTGAAGATACCTGCTTAGGCCTAGAAATCTTGGGCTTCTGCTCTGAAGGATACACAAGGGCTAAAGCCAGGGACCTCTTGCTGGGAAGTCTGATAGAATCCCTCTCGTGAAACTGAAACTCCAGTGGTTTATGCCCTCAGTGTTTGGATAAGCAAGAATAAATGTATCAAAATGGGCTAGTCAAGAAATTTGCCTTTCTTAAGTTTGGTGCTGAGTGGAGGGGGAAAATAACAACCCTCTTAAAAATTCATAGCTACTAAAGGGCTCTCATGCTGCAGGGTAGTCCAAAATTATTCCACCTGCGTTGTCTGAAAAAAGCTCACATGAAAATTTTAATTTGATAGCCTTTGGATAGTGGTGCCTTTGGACAACTGGCAGAACCAAACACAAATTCTCTCTCAATGAGACAATTGTATACATTTTTTTATCAGGTATAAACACCAGGCAGATGTGACAATAACCACAGAAAAGTTCTGGAAATCAAAAATATAATAAAACTTGAAATTCATACAATGGCTTTCCTGTAAGCTCTGTAAGGTCTCCCTCTGACTCAAGGCCAGAGAAGGTCAGTGAAGTCACCAATCCAACCTCTGCCAGCTGAAGCAGAAAGGGATCAAGGATAGACTGGTGACCTGTAATCCTTTGATTGTCATTCCCGGCGTGAAGCTAGGAGAACACTTTGGTCTACAGAAGGGAGACACAAGATGTAGGCAACAGAATGGACAATGCCAATGCTCACGTGCCTGAGAAGGTATCCTGAAGGAGGAGGAAGAGAATTCTGCATCGGTCACTCAGCAGACACCACAGATCTACTGAGAACATACACTGCCACCTGCTTGTACCTGAAAGGTACAAGCTTGTGCCATAGCTTGTACCTGAAAGGAAAAAGAAAAGTAGTCAAGAACAAATAGATTCTTGTGGAACACATCCATAAGCTGATGGCTATAGGCCAATAAGGAATTCATCAAGACTCAATCCAGGCAGGAAGAGACTACAGAGAAATTGCCACTGTCTCCCCTTTGCTGTCCACACATAGAAGCCTCATCAATTCACCAATAATGGTCCATACCATAAACAAGGCTATTGAAATTAAAAGGTACTCAATAGACTGATTAGACAATAGACCAGGCACATCTGAAGAGGCATTTCTTGAAAGGGAGAACAGATCAGAAGATACTATCCACATGCAGTACAAACAAAAAAACATATTAGAAAGTACAAAAGAGATTAAGCGATGTGGAAGATAAAGTGAAAAGGTCTATTATATTTCTAATTAGAGTTCTAGGAGGAAATAACAAAAGAATAAGGAAGAGGAAATATTTGAAGACAAATGGATGAGAAGTTTTCGAAATTACTGAAGCATATTAATCTTCAGATCCAAGAAACCCCAAAACACATTTAGATACTTTATTCCCAAATTATAGAATATCAAAAAATAAAAAGAACTAAAAGCAACCAGAGAGAATAGACTGATAACAAGAGAATAATTTATACCAGTCACAGAAGGGCAAACACTACATGATTCCACTTGAATGTGCAATCTGAGTCAAACTCAGGAGCAGAGAGCAGAATGGTGGTTGTCACAGGCTGCAAGGAGAAGCAAATGGGGTGTTGTTGCTGAATGGATATAGAGTTTCAGTAATGCAAGATGAGTAAGTTCTGGAGATCTTCTGTACAACACTGTGGCAACAATATTAACTAACAATATTTTACTGTACACCTAAAATTCTGTTAAGAAGGTAGACTTCAAGCCGTGTTCTTACCAAGATAAAATAAACACAAAAAATGAAAATTTCATACTGAAAGTTGATTTCTCAATAGCAACAATGGAAATAGAAAGAAATGGAACAATATTTTAATCAATATGAGAGAAAATAGCTCTCAAATTATAATTTCATCTTTAGTAAAACCTTTTTATAAGAACAAAGACAAAATCAACATTTTTCAAATAAGAAAAACCTAGGAGAATTTACTACTAGATCCTCACTAGAGAACATTCTAAAGGAGACACTTTTTAAAAAAGAAAATGTGCTAACATGGAAGCTTTGATATGCAAGGAGAAATGATAAACAAACATATTGGTAAATATATGGAAATTTCAGTATTTATTGATCATAAAAGAATAATAATATCAAATTTGTGGGGCTAAAAAACAAGATAGAATTAGGATAAAAAAGTGAAAGTGTATAGAATTTTGGAGGGGATAATCGTGTTTAGAATTATTTGAAAGACAGTAAACATATTGATTTTATCCAAAGAAATTGCTAAACATGCGTGTTTAAACTAGGTAGAATAGCAATTAAAGAGTTGACATAAGTATATAATTCTCAAACCAATGTTGATTTTTTCAAAATTTTAAGAAAAAACAATCTCAACCAAAAAGAAGGCAAATAAAGGTAGAGAGAAGGGAAGGGAGAAAAAAGGAAACAGAGAAACATGGAAAAATAGAATTCATGTAATAGGAAATAAATATAAACATATGAGAAATCACAATAAAAGTAAATGGTTACACTATTGAGTTAAAAGATGAAAATTAATCAGATTTTTAAAAAATGTTGTTTAATCAGATTTTTTAAAAATGTTGTTTATAAGAAAGACCAAAAGAGGAGTGGCAGACTATAGCCCGTGGGCCATGTCTGACACCCATGTCTGAGAGCCCGTGGGCCAGGTCTGACACCCAGCACATTTATACATGACTCTTTGGCTAAGAATGGTTTCTACAGTTTTAAATGGTTGAAAAAAGATTATGTGACAGAAACTACATGTGACCCACAAGAGCTAAAATATTTAACGTCTGGTTCTTTAGAGAAAAAGTTTGCCGACTCCTGCTCTAAAATATAAATCATAAAATCCAGAGAGGAGACAGATTGGAGAAAGATACATTAATTTTATAACAGACCGTGATTCTCCTTCAATGTCCAAATATTAACTAGACGCATGCACATCTTGCTAAATACCATGTTCGTTAACCTCTCTTATAGTTAGATATGGCCAATAAGACGTGAACTGAAGTGACTTACGTAGCTTCCAGGTCAAATCTTCAAATACATATGCCTCCCACTCCACTTTACCTCCTTCTCAACAGAACAGAGAAGAGGGAGTCAGGGTTGGGGTGAACCATCTTTGACCATGTGAATAAGGTCATCACGAGAAGGCTGGCAAAGCATTGAGACAGAAGGCACCTGGGCTCTATAATCCCTGTACTACCTACCTTCAGATCATTGCAGATTAGGGAGAAATAGTCTTCTCTCTTATTTAAGCCATTCTTAGGTGGGAATCTGTGTTACTGTAATTTAGCCTGTATCTTAACTAGTACATCAAACAAACGCTAACTAAAAGAAAGTAAGGTGGGCATAATAATAACAAACAAAACAGACTTTAGAGCAAAAAGGGATCAAAAGTCTCATAATGATATAAGGCTCATTTTACTGGAAGATATAACAATTCTAAAATAACATATGACTCAATTCTGCACTTACATAACTTAATGGAACTACAAGAAATAAATAAATCCATTATCCCAATGGAATACTTAATACCTCTCTCTCAGTACTCAATAGATAAAGCAGACAATAAAATTAGCCATAAAAGATTTAGAAAGAAAAATTAATATGTTTCATCCAATGGGCATATGGAGAATATTACATCCCATAATTAAATAATTTACATTCTTTTAAAGCACAAATAGAATAGTTTTGAAAACTGACTACATTCTAAACCATTAAGTTAACGTTAACAAATTTCAAAGGATGGCAAGATAGATACAGAGTGTATTCTCAGACCACAATGCAAATTAGTTACAAGTCAAAGACAAAATAAACCAAGAGAAAAAAACATGTTTACAAATCTGGCAAAATTCTAAACAAGTCAGAGATCAAAGAAGAATAATGCAAAGTATAAAACATTTATAAATGACCAGTGACTAAAATGTTTTCTAACAAAACTTGTGAAATGTAGCAAAAGCATTACTTAGTGACAAATCCATAGCCTTGTTAAAAGATAAGTGGCCAGGTGCGGTGGCTCACTCTTGTAATCCTAGCACTTTGGGAGGCCGAGGTGGGCAGATCACGAGGTCAGGAGTTCCATACCAGCCTGACCAACATGGTGAAACACAGTCTCTACTAAAAATACAAAAATTAGCCAGGCATGGTGGCACGTGCCTGTAATTCCAGCTACTCGGGAGGCTGAGGCAGGAGAATGGCTTGAACCCGGGAGGTGGAGGTGGCAAGGAGACGAGATCACGCCACTGCACTCTAACCTGGGCGACAGAGTGAGGCTCCGTCTCCAAAAAAAAAAAAAAAAAAAGAAAATTGTATTAGCACGTTTTCACGCTGTTGCTAAAGCATACCTGAGACTGGGCAATTTACAAAGGTAAGAGGTTTAATGAAGAACTCACAGTTCTACATGGCTGTGGAAGCCTCACAATCATGGCGGAAGAGAAGGAGGAGCAAATCACACCTTACGTGGACGGTAGCAGGCAAAAAGTGCTTGTGCAGAGGAACTCCTGTTTTTAAAACTATCAGATCTCATGAGACCCATTCACTATCAAGAGAACAGCACTGGAAAGACCTGCCCCCGTGATTCAATCATCTTTCACCAGGTCCCTCCCACAACACATGGGAATTATGGGAACTACAGGGTGAGATTTGGATGGGGACACAGAGCCAAACCGTATCAATAAGGTTCGTTAAAGGTAAAACCGTGATTCTCATACAGATATAAAACTGACTTGTGTTAAATATTTAATTCTTTAATCAGTAAGAAAACCAAGAAGATTCAAATGAGAATCCAAAGAACAGACACATTTTTAGATTAGGAATATTGAAAAGAATGTGTAAATTGACGTAAAACTTATTTTCCGGCCGGGCGCGGTGGGTCACGCCTTTAATCCCAACACTTTGGGAGGCCGAGGCGGGCGGATCACGAGGTCAGGAGATCGAGACCGTCCTGGCTAACACAGTGAAACCCCATCTCTACTAAAAATAAAAAAAAATTAGCCAGGCGTGGTTGCAGGCGCCTGTAGTCCCAGCTACTTGGGAGGCTGAGGCAGGAGAATGGCCTGAACCCGGGAGGCGGAGCTTGCAGTGAGCCGAGATCGCGCCACTGCACTCCAGCCTAGGCTACAGAGCTAGACTCCGTCTCAAAAAAAAAAAAAAAAAAAAAAGAAAAACAAACAAACAAAAAAACTTATTTTTCACAGAGGAGAAAGGAAGTTAAACCTCTACCAGGCAGAACAGAATCTGCATGTCTACAATCAAAAATTATTTTGCATTGCTATCAGTTACCTACAACTTGCAGAGTTGTAAAATAATTCCTAGTAAATGAAAGTATAGAATCAGATAACCCGGAAGGGTGTGCTATTTATAGACAATGCATAGGTTTCCATAGAAGGGCAATTTTTTTCTTAAAGTCACCCTCCTTCTGATCAAAAATACTAAAACAGAAGGATTATTCATGATCACAAAGCAAGGTTGGTCTCATTAGCTTTGGCCTTATTTACAGGGTTGTAGCAATAGTGTTGATTTACCATATAGGCCTATTAGAGTTTGTTTTGTTGCAATAAACTAAACACATAACTTATAATATTTCGGAGGAAAAAATTGCCCAGCAAGATAAACCCAAAAAAGTAAAAGATAAAGTATATAAAGAAAAGAGCAAAAAAAAAAAAAAATTAACTAAAATGCAAACAGAGAGTTTCTGCATCTGCCCAACTTGCAGAGAGCTGGAAGACCCTTGTTCCCCATTAGAACAAAATCAACCATGCTCACTTTAAATTCACGACTTTTTTTGAACCTACTGAACAACTGAGACAAGCATGGGCTGGCCAGACAGTGTGAAAGCTCTGGGGGCTGCAGAAATTGACTCTGTGTCTACTTGGAGACTCTTTCTCTACAAACCCCATTGGCTGCTCACAGGAAAGATTAAGAAGAGCTCTAAGAAGCACCAGGGTGCGGACATTAGGGAGGACAAGAGCAAGAGAGCAAGAGAGGCAAGAAACTACTGCTGCTCTCAAGGCACCTGTGAAAACTCCTGGCAGCTGGTGGAAGGGAACAGAGGGAAATACTTTGCCTAGGGAAGGAGTAGTATTACACTGAGCCCAAAACTTTAGCCAGGGAAAAGGCAGAACTGAGAGAGCAGCACCCCCAAGCTCCAGATAAGCAATGCATGCCTAAAACCGAGGATTAATCAAAACAACAGACTACTTTCTGTAGCTCCAAGCTAAATTACAGCAGAATACCAATGGGAGGGAACAGAAGAACAAGAGTATTCAAATAGATCTTCTTTGAGGTGCAAAAGGAAGACCTAAAACTCAAGAGTTCAGCAGACAGACTCTGACCCTAAACAAAAGGTACCTCTAGCAGAGCAATTTCTAGCCTGTGGTACACTGAGAGTTACCATAGCAACAACAAATCTCAACCACAGGCAACCATATTCTTCTAGGCCATGAAACAAACCTCAACAAATTTAAAAGAATGAAAATCATACAAACTGTGTTCTCAGATCATAATGGAATGAAATTGAAAATCAATAACAGAAGGATATGTGGAAAATATTCAAATGTTTGGATATTTAAAAGATTATTCTAAGTAACCATGGGTCAAACAAGAAGTCTAAAAAAAATTTAAGAAATACTTTGAACTAAATTCAAATTAAAATATAACACATCAAAATTTGTGGCCTGTAGTTAAAGTAGTGCTTAAACAGAAACTTATAGCATTAAATGCTTATATTAGAAAATTTAAAAGTTAAGAATTAATAATTTAAGCTTTCACTTTAAGAAATGAGAAGAGCAAACTAAACCCAAAGAAATCAGAAGGTCAGAAATAAGATAAGTGCACAGAATAATGAAATTGAAAACAAAAGTCAGTAGAGAAAATCTATAAAAACAAAGTTAATACTTTAAAAACATTAAGAATATTGATAAATCTTTAGCCAGATTGACAAAGGAAAAAAAAAGATGACACAAATTACCAACTTCAGGAAGAAAAGAGGATATTAGTACAAATCCCAAAAATATTAAAAGAAGAATAAAGGAATATTACAAAATTATTTGCACATACATTTGACAACCTGGTTGAAATGGGTCAATCCTTAAAAAATTCAAATTACCAAAATGAAGTAGATAACTTCAGTTGTGCTGATTCTATTCCATTAATTGAATCCCTGCTTTAAAAACTTTCAGGAAGAAATCTTCATGCCTAATATCTTCTCTAGTGAATTCTACCAAACATTGAAGGAAAAAATAATATAATTATATATCATCTTTTCCAGAAAACAGAAGAGGAGAGATGACTTCCCAACTCATTTTATGAAGCCAGCATTACCCTAATACCAAATCTAGTCAAAAATATTATAAGGAAACTACAGACTAATAATCTTCATGAACATATATACACACACACACAAAATATTTAATACAATGCTAGCTAATCAAGCCATTAATATATAAAAATGAAAATACATCAAAACCAAGTGTGGCTTATCCCAGGAATGTAAGACTAGTTTAGCATTCAATAATTTGTCAATGTGTGCACAACCTCCTGTGAATCCATAACTTACTTTTTAAAAAAAATTAAGGTTAAATTTAAAATAAAATAGAAACAAGCAGGAAAAAAACATTAATGCCAATGCAGAAATTATTTGATGAAATTCAATAGTCCTTCAAAATTAAAACTCTGAGAAAACTAGGAACTGAAAGAAACTGTCTGAATCTGATAAAGGGCTTCTACTGCTAAAGGGCTTCATCATATTTGATGGTATAAAACTGAGTACTCTCCTCTACAGTTTGGAACAAGGCAAAGATGTCTTCTCTTACCAGTTAGACTCAACATTGTACTCAAAGTTCTAGCCATTGAAATACAGCAAGAAAACAAAAATTTTATATTTCAGAAAAGAATAAAATGGTCTCTGTTTTTAGACAACAATACTGTCTGTATAGATCTCCCAAAAAATCTATACAGTTTCTAGAACTAATAAATGAGTTTAGCATGTTTGCAGAATACCTACATACAAATATCAATTATATTTTATATACTCTCAATAAATAATAAGAATTGAACATTTTTAAAAGCAATAAAATGTATAATAACACCAAAGAGATACTTAAGTGTAACTAATATAACATAGGCATGATTTTTCTGCTGAAAACCACATACAAATAATAATGAAAGAAATCAGAGACTTAAATAATAAAGATATACCATGTTCATGGTTTGAATCATGGAATATTATCAAGTTGTTGTGTCACTCAGGGTACAAACAGAGAAGCAAAATCAGAAGGAGAAAGATTGGAAGATCAGATAGATAGATAGATAGATAGATAGATAGATAGATAGATAGATAGATGATAGATAGATAGACAGACAGATAGACAGACAGATAGAAACAACCACAATAACAACAATTGCCTTATGCAGAAGTCTGAAATCCAAGTAGTAGTCAAGACAGGACCACCACTGGCAAAGCTGGAACTCACAAGCAAGTGCCAAAGCTATTATCCACAGGCAACCAGGGAAAGATCATAAGAAAGTAGAACCTCCACAGATGCTCTACTAAAGTTGCTGTTCACAGGCATATTTCTTCTTTCTTCTGGGGAAGCCTCAGCCCTGCTATTAAAGCCTTTCAGTTTCTTGAATCAGATCTACCCAGATTACCCAGGAAAATCATCCCCAAATTAAGTCACTGACTACATCTTTAGGTAATTATACGTAGGCTTTTATTACACCTGCAAAATATTTTCACAGCAATACCTAGATTTCTGTTTTAATAAATGTAGAAAGAATGAGAGAAATAGAAAATCACCATCAAAACAGCAGCATTATAACTGCTGGAGGCAAAATCCACTATGAATGGTAAAATTAAAGGGTGAAAGAGTAAGCACAAACAAGATATTTGCATAGTTCCAAATGTTCCCCCAATGTGTGTAATAATTACAAATGGAAAAAATAATAAGTTTACAGTGGAGAATTCTGACAGACATCACCTCAGCCAGGTGATCAAGGTTAAAATCACCAGCAATATGTATCAAGAGCATGTGTCCGGACATGATGCACTAAGCAGGGCACATACATCACCTCAATGGAATCCTTTCTAACAATGCATAGCCTCCATCTAATTATAAGAAAGCATCAGAACCTAAAGCAAGAGGCAATTTACAAAATAATTGACCAGGCTTATCCAAAGTCACAATGGATACGGAAAGACTGAGGCACTATTACAGGTTGGAGGAGATCAAGAGACATGACAGCTGAATACATGTGGGATCTTGAATCAGAAAAAGACACTATAGAGAAACTGGTGAAATGTAAAGAAGTTCTGTTATTTGGTGAATCGTATTGTACCAAGGTTAATTTCTTAGTTTGATAAATGTTGTATAGTTATATAAGATGTTAACATAAAGGTAAGCTGGGTGAGGAATATACAATAAGTTTGCAATATTTTTCATCTCTTTTGTAAATTTAAATATTGCAAAATTTTTTAGTGTAAAGAACAAACAAAGTGAAAATGAATTGTTGGAAAAGAGTAATAAAATAAACATACTCCTGGCAAGGTAAATGCCAAGAAAGCACTGCAGAAAACACAAGTTCTTGTCCCCTGTATTTTCCCCGAACTCCAATTCCAACTCAGTAGGTTTAGGATGCACCACAGGCCCAGGCATTAGATATTTCAAGATCCACAAGTGTTTCTGGGAGCCATAGAGACACTCATTTTGAATCCTGTTTCTGCACTTCATCCCAGTACCTCCATTCACTGTTTTATATTAACTCTCTCTTTATTTCTTTTTGGCCCCTCCTCAAGGTGCTGTTAGGTGAGCAGCAGGTTGATCACAGACTATTAGTGACTTCTAGGCTATTCTCTTCCAAACAACACTCCTAATCATATGAGGTAATGTGTAGAGAAGTGAGAAGGCTTTGGGAGATCCAAAAAGGTTTGACCAATCTCTGAGTTGATAAGATAGGCCCAAAGTCAGTGGAAGCAGCATCCTGTTTTGGTACTAGGAATGAGCATGAAACCAGAAAGGAAGAAGGTGTCTAAACTTTAGTCAGACTTTGCTGAAGCATAGATTCTAGATTATGGGGTAAAATGCACTTAACATTGTCCAGACGCCATACTTCACTTGTTCCATGTTTTCCTAACACCCCCCCACACCCCACCCCGCAACACACACACACAAAAATAGTTTTATCTCCCTTTTAGAGGTTAGAATACGTTCACTTGGTGAGCTTTGGTAACCTGCTTGCAGTTACACAGCTACCAAATTGCAAAGACAGGGTTTGAAGCCCAGTTTTTCCTAATATTTAAGCCATAATAATTTTACTGTATCTAAATATCAGCTAATATAATGCTTCAATTTATAGTTTACAGTTGAGTAGGTGAAGTGGTTTTTACTTATTTTACTAGCTCTACAGCTGGCTTCACATTCTTTATTTCTCAAGGATGAGTCTTTATCTTTAAAACTAAAAAATGAGCTGCATCCTCCCACAAAACTCTCTTCTTACAAAAGGAATTTTCATAAATCCTATCTTGATTGACTCATCCTAAGTGCGTAGAGTAAGATGAGATGCTTTCCAAATCTATAAAACTAGCCCTGCTCAGGGTTATTATGCATGAGTCCTGACAGCAATTCTGTCTTTTCAAAGTGGCATTGTACCTCGAATTCATTTGGCATAGCAAGGCAGTCTAGTCTGAGCCTTACTGATGAATTATGTCCCCGGTGGACTTTCTTTCTAAGTCATGTTGAATTAGATTTAATCGGAGAACTTCTCCAGCTGGCTTACTTTCTTATACCAAGTATTGAATTGAGTCTCTCTCTTCTGACTCCCTTGGTTCTTTTCAGATGAGAATAACCCATCTAATCAGTTCTACATCATTCTTGGATTTGAATAAAACCTTAAAGGCCTTTGTGACTTAGCACAGTAATAAATACCTCAACTGTAGGTAAAAGGAGCAAAGATAGAGCTGCCAGCACTAAAGGAAAAGAGGAAAAAGCGAGTAGACAGATCTTTGTGGTTAATTGCAAACTAAGTCTGTCTGACAAGAAAAGAGGATCTCTCTGACATATCTTTTCCCATATGATCTTAGCACAAGGTTATGAAATATCTCTTAATAGTAACTGCCAATGAATATTGCCATTGTCTTGATATGTATTATTCAAAAATGGGTGTATGGAGGTAATATTCTATGCTAACTTTTTTTTTTTTTTGAGACAGGCTCTCACTGTTTCCCCCAGGCTAGAGTGCAGTGGCATGATCAGGGCTTACTGTAGCCTTGAACTCCCTGGTTCAGGTGATCCTCTCACCTCAGCTTCCTGAGTAGCTGGGACAGTAGGCACACACCACCACACCCAGCTTATTTGTGTATTTTTTTTGTAGAGGCAGGGTTTCACCATGTTGCCCAGGCTGCTCTCAAACTCATGAGCTCAACTGATCCTCTCACTTCAGCCTCCTGAGTAGTTGGAACTACAGGTGTGCACCACCATGCCAGCTAATTTTTATATTTTTATAGAGACAGGGTCTCACTATGTTGCCCAGGCTGGTCTCAAACTCCTGGGCTCAAACGGTCTGTCTGCCTCTGCCCTCAAAGTGCTGGGATTACAGGTGTGAGCCACTGCACCCAGCCTCTGTGCTAACTTTTTATATGAATATTTATTCATCTCCCCAAATTCAACATATTCTAGATTAAATTTAGCAACATCCTTCCTCCTACTTTGCCTGAAACTGTTTCTCTTTCTTAGCTTATCTATCTCTGGCAAGGGCCTCACAGTTCCCATATTGTACTTGAAGTCACTTCTAATTTTATACTTGCCTTTAAGAAGAAGTACAGTTGCTAAGGGAATGGAATTTGGAGCAAGACCTGAGTTCAAATCCTAACTCTACCCCGATTGGTTGTGTGCCAGTGATCAAGTTATTTTAATCAATTTGAGCCTGAGTTTATTCATCTGTAACTTAGGGATAATAAAGTTGGTCTCACAGTGGTATTGTAAGGTTTAAATGAGATAAAGTGCAAAAACATCGAGCACGAGATTAGATGTATGTTAAGGGCTTTAAGTATTGAGGTTCTATATTAGTCAACCTGGGCTGCTATCACAAAATGCCACACACTTGGAGGCTTAAACAACAGAAATGTATTTTCTCACTGTTCTGGAGGCCAGAAGTCTGAGATCAGGGTGCCAATATGGTCAGGTTCTGGTGAAGACTCTCTTTCTGGCTTTCAGACAGTCACCTTCTTGCTGTGTCCTCACAAGGCAGAGACAGAGAAAAGAGAAAGAGAAAGAGCTCCAGTGTCTGTTCTTACAAGGACACTAATCCTGTCATGAGAGCTCCACCCTCATGACCTCATCTACACCTATTTACCTTCCATAGGCCCCACCTTCTAATACCATCACAGTGGGGCATCTAAATACATCAGCATATGAATTTGGAGAGGACGAAATTCAGTTCTCAACAGGTTCTTACTATGAAAAATAGAGAAGAGGAGCATTTGAGGAATGTGTCTGCTTTTCTACCCCACCATGTAGTTAGTGAGTCAATCTGAAAGCTGCCACAAAACAGTGCAATCTATTTCAAAGAAAGGACCCTATGGAAATAAGAAGAAGAAAACATTTTGGTTTATATCTATGCCTTTAAGAAAGCCAACCAGGCTGATAGGAGAAATGATAACATTATCCAGAGTTGATTTCTTAAAATAGGATCAGTTGTGGCAACTGGTGACTCCTGAAAGGCCAACAGGTGGGCAGAGAAAGGCTCCAAAAGTGCAGTCCTTGCATTGGCTCTCAGGGCAGTGCAATGCCTACTTCCAGGGGATTCTTAATTATACATTTGACTAAAGGGTAATTATTGGTAACCTACTACATGACTTACGAAAGTCTAATGATGTTAGATATTCATAAAATATGTGCATGCATTTGTTTAATAATAACTCTAACTTATTATTCTACTAAAAAGTAACATCAAAAGTAAGTAAACTGTAAAGTTCGTACCATGAGCAGTAACAGAGTTAAAATTCCTGCAATTTTCAAGAAAGTTGTTTCGAATTGTGAACACAATCTACGTTTTTCGCCAGTTACTTATGTAAAGGATATTTCTTTCTTTTTTTTTTTTTTTTCTTTCTTTTGAGACAGAGTCTTGCTCTGTCACCCAGGCTGGAGTGCAGTGGTGCGATCTCGGCTCACTGCACCCTTTGCCTCCCGGGTTCAAGTGATTCTCCTGCCTCAGCCTCCTGAGTAGCTGGGATTACAGGTGCCTGCCACCACGCCCAGCTAATTTTTGTATTTTTAGTAGAGATGGGGTTTCACCACCTTGGCCAGGCTGGTCTCGAACTTCTGACCTCGTAATCCACCTGCCTCAGCCTCCCAAAGTGCTGGGATTACAGGTGTGAGCCACCGCACCCAGCCTGGATATTTCTTTTACATAATACTGCCTGCATAGCAAGTGCTAATAAGTAGTAATTCTTATTATTGTTATTTAATTCTTTATAACCATTCACTTGCCAAATCTTAGATATCCTTCCTCTAAAGTTTTCCCCTCTTCATTTTTGCCACAACCACCTTAACCTAGGCAGGCTTCGGCTCATAGCTAGATGACTCAATACTTCCCTAGTAACTTCAGTCTCCCTGACTTCTCTGCTAATCCACCCGACAGCTAAATCAAACTTCCTTAAATACCACCTTAGAGTAGCCCTCATTGTCTCTAACTTTCTTAAGATCTACATCCATAATCTGCCCTTCCAATTCAGTCTTCGTTAATTCCCAGTTTGCCAATACAAGTTATCTGTTCCCAGCAGGCCAAGGTCTTCACAGATTCACAGGGGTGATGGGGATTTCACGAGTGATGTTCTGAGTTGGAAAGCTCTGCCTCTTTTACTCCACCTATCCCAATCTTGCCAGTCATCAAAATCCATGTCAACAGCCTCCTCTTCCCAAAATTATTTCCAAAGCATTCCAGTGTGCATTAATTTCCCCTCTACCAAGCCTCAAAGCACTTAAAAACACTACCATCGATTCAACATTGAATTATGCATTGTCTAAAAAACTTTTTTAACCAATCCATGTATACTACTCATATATTCTTTCCTCACAAATAGGTAATTCTCCCAAGGATAGCAAATATGTTTTATTCACCTCCTACATATTAAAATAGTGGTGGGCATGTAATATAATAAGTTGTCACATAATGTACAATTATTACTATCAGGCAAAGTGTTAGCATTTTAGCTGAATCATTTAGTTTAATACAAAAATTCTTTATGGTAGATATTTATTATTCTCCATTTTAAAAATGATTATTCTGAAGTTTTTAAACAAAGTTACTCGCCTAAGGTCAAAGAGCTGGTAAACAGCAAAACTAAGAGTTGATTCATGGAATGTTTGACCCCTGAGTCTTGATTATAGCAGGTATTCAGCACAAATTAGATTGTTGGCAGCTCTTTAATACCAGTTTGCTCTAATACAATTTCAATAACTTCCACACCACCAAACACAGAGCAGAGTGTCAAGTCTCAATAAATACTTGTTGGTTGATTGACTATAGGCAAATGTCACATAATTAGCCTAATAAGTTTTTAGTATTTCAATGGATAATAGAGCATAAAACCACTGAGCTTTCAGCTTATTTTCTAGAAACTTGTAGTTCTACATATTTTCCACTTGAGGAAATAAACAAAGATTACCCAAATGGAACAAAACGAAGACTATTTATTCAGTTTGTTAGAGGAAGAGAGTCAGCATCACTTGCAGCCAGAACAGACTCAGGCTGTGGGAAATCTTTACAGTGGAAAAGGAAGGCCTTGGGTGTGCCTGGAGAGGAGGCTGTTAGCCTGGAGAAGCTGGAGGCAGCTAATTAGAAGTTGGATATTGTATATGATTGGTTTGGGGAACATAATTGACTTTCTCTGGATGGTCCTGAGTTGGATTAGGAGTGGGAGTGGCAAAAAATAGAGAAGCTGGCAGTCACTAACCAAGGCCCAACCTTCCTGGACCTATTGATGAAGAGCTTGTGGTTTCAATTTCTGGGCTGTTTTCTACAGAAGTTGTGGGTCAGAGTTATATTGTCACATGTAGTCTGGGCCATTATCCATTGGTATATTCAGTCTCACACATTTAACTATCAACCACTTTTTTTTTCCTAATTTGCATTTTGTGGGTATTTGGAATATTTCTGATTATTAAGAAATCTAATTTAACATATATCTAAAGTCTTAAGTTTAGTGAATTAATCATTGGCTTTCCAAGGAAATGCAATTTTCTATAGAGACTTCATTTTATTAAAAAAAAAATCCTTTTCCCGAAAACATGAAGAAACAATTACATCAAAAGATGACTGCAAATGTCACTTTTCCTACATAAAACACTCAGTGAAATTCTAGTTCCAATGAAAAATGTCAGATCAGCAACCATAGTTATAAAAAGAACACTGGTCTGGTTTCAATATATACTACAATGAACCCTCTCCTAGACTTGCTCCCAATGCTGTCTTAAATCTACGAAAAATTTGACATTTGGAAAGTTGTTGGGATTACTCCTCCCACTTCCTAACTAAGTAAAAGTCCTGCCTAGATTGTTTTGGACAGTACCCAAAATATAAAAGGCAGAGCCCCATAAAGCATAATGTTTTTTCTCTGATAACTCTATAACTAGCTCATTTTATTTATTGTCAACTAGTTTTGTCAAATCCAGGGATTTAGGGACTTTAATCTCTGAAATACTTAATTTTTTTGGATGTTCACCTTACTGAATCACCAATTCAATTTCTCCTCTCTACTGTAAATTAAGTGGACTGCAATTTTCTTTATACTGCTCACATCAAGTCAGAAATTTGAATTGGTTCTAGTCAAAGCTTTCTGCCTAGATTCAAGAAAATACATTCTCCATTATTTAGAATAGTGCTCATTACCTCATAACTGGAAATAAGAGGAAAGTTGGCTTATTCCCATCAAAAAGACAAGCAATTTTCTCAGGAAAAAAAAAAAAATAAAAATCTTTTATTTTATTTTATTTATTTTGTATTTTATTTTATTTTATTTTTGAGAAGGAATCTCACTCTGTCCCCCAAGCTGGAGTGTAGTGGCCCCATCTTGGCTCACTGCAACCTCCGCCTCCTGGGTTCAAATGATTCTCCTGCTTCAGCCTCCCAAGTAGCTGGGACTACAGGCACCCACCACCATGCCTGGCTAATTTTTGTGTTTTTAGTAGAGACAGGGTTTCACCACGTTGGCCAGGCTGGTCTTGAACTCCTGACCTCAAGTGATCCACCTGCCTCAGCCTCCCAAAGCGCTGGGATTACAGGCATGAACCACTGCACCTGGCCAAGTGTTTGCTTTTTAACTCAGTTGAGTGGGTGAGTGGTAGGTTTCAGACATAATTTGAAATTCTATCTCAATCTGCTTTTTCTAATTATTACTATCAATTAAATCATAAGCATTTAAGGTCAGCCCTGGGAGAGAAGGAAAAAGCTTTGTTTATGGTCCACAGGCCACTCTTTCTAGTGAGGGAGAAACACTTTCCTATTTCCATCCCATTGTAATAATGTCTTTATTTGTCTGTCTTCTCCACACTAAACTGTGAACTTCTCCAAGGTAGGGATAGAATTTCCCACAGGGAAGGAAATGAAAGAATATCTCAGGGGGCTGGAGATTCCTGCACCCCATCTGCCCACCTGCATGACTTTCTTCTCCTTGGCAAAGTTCAGCCTTCGACCTGACAGCATTTAGATTTTTGCCTTTCTGGAAGCCATGGTGGAATTACTTCCAGTTTGGTGACTGTTTCACTTGCTTCACCTCTGGAGTGGGCCAAGCAGCTCCCACAATCTCCCCATGGTGCTTGGCTATGTTACTGCTGAGCACAGTGTAGTCAGCATGTGATCTTTAAATAGCACTAAGTCTGATATTTCCAGTTTACAAGCATTTGGAGAATAAGATAAGAGCCTTTGGCAGCTGCATTTGACTGGGTTTTGATGAGAAGCGAGGCTAGAATGAGCCTGCCTCTAGGGTAGGGCACGTGGCCACATCTGCTTACGGCTGTTTATGAATAACTGATAATACATGACCAGAATGAAGTCATGCCCTGATAACAAGGCTGTTTGAAACAGCAAATACCACTTAAAAAATATATTAGAGATAAATGGTATCTCCTTTAATGCCTAGTCTGATAGTTAGGAGCCAGTTTACATTTTTTCCAATTAAAGTGATTCATTCTTGGTTGCATTAGTGGCAAAAAAAGGGAAAGCTTTGGGAAAAAGAGCAAATGATTAGGCTAAAGTTATTTTTAAAGTATAAACAAATGATTTCAGGATCAATAGCAAATATTTAAGCACTTTAACTTTAATATCAGTGTACTGATGATCACCAAATGCAGTTAAGGAATAGGGGGAAAGTAGATGAGATGAAAGGGGAAGGAAGGAAGGAAAAAGGGAAGGAAAAGAAGGAGGGAGGGAGGAAGGGAAGAGGGAGGGAGGAAAAAAGGAAGGAAGGCAGAGAGGGAGGGAGGAAAGGAAGAAGGGAGGAAGGGAAGAGGGAGGGAGGGAAGGAGGGAGGGAGGGAAGGAGGGAGGAAGGAAGGAAGGAAGAAAGGAAAGAAGGAAGGAAGGAAAATGGAAGGAAGGAAGGCAGGTAGGGAGGGAGGAAAGGAAGAAGGAAGGAAGGGAAGGAGGGAGGGAGGGAAGGAAGGAAGAAAGGAAGGGAGGGAGGAAGAAAGGAAGAAGGAAGGAAGAAGGGGGGGGCAGGGAGGGAGGAAGGAGAAGGAAAATCGCTTTTGTACTTTTCCAGGTTTACCTGCCAGTTTTACTCTTCCTGATGCTATAGCTGTATTATTAAAAGTATAGAATGAAAACCCACATGAATTATGACATGCTCATTATGCACAGCAACACAGATATGAGAGAAAGATTGATAAAGATTAATTCTGACACAGAAATAGAATTCAAATTAGAAATCTGGGTTCATCCAGTGGTTAATTATATTTTTATCAGCCTTGTAAACTAAAAAGGAAAAAAACTAAAATCATCTAAACCTGTAATTGATGTGTATGTCTTTTGAAGATACAACAATGAATTTAAACTTCCTGCACACAATTTTAAGGTAGTGGAGTTTTTTTCTCCTAATATTTCCAAAATCTGTGACTTTGAGCCTGTCAGTCTACCTAAACACATTTTAATAATGATAAAAAAAGAGCTACTCTCTGAACTGTACTGTAATATTTTTTAGCACAGTTCCTGAATATGTGCTTAGTGCTTTGGTATTGATACTTGATTTAGACACCACTTTGAAGCTCTGAATTTGGGTCATCGATACAATAATTTCACAGTGTTACTTTCACTTGGTGATAAAAAGTGACTCTTTTTTTGGAATTTCAGCATTACAGAAAAGCAGGAACGTTCAAATATTTCCAACACAAGTTCTCTCCCAGGGGCACTTGTGTTCTAATATATATTTTTAATATAAACTTGAGTTTTAAAAAATGTTAATAGCCATCTGCTTCTCATAAATTTCATCACTAGAATTTCATTGATGTTTGTCATTAATCTTACGCGAATATGGAGGATTAAGGAATTGAAGTATAATTCAGTTTGAGAGATTCTGTGTCAACAGATTCTCAGTTGCAACTGGCTAAACATGACTTTGAGTTTCTACAAGAGAGCATAGATCATGAAAAAAAAATTAGTCAGTAAGACATTTCAGTTGTTATAGATGAGGGAAAGTCCTTCTGACAAAAACTCCAATAAATTAGGAATTTAATAACCACACAGCCTGTGACACAGAATGGAGAAGAACAGGATTACAACAGTGACCTGCCACCCAGATCCTCTACCCTGAGCAGGAAGAGGCAGGAGAGGAAATAACACGTCTAGGGCATTAATAACATTCCCACATGTATTTCCAAGAGAGTGTCTACAGTAGAGCAGGCAAACACAAAATGTTGGCTTGCTTCTTAAAATATATGCGCTTTAAAATTTTTATTTAGAATTGAGCGAATCTAGTAAAGTGAAAAGTAGACTTGACCCTTGAAGCAGATGCAAGCAATTCCCTAGACTAATAAAACAAGTCTGCTTTGAAAACTACTAAAGGTGTTTAATGATCTCTTATAGCTCTACTATTGTCATTGAATATTCATAATGCTATAGCAAGTCAAAATGAAACTGGCCACCCGAGTAGTTAGTGAGAAAGCACGCTTTATTGTTAACCGCTTGCTCAGGGTTCAGTGATACTAGAATTTGGGGCGGTCTGCCAGATTCTAAGGAGCCAAGAGATCTGTCTTTGCCTTGTGCTGACCAACTGCTCTTCTGACCTGACTGTCCCATTTGGGTCACAGAATCCTGCCCACAGGAAAGGCCTAGCTGAAATGCCACTTCAGGAAACCTTCCCTGATGACCACTACTTTATCTGGCTGGGGCCACTTTTGAAATGTCCAAGGTGCTCTCTGAATTTCACTGTTCTCTTTTTCCTGTTCTTTGTGGCACACAACCCAGCAGCCCTGTCCCTACAGAGCAGAGGCTGACTCCTTCCTTTTAAAACACCCACAACATCTTTAATAAATGGAAAATCCCAGTAGCTCCCTGCTGCACAGGGCTTACCATGTGTCAGGCGATGGCCAAGGCCCTGTGTGTGTATAAACTCACATCTCATCACGTCCCTGAAGTAGGAAGTATCTCTATCTCCTTTTTTCAAAAGAGGAAACTGAAGCACAGAGAAGGGTTGTGTAAGTTGCCCCAGGTCACAGAATTGGTATGTGCTAAACTCCCTCATGTCTTTCACACACGAGACAATCAAATTCCATTACAGTGCCTAGATTTTATATTTGACCAGCCAACCAAAATTAGCGATGAAGCATTTGCTGAAGTCTCCCCACCCTTAACAACTTACTGTTGTAGGATGTGTGTGCGTCTGTAGGAAATTCACATCTATTTAGCCTCACACAATGCAAAGCAGTTTTCTGAGTGTTAAGACTTAATACTAGACTAAGTTCTGGCACAGTGGGATTGAGTCTGGGATAAAAGCATGGGCTGACCTGGTCTGTGCCTAGCAATACAATACAAGGCTGTGTCACCTAAAGCACTGGCTTGCTCCAGTCCTAATAGAAAAGTTGCCACTTGGTGTGGCTGTGTATATGGGCTATCAGAAATAAAGTAACATTTTTAGTTCATTTTCTTTTTTTGCTTTCTTTTTTTCTTTTAGTAAACTGGTTCTTTCTACTACCATAGTAACAAATTAGTTAGATTTGGTGTATTTTGTATTCATTTTCTATTGCAGCCAGAACAAATCACCACAAATGTAGGCCACACAACACAAATGTATTATCTGGAAGTTGGTAGGTCAGAAGTCTGAGTGGGCTTGGCTGGTATGTGCTCCATGTTTTCCTAAGGCTGAAATCAAGAAGTCAGGGGGCCTATGTGACTTTGTGGGGGCTCAGGGATGAATTAGCTTCCAGGTCATTCATGTGGTGGTTGATTCCAGCTCCTTGCCTCTGTGGCACTGAGGCCTTGTTTTGTGCTGGCTGTCCGCTGGGGTCTCTCTCAGTGTCCTGATGCCTTCCACACTGGTGACTCCTGGCTGCTTCGGCATCTTAAAGCTAACACCTAGGGTTGAGCCCCTTCCACACCTGGAGTCTCTCTCGGCTCCACTCTTCTTCAGCGCTGACTGCTGGCTCCTTCCTCTTTGTCATTTAAAGTCTCACGAGATGACACTGGGTCCATCCGGATAATCCAGGATGATCTCCCTATTTTAGTGTTAGCTGATTAGTAATCTTAATTCCATCTGAAAAGTCCCTTCGGAGCAATGTCTGGATTCGCTTTTGACTGAATATCTGGAAGACAAGTGTGCGGGGGCGTCCTTAGAATTCTGCCAACCACACGTTGACCCTCAAAAGAGAAACGTGAAAATGTTTTAACCAGAAGTTTTGTGATTTAATTTCGTGACTCTACATTCTGTATTTTCTCACTTAACAACTCTGTTACTATTAATAACATATACATTGAAATGAGAAATTTAGGTAGTTACAATTCTGATAAAAAGATGCTTTAATCAGTAAGCATATTATTTTAAATGATATTTCTTTATAAACTGTAAATATACTAAATGAATTCCATGATCTGAAATATATGTGACTATATTAACCAGTTTGGATATGATAGTAAATTATGCATGTTTATGTTAAATTATTCTCAGATAATTATGGACATCTGATTATTATAGATATTATCCTCTTTAATGATATGTTTCAAAATGGAAAACATTACAGAAGTTATGAAAATGCTATACATTACCTTGCTGCCTTTATTTCTTCAACCATCCATAAAATTGTCTATAAAAATAATTTCAACATCAGGATTAAATTTTACTTTAGCTTATACATGCATCATAATGATACAATAAAATATATTTCTTAGAGATAAGCTAAATTAAGCAAAATGTACAATTGGTCACAGTTATATAATGCCAATAAGTAGTTTAAAGATTTGAGAATTTTATATATTCTGAAGAAGGAATCAAGTGTCCCCAAAATCATTTTTGACAATATGGGGCAGAAAGTAATCTACCTTTTATGTCACTGAATGAGTAAATGAATGAGATTTGGTGGTGATAGGAAAGTCACTAATTTCCTCTATGAAATACTTAATGAAATGATACAAGAATTAGCCTTGTCTAACCTTGTTTAAGATCTGACCTCATATTCTAAAATCACGGTTTATAATAATTTTCATTCGGCCTTTTTATTGTTCCGTCCGCATTATTCACAAATGCCCATACATAGCAAAAACATAACATTTTTCCTGAGGGAAATTTCAAAAGCAATTAAATCAGGATTACCATAAGATTCTATCAACAGCATGAGAGATGCAATAAGCTTTTGATAACAGTTATGTATCCAAAATGCTGTGGATTCTCAAGAAATTAGTTAACAGCCCTAAATGGGGAGAAAGAGGCAGTATGTGAGGGAGAAAGAGCACAGCATTTCTGGCAGTTTGCTGAAGGTATGACTTAGGCAAAGCACTTAACTTTTCTGTGGAAAGCAAAACAAAGCAAAGTGAAGGCAAAGTACTCCACTTTCCTAATCTGTAAATGAGATGGTGCTCCCTAATGAAGGAACATTTCATCTAAGCAATCCATCTCTCTGTGCTCCATTATGTGGCTGTTTCTAATGGCTGGAGTCTTATAGAAAGTGGGCTGCAACTCACACCAAATTGCTAGAAGTGGCTGTGTATGCATTGGCTTCTAATATCAAATATATGTATATATATTTACTGTTGGTGTACATAGCTTCCACAAGTTGAATGGCATCATGTGCCTAGATCATTAGAGAGAGACAGTGTCAACCTTTTGAAGTTCTCCAGCAATTATTCTACAGTGTTGGACTCTCAGTGTTTATGTTTCCTCTACTCTGACATCTCCACTGCTCCAGCCAAAGGCCATTTCCTGTCTGTCAGCAGTGGAAATTGAAAACAGCTGCTCCCCAATCCTTTGGATAATAGGTTCTGTGTGCACATTGTGCTATCAGGTCTTTAAGACCACCTTCAATACCTGAAGAGGTCAGAGAGCAGAAGAACTTTAAAGTTGGAAGGGGCCTTAATAATCATCAAATCCAAATTCACAAAGTCAGGAGCCCCATCTGTGGCCCCTTCCCTTGGGCTATCCTTTGCCTCTGCACAGGGAATTTACCACCCCCAAGGCAGTACATTTTTTGTTCCAATCACTCTAATTGTTAGCAACCTCATTCTTATATTTAACTGGAATCTAGCTGTAGTTTCTATATGACCTTAAATTCTGTTATCTACAATCAAACAGAATGAACAGTTTGTTCACCTCTATGAAGAGAATTGTCCTATTCTTCCAAATATTTCATTCTAGTTTAAACATTATCATTTCTTCATGTGAGTGAAATGGTTTACAAAGATCTTACAGTTCTTTTTATTAATTTCTACACACTCTCCATTGTGTGAATTCTCCTCTCTTAAAAAATGATTCAAATAACAGGACACCGTATACAGTTACATAAAAATAAACAGAATGGTCAAGAAAATAAGCAGGACACAAAAGAACACAGTATATTTACATCTATATAAATTCAAAATGGAGTTGTTTGGGAATGCATCTATAGATGATACAACTATAAAACAAAATGAGTTAATGATTATTAGAAAAGTCACGATGGTGTTGACCTCTTGGGGAAAAATGGAAGTGTGACTAGAGAAGGGCATGGGGCTGGGCTCAGGGACGTTTTGAAGTGTCAGCCGTGGTCTTCAGCTTAGAGGGGATGAAATAGAACGGTACCAGAAAAACAAAGTAGTATTTTAACTCTTTCAGCTGATTCTTTTGTATATGGCTTTCTGTTCTAAACAAGTTTACATTGCTTCTTTCTATGTTTTAAGCATTATCTATAGACTTTCCACTACAAAAGGTGAAGATTTATCTCTCTTTCACTAGCACATCCTCACCCACACTGCATACAGGCGTATTCCTTTCCTTACAATCTCCCAATGTAGTTATATTACAATTTTGGTTATAAATATTTAGTGTTTACATGTCATGATAATGAATGCAATAATTACAGCTGAGTCCTGTAGTGTCCATCCCCTGAAAAGCTTTTTGTTTTCCTTGGAGTTGATATTAATTTTGTTTATTTGTTTGGTTTTCAAAATTCTTTTCTTCCTCAGTTGTATAAACCTCCTGTCAATTCATCCAATTCACGTTATGTTTATTTGGTTAACAGTTTCCTTAAGAAATCCTTCCCAGATCTCCTGACTGTCTCTCATCAGACCTGGCTGTTCACTCTGTACTTCTGTTCTCATCCTGTGAATGCCTTTCATTTCTCTCTTTGGTTGACTTTCCGTATTCTAGATACCATGATCTCCTCCTTCTTCCTTTACTCCCATATTTTGTTGGAACACATTCCTCTGTAGCTTCCTGTAAATGGCTGCATGGAAGATAATTTATTTGAGATTTTGAATGTCCAAAAATGTCTTTATTCTGCCTTCTCACTTAATTGATGGTTTTCTCAGGTATAGAATTCTAATATTAGGAACCATTTTTCCTCGGAATTGTGAAGGCATTGCTCCATTGTCTGCCAATTTCCATTGCTATTGAGAAGTCTGGTATCTAGCAGATTCTTGAACTTTCATATATAGTCTTATAATTTTCTCTCTGAAAAAAAAAATGCTGTGATCTTCTCTTTGTTGCCAGTACTATAAAGTTTCACAATTATGCATCTTGCTGTGCAACTGTTTTCATACACTGTGTCTGGATACTCTCTGAACCTTTTCAGTCTGAATCCTGGAGTCCGTCAGTTCTGGCACATTTCTTTAATAATTCTCTCACTTCTATTTTCATACTTCTTTCTTCTTAAGTCCCATATAATTCTGATTTTAAACTTATTGAATCTTTTAATTTTTTTTTTTTTTTTTTGAGACAAAGTCTCACTCTATTGATCTCGGCTCACTGCAACCTCCGTCTCCTGGGTTCAAGCAAGTCTCCTGCCTCAGCCTCCTGAGTAGCTGGGGCTACAGGTGCCCACCAACATGCCCGGCTAATTTTTGTATTTTTAGTAGAGACGGGGTTTTGCCATACATGGCTAGGCTGGTCTCAAACTCCTGACCTCAAGTGATCTGCCCTTCTCGGCCTCCCAAAATGCTGGGATTAGAAGCATGAGCCACAGTGTTGGGCCTAATTTTCTTATTTTTTATCTCAATTTTCTATACTTGGTCTTTTGCTCTGCATTCTGAGAGCTTTTTTCAGCTTTATCTCCCATTCTATGGAGGTTTCCATTTCTGTGCTTATGCTTTTAATTTTTAAAAGCACATATGTTGATCGCTCAAGAATGCTTTTTTGTGGCACCCCATTCTTGTCTCCTCAATAATATAGTTTCCCTTAACTCTCTGATAATAGTTTTTATTTTCATTTTTAAGTTATCTTTTTTCTCTATTTCCTCCAAATTACTTTTCCTCTCCCCCCGTCCCACATCCACTTGTTTTGGTCTCTGTTTTTCATATTCCATGATTCCTGGTTGGGCACCAAAAAGCTGTTCAACCAGAAGTTTTTGGAAGCTCTACAAAACAGAACAAAGTTTGTCAATTATGAGCTTCACTTTTGGGTGATCTGGCTGAGCCAGTTAATTAGAGAAATGCTAATGATAACACCTTTAGATCTTTTCTCCAGGGATGATTTAGCTTAACAGAGAATTATCTAATCTCTTCCTAGAGTGAAGAAACCAGCATCCTATGTGTAGGGAAGAAGTCTGGAGGTGGTGGTAAGGGGTCTCAGTATTCCATAAGTGCACACTGTCACATAATTCCCTGTTTCAACAGAGAGCACCAGCTCTAGGTTCCACCAGGTGTCCTCTTGTTCAGCCAGAGAGCCACTCTTTTACCGCCCCCAGAGACTAACATCCAGTCTTCTACCCAACCAGGAAGGGAATCTGGGAGTTACCAGCTTCTTAAAAATGCTTTCATGAAGTTTTCTAGGTTCTGCTTTCTCCTTCAGTCACTTTACAGGTGTACCTGGTGCTGTCAGTCCTTACTCTGAGGAGTTTGGCCAGTAATCAGATGCTTCTCAGCTTTTCCCAGTGCCAGCGGGATTCAGCTTTCGTGGGTGTGCTAAATCAGTAACCACCTGCTTTCCAGCTTTACAGATATCTCTTCCATTTTCTTTTCCTTTGTGGGCACACACACACACACACACACACACACACACACACGATCTTTTAATAATTCAATTTATTATGGATTTGACAAAAAACACAGGTAAACACATGTGTCTAATTTGCCATCTTAATTGGAAACTACCCATACACTCTATCACATGAACTTCTCTCAAGGCAAATTTTTCAATATTTAATGTATTCCAAAGGATTTCTTGAAAAAATATAGACAGTATCATTTTTAATTTTAATATTGAGCTTTTTACCCATTATTCACCCTTTTAAGGTAATTTGGAAGCTCAGTAATGTGGTAGGAATGACAATAATAATAAAAAGCACTAATTTAGGTATATCACACACTATACACAGATCAAAAAGTAATAGCTGCCCCTCACAGCTTCGTGTTATCTGCACATCTGATAAACATGTTCTTTGTCTTTATTTACATCATGGGTTGGCAAGCCACAGTTGATGGGCCTAACTGGACTGCTGCCTGTTGTAGCAGATAGTTTTCTTGGAGCACAGCCATGCTCATTTGTCTACATATTGCCTGTGGCTGGTTTTGCACCACAATGGCAGAGTGGAGTCGTTTTGCAAGGACCATATGACCTGCAAAATCTAAAATGTTTATTCCTTGGCCCTTTGCAGAAAAAGCATGTCAATCTCTGCTGTAAGTTATTGATAAAAATAAAGATGACAAGGCTAGATCTAAACCCAGTGGTGAGGCAGCAAACCTCTGTGAAGGCTGATACTGACTCATTAAACAGTATAATTAGACATTTAGCAATAAGTCTATTTAACTCCATGAGTTTTTAGGTTACACTAAAGTACACAAGCTAAAAACAAAAACTAATGCAGATTTAAAATTGAAAGAGTTGTTTTATAAGAAATCCCCTGTCACTTGGTGCTCAAGTGGTGATAACATTCAAACACAAAGAATCACTGTAAAAGATATTCACGTGCGAGATTTCTGAATCCTGTACATAGATTCTAAGGGATTTTGAGAATTTTCAGAAGGGGTTCTAAGGAAAACTAGTCCTATTAAAGGACAAAAAGAATGCTATAACAAGTTTATGAAATATCATTTACTACATTTTCTCTCTTGGAGATTTACAAAATATTAGCACATAAAAGATTTTGAGAATTCCTGCAAAAGAAAAATCTGAATAACTTTGTTTATGCAAACATTACCCTTTACCCATTCAAAATCCCTTCTATTTCTCAGAGTTTGTGATTCCATCTTATCTGCACTTATGTGGTAGGAAATACTGTCAAATCCTTTGCTGACATTGTTGGTACTAACCAAAATGATTAATGGTGTTTTTCATGGTTTTCAGAAACTCCAATAACTTTGTGGTTCTTTGTGTGTGATGGCAGAGTTTTACCTGGAAGCAAGTCCAAAGGAAGCTGACAGTTAACAAAGACAGAGGCAGCGCACCAAGACAAACGATGTATATCATTTGTTTCCTCCCTGTCCCTTATTCTGAGCCCAACAGAAATAAATGAGAAGACAAAAATGATAGTCATTCAGCTGGGGACAAATGGGATCACCTTGCCTGCTGGAAGCAACCGAAATGCTCTGCACTTAGCACTCAGTGAGCAGAGAGCAGGGCAGCCCCTCAGCAGGGTTACAGTTTAGTTTGTCCACCCAATTTTGGACAGTATTAACAACTGCCTTTATTCTATAATTTGGTATATAAATCTATAAAGGGACATTGATATATGACAGTTTTCTGTCATCTCTTCGGCCATGAAGTTCTGCATTCTGCACCCTTCTTCCTACCTGCCACAGGTGATTCTAGCTTTCACTCACATCCGTGTGAAGAGACCACCAAACAGGCTTTGTGTGAGCAACAAGGCTGTTTATTTCACCTGGTTGCAGGCAGGCTGAGTCCGAAAAGAGAGTCAGCGAAGGGAGATAGGGGTGGGGCCGTTTTATAAGATTTGGGTAGGTAAAGGAAAATTACAGTCGAAGGGGGGCATTGTTCTCTGGCTGGCAGGGGTGGGGGTCACAAAGTGCTCAGTAGGGGAACTTTTGAGCCAGGATGAGCCAGGAGAAGGAATTTCACAAGATAATGTCATCAGTTAAGGCAGGAACAGGCCATTTTCACTTCTTTTGTGGTGGAATGTCATCAGTTAAGGCAGGAACCAGCCATCTGGATGTGTATGTGCAGGTCACAGGGGATATGATGGCTTAGCTTGGGCTCAGAGGCCTGACACTAGCCATTAATAAAAGTAACTTATTTGAGCACTATCTCATGCCTCAGCTCATTTAGTATTGATAAAATAATAAACTTTACACTTCTGTTCACTATACACTAAGTATACACTCAGTAAGGGCTGTGTCTACATTTTTACTAAGTAGAAGCATCTACCCTTTTTGTGTGAAAAGAAAAGCTATTTCTTTTCACACAAATCATGAAAAGGGAAGTGTCTAAATGAATAAGGATTTTCTCTATTTTCATGAACCTATCTATAATCATTTATTTCCTAATACATTATTATTTCATTCCAGAATCAATCTATGTTGTCATTCCCATTTTGCAGATAAATAAACCAAAGCTTAGAATGATTCAATAACTTGCCAAAGGTCTCAGAAAAGAACCAGAATTTAAACTTAAATCTCATGGACAACATCCATGCTCTTTCTAACAAACCTTGCTGCCTTTCCAAATACTCTTTGTTTTTCTTATTCTCTAATTATACCGGTCTAGTAAGTCTATTTTTAAAAATCCACAAAAAAGAGAAAGGAGGTTTGCTTACCATGATTTCTTCTTTGTAAACCAACATGGTCCTAACATCTCTTACCCTTTGCTTATAAGTCACCAAAAAAATGTTATGTTCAAAGATTTTACCAGGTAGCAGCATCATACTAATTACTTTGCGGTTTCTAGCTGATAACATTTTTCTCTATTTATTCTGTGTGGTGAAAATAAGATGATCAAAGTAGGAGTTCACAAATCACACAGTTTATTGCCATACAAAGAGAATTTTTTCTTAGGTTCACAATGCTAAAGAGGGGAAGAAGACATAAACAAACCACATAGGGAATATACTTGACAAATGAGGTGCATTATCCACATAGTGAGTGCGTTCCACAATTATTAAAGTCTAGTTGCTCAATTAGGATTGAAAAGGGCCTCTGTGGAAAGGAAAGTCTTATTAAAGATGAGGTGCACTTTTATAGGGGCAATCCTTGGGAGAAACTGGCTTGACCATCACAGCGGAGATTTCTGAAGACACTTAAGATTCCCCAAAGCAGTGCTGGTAGGTGAGGCTTCGGAGTTACTATTAAAGCTGTACCAATCAAGACAGTGTGCTATTAGCATAAGAATAGACATTTAGAGTTGTAGAAAAAATATAGACTTCAGCATTAGGTCTACACTTCTATGGACAATGTATTTTCAACATATACCAAGGTAATTCAATAGGAAAATGATACTCTTTTCACTTAATGGTGCTGTAACAACTGTATCTCCATATACAAAAATAAAATAAAAAATGAATCTTGACCCATACCTCATACCAAATATAAAGACTAACTTGAAATTGATCATAGATGTAAACAAACTATTAAACCTCCAGTAGAAAAGCATGGGAAAATATATTCATAAAGTTGGGGTAGAAAAAGATTTTTTGATAGAACATAAAAAATATAAATCATAAAATAAAAAGCTGATAAATTGGGCTTAATCAAAATAAAAATTTCTGCTTTTTCAAACGTACTGTTAAGAAAATGAAAAAGCAAGCAGTAGTCCAGCAGAATGTAGCCACAATACGTAAATCTCACAAAAAAAAACCTGTATCCAGAATATATAAAGAACTCTTATAATTTAGTAATACAGAAACAGAGAATCTCAAAAAAAAGCGAAAAGTTTGAATGGGTTCATTACAAAAGAAGATATACTGATGTGCCAATAAGCACTTGAAAAAAGTGCTCAACGTCATTACTCATCAGGGAAATGTAAATTAAAGCTGCAGTGGGATATCACTATACATCTACTAGAATAGCTAAAATTAAAAAGATTGACAATACTGAGTGTTGACAAAGATGTGGAGTCATGAGGACTGTTATACCTTGCTGTTAGGACAATCAAAAGGTACGAACACTTTTTGGAAAACAGCTTGGCAGTTCTTTACAAAATTTGACATACACTCACCCTATGGCCCAGCAATTCAACTCCTAGGTATCCCCACTTCTTCACAAAAAATATATGTTCCAACAAAAATTTGAACTTGAATATTCAGCAGCTTATTCTTAATGGCCAAAAACAGACAAATGGATAAACAAATTATGGTATATTCATATGATGGAATGCTACACAACAATGAAAACAAATGAATTATTGATGCTTGCAAAAATGTGATGCAAGCTAAAATAATTATGGTGAGCAAAATAAGTCAGACACAAAAGGGTGTATGCTATATAATTCCATTTTGTGAAATTCTAGAAAAAGTGAAAACAATTTATAATAATGGGCAGCAGATCAGTGCAGTGCACACCTGAGGTTTGTGGTATTGGTGGGGATTGACAGAATATGGGCAAAAGTGAAACTTTGGGGGCAATGAAATATTCTAGACCTTAATAATGGTGGAGGTTACACGGTTGTATATACTTGTCAGAACACATCAAAATGCACACTCAAAGTGGGATATTTTATTGTGTCTAAATTCTATCTCAACAAAGTTGATTTCTTAAGAGTATACATAGAGAAATAGAAACATGAACCCAGAAGTACATAAATAAGGGTTGTTATGCCTAGATGATAGAACAATGAATAATTTTTTACTGTCTTTATTTTGCTCTTCTGTGTAATTTCATTTTTCCAAAATAATTATATGTAATGTTAGTAAAATAATTCCGAAGTAATTATATATAGTGTTAGTAAAAAAAAATTAAAATAAAAGTGACATTTCTTCGTTAAGAAAAAGTCATGTCAGGCCGGGCACGGTGGCTCACACCTATAATCCCCACACTTTGGGAGGCTGAGGCGGGTAGATCACCTGAGCTCAGGAGTTCGAGACCAGCCTGACCAACATGGAGAAACCATGTCTCTACTAAAAATACAAAATTAACTGGGCGTGGTGATGCATGCCTGTAATCCCAGCTACTCGGAAGGCTGAGGCAGGAGAATCACTTGAACCCAGGAGGCAGAGGTTGTGGTGAGCCCAGATCATGCCATTGCACTCCAGCCTGGGCAACAAGAATGAGACTCCATCTCTAAATAAATAAATAAATATAAAAAGTCATGTCAGGCTGGTGGTGGTGGCTCCTTCCTGTAGTCCCAGCACTTTAGGAGGCCCTTGGGCAGCTCACTTGAGGCCACGGGTTTGAGACCAGCCTGGCAAACACAGTGAAACCCTGTCTCTACTAAAAATACAAAAAGAAGTTGAGTGTGGTGGTGGGCACTTGTAATCCCAGCTACTTGGGAGGCTGAGGCAGCAGCAGCACTTGAACTCAGGAGGTGAAGTTTGCAATGAGGTGAGATCACACTACTGCACTCCAGCCTGGGTGACAGAGTGAGACTCCATCTCAAAAAAAAAAAAAGAAAACAAACGTCATGTCATTTTCATAATTTTCCCGTTTTCTCATGGGTTCAAGGACAGGCTTATTTACCTCTTAATCACCTACCAAACCCAGTACCCCCAATAGTATTTGGTGAATTGAATAGAAATGTTACATTTGCTCTGGTTATTATTCCCACGTAGACAGCCTAAACTGCTTTCCCTTAATAATAATTTAGGTCTCAATTTCATTCAGTTCTGCTCTGATTTTAGTTATTTTTTTTCTTCTGCTAGCTTTCAGGTGAGTTTGTTCTTGTTTTTCTAGTTCCTCTAGCTATGATATTAGATCATTAATTTGAGATCTTTCTAACTTTTTGAGGTAGACATTTAATGCTCTAAACTTTGCTCTTAACACTGCTTTTGGGGCATCCCAGAGACTTCGGTATGTTGTGTCTCTGGATTTATTTCAAATAATTTTTTATTTCTCCCTTAATTTCATTGTTTATCCAAAAGACATTTAGAAGCAAGTTAATTTCCATGTAACTGTGTGGTTTTGAGAAATCTTCTGGTATTGACATCTACTTTTATTCCACGTGGTCTGCAATTATGGGTGGTATGATTTTGATTTTTATGAATGTATTGGGACTCCTTATGGCTGAGCATGTGGTTGATCTTGGAGTATGTTTTATGTGCAGTTGAGAAGAATGTGTATTCTGTGGTTGATGGGTAGAGTATTCTGCAGATGTCTATTAGGTCCAATTGGTCAAGAATTGAATTTATGTCCAGAATTTCTTTGATAGTTTTCTGCCTCTATGATCTGTATAATGCTGTCAGTGGGGTATTGAAGTCCTCTACTATTATTGTGTGGCTGTCTAGTCTTTTTTAGGCCTGAAAGTAGTTGTTTTATGAATCTGAGTGCTCCAATGTTGGGTGTGTATGTATTTAGAATAGTTTAGTCTTCTTGTTGAATTGAGCCCTTTGTCATTATGTAATGCCCTTCTTTGTCCTTTTTTACTATTGTTGGCTTAAAGTCTGTTTTATGTGATGTAAGAATAGTGAACCCTACTCTTTTTAGCTCCATTTGCATGATAGATCTTTCTCCAACCCTTTACTTCGAGCCTATGGGTGTAAGATGCGTCTCTTGAGGATAACAAACAGATCTGTGCCTTTTGTTGGCATTTAGACCATTTACAGTCCAGGTTAACATTGATATGGGAGGTTTTGATTCCATGGTGAAGCTGTTGGCTGCTTGCTTTGTAGTTCCTATTGTGTGATTGCTTTACAGGCTCCAGGGGCTATGTACTTATGTGCATTTTTATGGTAACAGGTATCGTTCTTTTGATTCCATGTTTTGAATTCCCTTAAGCATCTCTTGTAAGGCTGGTCTGGTTGTAATAAAGTCTCTTAGTGATTTCTTGTCAGGAAAATATTTTATTTATCTACTTATGAAGCTTAGTTTGGCATGATATAAAATTCTTGGTTGAAATTTATTTTCTTTTAGATTGCTGAAAATAGGCGCCCAAGGTCTCCTGGCTTGTACGGTTTCTGCTGAAAAGTACTCTGTTAGCCTCCTAGAGTTCCCTTTGAACATAATCTGACCTTTTTTTCTAGCTACCTTTAAGGGTTTTTTTGTTTTTTTGTTTGTGTGTGTGTGTGTATGTGTGTGTTGACCTTGGACAGTCTGGTGACTACATACCTTGGTGATGTTCATTTGTATAGTATCTCATGGGTGTTTTCTGGTTTCTTGTATCTGGATGTCTACCTCTAGCAAGATTCGGGAAATTTTCTTGAATTATTCCCACAAATATGTTTCCAGGTTGTTTACATTTTCTCTTTCTCTCCAAGAATGCCAATAATTCATAGGTTTGATTGCTTTACATAATCCCATATTTCTCAAGACTTTATTTTAAAAAATTATTATTATTATTATTATTATTTGTTGTTGTTGTTGGACTGGGTTAGTTTGAAGGTCTGGTGTTCCATCTCTGAAACACTTTCTTTTGCTTATTCTAGTCTACTGATAAAGCTTTCAATTGTATTCTGAAATTCCTTAAGTGAGTTTTTCAATTCCAGAAGCCCTGACTGATTTCTTCCTTCACTTCCTGAATTGCTTTAGAAGTTTCTTTGTGTTGATTTCAACCTTGTCTTGGAGCTTGTTGAGCTTCCTTGCAATCCGTGCTTTGAATTCTTTATCTGTCACTTCTGAGTTTCCATTTTGTTTAGAGACCATTGCTGGAGAACTAGTGTGATCCTTCAATGGTGTCACTACATTCATATTTTTTATGGTGCCAGAATTCTTGTGCTGGTTCTTTTTTATCTGGAGATGCTGGCAGTTCGAGTTTTTGTAATTATTTTTCTACTGGTAGGATTTTTTCTCCTTATTTCTTTCCTTATTATATTATTGGGATTTTTTCTTTCCCTTTCCTTTTCCCCACCTCCCTAGGGGGTGGAACTGTAAAGAATGTTGGGTAGGGTCTTTTGGCTTTGCTTCTCTAGCCCTATGCACTTCTTTTGGCATGTTTCATACTGGGATGTGTGATTTGGCCTACAGGCTAGTAGATGACACTTACGGGTAGGAGTTGGCTGTGGCCAATGTCGCTGGGTGTATACTTGATCCTTGTTTACTGGGAGAAGCTTTCTGTTGCCTTGGGCAATGGGCTGATCCAAGGAATGCACAGCAGTCTGAGCTCCCTGCTCAGCTCCAGAGGGAGAGGGAGGGAAGACGAGTGAGGAGGCCCACCTACAGGTCCCCCAGTGGCAGGTACAAGCATGAGTATGGAAGAAGAATCCAGTGGGAAGCCACCTAGCACCCAGAAGTATACCTAAGCCTGGAAATGGAAAACCTCCATGGCCCCAAAGAGGCAGGGGTGGAGGTGGGGCCTAAACTCCTAATCCAGGAGAGTGAATGTTCCAGATGCCTGAAGATCTGCCTGGCCATGGGGAGGAAAAGGCCCTGCTGTATCACAGTGTCTGAACAAGAAAGGTGGGGTGGCTCAGGCTGCTGAACCAGGCAAGTGGGTGTTCCAAATGTCTGGGGATCTGCCTGGGCATGGAGCAGAGAGGGCCCCCCTCCACCAGGATCTCTGCACAGCAAGACTGAGGCAGCTCAGGCTGCTGAACCAGGCAAGCAGATGCTCCAAATGCCCAGAGATCTGTTTAGGTGATGGGATCATTCATACTCCAAACCTCAGCATCACACAATATACCCATGTAACAAACCTGCACACATGCCCCCTGAATCTAAAATACAAATTGAAAATATAAAAATAAAAGAATTTAGAACCTTCTCAATCCATGCTCTTACTCTGGGCCTCCCCTGTTTTCCTCCACAGTCACCAAGCTTCATAGTTCTGCCAGATGTGTTCATAGAAAACTAGAGCTGGACCGTCATTAAACCAGTAAAAAAGGATTTTATTCAGGGACTGTCATTACAAGGGAAAAGAGGCTTCTGTAAAGAACAGGGCTCAATTCTGAATACAACAAGGAAAAGTGCAATTTATAGCCGAGGAGCAGGGTGGGGGTCAGTAAACAGAAAATTACTAAGAAGGGCCGGGCACAAAGGCTCATGCCTGTAATCCCAACACTTTGGGAGGCCGAAAGTGGGTGGATCAACTGAGGTCAGGAGTTTAAGACCGGCCTGGACAACATGGTAAAACCTCGTCTCCACTAAAAATACAAAAAATTAGCCGGGCGTGGTGGCACATGCCTGTAATCCCAGCGACTCGGGAGTCTTAGGCAGGAAAAATCACTTGAACCCAGGAGGCAGAGGTTACAGTGAGCCAAGATCATGCCATTGCACTCTAGCTTGGGCAACAAGAGTGAAACTCCGTCTAAAAAAGAAAGAAAGAAAGAAAGAAAGAAAGAAAGAAAGAAAGAGAAAAGAAGAAAATTACTAAGAAGGAACATCAGGATGAGGAGAATTCTAGCTAAACTGACTTGACAGGATTCCTGCTGAAGGCAGGCCAGCCTGTTATCACCTGGGGAACGGAGGGGGCTGGGGTATTTGATCAGATAGCAAGGGTGGAGCATTCTCACTAAATGGACTTAGCAGGAATCTTGCTCCTGAGGACAAGGCCTAAGGAGGGAGCCAAGACAAAAAAAAAAAAAAAAATGCTTGAGGAGCCTGACTAAAGTGTGATTATGGAAAGTCTTTGTCAGGCGTCTTTTCTCATTCAACATCAGATTTCAGGTGCCTGCCTATGGATGACAACTTTTTCTCCCAGGGCCTGGATGTGTTCCTCGATGGTGAAAGAACACATCCTTCTTTAGAAGGGACTTATACAGACTCCTGGGAAGAGCAAAGGGAGTGCACCCTTTGTGCAGTTTTCTCCTCCTATTCCCTTCACTCCTTGCAATATTTCCCCCCCCTTTGGCTGGGTTCTACCACCATTTTTTGATCACAGGAGGAATTCTTTCACTTGCCTAGAAAGATGATACAGAAGACTTACTTGGTTCTTCTCACTTTTTCCTTCCTCCTGTAGGCAAAGAAGTTTGCATTTGCATCACAGGCCTTTGGTGAGTGCCTACACCAAGAAAAATTTTAAAAAGTATCTAGTCTATCTTACAAGCATAGGAGGCTCTTTCTGACAGGGGCCATCCCTGGTAAATTGTATCATGGACAATGGGTGTGTTCTCAGCAGAGGGAGCAAGCCTCTAACACACTGGGAAATGGGAAGCAAGTCAGACAAAAAGCAGTTGCAAAGGTTTCCTAAATGTCTTACCCTGTTGCTTCACAGTGCCTCCTCCAGTGTTATTTGTTATCACAGTGTGTTAGACTGCTCTCACATTCCTATAAAGAAATACCTAGGACTGGGTAATTTATGAAGAAAAGAGGTTTAATTGGCTCATGGTTCTGCAGGCCGCTCTTCAGGAAGCATAGCAGCTTCTGCTTCTGGGGAGGCCTCAGAAAACTTTCAATCATGGTGGAAGGCAGAGGGGAAGCAGGCATGTCTCACATGGCTGGAGTAAGAGCAAGAGAGAGAGCGGGGAGGTGCCACACACTTTTAAACAACCAGATCTCGTGAGAACTCTATCATGAGACAGCACTGAGGGGATGGTGCTGAACCGTTCATGAAGGATCCACCCCCATGATCGCATCACCTTTCACCAGGCCCCACTGCCAACATGCGGGATTACAATTCAACATGAAATTTGCGTGGGGACAACAGATCCAACTCATATCACATAGCCTTTCAATAGACCACTTCAAAGAACTGCTGAAACAATGGCACTTTTAAAGAATGTGGTCAGAGGAATTACACTCCAGCCTAGCCATGTTCCTAGGATGAATCAGGGGAATGCCACAGGAGCTGTGGGGTGGTGAACAGGAGGGGACATCATCCCAGTGGTACTGAGCTGCTGGTGCAGACAGGACTGAAAGCTGTGACTACAGAAACTACAGTTCAGGGCTAAAGAAACTCTTGTCCAGGTGTACAGAAGTTTCCAAGGCACGTATATAACAGGTGAGGTGTAGTTACCTATATTTTGTGTCTCTTCCAATACCATGCACTGCCTTCTTGATATTCAGTATGTACTGGTGTGTAGAAGAAGATAAGAAAATACAGTCATCTCTATAGGACTCATATAACAGCATATAGAACAGTTGCTAAATAATTTTCAATTGCTTTAGTTCTTATGGAAAAGGATAAACCTAAACTTAATTCTAATGGGTAAATCTGTGGTATTTGACATGCTCCAGGCCTAGCTAGGTTACTGCCATACTCCATGTCAAAGAAGAGCGTTTATAACTGATGAAATGGGTCTTTGAGTGGTGGAAAAATCAACCCTTTAATCCTGTGGTAAGTGTTTTCCATAAATGAGTGTTTAGGGCTGCACAAAACATTGATAGGAGAGAGACACAGCACAGTCAACGGATCATGACAAATTTGAATAAAAATGACTGGATAATGAAACCTCCCCTCTTTTCCTTTGTATTTCTTATTACATTTAAAGAAACAGTTTTTTAACATGCCCTGTCTATTCTCAGTATAACATGCAATACACAGGAACATTCAACTTAAACAGTTGCTGATTAGAGCACTCTTTGAGACTTTATTGTGTGGTCTCTTCCCTTTCAGCTCAATGTTTTTCTGCATAAGTGGCAGGTGCAAGTTTAATTAAGTGTGATCAATGAGATTACCATTTGCAAGTTCTTAGGTATAAGATTAAAGAATATATTCACTCATATGAAAACTGTAATTTTGCCTGCAATATATGGCTTTAGCAATTAAACAAAATATTTTTCAGTCTAGAATATTAGTTACATGAGGACACGAAATCCATTTATTCTAAAAAGAAGAGCAATATAGAATCATATAAATTTAAAAATCTAAAAAACATTAAATTAACTGTTGCTTATACAAAAGGTTTGCTTAGTATTTCGGTAAGTCAGGCTCACCTTAGCATTAGCTCTCAAGACAGATTAGAATCATTACATGGGCCAGGCGCGGTGGCTCACGCCTGTAATTGCAGCATTTTGGGAGGCCAAGGCAGGTGGATCACCGGGGTCAGGAGTTCAAGACCAGCCTGGCCAATATGGCGAAACCCTGTCTCTACTAAAAATCCAAAAAAATTAGCTGGGCATGGTGGCAGTCGCCTGTAATCCCAGCTAGTCGGGAGGCTGAGGCAGGAGAATCACTTGAAACCACGAGGCAGAGGTTGCAGTGAACTAAGATTGCACCATTGCACTCCAGCCTGGGCAACAAGAGTGAGACTCCATCTCAATAAAAAGAAAAAGAATGTCATTATGTGAAAAAATATATATATATATGTATAATTTGCTCACCTAAACCTATTTATTTTGGAGGTGGTAAATACAGTAAGGTGGTCTTCAGCAGCCTTCCCTAAGAAATAAAAATAAATGTGTGCTTTTTAAATATTATAATTCATGTATTTCTGAAATTACTAAAGAATATTTGAATTTGTTCATTAAACTAATGAATAAATAGATTTGATATGTTGACAACTTAAATGTGTAATTTTCATTTTCATCAAATTTATGAGTCCTCATTCTGAGTGTATAGTAAGTAACTATTCTGGGATTGATTGGCACTTTGGGAAGGGGAAAATAGGATAAGGCTAGAGAACCTTGAGACTATCGTGACAATTTGTTATCTCTGCCCAGAAAAAGCTGTCATCAATGGTCTATTGCCTGAATATAACAGTCTGTTACCAAGAAGGGCCTGTCCAGCTCTAGGATTCTGGAAAATTCAGTTAAATTATACTTATTGGTGGAACAGAACAGCTACCCTGAATGCTCTGTGTTGTTCTCTATAGTTCATACTCGCCTATCTGTTGGGATTTTAGGTAGCACAGTAACCATCACCACTGTGATCTCTACTGAGGATCTGAACAATTGAGAATTAAGACAATGAAATTAGGGAGATGAAGACTAAGGCACAAGTGTTATCATGTGGCTCATATCCTCAGGCAAATGTGCTTCTTAATACTGAGCCTAAGATGTCATCCAGGGCAGCTGGTGACAAGGCACAGGTTGGGAACAGAGAAGACCTGGCCTTCCTATTCTTCTCTCCCTCACAAAGTCTGTGCCTGTATGGGAAGTCCTGGGAATGCTTATTCCTTATAAGTAACTCATCTTAAATGGAAGTATCTGGGCTAATGTGCTCAGACTCTCCTTCCAAAATCATCAGATAGGTCATTGCATATTTCTAGAGATGGAATGATTAAGATACACAGAGACAAAGTGATGTTTTTCCAGAGGGAAGGATACATTAGGATGGATTCACCCCCTCATAGTGTCCTTGGGAAGGCTATAGTCAAGAGTGTCCTATATAAAGAGTTGAGGGTCTGTGACGGTCCCATTTTCATTGTATAATCCAAGGAAGGCAAGATGGTTTCATCCTGCATGATAAATGCAATTTCTGTGGAAGTCTTCCTGGAGCACTAGTTGGTCAGGATGGTGAGCCATGGATCACAATGGATTGGTAAGATCCACCATAGTGAGGCAGAGAGGTTGAGTAAGCCAGCACGTGCTGCCAATTTCCCATCACAAGCCCTGGGCCTTACAACTAGGGGTCTGTGAAGTCAGGAACCATCTAAGGAAATGAGGGGAAGATGCATAATGTGGACTCCAAATCCTGCTCTTGTGAAGGCTCTCCAGAAAGTGCTTTTATCATGTTTCTCCCCACTCAAACAAGCGTGAAAAGGCATCCCCATTACCTCCTTGGTAAGGGTCAAGTGCAGCTTCTACACTAGCATTTCCCCCACCTTCCTGTCATGATTCTGCTGCACCAGTTTGCATGGGCTCTGTTTCCTCTCCCATAAAATAAACTAGCCAACCTCTGCAGAACCGCCCAGCTCTCACAGAAGCTGTGTCTTACCTGGAGGCAGGGTTAGAAATCAAGCAACATGTGAATCCTTTGAAGTTGGTTGCATGCATGTACATTTTTCTTGAGAGAGGGTTTGTGGCTTTCATTAGACTTTTCAAAAGATCTGTGCCTCAAAAGGAAAACAACCCTGCTCATCACAGTCTCTGGCTCAGATCATGGGACTGATCCTGGTGCGTGGCACAATATGCTTTCCCAAAACACCCTCTATGTCAAATACTTTCATCTGGACCACTGGCCCAGATGGAAACGTGTCAAAGCTTCTGCCTTTCATCACAAAAGCACAGAGATATTCTACATGTTCTGTTCACTTGTGGTGTCCCTCTACCTTGCTCAGCTGCAATCCTAGCTTCACTTCTCATCACCTCTCACTGCCACAGGATGGGCCTGACTCTCTTCTCACACCCCTACAATCACCACCAATCCCACAGCTCAGCTTTTAGTAATTTCCAGTGGCCCTGCTTGTTGAATTTCTTAGTCAACCCAGGTGAGCCCTTTTCCCAGTAGCGACCAGGGTGAGTTCTGGTGGTAGTGAATTTCCTCTAGAAGTGTAAGTGCTGGACGTATGATAGCCACTTTGGCTAAGGCAGGGTCCACTTCAAGTTCATAACACCTTCTAGTAGGTCAGAAATACCTGCTTGTTTGTGGATTCAATTTTTGACACAGGCAAGACAGTAAACTACAGTTCATCCAGGCTTTCCATCTATATGGGAACTATGAAAAATTCCTAGACTGGTCCTATACTGGGCTGCTTTCTCTAAACGTCTCTTCAAAACTTGGTCTATAAAAGTGTAGCCAACTTACTGGAGAGAGCTTAAATCTGCACTTTTCTCCTCATCAGTTTCTACAATTCCCTATTTCCCACTGAGCTGTAAAGATTACTGGAAGAACTCTTACTATAACATTTTGCACTTCTTTGTGTATAATCCCAACTCATAAATGGAACTGTCTGTGGGGAAATCTAAAAACAAAGGAAAACAAGACAAAAAGAAGCATGTTCTTAGATTTTCAAGTGATGAACTCAAAACCTTAGGAACTTTTTATTCCACCATTTTAAAAGTACTTAATTCTGGAAAAAAAAAATAATTGAGGAAATGTTCAATTCCATTTGAATTTAAGAGACATATTGGAAGGACAAGGACATGATGGGACATAAATGTGATATTTTATTCAAACCATTTTCGCAGGTTCTCCGAATCTCTCCTTCCTCTTACTTCTTCACTTAACATGAAATTTTCATTTAGAGTCAAATCTTAGTTTATAAGGAGCACATGCTGAAACTGCAATTCGTGGTTTTCTTCTCTATTTCCCTATCCTCTATCTTTTCTTTCCTCTTGTTCTTTGGTTCCTCTTCTGACTAACTCACCGGATGTCTAAATTATTTTGTTTTTATTGAATTTTATTTATTTATTATTTATTTTGAGACAAGGACTCACTCTGTCACCTAGGCTGGAGTGCAGTGGCACTATTATATCATAGCTCACTGCAGCCTCAATATCCTGGGGTCAAGCCATCCTCCTGCCTCAGCCCCCGAAGAGCTGGGACTATAGGCATGTGCCATCACACCTGGCTAATGTTTTATTATTACTATTATTATTTGTAGAGATGGCATCTCGCTATGTTGCCCAGGCTGGTCTTGAACTCCTGGGCTCAGGTGATCCTCCTGCCTTGGCCTCTCAAAGTGCTGGGATTACAGGTGTGAGTGTCCACCGTCAGCCTAATTATTTAGTTATTAAATTGTTTAGTCATTATTATTTTTACTCAGTGTCTAGAAGATTTTTAAATTTTTTTATTATTATATATTATAATTATATTATAAACCCTAGAGGGGTTTCCCAAGCTTCCTTTCGCCACAGCCAAGAGAAAACACATTGGCTATGCTGCACCCACCTCATGGCACCCACCTCATGGACAGGGAGAGAACTGCTCCCATACACTTTCCAGAAAACAAGGCTGCTGCCTAAGCTGATTCTGATAACGGTACCAGGAACTTGCTTTCAGCTAAATGTAGGAGAGACGAACTCAATCTTCTCGCCAAACACAGCTGGTAGTTGCTCTGCACTCAGAATAACCCCCCAACACACATCCCACCCCACTCCATGCACACACCTATCCCTGGCCAAACCCCACTTGGACTTGTAATTTAGGACTTGGAAAGTTCTGAGGGAGTATCCTCTACCCTACATCCTTAGGAATGCGTCTAGTAATAGCTTCCTCACCCTAAGCAAGCGAGTCAGGCATAGTTGAACTTGGAAAATTTTCAAATCACAACATTCTTACTCTAAGCTGAAGTCTTTAATATCTCATTTCAATCAAATTCATGAATTTTGCCTTACAGAAGTGATAAATTATCTTGTCTCCAAGTCATGCCATGTAAAAAATTATCTGAATTTCTTAACTGGATAAAATAGGTAATAAATTAATATGCTTGCTTACCAAGTTTATGTCAATTTGTTTAATTAGGCTAATAATTGCCATTCACTAGAAATGTTGGTAGGTTAAGCAAATTATCCTCTTCTGTTTTCATTTCAGTGGTTTAGTAGAAAAGGAAAATCCGTTGAGAGGTCTTAAATTACACTCAAATAACAGAAAAAAAAATTCAAGGGATTTCAGAGTAGAAATGTTATTGTACATTCTTAGCTAAAAAGAATCCACTTATGAAAATATTTTTAGTGGTCTATGAAGCATCATTAAGTTTAAAAGTATACTCTTGGATAAAGTTGAAGTATCATATTGCAATGCACAACTCATTTATATGATTGTTATTGCACTGATTTTCAATTCAATACTTCTACATAAAGAGAAAGAAGTTTCTTAGTTATAAGACATTCTTAAAGCTTAATCTCTATTTTCATGTCTGCATAACATTTCCAAACCCACTTAATGTAGATAATGACAAAGTAAAGTTAGTCATGAAACTTCCCATTACAAACTGCATTTTGTGGTGAGAATGAAGTTTTAAATTCTTTTCCACAGTTACTTTTCTCAGATACTGAATTTGATGCATTTAAAGATGATGCGATTTTCAAAATGGATGCCAAGTGTGACCAATATTTAGCCAAATGACATCTTTCAACCTAAAGAAGCATTTACATAAAGGGGCTTATAATATAAGAATGTGTCCTTAGTGCCATGTTATGACAGGAAAAGTGTAAACATGTTCTGCAGATGTCAGCTTGAACTTACAAGCTTAGTCCTTCCCAGGCTACATTGTGCAGCACCATTTAATTCTGGAGCTTCTTTGGTTCACCTATCTGTAGCTAAAGTTCAGCTATAGCTATGAGAAGAGTGCTTTTAAAGTGTCCCATTTCAGAACTGTCTCTAGGAAACAGGGAAATGGTGAATAATTTCCAAGTGGGTTGATTAGATATGGATTTCACTATGTTCACAATTTAGACACAATTTAGAGTGTTCTCCAAATAGCTTATTGCAACTCCATTGCTATGCAGGTCCAATATTGCTAGGTAAAATCAAAGGATAACAGTAGATTCAAGCATGCAACTGGGCATAATCTATTCTTCTCATTTACAAACTGAGAAACAAAATGTAACCTGGTTTTCTGAGTTGTTATTATTAGATGTTGATTCTTTAATAGTGTACTCGGTGGTTTCTTAATATCCTGATAAACTTACTGCACTTAAAGCAAAGATTGTATTGGCACATGAGTTTGCTATGCAAATCTGTAAAAGCTGCTGAGGTTAATAAGTTTCAAGGTTAGCACACTCATAAACCTCGCTCTGCTCAATCATATCAGCATCAAGGACCTGGTATTGAAAAGCCTTGTATTTTAAAATAATAGGCCTTAAGGACTTCGTGTTTAAAGCCCTATCAGTGACTATCAGATCAGAATAAACGAGCTGTACTCTTGGATGGATCAGAATGCTGAGCATGGTGATGCAGCCCGCTTCAGTGTGGGAGCCACAGAATGCTTTTTCTCCTCTGATAGAGCTAGTCACAATCTTTCCACTTGCTTTAGAACATATCAAAACTCTGTTCATTTAACCAACGTGATAGATATAAGATCTGCTCACACATTGTTTGGTGAGACCAATTTCCAGACCTCCAAATGCACGTCTTTCTTGTTCCACAAGTGGAATTAATTTAGTTTCGTCTTTTACTTGCTTTTGTATTCTTATTAGCATTTGTTCTATGAAATGTATTTTTCTGGTCCGTATTTGATGTGCTTGTATTACTATGTGGACAAAAATCTTGGAACATGAAGATCCTTTTGCTATCAAGCAAGCCAGTCTGAACTATTAAATCTCTCTGAATCATTGCTCAAAAATAAATGAAAGTTAGTGTTCACAGATCTGTTATTATGACCAAATGAATTAAAAAGAAGAAGCACTTTGTACAGTAAAGTAGTTACAAATGTTATTATTATTACAGTGTGTCAATGCATTTACTGTATTTTTCTTTCAATTATCTCACAGAATGAAAACTAATGCTGCAGCAATGGAGATTGTGAAAATACAAATTTAAAAATGCATACCTAAAGGAAAATCAAGAAAAAAAGGAAAATTAAGCATTAAATGGAACTCTGAGTAGTTACTAAAAGTAAGAAAAGGCAAAACAAAATACCACCAGACTCTCTCCATTACTACTTCCAACTACTGTTTCCCTATTGACACATAATCTCTCATCTGGAGTTCTGTTTGTGTTATAATAATGAATCCAAAACATAAGCAGTTTATTTCTCAATAGCTATATTAACAAAGGTGTATTTATTAATCATTTGTAATAAAAATGAATGTACACCAAGTGGTAGTATTTTAGAGCTTATTCTCAATTATAAAAATAATTAAGTTGCCTTATAAATGAAATGTAGAAAAAATATTTTAAAAGAGTATTTGAAAAATAAAAAAGCTATGTAATCCCAGCACTTTGGGAGGCCGAGGCGGGCGGATCACGAGGTCAGGAGATCGAGACCATCCTGGCTAACACGGTGAAACCCCGTCTCTACTAAAAATACAAAAAAATTAGCCAGGCGTGATGACGGGCGCCTGTAGTCCCAGCTACTCGGGAGGCTGAGGCAGGAGAATGGCGTGAACCCGGGAGGCGGAGCTTGCAGTGAGCCAAGATTGCGCCACTGCACTCCAGCCTGGGCCACAGAGCGAGACTCCGTCTCAAAAAAAAAAAAAAGAAAAAAGAAAAAGAAAAAAGCTAATGAATAATTCTTGAAGAACTTATTTGTAATAAAGAAACATCACAACACTAAACTGTTATATACACATTTTATTAACTTATTTGTGGATATCTCACTTTGTTTTTATTTCATTTGAATAGGAATCTAGACATCTATTTTTACTTAGCACCATTATTCATCCTAGAGTGGGAGAACTCTTTCTTTGATTCTATGTATTGTTTTCTGGCATGATTTTTTTTTTGCACTGATATATTTAAGTGATTGTCATAAAATGCTGCATCATATATTGTTTGTTGCCTAGAAAATACAGTTCTTGAACAGCCATACTCATTTAAAATCGTATTAACTTTGAATCCTCCTCTCTAAAGTATGGAAGGTTATTCACGTAGACATTTTATTTAGCTATTGTTGTCTGCTATGATTTCTGGAATGCTTTATCTATATGTTATATAATAAAATATATTATTACTTATTTTTGATATAAAAAAAGCTTACCTATTACTTTTGAAGTAGATACTATTTTTCAAGACCTTGAAATTAATTTACCTGAAAAAATATGTAAAAATACATACAAAGAAAAAACACATAACTTTTGAAAACTATCCATTTTAAAACATTATTCAAGACCAGGTGTGGCAGCCCACACCTGTAATCCCAGCACTTTGGGAGGCCGAGGCGGTGAGATTGCTTGAGCCCAGGAGTTCCAGTCCAGCCTTGGCAAAATAGTGAGACCCCGTATGTACAGAAAAATACAAAAATTAGCTGGCTGTGGTGGTGCACACCTGTAGCAGCTACTCAAAGGACTGGAGTGAGAGGATCGCTTGAACCTGAGTGGTTGAGGCTGCAGCAAGCTGTGATCTAGCATGGGTGACAGAGCAAGACCCTGTTTCAAAAAAATAAAATAATAAAAATAAAAACATTATTCACTACCTCTAATACCTGCTCACATCATACTAGATGATGAAATAAATATATCAATATGCATAAAAGTTAGCTCTTAATCTCAAAGAATATACATTTTATTTAAGGAGATAAGACCAATGGATACAAAATTATTAAAGAATATTATAATACCAAATGCCATGATCTAGAGTAAAATTAATTTGAATTCAAATGAATTATTATAAATTTTTAAATCAGCATTTTTGTCACTATATTAAAATAAGACACTTTCAGTTAGAAAGAAAAAATTACATTGAACTAAAAGAAATAACTCCTAAATCATACTGAAAGGGTTAAGATTCTGACCCTGTTTGTGTCTTTTAATTGGAGCATTTAGCCAATTTACATTTAAGGTTAATATTGTTATGTGTGAATTTGATCCTGTCATTATGATGTTAGCTGGTTATTTTGCTCATTAGTTGATGCAGTTTATTCCTAGCATTGATGGTCTTTACACTTTGGCATGTTATTGCAGTGGCTGGTACTGGTTGTTCCTGTCCATGTTTAGTGCTTCCTTCAGGAGCTCTGGTAGGGCAGGCCTGGTGGTGACAAAATCTCTCTGCATTTGCTTGTCTACAAAGGATTTTATTTCTCCTTCACTTAGTGAACTCCCATTCACAATTGCTTCAAAGAGAATAAAATACCTAGGAATCCAACTTACAAGGGATGTGAAGGACCTCTTCAAGGAGAACCACAAACCACTGCTCAGTGAAATAAAAGAGGACATAAACAAATGGAAGAACATTCCATGCTCATGGATAGGAAGAATCAATATCGTGAAAATGGCCATACTGCCCAAGGTAATTTATAGATTCAGTGCCATCCTCATCAAGCTACCAATGACTTTCTTCACAGAATTGGAAAAAACTACTTTAAAGTTTATATGGAACCAAAAAAGAGCCCACATTGCCAAGACAATCCTAAGCCAAAAGAACAAAGCTGGAGGCATCAAGCTACCTGACTTCAAACTATACTACAAGGCTACAGTAACCAAAACAGCATGGTACTGCTACCAAAACAGAGATATAGACCAATGGAACAGAACAGAGCCCTCAGAAATAATGCCACATATCTTCAAATATCTGATCTTTGACAAACCTGACAAAAACAAGAAATGGGGAAAGGATTCCCTATTTAATAAATGGTGCTGGGAAAACTGGCTAGCCATATGTAGAAAGCTGAAACTGGATCCCTTCCTTACACCTTATACAAAAATTAATTCAAGATGGATTAAAGACTCAAATGTTAGACCTAAAACCATAAAAACCCTAGAAGAAAACCTAGGCAATACCGTTCAGGAGATAGGCATGGGCAAGGACTTCATGACTAAAACACCAAAAGCAATGGCAACAAAAGCCAAAATTGACAAATGGGATCTAATTAAACTAAAGAGCTTCTGCACAGCAAAAGAAACTATCATCAGAGTGAATAGGCAACTTACAGAATGGGAGAAAATGTTTGCGATCTACTCATCTGACAAAGGGCTAATATCCAGAATCTACAAAGAACTTAAACAAATGTACAAGATAAAAACAAACAACCCCATCCCAAAGTGGGCGAAGGACATGAACAGACACTTCTCAAAAGAAGACATTTATGCAGCCAACAGACACACAAAAAAATGCTCATCATCACTGGTCATTAGAGAAATGCAAATCAAAACCACAATGAGATACCATCTCACGCCAGTTAGAATGGCGATTATTAAAAAGTCAGGAAAGAACAGGTGCTGGAGAGGATGTGGAGAAATAGGAACACTTTTACACTGTTGGTGGGACTGTAAACTAGTTCAACCATTGTGGAAGTCAGTGTGGTGATTCCTCAAGGATCTAGAACTAGAAATACCATTTGACCCAGCCATCCCATTACTGGGTATATACCAAAGGATTATAAATCATGCTGCTATAAAGACACATGCACATGTATGTTTATTGTGGCACTATTCACAATAGCAAAGACTTGGAACCAACCCACATGTCCATCAGTGATAGACTGGATTAAGAAAATGTGGCACATATACATCATGGAATACTATGCAGCCATTGAAAAGGATGAGTTCATGTCCTTTGTAGGGACATGGATGAAGCTGGAAACCATCATTCTGAGCAAACTATTGCAAGGACAAAAAAACCAAACACCGCATGTTCTCACTCATAGGTGGGAATTGAACAATGAGAACACTTGGACGCAGGAAGGGGAACATCACACACCAGGGCCTGTCGTGGGGTGGGGGCAAGGGGGAGGGATAGCATTAGGATATACCTAATGTAAATGATGAGTTAATGGGTGCAGTACACCAACATGGCACATGTATACATATGTAACAAACCTGCATGTTGTGGACATGTACTCTAGAACTTAGAGTATAAAAAAGAAGAAAAAAGATTCTGACCCTGTTATATGCCACAGGAAATTACATTCTCCTGGTTCATTTGATAATTATCACTGTCTTTAAACATCTTTAATATATCTAAGCAAGTATTCTTTGAGGAACAAAATCTTACTGACTTGATAAACAAAAAAGATTTTCTGATTAAACAAGGAAAACATTAGGGTTTAACAATATTACATAATCTCTTCCAGGGGACTAGTTTATAACATTGATTCTCGAACTTTATAAATTGTCTTAAAATGCAGATTCCTGGTCCTAGAACCTTAGACCTATCAAATCAGAATCTCTAGGGGGCGGGAGGGGAGTTCCCATCTATTTGCCTATTTATGAAGCACCCTGGGTATTCTGATTTAGTTACTCCAGGAAAACACATAGAGAAACACAACTATGAGAAGTGAAAAGAATTTACAGGTGACACGACTCTCACAACTTAGAAGAATAAACATTCTCCAATAGTTTACAAGCTAGAAAAAATGTTTTATTTAATAGATATAATTAGAAAGCTGCCGGGCGCGGTGGCTTACGCCTGTAATCCCAGCACTTTGGGAGGCCGAGGCGGGCGGATCATGAGGTCAGGAGATCATCCTGGCTAACATGGTGAAACCCCGTCTCTACTAAAAATACAAAAAAATTACCTGGGAGTGGTTGCGGGCACCTGTAGTCCCAGCTACTCTGGAGGTTGAGGCAGGAGAATGGCATGAACCCAGGAGGCAGAGCTTGCAGTGAGCCGAGATTGTGCCACTGCACTCCAGCCTGGGCAACAAAGCGAGACTCCGTCTCAAAAAATAAAAATAAAAATAACAAAAGAAAGATTTACCCAACTTTTCGAGAATATATATATCCTTCTTAAACACACATACATGGAGATTCATAAATATTCATAAATGTTTGACCACATCCAATATCATATGGGTTATAGTGGTGTCTATAACAAAATCAAGGAATAATTAAAAAACACATTAGAAATATGCTTGGAACATTTAAATTATACTTTTAGATAATAAATTTATTAAAGAATATATAGTAAGGAGAATTAGAAAATACCTAGAACTGAATGAAAATTATATATAATGAAACTTGTAGAATATAGTTCAACAGCACTTAGAGAAATAAATAGCTTTAAACTCTTAAAAAAGAAGAAAGGTTAAAATTTAATGAGCTCATTGTCAAGGTTAAGACCGTAGAGAAAAACAAAAAGAATTGATCCAAAGAAAATGAAAGTAATGAGATGACTTTTTAAAAGAGCAGAAATTAGAGAAACTATATCATAATTGAAATCAGTATGGCCAAAAATTGGTTACTTGAAAAGGAAACAATAAAATAGACTCAAAGTCTGATTGCTCCAACTTTCTTTTTTATTATTATTTTAAACCAGAGCTATAGACAATGATTATGGATTGGCTGAACTTGGGGTTCTTCTGAATTTCCATCCAATGAAATGTGGGAAAACAATTAAGGCAGGGTCATGTGGTTGAAAACACACCACCTGGGTTGGAAGGGATTGTGTGAGGGGAAGGGACACTCCCCCAGAAATGTACGTGAGTAGGCAGGTACCCCAACCTATATTGACAATAATTTTCTGTTGTAAATCTGGATTATTAAAATTCAAATAACTCCTCATCAATCCAGCATAAATTTAAAGGTTAAAAATCTTAAAAAGCAAAAAATACCATCTGGTTGGTATATTATAAGCATTTACTGAGAAATAGTTTTTTTAAAAAATATAATTATGCTCAAAATTGAATGTCACATTCACAGTGTATCACTGTTCCCTCTCTTCATCTCTCCTCTTTCCAAACCTTCAATAAATTTACTAAAAGTTCTGTTGCATTTAGTCTTCTTTTCCAACTTTTCCTTTTCCCCGCTCCTTCCTTGTCACTGACCTCTCTGGCTGAACCTATAGCTGGGCTCTATGGGACTTAGGGCCCAAAGAAGTCGCACAGTTCTTATTCCCTACCCAGCTAGGTCTAAATTGCCTTAGTCTAGAAGAGACCAGATGCCTTGCTTTCTGCTTACTGGGAGGACTATTTTTAAATACTGAAATGGGAAAGAAGAGAAACCAACACAGAGTTGAAAATCCCAAAGCAGATCAGTCCCAAAGAGGTTACTCAGCCAGTTGCTAATAAATGTGATGTTGCCTGTAGTGAGGATGTACTTGGATAGGATTCTGGCTTTCATCCTCAGCAATTATATCTGACTCCCACTATGAATTGAGAATGACACAGGCACTGAGTTACACGGGAAAGTCCCTGGTCTTGAAGAACTTTCCCCAGAAATTGAAATATATATGGAACAAATTATTGCACTATTATGTCCATATAGAAACAGAAGTTTGTACATAGTACAGTGGCAGCTTAAAAGATCTGGAAACAAGATCTTTGGCATTCAGGAAAGGTTTCACCAAGCTGATATCATCTTTGGTATTTGAAAGATGTGGAAAAATTCCCCAGGCAGAGAAGAGAGAAAAGGGATAATCTTGGTACAAAGAAAATTATGTTCCCACATGAAGAAATACACTGAGATCTACTGTTTCAGAACAGAATGGCTGGAATTTTTAGCACGTGTGACAAGGAAAGTGGTAGGAAATGAGATAGAAAATGCAGATTGGAGCCAGATGGAGAAGGATCTGGATAATCAGCCCAAGAATCTGATTTACCTTGCAGTCACTGGAAGATGGCAAAGGTTTAGGAAGAGAGAAGACCAGACTTGGATTTGGTGGGGCCAGGAGAAGAGTAGTTGAAAATGAGGAAGGGTCAGCTGGCAGGAAATCATTTGAGAGACCTTTCTGACAATCCAACTGAGAACTCAGGAGGCCTGAAACAAAGCTTGGAAATGGGTGAGGTTGGGTGGGAAAAGATTAGAAAGACATTTCAAAGGTAGCATCTACTAGATTTGTCACACTGGGTGAGAAGAGAAACATGGCATTTATTTAACCTGGGCTTGCTAGCTAAATTGAACAGTATGGACAATGCCATCATCTGATCTACTTATGAAAGAAGGAATAGAGTTGGCACAGGTTTGGAAAGGTTGAATTGAGGACAGGGATGGGTAGAAAGAAGGAATGGTGAATTTGGGTAGGCTCAGGTAGTGCTTAGAATCAGGCAACACAACTCTGTGACTGTATCAAAAGCCAGTGAATTATACAATTTAAGCAAGTGAATTGTATGGTGTGTGAATTATTTCTCAATAAAGCTATTTAAAAAAAAAAGTCAGGCCAGGGAGAAAGAATCCACAAAAATAACAGGACAAAGAGAATGGAGGGAATTTCAAAGAGGAGGTGAATGCTCTTTATATCTTTCCTTACTTTTTCTCCCTTTTTGTTTTGAAAACCCCCACTTCTTCTCTGTCATTCCTTATTCTGTTTCCAACTTCAGGTTTCCTATTTTCTAATCTATACCATGAAGGACCAGAAACTCACTTTTATTGAAACCAAATTCTGATGACTCTGATTCAGTAGTAATGTCACATGTGCTAGAATGTCTCATAAAGACAACTTGTGACTAGAGATAAATTGCAATTTTATTTCATTGAGCATACGCAGAATGTCACAAAAATATAATGCATGATACCAAACTGAAATGTTTTATTTGCTTAATTTTTAAAAAAATGATTTTGAACAACCATATCAGGGAATCTTGAGAGCTAAACTTTGAATCTGACATTCCAGTACCATAGATAAATACTAAAATATTCATTGAGAAAAAACTCTGTATATCAGATAAATTCATGATCCTGAATATTACTCCAGTGATAAAGTATTGATACTGTTACAGAGCAATCAATATACTCACTGCCCGATGTGCATGGAGGCCAGTACCACGTGACCAGCTGTTGAGAAAAGAAAAGCTTTATTGTGAACTGACTCACAAGGAGAGAGGAGGCAATGGTCGAATCTGTCTCCCTAGGCTGGGCTTTGGGTAGGGTTTTATAAGCGTAGTATTATGATAAATGATCTTATTGGCTCTTGCAATGAAGTAATGCTAGGAGGATCATACCAGCATCCTTTAGATTCTGCCCAGGGGTGATGCCAAGGCTTGAACTGATTAGATACTGGATCCTGCCATGTGCTGTTTACTTCTTAATTCAGTCCCTGCTCCTCAGCCTGAGCACTTAGGTTCCTGCTATGGTTGCACACTTGGTTCATCTGGGCATGCTCAGATTATGTGACCTTCAACCCAGGAGTTTATGGCAACTGAAAAACAATTCACAACTTTGTTATGTAAAAGTTGAACAAACACCGGGCGCAGTGGCTCATGCCTGTAATCCCAGCACTTTGGGAGCATGAGGTGTGTGGATCACTTGAGGCCAGGAGATTGAGACAAGCCTGGGCAACATGATGAAACCCTGTCTCTACTAAAAATACAAAAATTAGCCAGGTGCGGTGGCACATGCCTGCAATCCCAGCTACTCTGGAGGTTGAGGTATGAGAATTGCTTGAGCCTGGGAGGTGAAGGTTGCAGTGAGCCAAGATCATACCACTGCACTCCAGCCTGGGGGATGAAGTGACACCCTATCCCCCCATACACACAAAAAAAAAGTGAACCAGATTAGTCTGATGCAGTTACAATACACTCACTGATGTGCGAGGGACAGGAAAAGTTAAATCATTTAATGTGTTCATATGTGCTAGAAGGTGACAACAGTGTTTTCCACAAAAGGAACTTTGAAATAGCAATATTCCTTAATTTTAAAAGAGGGAATTATGAATTGAATATTTGTATTCCCCCAAATTTGCATGTTGATATTCTAACCCTCAATGGGATGGTAAAAGGAGATAGGGCATTTGGAAGGTAATTAGGTTTAGATGAGGTCCCAAGGATAGAGCCCCATAAGGAGGTCATTAAAGCTTTTTTTTGTTTTTTTTTTTTTGGGAGACTGGGTCTCATTCTTGTTGCCTATGCTGGAGTACAGTAGCTCAATCACAGCTCATTGCAGCCTTGAACTCCTGGGCTTGAGCAATTTTCCCACCTCAGCCTCCTGAGTAGCTAGGACTGCAGGTGTGTGCCACCACACCTGGCTAATTCTTTGTAGAGGTAGAGCCTTGCTATGTTACCAGGATGGTCTTGAACTCGTGGCCTGAAAAGATCCTCTCTCCTTGGCCTCTCCAAGTGCTAAGGTTGCAGGTGTGAGCCACCACACCTGGCCATTAGTGTCCTTATAAGAGAATGATACTAGAGCTTTCTCTAGTATCAAGGTGTCTGACAGTTCTGGCACCCTGATCTCAGACTTCCAGCCTCCAGATCTGTAAGAAATAAATTTTTTTTTAAGCCACTGAGTCTATGGTATTTTTGTTATGGCAGCCCAAAGTGACTAAGAAGAAGAATGGGGGGACCTAATTCAGAGCGACTCTGTTAAAATGCAGGGTCAGGTCATGGTCAGGATCATGTTGCTCTTGTGCTTATAACCCTCCCTTTCTATGACCCTTAAGGTTCTGTGTTCCCTCCTTACCTGCCTGACCTGGTTTTGCATTTTCTAGTACTTAAATGACATGCACCCTATGAAGGAAATGAGTATATACGAACATATTTTTAGTCCAAGCTATGGTTCATTGTTATAAGCATCTGCATATGCCTCAAATCTCTACAAGAAGCTAGGACCAACAATGAGTAATGCAGAAATTCTATGAATGTATATTTCTATGTAAAAATAATTTTAGGTAAAAATAGTCTTAGTAAATCCACTTGAATTCTTTTTCATGTGAATGTATGCTTTCTTCCAATATGCTGTTATGTTTTCCCCACATAATGAACTTCTTAACTAGGAGGACAGAGAATATCTTTGCATCATTTTTACAAGTTTTGGCAAACAGATTCAAGAGAGTCCGTAATACATGTTGTTGAATGTTTGAAAGAATGTGAGGACAAGTCTGAGAGGAAGTACCATATATACAACCTTTTTGGACTAGTCCCCAAACATAGTCAAATTTTCTCAGTCATTGTGTCCAGTTACTCTCTCTTCAGCAAACTCTGTTGATTAAATAAATAAGTAAATAAATAATTGAAAGTCATTGGCATTTAAAATGTTTGAAAAAATAAATACCTCAAGATCAGAACACACACACACAAGTGCAAACACACATAAACACACATTTTAATGAGATCTTTCATTTTAGAGTCTGAAGAACATCTGGTTCATTTAGGGACATATATCACAATCTTAAAGACATGCAGGGCTAAAGCCCAAGAGAACCCAATGCAATAGAAAGTGTATCAGCATTATTGGAAATGTGTTTTATTGCAAAATGGTAAAGATTTATGACTGGATCATGAGGATTAGTAGTATAGTTTTCTCACTTTCTTTTATAAATAAATCATATTAGCAATAGCTTTGTAAAAACATCAGCAAGGTACAGCATGATTTTTAAATCACATAATAAATAGTGACTAGAAACATTACTAAACCAATTAAAATTTATATTGAAAATTCCCTAGTAAATGTACCTATAACTATTTTAGAGTCTGTGAAGAAGGTTTCCAGCATGCTGACCTGAATTTAATTGCTGTTTAATGTATTTTATGCACACCAGTTTAAAATTTTAAAAAGTTATACATAGATTATTATTAAGTGTATGTCGTATTCTCCCAGTCTAGTTGAAAGCATATGAAAATAGGAGGATTAACATAGAAGAAAAGTTTGCTGTGTATTCTTTCATATCCTAAATTTAACAGGTAAAAATATTGTTCATTTAGAAATTCATTTTTCAAAGATAAGTTCTCTGAGCATAAATTTGCAAGAGATCTCTAATGCTATCAAGACAAAGCTAGCTAGCATCCAGCATCAGGGTAATTAACTAAATGTCCATTGTGAAAAACAGACTTCATGACATCATAATGAAAGAAATATTTTAGTATTTGTAACAAATATTCTGATTACACACTGTATATAATTTCCTTCTTCATGAGTTTTAAGAAGATGGGTGAAATTCAAATGCAATTCTCGGAGCCCTGTGGGTGGCGGGGTCAGCAGGTAGGTTTTTTAGAGTCAGGTTTCCCCGTGTGCTGTGCCCAGCTGAGTTCTGTAAGCACAATCTGTAGGGTTTTTTTGCTTCTCACTAAATCTATTTGCTCCTTTTGGGCAAGTATAATACATAATAGAACTTAGGCGATGTTCTTTTAATAATTCTAAATTCAGATAAAAATACTCTCTTGTAGGTAGGATCAAATTATAAAGCTGGGAAATCCTGAACAAAAAAAATATGCTAAGCCCCCAAAACAAATAATCCAGGTGCAAGTTACCTCTTGCATGACTTTTCTCACACCCTCTCAGCCTCTCCGATTATCACTTGCCTCCCTAACTAACATCTGTCATGGGAGGGCGCTAGCCAGGAAAGAGATTCTGCATGGAGGCACCCTCTGAGTTTAAATTGGGGATGACTTCCATTGGCCTCTGTTTTCCTGAGACTCTTGAGATAGTCGTCCTTTCTGTACCCTCTGCCCTCACCTGTTGGAAGCAGGGCCAACTTTGTAAAGATAATAGAACAAGTATATTCTATCTCGGGGGATACTGGGCTGGCTATCTGTTCACACCTTTGGGTTTCCCTAACAGAGAAACACCAGTAAAAGTCTATAAATATGTCCAGACTTACAAGCGTGAGGGAAACAGAGAATAGCTCATATGTTAAAAGACTAAGTTAAGCTTCCCACTTTTTAAGGAAGGATCTGAACACCACTTGATTCACCTTTTCCCAGATTTCCATTAATATCCCTAGACAATATACAAAAAATACATAAAAGCACATATCTACAATGTAAACTAAGGCTGGCACACAATAGGCCAGGGTCTAGGGCAAAATTTTACTATTATTGCATTAATAAGTCTCAAAAAAAAGAATCATGGGTCACACCCCACACTACAGTATGGCTGCGAAGAAAGAATTAGGAAAACATTCTGATTTACTACCACCATCTCTCTCTAGCTAACTCATTCATTTTAAACTTCCATCCCTATTACCCATCAGAGACTGAAACTGCCAGTAGAAAATACAACCCACATCCAACAAGGCAAAGAAATTTTAAGAAAAAAATACTCTAGGTAAGAAAAGAGAGAAAAGTCCTCAAAGAAATGCATCCTAATGGATCTCATCTTTTATGTACCAAATCTAGACCACAAAGAACTGCTTTATAAGCTGTAAGAACACAGTAGGTAAAGAGAATAATACACATCTCTAGCCTCAGCTAAAATAGTGGCCCTAAATAATATTGCGTGCAATAGATGAGACTCTTTCTGTTAGAAATGAGAGAAGTGTGAATCATCTCAAGCCAGAGGGAAGTTTATTGGCTCAGATATTCTATACTGCAGAAAGGGCAGAGGTGACACTGGCCTCAAGGGCAACAACATTCAACTGTTGCTCCTCCTTCCTCCGTCTCTCTATTTTTCCTTCCTTCTTTCCTCCCTCCTTTCCTCCCTTCCTTCCTTCTTCAAACACCTTTCTTCCCCTCTCCTTTCCTCCCCACCTTCTTCCCTCTGTCCCTTCCTTTACTCCTTTTACATACCAGCTCTATTCTAAGTGCAGACAGACATCCTCCACAGAGTAGGGAAACAAGGCTTCCAGTGGCCCTGTGCTCATATCCTGAGGGCACAAACAGCAGAAACAGTCTTCTCCACCAGCTCTATTTTAACCTTGAGAAAGAACACAGAGCAGCTTGGCTTGGGTTACATGCCTACCTCCGTGGCAGGGACAGTAACATGACCAGAATGGCCTGGGTCACACCTCTCTGTCTCCATAATTGGATGCCTGTCAAGCATCAGAAATTATGCTAGGTCAGTGTTAACTTCTTCAGATAAAGCTTTTGTTTTGCTTTATTTTGTTTTTACAGCTTTATTTTGGTAAATTGAAGTGCAATAAACTTCACATATTTAAAATGCACAATTTAGTGAGTTTTGACGAATGTATACACCCTTGAAATCATCACTACAAGCAACATAATGAACATTTTCATCACCTACAAAATTTCCTCAAGTCTCTTTGCAACTTATTCCTCTCTATACCACTTACCCAGGAAACCAGTGACCGGTTTACTCTTACTAAAGATTAGTTTGCATGTCCTAGAATTTTGTTTAAATAGAATAGTTTTTGGACTGGCTTCCTTTGCTTAAGATAATGAGTTTGAAAATCCTTTAATCCCAGCATTTTGCAAGGCCGAGGCGAGAGGGTCACTTGAGGCCTGGAGCTTGAGACCAACCTAAACAACATAACAAGATGCTGTCTATACAAATAAATTAAAAATTAGCCGGTATGGTGCCATGCATCTGTAGCCCTAGCTTCTCAGGAGGCTAGGCAGGAGGATCACTTGAGCCCAGTTCAAGGCTTCAGTGAGCTACAGTCATGCCACTGCACTCCAGCCTGGGTGACAAAGTGAGACCCTGTCTCAAAAAATAACAAAGAAAGAAAATCATCAATGTAGTTGTATACATTAATAGTTTGTTGCTTTTCATTTCTGAGTTGTATTCCATTGTACAGATATACCATAATTTGGCTAGCTATCCAACTGCTGATAGACATCTGGGTTGTTTTCAGTTTGGCCTATTACAAAGTTGCTATGTGCATTTATGCACAAGGTTTTATGTGGACACATGCTTATGTTTTTCTTGGGTGATTACGTAAAACTGGAATGGCTGAGATGTTTGGTAACTTTTTAAGAGTCTTTCAAATTGTTTCCAAACATTTTTACATTCCTGACAAATTCATTTTACATTCCCACCAGCAGTGCATGAGATTTCCAGTTGGTCCATATCTTTACCAGCACTTGATAGAAACAGTCTTTAAGTTTTAGTCATTCAATTGGGTTTGTAGCAGTATTTCAATATTGTTTTAAATTACCTTTACCTCATGATTAATGATGGTGGCTATCTTTTAATGTGCATATCATCCATTTTTGAACTGAACATGAAAGTCTTATTTAATTGGGCTTTTCTTTTATTCTTAGTTATAATAATTCTTTGTATGTTTTGGGTATCAGTTATTTGTCTAATATATATATTGTAAACATTTTCTCCTAGTCTGTCATTTACCTTTCCATTGTATTTTTTTCCTTTTATTTTAAAAGAGATGGGATGATCTTGCTCCACCTCCCAGGCTGGAGTGCAGTGATATGATCATAGCTCACTGTAACCTTGAATTCTTGTAGTTTCAGCTTCCTGAGTAGCTGGGGCTACAGGCATTATGCCCAAATAATTTTTATTTAATGTTCTGTAGAGACGGGGTCTTGCTATGTTGCCCAGGCTGGTCTCAAGTGATCCTCTTGGCCTCAAGTGATCCTCTCACCTTGGCCTCCCAAAGTGCCAGGATTACAGGTGTGAGCCACTATACCTGGCCCTTTTTCATTTTCTTAATGGTGTATTTCAAAGAGCAAAGTTTTAACTTTTGATATAGTCTAAATTATCCATTTTTTATTTTGTCTTTCATGCTTTCAGTGATCTGCCTAAGAAATTTTTGTTTAATTCAAGATTGCAAAGATTTTTTTCCATGTGTTTTCTTCTAGAAATTTTATAGTTTTGAATTTTATATTTATTACTATGACCCATTTTCAGTTAATTTTTGTTTATGATATGAAGAGTTGAGATTCCTTTTCTTTTTTTGACACAGATATCCAGTTGTTCTGACACCATCTGTTAAAAAGATTTACTTTCTTACCATTGAACTTCCTTGACATCTTTGCTTAAAATCAAATGATAACATACATGTAGGTTTATTCACAGAACATGGAAGTAATAAGAAGTACCATTGGAAATCATCTACATTTCAGACACACTATTTATTCTGTTCCATTAGTATGTGTGCTAATTTTTTCACTAATACCAAAATGTCTCAATTACTGTAACTTCAGAGAAAGCCTTAAAATCAAATAAGGTAAGTCCTCCAACTGTCCTCCAACATTGGCCATCTTTTTCAAAATTGTTTTATCTATTTCAGCCCATTGCATGTTAATATATATATTATAGATTATTTATTTTATATAAATAAGTATATATTTATATAAAATATATAATCTATAGTATATATAATATATAAATATGTATTTATATAAAAATAAATACATTTGTATATTATATATTTATACATATTTATATATTTATATATACTTTAATATTTATATATAAATATATATTTTTTTAATCAGCTTTTAAAATATTTACAAAAAAGCACACTGGAGTCTTTATTGGAATTACATTGAAGAAATGTACATCTTCAATTTGGAGAAACTTATATCAATTTCGAGAAACTTACATCTTCACCGTATTGGGTCTTCCAATCCATGAACATGGTATATATCTCTCCATTTATTTATTTAGGTCTTCTTTAATTCCTCTCTGCAATGTTTTGTAGCTTACAGTGTGAAGGTCTTGAAACTTTTTTGTTCAATTTATTCCCAAGTGTCAGCCAGGGTTCAAAAAGAGAGTCAGAACAACAGAAACTTTATCTAATGCGATTGTAGGAGTTTGAGACTATTGTCTTTGTGTTTAATGCTGCAACCTAAACAGAACAGGGCAGGAAATCATGATGGGAAGATAGTTGTAAAGTGGGGAAGAATAAAGATAAGTTGGAATCTGTAAGGACATATAGTTCTCATTACCTTCACCTGAATGCAATGTGTGTCCTACAGAGGCTGACACCCTGAATCATGGACATCAACACACAACTGGCTCGATAGTAGAAGCTGAAAGAGGATTCAAGGGAAAAGGGAGCAGTTGCAGGCCTAGGTGTTTCCCACATCTGTGAGGTTAGTCAGCTGATGAGCAGCAATAATAGGAGTTAGCTACAAAAGGTGTCTACTCCAACTTCTCAAGCATATATACAAATTAGCTGCTGCTTCACTTCTGCATTCCAAATCTTACATGAAAATATGTCTTGTGGCTCTCCGTAACTGGAATTATACAGGGAAGGGAATCTTGGGAAACAGTACATCCTTGCAAAGTTGACACATTGCAAAACCACCCCAGCTCATTCCTTCTCAACTTGTCATCCATACATATCTCTTTAAAACATACTTAGCTTTCAAATATAAATCATCATAACATTACTTTCAACCAAACATGAGCCACACAACAAAATCAAGGTAATTATTTCCCCAAAAGTAGCCGTAAAGACCCTCCTTTTTCTTAGATTGTTTATCTTCCTTCCAGATGATTAACACTCTTCATTTGATGTCTTGTAAGTCAAAGACATAGATACTGAGATAAAGTTAACTATTATTAACACATGTTAGAAAGGAGAAGACTGGGAAAGGGAAAGAAAATAAAAATATAAGAATAAGGAATACATACTCATAACTATTGCAGTACTCAGACCTCTAACTGGTTACATAGTCATAGCTTGGCATTTTTAACTAAATTCTTCTACTGCCTATTCTACATTTCCTTTGCCTTCAGGAAGCACCTCAGCTGTTGATGGTTCCTTACCTGATGAGTAACCAAAATTTCCAATCCTGAAGGGTCTGTTCATTAGCATTCCTGCTTTAAGTTTTTGAATTTCCGTTGACTTTAATCTCAGAATCTGAAATTACTAAGCAGTGCCTGAGGCAATCTCCTGCATTCCAGACAAACTACCCCTACCTGCACTGTGAAGTAGCAACCTAATTGCCCCTTAATTGTTGTGATCAGTCATCACAGCTAGTATTGTAATAGCTTCTTTGCCTGGTGGCAAAGACTTGAGGATCCTGTGGTAGCCAGGTGACAATCTCAACTTCCAGCTCAAGGCAATTGTAACCTCTGATAGAAGCTTTCCTCATTTTGTAATTAAGTCCTCTGGTAAGCAGAGTCTAAAGTTGCAGGAATAGAAGGCACAGATTTTTCTCATGGATCATTAGAAGTCAGAGTAAGACATTTCCAATCTTTGATTTCTAGATTCTTGGGTTGGGAAGAAGCAACTGATTTAGAGCATATATTGCATCCTGGAGGAAATTTCTCCAGTCACCTAACTGACACTATAACTAAGTCTTTAAAAGGCCCCTCCACCAGTTGCTTCAGAATGGTGGAAAACAGAGTAAGACCAGTGAATTCCATGAGCCTGGGCCTATTACCACATTTCATTGGGGCAACATGAAGTAGGTTCCTTAATGGAAGCAATGCTGTGTGGAATAAGGCATTCTGTAAGTCCATGGATGGTGGTTTTGGAGAAGCATTACAGGCAAGAAAGGCAAATCCATATCTTAAGTAGTTGTCCATTGAAGTGAGAACAAACCATTGCCCCTTGCATGATGGAAGTGGTGCAATGTGATCAACCTGCCACCAGGCAGCTGGTTCATCACCCTGGGGAATGGTGCTGTACTGGAAGCTCAGTGTTGGTTTCTGAGATAGGGCACCCAGCAGGGGCAGTAGCCAGGTCAGACCTGGTGAGCGGAAGTTTATGTTGCTGATCCTATGCATAACTGCCATCCTTGCCACTGTGGTCATTTTTTCATGAGCCCACAAGGCAGTGACAGGGATGGCTGGGGGAATGAAGCTGACTGGTATCCATAGAAAGGGTTATCCTCTTCACCTGATTATTCATTCCTCCTCTGCTGAGATTGCTCTTTAGTAAGCATTCACAGGGAACACAAAATAGATTCACATTCTTTACCTTTTCTCTCAGGTCCATTTACTTGCCTCTTCCCTTGAGGGTGGCATTTGCACCACCCTGAGAGTGAGAGCCTCCTTAAATGTTGTGCCCTGGGCACCTCACTTGTCTCACACTAGTCCTGGCTGAGATTCATGTCTCCCAGTCCAAGTTATCAAAAAACTAAGCAAATTCTATTTTAGAACTACTAGTGGTGACTTTTTTTTTTTTTAAAGAAATCGAGGACAAAGAGAAAGATGCCAGGAGACTAAAGAGAAATACTATGGATCAATCCTATCTAGAAATTTCAGGAACCATCCATTCACTCATGTCTTTACTTAACATCTACTGCATTGCAGCCTGGGCAGTTTGGGTTTTATGCTGAAGACAGTAGGAAGCCATCAAAGAAATTTACGCTATTTTAAATGAGGCTATAATGCATGTTTTTTCCCCTGCCAGGAATGTTCCACTCACTTGGCTGGCTTCATTGTGTCATTCAGATCTCAACTCAAAGATCACTTATTGAAGTGGCTTCCTTGAGCTCCCCATTTTAAATAGCAAGATTCTCCCCCATAGAGAATTTATCATATCAATTTATATTGTTGCCTTCATTGCATTTATCAAAGTCTAGCAGGTTTTCATTTAATGAAGTTCAACTGGAATATGATGGGGGTTTCTTTTTCCTAACGCCTATTTTTCTGAGAAGATTATTTCATACCATTCACAAAGACAAGGCTGTTCACATCTAGACTCTGCCTAGACTTAGAGTGGGCGCTGCTGGTCCCATATTCAACTTCCTTCCTTCTTCTTTTCAGGGGGTTGCAGTCTCCAAGCTAGAAAGAGAGCTATTGGTGAAAGTGAAGAGATCAAATAGGGAGGCCGTTGTTTGTTCTCTGAATGGTACAGACTCATTTTCTGTCGCAGTTGGCAGGAAGTGAGGGAGAAAATGCTGAATTTATTCTTGTTGCAAGAATGCAACATTTATTCTTGCCAATAGCTTTGCTCCATTTCTTCTGACCAAATAGCTTCAGGCTAGCAATTGCAATTCTAATTCAATGCCACTGATTTTTTAATACTTTATGGAAAATTATCTCAGAGTGTTGTCTCACTTTTGAAATAGGTTGACAGTTTTGGTCTTTTTGTTTTATTCTTAGCATCATTATAGGTTTTTTAGAAAGAGGTTAATGGGAATCACTTAGGAGCTACTACCTAGACAATATTTAAACCACTTCAACCTCCCCACTCGTAACCCTTGGATTTCTTTTACATGTGCTGTTGGCTACTTAAGGGTATGTTATTTGTTGCTCCTATAAACACATGAGGATGACTTTATACTTATACCAATTAAACTTCACTCTGTAGATTGGGTTTTATTGTTCCAACTTGTTGAGATCTCCTTAGAACCTGTTTCTGTCAGGATTTTTTGTTTGTTTGTTTTGTTCAATTATATGCAACTTTATATTTTCTGAGATGCAATAGGCTATGTTTCTGATTAAAAATTTTAAAGCGTTATTTAAGTCATTTCTTTGTATATCTTTTAGAAAATTTTAACTGAAAGATAACTTTCATGCACACATATACTTAGATATATTTAATTAAAATGCTATTTAATACATATTTACATTTTATATATTTAATTAAAGTATAACTTAATATACGAATCTTAAATGTAGGCTTGCTGAATTATAAAGTGAACCCTCATGTAACAACCACCTATTAAAGAAACATCAAATTGCTAGAACCTCTTAAGCTCCCCCTTTGCTGTCTCCCAATTACAAATGCTAGTTTGTTCCCCAAAAGTAACTATTATCCTGACTCTAAAACCATAGATTAGTTTTCCCTGTTATTAAACATTACATAAGTGAAATTATAGGGTACACATTCTTTTGTATTTGGCTTCTTTTAGTTAATGATGTGTTTGTGAGTTTCACCTTTGTGGTTGCACATATCAGTAGCTAATTTATACTCATGCTCTTTACTATTACATTGTATGAATACACCACAACTGACTTATCCATTCTACTGTTGAGGACATTTGTTTATCCCCATTATTTAGCTCTTATAAATGTTATTGCTATGAACATTCTTATGCATGCAGTTTTTTGATGTATATCTAGAAACAGAATTGCTGGGTCTTAGAATACGAGTGTGCTAAATTTTAGTAGACATTGACAAAGTACATGTAAAAATTAATACTCTTACCTACTGTGTATCCAAAGTCCAGTCATCTTATAACCTGTTCGCTTTTTTGTTTTTTGTTTTCTAATTTCAGCCATTCTGATGATTGTGTAGTGGTAACTTAATGTAGTTTTAATTTACATTTCTCTGATTTTTGTGTACTTACTGATTGATATGGTTTGGCTGTGTCCCCACCCAAACCTCAACTTGAATTGTATCTCCCAGAATTCCCACGTGTTGTGGGAGGGACCCAATGGGAGGTAATTGAATCATGGGGGCAGGTCTTTCCTGTGCTATTCTCACGACAATGAATAAGTCTCATGAGATCTGATTGGTTTATCCGGAGTTTCTGCCTTTGCTACTTCCTCATTTTCTCTTGCTGCCACCAAGTTAAGGAAGTGCCTTTCTCCTCCTGCCATGATTCTGAGGCCGCTCCAGCCACGTGGAACTGTAAGTCTAATTAAACCTCTTTTTCTTCCCAGTCTGGGGTATGTCTTTATCAGCAGTGTGAAAATGGACTAACATGCTGATTATTTGTATATCCTCTTTTGTGAATGTCTGTTGAAGTATTTGTCCAGTTTTTTTTGTTGTCTGTTAAAATCTGTTGAGTTCTTTTCATACTTTGTATATGAATCTTTTGTCAGTTGTATGTATTGTAAATGTCTTCCCCTACTCTGTGGTTTACCTTTTGATGAAGAGAACTTCCTAACTTTAATGTAATATATTTTGGTTTATTATTTTATTTATGCCAGCTCAATTGCCAAATCCCCAGTTGTTTTCTTTGTGCCTTTTTTATCCAATAAGGTTATGTTACTTTTAGTAGCTTATAGCTTATATCATCATTTTTACTAGAAAAATGATCTATAAATTGTGAAATTTTTATGTTTATGATAAAATATCTCTTTCTCTGTTTTCTTCTGCTAACTATAAAATCCCTCCTGGCCCTAAAAGGAAATAACAGCATTTCTGGTACACTTTGGCCCATGCTCAATCACATCAGGCAATTGGGAGGGTTTTAATTCACTCATTAGACAAATAACCCTGTTTGAACATTAGAGAATCATAAGGACTTCTGCTTTTAATAGATGGTCTTGATTATCCAGAACTAATTGTTTTATAACTTAATAAGGCTACAGTACTCAAAAGAATACTGAAGTATTTTGCTTTTTAAATCTGTGAAGTTCTTGATAGTAAAACAGAATATTTTGTATTTCTAATTGATGTCACCCCTTCATACCTAGTCCTTTACAGAAATGCAGAACAACTGATCAGCCTGTTCTCCATCATACCACCCAGGCGCTTATAAAAACTTTAAGGGTCTGTCTCTTTTCAGTCCTCCTATAACCTACTTCCAATTACCTTTGCTACCTTTAAAATGTGATAGTAAAAACTAGACGGTTTTGTCTACTGTTTCAAAACTTCTTGTTTTCAATGTAAGAGAAGGGCTATTTCTCAGACTTTGAAATTAACATTTTTTGCCAAATATACCTTTCCAGTTTCATATTGACATTTTTAAAACAAAAGGTCTCAAAACTCTTTCATATTTAGCTATGATCAAGTGAATGAGGTTGGCTGTCATTAATCAAATATCACTTTCCAAAGGTGTTTTCCTCAGTGGAGTGTTTAACCAGAAGTTATATGGCCATCAGCCCACAATGGTGTAGGCATTTTAATATGAGGTTGGACAAGATATCTTCTAAGATCTCAGCTAGGATCATTTGATACCCAAGACCTTTCCTGCCAGCATTTCTTCAGCTTCTATTTATATTGTATTTTCTATTGTCAGTATTTATCATTTTTCCCTATTCGTATCATCTCACCTCTACAATACAATCCATTTTCAAGTTCTCTTGGCTTTACTCCAAAAATACAACCTAAATGTGTTAAATGTTTTTTCATATTCATTACTGCCAACTTGGTGCAAACGACTGACCTCTGCTTCCTTGGACTATTGTGGAGTTTCCAGTCTCCCAGCTTTACTTCTTATGCACCTCATCACTTCACCACTCCCCATTGTGATGCCTGAGCTGGAGTGACCTTACAGGAACATAAAGGGGATTGTACAACTTCCATGATTTTTCACTCAGGAATAAAATAAAATATCAAATAAAATGTAAATGTCCTACAATGGGCTTTTCTCTTCTCCAGCCTCATCTGCCACTACTCCCTGTTCACTAAACTTATATTCGACTTCTTTTTTTCTCAGACACACCTACCTCATTCCTGCTTGAGAGCCTTCGCAATGGCTATTCCCTCTGCCTGAATTCACTTTCTTCTCATCTTTACATGGCTGGTTCCTTCTACTTCCTAAGATCCCAGCTCAAATGCCAACTCCCCAGTGAGCCCTTCCTGACCACCTGATCAAACTAAACTCCACACCTCCATTGTCATTTGAAACTTTGCAATATACGTTGGCTGAATGAATGAGTGAATTAATGAACAAGAGAATGAGTGAGTGAGCTCTCTTTACAATATGTCTATTCTTTTTGCATTTTCCTCTAGTCTTCTTCCTAATTCCAACTTTTTTTTAAAAACGACATTACATATAACTTACGCTTACAGTCTGTTGAGTACGTAACTGTTAAGGCATCATCCTGCTTTGTGAATTCCAAATCTATTTCTATACAATCACACAAACATTATCTTCAGCATATAAATGTTTTAGATTCTTTAATCTTTGATTAGCTGCGTTGCTGTGAATGATTGAGTGGCTTTGCCTGTCATTTGTTGAAATATCAAAGATACTTCCTACTCTTTCTGCTATCGAAGTAGCTTTATAAATACCTGAAATTTCTCTTTTAAAAAAATGTATTCTTAGATTCTCTTTTAAGAGTTTTGAAATTTTTCTTATCATTACAGAGGAAAGAAATCCAAGTAAATCAAAAGGAACAGAAACTAGAAATATACAGGCATACTTGTGGCTGGAGTTATTCCACTACTTGTACATTATGTGGCTTACCTCAACATGTGGAAAAATACAGTAAGTCCTTCATTGTGCAGAGTGTAGTTACAGTATCATGTAACTTAGGCAGCTTATTCTTTCTTGCAAATATTTTATGATAAACACAAAATATGCTGTAATCTTTTCTGAATAATTAACATCTATTTGCTTAAAAGAATATTTTTTAACCTACAAAAGCTCTTTTTTTAAAAAAAAATTATTTTTCTACCTTCTCCTTACCTTAACCAAAAAAAATTCCAACCCCACATACGTGAGAAAATGCCTTTAGGCTTATTGAAGTCATTTATTTATGGGAGTATACAGAGTACCTGTCCATCAGGAAAGACAAAAAGAAAAAAAATCTGAGCTATTACTATACCAGATTTGCTTACAAGAGAAAATGTTCAACTTTTCTACTCTAGATAACTCACTGTTTGTACTATTATTGGGGAGGAGAAATTAATGTGTACAGTGTATCCAGAGTTTATGCCCTACGTATTATGTTCCTCAGTATAAAATATTTTTAAAAAATGGTTCCCAGAAATCAAAACTAATTAATTTTGATTTAATTTCTGACAGTTTCAAAGGTCCCTTGTCAATTTTACTAATAAGCAAAACAAACTTTTCTTTTTGTATTCAATCTTGAGAACATAGAAGGTCTTAAACATCTATTTGCTTAATTTTTCTTTGGGAATCTTAAAATTTCATAGGGGCTTAATATTTGTAATACTTTTGGTTTAGATATGCTAATCTAAATGTTAAATTAAGATGATTTCAAAAGTATAGGCTGAAATCTTTTCTTCAAAATTTCACAGTTCTTTTTATGTATCATTTCAAAATAATTGTTTTATATAAAAATGTGTTGGATATTAAATCATATAATTATGATTCATATTATGGCATATTTTAATTTTGTTTTTATTTGTACATTTAATTGTGCAAGTCAACAAAAATAAAAAATAACAATACTATTCTATATTAAAGTTAAAGAAAAATAGCTATTAACTCTTATGGCCATCTATAATCTCTTGAAACGTTTTAAAAGTGAGCATCCAGTTGATTGGTGTGCTATTGGCCATCACCAGTGATTCTTATTCTCATCATTTATGCACTTGCTTTCCTTTTTATAACCTTTGTCTATCATGGACTCTTTAGAGAAGTTAGCAATCTTTTTCTTATTTCCACCTTCTTTAATTCACAATGTAATTTTTCTACCAGAGGAAACTTATTTTCCTTTTTTTTAACGGTTTCATTATATGAAGTCCTGTTAAAACTTTGTTTCCTGACCAGGTGCAATGGTGCATGCCTGTAATCCCAACACTTTGGGAGGCCGAGGCAGGAGGATCACTTGAGCCCAGCGTTTGAGATCAACATAGCAAAATCCCGTTTCTACAGAAAAAAAAAAATTTGCTGCATGTGGTGGTACACATCTGTGTTCCCAGCTACTCAGGAGGCTGAAGTGGGAGGATCACTTGAGGCTGGAGGCAGAAGTTGCAATGAGCTGAGATCTAGCCACTGCACTCCAGCCTGGGTGACAGATTGAAACCCTGTCTCAAAATAAACAACAAAGAAAACTTCGTCTCCTGCAGGAAGCTATCATAATCCTGACTGCAAGCCACCTATTTGAAACTTATTTGAGTTAGATCTTACGTTATATTTATTTGACCTTTTTCATCTGTCCAGTTTTCTTCTTGAGTTTATTCAGTTACCTAAAGAAACTGAAAATTACTTGTAGATAGAAATCACATTTCATAATTTGCTTATAATTCCCCTCAGGCCTTCTGCATTTTATGCATATTGAACATTACACAATTTAATGAATGGATCATTGGAAAATCTCTCATTATGTACACGATTATAGATGCAATACATTTTCATAAGTTATATAATTGTTTTATTTATTTTTACAATTAAGGCTGAAGATTGAGGTCTATATGCACTAATCTATTCTTGATGCAATGGTTTATTAAAATGCCCTTTTAAATTATAGTAAGTTTTTGCATTGAAATTGGTTTGTCCTTGCTTAACAGATTCGATCATTAAGAACAGTAAAGAGTTTCTCTCACTGAAATCATTAATACATTTACTTATACAGAGATAGATAGATAGGTGCTGGCATATACTTACAAGCTTATGAATAACACAGTTAGTTGCTTCACATTGACTCATTTCAGAAATGTCACTGTAAGTCACAAAATATTTTGTGAAATGATTGTAGTATACTTTCGGCTACAACACTGAGTCTGTTATACCTGAGAAGAAATTAGACTCTGTGGGGGGAAAAAGACAGAAAAATTTCCAAAATCAAATTTTTAACACCAGGGTTGCTGTGAGCCTTACCCCAGGGGGTGCCGTTTGTGGCATGGTCTGTGGAGTTAAACAGTGTAGGCTATGTGGTTTTATATGGCAGCCCTGCAGAAACCAGAGAGTATACAAAAAGGTATCATAAAATTTTGAACTTTAGTGCCACTGCTCAGTTAAGTAGTCTTCAAACTCTTATGGATATTTAGTCAATCTGTTGTAATCCATGATGTTAGAATGTACAATGGTCCTTACCAATCATTTTATTTGGTAGAAAAGAAAAATAAGATATATCAATGAGAAGTAAATTATATATTTAAAATACATATACATAACATAGAATTAAGAAATAAAGCACAAAATATATGACAAGCCTCTAAATATTAAGTACTTTTCATAGTCTAAATTTCTACTACTATACCGTAACTAAGGGAGGAGGCCACCCCTCATATTGTCTTATGCCCAATTTCTGCCTCCAAAGAAAAAAAAAAGTGAAAACTAAAAGGCAGAAATGACACCCACAGGAAGACAGCCCGGCGCCACACCCTGGGCCTAGTAGTTAAAGACTGACCCCTGACCTAATCGGTTATGTTATCTATAGATTACAGACATTGTATGGAAAAGCACTGTGAATATCCCTGTCCTGTTCCGTTCTAATTACCAGTGCAGGTGCATGCAGCCCCCAGTCACATACCCTCTGCTTGCTCAATTGATCACGACCCTCTCACACAGACCCCCTTAGAGTTGTAAGCCCTTAAAAGCGTCAGGAATTGCTCACTCAGGGAACTCGGTTTTTGGAGACATGAGTCTGCTGATGCTCCTGACTGAATAAAGCCCTTTCCTTCTACAATTCGGTGTCTGAGGGATTCTTGTCTGTCACTCGTCCTGCCATATAACCATTAAAATTGTGTCTTGCTTATACGAGGATTACATCTCAAAATAGGAAAATATTTTGTAGTGATATTTCAGTCTCCAAATAAGACCATCATTTATGGAAGTTAAAATTAACTACTTCTGCTAAATTAATACAGGTTTGAGCTTTCATATTAACTATATGTTCTGGGTTTTTTTATGTAACAGTATCTTTTAGACACTATTCAACCACATAGAACATTGAAAATCAAGATTTATAACCTAACATTATTTTTTAAAATGCTTTCTAACATAAATCCTTTTTGTAAGACTTCAAGGCACAGGGAAATAAACATAATACCTACTTCATCAACACCTTACTTGGTTAAATGCAAATGAAAGAGTAGATTGTATATGTTTGTATAATATAACCTCTCCGTATTTATAAAGCTACATGGAAAATGCAACTAATGCTGCTATAGTCTGAATGTTTGTGTCCGCCTGAAAATTCACATGTTAATACCCAATCTGCAGTGCAATAGTATTAAGAGCTGAGGTTTTTAAGATGCAGTTTGGTCATGGGAGCAGAGCCCATATGAATGGAATTAGTGCCTTTACGAAAGAGCTCTGAGGAAACTTGTTTGCCCTTTCAACATGTGGGTACTTAGAAGGTGTCATCTATGAATCACATAGTGAGGTCTCACCAACCGCCAAATCTGCCGATGCCTTGATCTTGGACTTCCAGACTCCAGAACTGTTGAGCAATACATTTTTGTCATTTATAAGCCACCCAGTTTAAGGTATTCAGTTATAGCAGCCCAAACAAGACTGAGACACATGGGAAAAGAGGGTGCATAGGTATACATACTCACTGTGATAGTTTTATGTCAATTTGATTGGGCTAAGGGATGCCCAGATAGTTGGTAAAGCATTATTTCCGGGTGTGTCTCTGAGGGTGTGTCTGGAGGAGATTAGCATTTTGATTCGTGAACCAAGTAATGCAGATGGCTCTCCCTAATGTGGGTGGGCATCACTCAAGCCACTAGAACTTGCAAAAAACAAAAAGGCAGAGGAAGGGCACATTTGCTTTTTTCAAGCTGGAAATATCCATCTTCTCCTGCCCTCAGACATTGACACTCCTGGTTCTCACGCCTTCAGACTCAGACAGAATTACTCCACCAACTTTCTTGGTTCTCCAGCTTGCAGATAGCAGAACATGGAACTTCTTGGTCTCCATAATAGTGTAGGCCAATTTCCATAATTAATATGTATTAATTTATATGGGAGATACTGTTAATTTTATAACAGTATTATAAATAATAATAGATCTTATTTATTAATAAGAGATACAAATATATCTCTATTGGTTCAGTTCTGCTTCTCTGAAGAACCCTGACTAATCCACCCACTTTAGCCCAGTTTAATAGGCCAATTTAATTAGTCTAGAATAGAAGACATAGACTGTCTGTATAATTGATCGGATGCAGCTATAGGTTAACTTAGGCCATCTAGGAAAACATCTTTCAGGATCTGACAAGCTCAATAGTTCTTCTGCCTCTGCTCTTTTATACTTGAAGCTTACATTTCCTTTCTGGAAAACCTAAAATTACAATTTAAGAAAATATTACCTAGGCCACAGTCTCCTAGGGGGAGAAAGCAGAGTTATCTGTGAGGCATACCCAAAGAACATCTCTGCCTCCAGGTTTCTAGCATTCTGAAAAGCTCACTTTCCTGCATTCCCCCACCAGCCCCACACTTGTGCCTGGGTGATTCACGCATTGTTTAGTTCAAGGACCATCATCACAACTCTACTTTCTGAAATATAATATTTGATGTAGAGAAAAATAACACCTTTTTTTCACTAGAAATTAACAAGAATATTTTGCCATTCATATTCTTAATTATGTGGCTTTGTGAATCTTTCTAAATCCACATAAGAGTCAGATGTTGCTATAATCCCTCATTCTCATTCTCTCCTGGCTTCTGATGTGTGTCCTCAGTTGGGAAAGATGCCTTCGTGGCTTTTGGTAGCTGCACTCAGATTAGGGGTTTCTCCATGATAACAGTGTGTTCTGTGCTCAGGACTCAGTTGTGCAGGAAATGTTGCAAAGCAGAGATTCCATAGCAGTTCCTAGGGATGAGAAGTTTCTGCATGTAAAGTGACACAGTAATTATAACACTATCAGAATGTGTATTTATCTCAAAGAGTATCAGATGAAGCTTTGTGAGCTGCTTTGATTTTTCTAAGTAATGAGGGAAATTTCAAAAGGGGTTAGCTACATTACCATCCTCATGTAGTTGACAGTCTAGTGAGGTTAATAAGGAGCCACCCGAGACCATATTTGTTCCTCAGGTACTTAATTGCATTGGATAACTTATTAGTGCATAGTGGAATTTGAGTTCTGAGAAATAAACCATCATCAAATCCAAAATAACACAGGAAGACCTTCTAAGAATAGCACAATTATGACATTTACTAAGAGTTTGGGAATTCGGCCAATCCAAAATTCCTGAGAAGTTATTATGCTTCGTGATTATGAGAAAATTGTGTTAATATTTAAAATTTCTGCTTACTAGTTAGCATAAAACTCCTAACAACTAAATAGGAAGTAGAGGCCGTCAGAGAAAGATGTGCATATGGATAAATGTCACAGTTATACATTGATATTTTTGCAGCCTATGTTGATGTGTGTGTGTATCCATACTTCTACCAAAAAAAAAAAATCTAAAGGGCAACATATGGTTTACTTTATCCCCCCCCCAAAAAAAAAATTCAACAAACTCTGATTTAGCCTTCCTATATTGTCACCAGATAGTTCAGAAGCTTTTGGATTGGGTGGAATGATGAGCTTGGTAGTAGAATTACTCTCTCCCCTACCCTATTCTGTCTTCTCCTAACTTCTCTCCCTCTATTAATTCCTCCACCGCATTCCTCTTCTATGACAAACTAGCTGGGAATTTGCAAAAGTAGATTTTTGAAAAGGATATCTACTTAAAAGTCTTGGCTGCTAGTGGTCAAACTAGCAGAAAATTCGGGAAATGTGTAATTTGTGAATATGTAAAAATGATTTGGGGACACTAAACTACTGCAGAGAAGATTGATTTTTTTACTTCTTTGGGGAATGGAAGAATAACCATAGAAGTGGTAATAAATAATACACTTGACTGGTTGTTTGATGGCATGTTTAACTGGAAAAGCTATCGTAAGATGCGAATAACGAGATGGGTGAGGGAAACACTGAAAATGAGAGATTTGGTGACAGAATGAATGAGAGAGGATGAGTGGGTGAATAAACTAAAATTCACATCTACACCAAAAGCACTCTGATATTTTGTGAAAATTTTCCTGTAATTTGCAGGTGATTTCTACAAATGTCAGAAGTACCATTGCTCATCCATTAGACTGATACAGACAACTGAAAAATAGAATGCCTACATGAAATTCTGACTACGCCTTTACCAAACATTTAGAAGTCATAACATACATGTTAAAAAAAAAGTTCTGGAAAAAATACACTTGAACTCTAAGACTTACAAGTCTGTGTACATAATTTAAAATTGTTTTAAAAGAGGAAAATAGTGATGATGTGTTGGTATCATCGGTAGCCCAGAAACCTAATATTCCCTACTTGTCTTTCTCTCCTTGTTTTCTCTTGCTTGCTATCTATTTTGTTCATTAGCTTCTCTGCTATATAATGGTAGAAAGGAGAAAAAAATCATTTTTTGACTATTAATGAACTGGCTTAATATTTGATTAGGAAGAGGTTTGAATGAAATTAGGGATTTCAGTAATTCATGCCACCCTTGATTTTTGATTCCAGGGAAAATGAGAATTGGTGAGCTCTATGCCAAATAGATGGATTATATTTCTATTAAGTAAGCACTCTAATGTTCTAAATTTTTCTTACCACAAATAGTTTAAAAAGAAGTCACATATTTAGTGCCTTATTTCATACTGTAAAAATATGAAAGGTGCATAGATTAACCTATTATTCCACATACAACGCAAGCATAATCCTGACATCATAATCCTTTTAAAATATTTGTAAATCTGAAAGTAGGTGAAAGTATCATGCCAAAAAAAAAAAAAAATAAGAGCTCATGTATTTATTTCATACAAGTGGACACAGCATCTCAGTTCCCAAGCATGAATCAGTTTTATAGCTGGAAAGAACCTAAGCAGTTTCAACCCCCATCTGCATAATTATTTGGTTATTCATAATATTTGGCAATCTAGAGTTCTTCAGGCAATTTTTCATTCTGTTCAATGTCAGTAACAGAGACAAAAGTTAACTCAGTTCAGTCCGATTAAATAGACAGCATCTATGTGTCCTCCATGGTCTCAGTTTCTGGGGAGCAGTCCTTATTTTTTCTTGTTATTGATCAGGTCCCTTCACTGGGTCCAACAGCTGGGTGCCAGGGACATCATCTCCTTTATCTGTGCTCTTGTGGTAGCAGTTTCCTGCTCCTGCCAAAATCTAAGTCAATTTACTTTGTGTTGTTTGCCTTTTCAGCTCTCTAGGACCTTTGGAAGTCGTTCCCTGGGTTAAATTATCTGTTTCCAGCTGAAACCTGACTGATGCATTTGGGGATAATAATAACTTTGGTTACTGACAGGTGATAGCAATGAGCATTGGGGGTGGGCGGGGGGTGGGGGGTGTCCTAGGAAATACCCAGGTGGAGCCAGGTACAGTATTTCTTGTGTGTTTACTTTTTTAAATTTTCATTCCAGCTTAGACATAAAATGCAATACAATACAATACAATACAATACAATACAATACAATACAATACAATAATGTCCTAGCGATGTCAAATTGCTGTAAAAGCTTGTAAACACAGGCTTGGCGCCCTTTCTTTTTCTCCTTCCTTCCTTCCTTGGTGCCCTTTCTTTCCCTCCCTCCCTCCCTCCCTCCCTCCCTCCTTCCCTCCCTCCCTTCCTTCCTTCCTTCCTTCTCTCTCCGTCACCCAGGCTGGAGTGCACTGGTGCAATCTCAGCTCACTGCAGCCTCCGCCTCCCTTGATTTGACTTCAAACAATTTTCCTGCCTCAGCCTCCCGAGTAGCTGAGATCACAGGTGCACACCACCATGCCTGCCTAATTTTTGCATTTTTAGTAGACATGGGGTTTCACCTTTTTGGCCAGGCTGCTCTCAAACTCCTGACCTCAGGTGTTCCACCTGCCTCGGCCTCCCAAAGTGCTGGGATTACAGGCATGAACCACCATGCCAAGCATTGGCTTTCACTTTCTAAATTCATCTTGTGCTAGAGTAGCCACACACAATTCACGAACCACTGCTGCTGGTCCACAGACAGCTCTTTGAGTAGCACTAGCCTAGTAGAGAGCTAGAAAAGAAAACTGCTCTGCAGATTAGAAAAAGATGTGGAAGTTAAACATAAAATTTTGGAGTCACTGGCGAATCAGTAGTAGTTGAAAACATAGAATTGGAAAATCAAAAAACCAATAGGGAGAGGAAATGGACAGACAGAAGTAGGCTAAAGGCAGAGCGTTAGCAAACACCATACTTTGGCCAATGGCAAGTAGGTACTCTGCAGAAGCAAAGACTAAAGGTGAGAACTGAGATGACACAGGAAGAAGAGAAGCACAGCTCCCCAGCATGGCATTCCGGTGCCTTGCAGGTGGTCTCCTGACCCTGCATGCCTCACAGAGGCACTCAGTTCAGTACAACCTGCTGATTAAGGCTGGCACAGAAACATATTACCCGTTTTAGAAAGAATTTCATCAAAACAGTTAACATAAAAGGGTTGGGGTAATTTACTTGGAAAACTCACTCATGAAGAACACTGCCTTAATTGATGATGATACTGATAAATCTGAGCAGCATCCGAGTCATCGAATAGAACTTTCTGCAATGATGGAAGCATTTATCTGCGCAGTCCAACAGGGCAGCCATCAGCTGCCTGTGGCTACAGAGCACTTGAAAAGTAGCCAGTGTAGCTGAGAAACTTGCAATTTATTCTCATTTACAAAATAAAGTTTTTAATTCAATGAATTTAAACTAAATGTCATGAGGCTGGATGTGGTGGCTCACTCCTGCAATCCCAGCAGTTTGGGAGGCCAAGGCAGGTGGATCGCCTAGTTCGAGACCAGCCTGGCCAACATGGTGAAACCTCGTCTCTACTAAAAGTAAAAAAAAACTTTGCCAGGCGTGGTGACACGTGCCTGTAATCCCAGCTACTTGGGAAGGTGAGGCAGGAGAATCTCTTGAACCCTGAAGTCTGAGGTTGCAGTGAGCTGAGATCATTGCACTCCAGCCTGGGCGACAGGAGCGAAACTCCCTCTCAAAAAAAAAAAAAAAAAAAGGAATTAATTAATTAATTAACTTAATGTAATGAATGTAAATTCCACAAAATTTTAATTCATTTAAATTTCAATAGCCTCATGTGACTACTGCTCTCTTATTGTATAGGTAATATGTGAGATTCATTGGCAAGCTTGGCTTATAGTAAAGATATGTAGGCTTTGGGATCACATGGGCCAGGCTTTAAGTCCTCTAATCACTAACTCTGTGATCTTGGATTTGTCTCTTTCCTGGGCATGAACTTCTTGTTCATAAAATGGTAATCAATATTATGTACATTTAGGGCCGTTGTGACCACTGAAAATGAAAATGAAACATATAAACTGCTAGCACAAAGTTTCAATAAATGGTAGTTATTAGTATTAAATGATGGAGGTCAGCATTCAAGAACATAATTCGATCGTTTTGATCTTCTGGTCGCCAGCCTGAACATGCACTACGCTGAGAAACAAGCAACATGAGGGAACCCCCAGGGGCTGTTGCCCAGGATGGAGTGGAGTGGCCTCTTAGTCCAGCAACTGACAATGCTTTTCTATTTAGTGACTCTCTTATCTCAGCCTTGCTGTGAGCTGCCTTTTTTCAGTGTGATTGCTTCTAGCAAATCCTCCAGCTCCTCCTAAGGTGCATTCCTCGCTGCTTTTTTCTATTTCCTCAGAAGAACTATGGTTGTTAAGGGGAAAAGACAAATTGAGCTTGTTCAATCAATAACTTTAATTTTACATACAATTCTAAGACAATGGAGTCTGATCTGAGGGCTGAGGGGTTCTCAAGTCTTTTTCTGTGGAATTAAGAGCACAGATTCACAGACTTTGTTTACCTTAGCCCTGCCAGATCGCTACAATCTCTTGGGCAGATCTTTTAAAAAAAAAACAACACAGGCCTATCCGTTCTCCCTCAACCTAGAGACCTGGCATTAGTTGGGAGTACTGCAGGTGATTGTGTTTCGTGGTCTGAAAACCGCTGATGTATGCCAGGATTTCAGGGGGAGCTCTGGACAGACAGGGTGGTCTGACTGACCCTGGGTTAATTGAGGGACTGCTGTACCACTCTTAGGCAAGAAAATGGGTACAAGCATCCCACTGATCCAATACAGGCATGCTGGGGGTACTCTGGATATTTGACTGACATTTTCCCTGGCATAGCCAATCATTAGAACAAGTGCCACTTGGAGCGGGGACTGGATTCCAGAACTCTTTATTTTTTTACTTTTCCTCTGAAGCTGCTTTGGTTGTTTTGTTTTCAGAGATGCTCTCCTTTTGTGAGGCTTGCATCTGTTTATAATATGTTATTATTCAGCTTACGGGCTTTTATACATTTAAAGTTTCCCTAGTTGTTGACACAACTTAGGTACGTACCCATCTGGAGAAAGACTAGTGAAAACTCTGAGCTCATGTCTTTTCAAGCTCACATTTTCCCGTAAGAAACCATTTTGGCAGTCAGAGGATTAGAGCTAATAACTGCATGTCCCTAGGCTCCCTGCTTGCTAGGAATAGTCCCACTGTCCAGAGTCACCTGTGAATAATGGTTAAATTACATTCTGATTCGTGTATGGATGCTTGTTTGGGTACTAGTCAAATATTGTTACATACTTTTAGAGACAGAAACCTCTGTGAAACAAAAGAATTCCAAGCCTAGGATAATGGCCCACTTCTGAAGAATAAACAACACAATAAAATTCTAGTACAAACAACTAATTTCAACATTCTCTGAAAATCTGTAGCAGTCCTTAACATTTTCAGTCCCCAAAACAAGAAAACTATGTCCTAAATCAGCAAACATTAGGGATTATGAGAGCAGTTTTATTGGCATAATTGATAAGACAATATTTACTGAAATATTCCAGCATAGATGTTTTACTGTGTTCTCTCTGTCTCTTTAACCACATCTTTTATTGGTTTTTGGTTTTGGTGATGACAATTTGGGGCTATTAAATCTACACTGGGCAATAGTAAAACCCTAAATGAGAACCTTAATAATAAGAGTTAGGGGTCCTACTAAGTGAACTCCTTGGCATATACTTTATTATCAAGAAGTAGTTTAGGCAATAGAAAAGCTAAAACTTGGTCGGCGCAGTGGCTCACGTCTGTAATCCCAGAACTTTGGGCGCCTGAGGCAGGTGGATCACCTGAGGTCACGAGTTCCAGGCTAGCCTGGCCAACATGGCAAAATCCCGTCTCTACTAAAAATACAAAAATTAGCTGGGCGTGGTGGCCCGTGCCTATAATCTTAGCTACTCGGGAGGCTGAGGCAGGAGAATTGCTGAACCCAGGAGGTGGAGGTTGCAGTGAGTGGAGATCATGCCACTGCACTCCAGCCTGGGTGACAGAGTGAGACTCTGTCATCAAAAAAAAAAAAAAAAAAAAAAAGAAAGAAAGCTAAAACTCATTGGTTACATTCCTGATTTTCAAAGCATCGATCATAGGGGAATCTTTTATGATTTTATAAGTGAGTCTTCTGGAAAGAAACTTAACTCAAAATGGCATAAGCAAGAAAGACAATTTATTGGTGCATTACTTCAGAAGTTCAGGATTTGACTGGTTTTAGAGGTGACTGTCTTCGGATGGCCATTGATGTCATCAGGGCACTTTTCTGTCTCCATTGCTCAGTTTGGCTTTTTTTCTGGTTTTGTTTTATTCTCCAGTAAGTTGACTCCAGCTGCTGCACGCATATATGATATGGTCCCAGGAGCTGCCCTGTCAGTCAGGGAAAGGACCCTCCTCCTTTGTTCTCAGACGATATTCTAATTGGCTGGCCTGGGTCATATCCCTCACAATGTCAGGAAGCTCTGTGGGCTAGTCACACCCAATGGGAGGGGGAAATTCCTAAAAGGAAGGGATTGGGGCAAAGAAGTGGGGAAAAAAAGTATACTTGAGAGGGAGAGAAGTTGGTTCCATTTGCTATGGGAATGATGAAAAATAGTTTATTTCTATTGTTATATGACTTTTGGAGTTAATGGAGACCACAACGTAATCTGTGATAACAAGGAATGTATTAGTATGCCAAAGGAAAGTTCCATTTAAATCCCAGTATCATGTCACTTTCTTAAAATGGTAATCTTTAAATAGAAAAAAAATATATTATTATAAAGTCTGAGTTTTATTTAGTTGGCAACTTCTTAACTATTATGAAACAATAGATTCATTGAATTGAAGCACAATTCAAATATAAACGATCTTTCTGAGAAAATGAGATGAGTGAAATCGTATTGTTAATGTACCAGAGATTAAAAAGAAATCCTTGCTCAATATTTTCTAGAAGAAACAATTATTTTGTGAGTCCATATCCCATTCAAATTCATTTTGATAAAGATGGATTTTATCTTTTAGACTTCCCAATAGCAAAATTAAATTACAATGTGTTTAGTCTTCCTAAAACAAATCCTCTCCTGAAACAACCAAGTTATTAAGCAAATCTAAGCAGAAAGTATTCTCAAATACTATATTAGGCGATTAATAATGACGCACCCCAAAGCATTTCATTTTAAAACATCAGCTGGCCCACATTTCAGAGGTAGTACATCATGCTTGATATTTTTCGTTATTTACTATTTTCTCCAAACATTTTTTTGAAGTCTTAAAAATGCCTTCAGAAATTAAGCTAGGACGCTCCATCTGAGTATATGAAAGTTAGTAAACAGAAAATGTCAAGCACCAAGACGTTTGGATGGCTGGACTACCAGGTGGGGTTATCTCATTCAGGGCACAGGCTCTACGTCTCCAGTGCTGAGCGATCTGCACTGGGGTGGCAGTCCGAGATCCAGCGGTATCACCGGGTGGGAGCAGGGTGGGGGTGCTTGCGTGCGGACATAGGTGGGAGTGGGGGATAGGGAGGAAATGGAGGCGCCGACCGAGTGGAATGGGGGGTGGGTCAGGGATGGGGTGGGATGGGCATCAGTAGCGGGGTGGAGATGTTGAGAGAGAGGCAGGGCTTGGAGTGGAGGTGCGAGAAGGGTGGGGACCCGGAAGGTGGGGTGGGGGCGGGATGGAGGCGGGGCGGGGTGTACGAGGGGCGTGTACACTGGCTCAGGGACACGCGCTCTCGGCCACAGCAACTGGCTCCAAGTTCCCTCCCTCACTCTCCGGCGAAGCCTGCCTGAGCCCTCCCACTCGGTGCAGACCGAACCATCGCGGCCGCCGCCAGCCGGGCCCTTCGCGGCCGCGCGTCCTGGGCCCGTTCCGCCAGCCCCGTCTGCTCTCTACCCGCGGCCCCGCGGCGGCGACCGTGAACACTCGGCGGCCCCTACAGCCCGCTCTCGGCCCTTCGTCCCTCGCGGGCCCCGACTCTCCCTCCTTGCAGTCCCCCGGAGCCTGGCTCCCGGCTCGGGCCGCACCGCCAGGGACTGGGGTGAGCGGCCCAGGTAAGACTGGGCCGTGGGGGCCGGGAGAGAGACTGCTGGGCGGGGGTTGGGATTCGGGTTCAGTGGTCGCGCCGCGCCCCGACTGCGGACAATGCGGGAGCTGCGCGCGGCCAGGCGGCGCGGAGCTAAGCCGGCTCTGCGCCTGCAGCTTCCCCGCCCGGCCCGGGTCTCCGTTGAGCCCGGCCTCACTGGCCCAGGCGGACCCCGTCCGGCTTTCTGGGCTGCCGGGGGAGGCGCAGCGCCGCTGCCTGCCCCGCGCCCCCTCTGCGCTCGGCTTGGCTGCACGTCCCGGGCTCGGCTAGGAGGCTGGGCACGGGGCCGGGGCTGGAGCCGGGGTTGGAGCCAGGGCGGGGGGAAGCTGGCCGCGCTGCGGAGCGGAGGTGGGCTCCGAAAGCGCGCCGCCGGTTGCTGCTGGAGGAGTGGGACTACGAAGGATGGGGACTCCGCTCGGCCACCGCTCCTGAATGGTCTCTAATCTCGGTGTTAAATACTTTATGAGAGTATCAATACCACCTAATCCTTTGCTGAGAATTACTGCTAGAAATGTAGATTCTGAGGTTCCGAAAGTTTGTTTTTGGTTACCCCCTCCAGCTCCTCCCGTGGCCTCAATTGTCTCTATTTTCTTTGAAAGCATACAGATTTGAAATAGAATTAAATTCTCCTTGGCTCACTCGTGTCTCCATCACCCAGCGGAGCTCATAACTTGGCAACAAAGCCCATACAGGCTGTGGGAAGCCGCGATGCCTGCTGCCCAGCCTGGTGCCCTCCTATTGTTTAGAGCTGGAGCTGTACAGTGTAAATGGCAGTGACAGGTCTCCCTTAAGCTGGCTCGTGGGGAAGGAAGGGAGATAACTTTGCAGTGTGCTTAAATTACTCTGGAAAGTGGAAAGAAAACACCTGGTGCTCAGCTTTTTAACCCTTTCAAGTTGTTATTCAGATTTATTGACACACACACACAGAAAAGTGCAGGCTTTCTTTCCTGCCTAAAAAATAGGCAACCTCTGTGTTCTTCCTCACAGCCAACTTATGTCCTCTGCAAAATCTGGCACACATCTGTGACAACATTGCACTTCTGGCGTAACTGGTCTATTTCTCAAAAGGGAATATGATAGTAGAATAAGCATTTTTGCAGTATGGATAGTAGGACTTCCATTTTCTTCGTTTCCTTTGTTGGTGAAGAAGGTATTTATTATTTTCCCCCCAGTTTACACGTAGTGATTTCTGGGAAGATACTTGTATTAATTTCTTGTACTCATTTTTGTGACATCACAACCCCTGGTCATTCAGGTAAGCTATTTATTAAGCATAGTTATTCTAGAATAAAGGTGAGTTAATGGTAAACTAGAATCCTTCACTGATAACATCCCATTGGTTTACCCTACGGTATTTAATCTGTAGTATTACTATAGATTGTACATGTAAAGTCACTAATTGAACAGAGAGGTGGTTGGTGCCTTGTTAGCCTGACATAAAGTGCTTAGAACAGTGCCTTGCATATAGTTCTAGGTGTCAGCTAATATTACTTTTAATTTTTCTTATCAAGCTATGTGTTATTTTCTGTTTGGAAAATGGTCGTTTTGATTTTTAAAATTCTGATCTGTTAGGTCATGATCTATTTTAAGTCTGTGGTTTTAATTTTAGATCAGGGCTGAGGTTGGGTTGTTATTATGCCTATGACTGACAGGCTTCTCTGCGTATCCTTATGCATGGTGAGGGTTGATTTAATTCATCTTATATATTGGATCTCTAAGGGCAAGACATCAGTCTTGAACCCAGTCATGCCCTGGTGCCTTTCATAAGGAGACCTGGTTGTCTTTAAGAGCCTAATTGTTTAAAGAGAGGCCTCCACATTAGGGAAGACCTGGGCTCTGAACCCCATTCCTTACCTCCCCTGCACTCCCTTGTTCTCTAGGTTTAGAATCCCACTTCCAATTCCCAATGGAAAGAACCGTTGGTACAGCAGAGTTAAGTAACTCTCACAGTGTTAAAAGATGATAAAAGATAAATATGTCTACTGTATATACAACAACCAGAGCATTTAATTCTTTTTCATGCTTTAAAATATTTTAGAGCAGGATTTATAGCCTAACTAGCTAAGATAAGAAAACTCACTTATTTAAAACTACTTATTTGCCATGTGTTAGTAACCAAAGATTGTGTTTCCTATTTAGATATTTTAAATGATTGTCAGGAGTTTACTCTTATTTCATGTTCTCCTTTCCCCTTTAACTTTGAAGTGACTTTTTAAAAAATCGTGATTCCTAAATAACTTAGCTAAGCGAAGGCATGGTATTAACTCTTAGGGCCCTGCAGAAGCAAAACTGCTGTAGGCACAGTGGCTTGGCAGTAGATGGTGCTGTGGACAAGGCTGGTGGAGGAGGCATATGTATGGTCTAGTAGAATCCCAGGGATTAATTTAGCAATCCCATTGTTTGCTGCCCCCCAAAACATACTCTTACCAACCAGACACTGTCCAACAATCTTTTTGGGAATACAGTTTGTTTTTAAATTTGTACTTTATATGTTCAACATTTGTAGACTATTGGCCATTTTTCTGTCTGAAAGCCATCGCATTTTAGGTGCTAGACAAACATTGCTTGTAAAAATATTATTATGAAACTGTTCACTTTATTTTATTTTCCCATTGTAGAGTCAGATTGATCAGCTGAGCCTAGAGATCTCCAACTAATCTGAACTTTTTTTCATACTTAACTTTTTAGGAGAGAGAAACAAATGATCAGAAACCTACTTGCATCTTGAATTTATTTAAGAAAACAACTTCCTAGGGCCAATTCTCATTTACTTTGATTTGCATCATTCTTCTGGCTCCTGGTATGATGCAGTGAGAATTGATATTCAGGATGAAGACTGAAGTGTTGCAAAGTCATGACTCATCCAAGAAAAATACATTCATTCTATTCAGTACAGACACCAAGGCTAGAAATCTAGTACACTCAGAAAAAGGATTTTCTGGTTCATAATAACAGTTATCTCTAAGGGCTGGCTCTGGGACCAGCAAAATCCTCGATGGTTGATGGTGGGTGTGGTGTCTCCTCTAAGAGAGAGTAGGTGCTGTTATCCCCTTTCTATAATACAAGTGAAGGGAAGTGACTTATCTGAGTCACATAGCTAATATGTAGCAAGGTGTGTGTGTCTCCAGACCCCATGAATCTTTCTGTCATGCCAGGAGGAATAACTTCTGCCTTGTACATTCAGTTGCTGGAAGTGTTTGTGTTTCATACCTTCTTTTCAGGTTTGATGTCAACAAATCTCTTCTCTATAACTCATTGACATACTTTGAATTTTGTGGTTAACATTTGATTATCAAAGAGTCTAAAATGAGAAAAGGTACGCCACTTTTAGTTTTCAGGGGAAACCTTTTAAGATTTCACAATACCTTGTTAAAGATCACTTGTTTTAGGAAGGTTGAGGAGAGAGATGGCACATTTAGCTTCTTTGAACTATGTAGACTCTGATAAAAATGTCTTAGATTTAGAAGTAATAAAGAATGTTGGGTCTGTTTTTGGCTTCGTTGCTCAGGTGTTCTGAGAGCAGCACAGCTCCCCCTATGCCAAGTGACTTTCTTTCCCTTAGGTTAAAGGAGGTTTATTCATTTTGATCACTTAAGTACATCAGAGGGGATTATGATGATTTTGGAAACATTGAATCAAATCTTCATTTCATATATTCATTTATTTTATTTTAGACTTTAGGCAGAGCCTAATATAATTTTTTAATGTTGATTTTTTTGTACTGAAAACATTATAGAAATACAAAAATGTAATATTTGGGAATTGTTCAGAAGAAAACACATATTATACCCAAAGTGTTTCTCAAAGAAGCTAAATGTAGCATTAACTCTAGACTTTGAAAGGATAAGTTATGGGATGATTTGCATGAAAGATTTTGGGGAATAGTTGTAGGAAACTTAGTTTTTCATTCTTTGTGAATGTTAACATCCAAACGATTACAGATAATTAAGATATAAGGCTTCTCCACTGTTGCAGAATTCTTTTTCATCCTGTTTTAAAACAACCTGAGTTTGTTTCTGAATGATCCTTTTGTAATATAAAATTAATGAACTTAAATCATGCCTATGTCATTTTGACATCTTAGATTTCCTTATACTTATGGGAAGAAGGGATTGAGTGAGATTTTTACGTTTTTCACATTTTACAGTTCGTCTCATAAGGAAACTCCCATAAGAAACTGGCATTCAAAGACATAAGCCTTGTTTTTTGTTGTTGTTGTTGTTGTTTTAAAGGAAACTTTAGTAGGTGAAGCAAATTACTTTCTTTGCTCAGTATGTTTGGTGATAAAAATAGTGAACATGTGGATGATTAAACAGTTTTAAACCGGCATTAAATCTATGACTTTAAAATTGTAAACACTTTAGAGAGAAGTTCAAAAATGAATACCTAAGCAAAAGGAAACAGTATGTCATTTGGTAGACAGGTTTCTGGAAGAATCAGAAGAATTCTGTGGTATGTTTTATACATCAGGGCAAGATCAATGGGTTTTGAAATTGTCCAGTTCCAGATGAGGCTTTTAAAAATACAATTCACAGACATATGGGAAATTTTTGAGTGGTTGTGTTGTAATGCAAAACATTTTTTTCCTCACAGCCCCATTAGAAGTTTATTTCATCTTTTTAATTTTATTTTTTAGGAGGAATCACATATAGCCTTCAAAACGATCATTCTCGCCAGTGATTTTTTTTTTGTCCCATTAACTGGAACTTAATATAAATAAAAAATAAGTAATTATGCAAAAGAACATAGTTTACTAAGTTCCTCTACTATGATGATTATATTAAACAGATATTGATAGAGGACGTATTGTGTGCCAGGTACTTTGAATAAACATCAGTCAGGAAAGACAAGGTTCCTTCCTCTTTGAGGCTTTATTGTGTAAAGTGGGAAAATAGATAATAAATTAAATGAATAAATGAAAAGCGAATTTAAGGCAGTAATAAGTGCAGTCGAGAATGGGGGCCACTTTTCCATCTGGGCTTGGTGGTCTGGGAGGGCTTTACTGAGGACTTTAGAGCTGACTTCAGTGAAAAGAAGGCAACATGTTTGGGCATGTGTGGGACTAAATATATATACACATCCATGAATGTGGAGTGTCTACAAAAGGGTTTGAAGATAAGTCTTTGCATTTTATTCATCAAACTTCACCGAAGGACTGTAGTCAACAAGCAAAAACTGTGCAAGATTAAAAGCCTGAAGAAGAATACACAAATATTCTTATTTATAAAACGAGTATTTATTTTAAAAATTCTTATTTATAAAATGACCTCTGCAAGGTCTCTGGGCATTGAGGATGGCCCATGCAAAGGCCCTGTGACAGGCAGAACCTGCCCTTGTGAGGAACAGGAGATAGCAGCCAAGGAACCAGGTCAGCAGGGCCTTATGGACCACAGCGGAGTTGGGGTTGGGGTGGAGTGTTTCCATTTAGTTTGAGTATAGGGGAAGCTGCCAGATGGATGATGGATGATGGATGGTAGATTATTGTCTCAGTTTCTGCTAAGTTCTTTTATGTTACTTATGATATCACATCTCATTGTAATGACTTTTGTTAGTACATTGATTTTGATGCTGTTTGTATTTTTCAACAGGAAATCATACTCATTTTAGAAATAAGAATATTTGTGTATTCTTCTTCAGGCTTTTAATCTTGCACAGTTTTTGCTTGTTGACTACAATCCTTGGGTGAAGTTTAATGAATAAAATGCCAAGATTTATCTTCAATCCTTTTGTAGACACTCCACATTCATGGATGTGTATATATATTTAGTCACACACGTGCCCAGACATGTTAGTCAGTTTACTTTCTCTGGCTACCACGGGGGCCACCATTTCTACTCTTGGTCAAAAAGAGACATTTGGAAATTGGGCATTCAGCAATTTTGGGAAATACCAGTGAATCCTGATTACGCTTGTGTGTTTTTACCACATAGTTAAAACAAGGTGAGAGTTGGGAGGTTCATTGTACAGTTGACTGTGAGTTGGGGATTTAAAAAAAATTCCTTTAATCTATCCCTAGCCAGTGTCCTTTCAAATGATCATTTATTGGAATGTTGTGATTTTAAAATCAGATTTTTTCCCCCCAATACATTTTATTCTTGTTTAGTGACAATGATAGAAGAAGAGAAATCATTGTGTGGGTTGTTAATATGACTAGTCATGGGTGCTCTTCACAGCTTCTGTTGGCTTTGTTCCAACCTGCAACATGCACCCGGGTGTGTAACCATAAACCGTTTTATAATGTTTTGGTAAAGTGGCCACAGTTTTTGCGGGGATAGACTGCCTGCCTAGTAACTTAGTTCCTTAATTTAATGAAGATTTTTTTTTCTAGTTCTTCTTAGTGAATCTGTATGTTCCTCTCTTATTGGTGGAGAGTAGTACAGTCATATAAATATATATTTTGTGGGTAGTTGAAATGTTCTTTTAGGTAGTGCCAGAGAATATCTGTGGTCTGCCTGTATTATTTGGAAATTGACTTCAAATGAATTTTCCATGGAAGCAGTGAAAGTGCCACACTTGTCATGGAGCTAGTGTGTGCAGGTGTGTGTGTGTGTGTGAGAAAGGGGCCTAGTGTTCAGTATACACATAGCATTTCCTGTTTTTCCAGTTAGAAGTGGCTCTGCCCTTGCCTCAATGTGACATGTGTTTTAACTCATGTGGCCTGATTTGCTTGTTTGATTTTTCTTACAGGTATTTTTCATTCCAGGATTCACTAGCGTTACAAGATCGAACTGTTTTGATTGTTCATCCCTGGTTGTTATCTCTACCAGCCTTTTTCTGAGTAATTTCAGTGTGAAGCATGCTGCTGTTTAGGTACTGTGAGTTATCCATAAAGGGACCAAATCGCAGGGCCCTTTAATTAAGCATACCGGCATATTAGCAAATACCTTTATACGTTTTGTGCCAGAGATACTTAAGTATCTTCATTTTCTTTGGACTTTTCATTTTACCAGATGGTATTAATTATTCACATATACCTTGTATTAGTGAGAGAACCAGAGAACCAGAACCAATAGAATATACATAGAAAAAAAGAGATTTATTACAAGGAATTGTCTTACATGATTATGGAGGCTGAGAAGTCCCATGATCTGCTGTCTCCAAGATGGAGACCCAGGAGAACCAATGGTATAAGTTCTAGTATAAGGTCAGGAAAATATAGATGTATTAGCTAAGCAGCTAGAGAGAGAGAGAGAGAAAGAGAGAGACAGAGAGAGAGACAGAGAGAATTCAATCTTTCTTCACCTTTTTGTTCCATTTGGGCCTTCTACTGGTTGGATAATGCCCACCCACATTGGGGAGGGCCTTTTCCTTTACTCAGTCCATCAATTCAATGCTGATTTCCTCCAGAAACACCCACAGGTACAGCCAGAAATAATGTTTAACAAGATATCTGGGCACCCCAGTAGACCAATCAAGTAGACACATAAAATTAACAATCACATATCTGTAATACAATCAGAGTCAGGTTTTGTTAAAACATTTTTGTAAAAGTATACTTCCCAAGTTGGTTTAAATGAGCTGACTCCAAGAGTGTTAACACCAGGTACCACTTCTCTAAGTCCTGCTTCTCTACAAAGTCTTTCTCAGTAGTGCTAGCAACATCATACTTTTTCCTTCCTGACCAACACTTCCTTTATTGAACCAATTGATGGCAGCATTTTTGGTGTATTCTTGGTTTTGTGAGTGTATCTTCTGTAAGACAGTAAGTTCATCCACAATGAAGACAGTATCTACTGGCATACCTTGGAGACAAATTGTGGGTTTGATTCCAGACCACCACCATAAAGTGAGTATTACAATAAAGTGAGTCACTTGAATTTTTTGGTTTCTGGGTGCATATAAAAATTATGCTTAAACTATACTGTAGTCTATTAAGTGTGCAATAGCATTGTCTAAGAAAACAATGTACATACCTTAATTAAAATACTTTATTGCTAAAAAATGCTGATGATCATCTGAGCCTTCAGCAAGTCATACTCTTTCTGCTGCTGGAGGTTCTTGCCTTAGTGTTGATGGCTGGTGACTGATCAGGGTGGCAGTTACTGCATGTTTGGGTAGCTGTGGCAGTTTCTTAAAATAAGACAGTAATGAAGTTTGCTGCATCAACTGACTCTTCCTTTCACCAAAGATTTCTCTAGAGCATGTGTTGCTGTTTGATAGCACTTTCCCCATAGTAGAACTTTCAAAATTGTAGTCAGTCTTCTCAAACCCTGCCACTGTTTTATCAACTAAGTTATGTAATATTCTAAATTGTTTGTTGTCCTTTCAACAGTGTTTAGAGCATCTTCAGCAGGAGTAGATTCCATCTCAAGAAATGAGTCTTTATTTTTTCATCCATAATAAGCAACTCCTCATCTGTTAGTTTTATCATGAGATTGCAGCAATTCAGTCACATCTTCAGGCTCCGCTTGTAACTCTAGTTCTCTTGCTATTTCCACCGGATCTGCAATTACTCCTCCATGGGAGTCTTGAACCTCTCAAAGTCATCTATGAGAGTTGGGATCAACTTCTTCCAAACTCCTGTTAATGTTAATATTTTGATCTCCTCCCATGAATCATGACCGTTCTTAATGGTATTTAGAATGGTGAATCCTTTCCAGAAGGTTTTTGATTTACTTTTCCACTTTTCCTGGATACATCAGAGCAATCAGTATCTATGGCAGCTATAGCCTTACAAAGGGTATTCCTTAAGTAATAAGACTTGAAAGTTGAAATTACTCATTGATCCATGTGCTGCAGAATGAATGTTGTGTTAGCAGGCATGAAAACAACATTTATGTCTTTGTACATCTCTATCAGAGCTTTTGGGTGACCAGGGGCATTGTAATTGAGCAGTAATATTTTGAAAGGAATCTTTTTCCTGAGCAGTGGGTCTCAACAATGGTCTTAAAATATTCAGTAGATCATACTGTAAACAGATGTGCTGTCATCCAGGCTTTGTTGTGTAGAGCACTGAGAGAGTAGACTTAGTATCATTCTTAAGAGCCCTGGGACATTCAGAATGGTAAGTCAGCATTGGCTTCAACTTCAAGTTACCAACTGCATTAGCTTCTAATGAGAGAGTCAGCCTGTCTTTTGAAGCTTTGAAGCCAGACATTGACTTCTCCCTCTAGCTATGAAAGTTTTGACCAGCAGTCCCCAACATTTTTGGCACCAGGGACCAGTTTTGTGGAAGACAGTTTTTCCACGGACTGGGGGATGGGGTGGGGGAGGGGGATGGTTTCATGATGATTCAAGCTCATTACATTTTTCATTAGATTCTCCTAAGAAGCACGCAACCCAGATCCCTTGCATGCACAGTTCACAATAAGGTTCGTGCTCCTTTGAGAATCTAATGCCTCCACTGATCTGACAGAAGATGGATTGCTTGCCTGCCACTCACCTCTTGCTGTGCAGCCTAGTTCCTAAACCCAGGGATTGGGGTCCCCTGTCCTAGATGACATCTTCTTCCAATATAAGGCCATTTTGTCTACACTGAAAACCTGTTGTCTAGTTGTAGCCATCTTCATCAATGATCTTAGCTCCATATTCTAGATAACTTGTGCAGCTTCTACATCAGCACTTGCTGCTTCACCTTGCACTTCTATGTTATGGAGATGGCTTCTTTCCTTAAATCTCATGAACTGCCGGGCACACTGGCTCATACCTGTAATCCCAGCACTTTGGGAGGCCAAGGTGGGTGGATCACTTGAGGTCAGGAGTTCAAGACCAGCCTGGCCAACATGGCGAAACCCTGTCTCTACTAAAGATGCAAAAATTAGCCAGGCCTGGTTGTGCGTGCCTGTAGTCCCAGCTACATGGGAGGCTGAGGCAGGAGAATTGCTTGAGCCCGGGAAGCGGAGATTGCAGTGAGCTGAGATCGCACCACTGCACTCCAGCCTGGGCGACAGAGCAAAACCCCATCTCAAACAAACAAACAAACCTCATGAACCAACGTCTGCTAGCTTTCAATTATTCCTTTGCAGCTCTGTCATCTCTCTCAGCCTTCATTGAAGAGAGTTAAGGCCTTGCTCTGGATTGGGCCTTGACTTACGGGAATATTGTGGCTGGTTTAATTTTTTATCCAGACCACTAAAACTGTCTCCCGAGAAGCGATAAGGCTGTTTTGCTTTCTCATCCTTTGTGAGTTAGCTGGAGTAGCAGTTTAAGTTTTCTTCAAGAACTTTCCTTTGCATGCCCAACTTGGTTCACTGTTTGGCTAAAGAGGCCTAGTTTTGACCTGTCGTGGCTTTTGACATGCCTTCCTCATTAAGCAAAATCATTTATAGCGGTTGATTTAAAGTGAGAGATGTGTGACTCTTCCCTTCACTTTAACACTTAGAGGCCTTTGTAGGGTTATTAATTGGCCTCATGTCAATATTGTTGTGTCTGAGAGGATAGGGAGGCCTGAGCAGAGGAAGAGATTGGGGCAGGGGCGGGGAGCAGTCAGTGGAGCAGTCAGAACACATACATTTATTGGTTATGTTTGCTATCTTTTGTGGTTACGGTTTGTAGTGCCCCAAACAATTACAATGGTAACATTGAAGATCCCTGATCACACATCACCTTAACAGGTATAATAACGAAAAAGTTTAAAATATTGTGCGAATTACCAAAATGTGATACACAGACCAGAAGTGAGCACATACTTATGGCACTGATGAACTTGTTTGATGCTGAATTGCCACAGACCTTCTATTTGTAAAAAAACATTATCTTTGGAGCATGTTAAAGTGAAGTGCAGTAAAGCAAGGTATGCCTGTGTATTTTTCCATGGTGAACATTGTCTATGAAACAAAAACAGTGGTGTCGTTGATACCCCTTTCCTCCCTAATCTGTGTGGTCTCTGTAAGGTGCACATGGAGATGACTATTACAGCCGTTAGCATCTCTTACTTTTACCAAGTCTGAGTCTCCATTTTATGAATTATCCCCAACAAAACTTACATTCAGGTGTAAAGTGATGGCAGTTACTTCGTACAATTACATCTTATTTAGAGGTTTCATTCCTATTTACTCTTCAGATTTTGACTAGGTAAAGAAGTGTTCTGAAACTTGAAAATAACATTTTCTGGTATAACAGAAGATAGTTATTTGATTTGATGGTAACTACCATTTATTGCCTAACGTGGTGATATCAGGAAGGAACAGGGCTCTTTATCATTTTTTTTTCAGAAACTGTCATTCACAGCTGGCTTTTCCTCCATTAGCACATGAAATCAATCACAATAATAATAATGACAATGATATTATTATTCAGGCAGATCCTTATATCATGCTTACTATTTCCTGGCACTATTTTGTACTTGCGTGATGGCTCTGTCAGTTTATGGTTGAAATAGTTGATGTGCTCCTGCTTATGTGCAATTTTAGCTTTGCTTTCTGAGAGTTTAGGTGTCAAGTAGTAAAGAACTGAGCAGTTGCATATAACTAAAACTTAATAATTTCTCTGAGTTCACTTTTAGACTCACTTGTTTAGAATGCTCTGGACTTTCCAACGGCTCTTCATCTGTTCCTCTTTGGTCCAGGAGTTAGTTTGAGACTAGAATCAACTACAGACACTGGCTTGGGATAAGGCCTAAGGGACTGTGACAGTAGTGGGTGGCCATGGCACCCTAGTGCTATGGCCATGGCAGGGTTCAGTAGGCTGACTGTGGGTCTTTAAACCCCAGGGAAGAGTTTTATCTAGACCTCCTAGGGTAAAACTGGCTGGGTCCAAGTGTAATAAAGCTAAAACTTCTCACTAAGGACATTTCAGTATTAGGACCTGAAGTCCACCCTTAATTGATTTTTTTTTTTTTTTCAATGCAGGGTCTCACTCTGTCACCCAGGCTGGAGTGCAGTGGCACGATCTCGGCTCACTGCAACCTCTGTCTCCCAGGTTCAAGCGATTATCCTGCCTCAGCCTCCCGAGTAGCTGGGATTACAAGCACGTGCCACCGCACCTGGCTAATTTTTGTGTTTTTAGTAGTGACAAGGTTTCTGCATCTCTACGTTTTGAACTCAGGTGATCCGCCCACCTCAGCCTCCCAAAGTGCTGGGATTACAGGCTTGAGGCCTGAGCCACTGGGCCTGGCTTAATTGGTATATATATATATATATATATATTTTTCCAAAACCAGAGTTTGCATTTTGGTCAGCTGATATGGTGATTATTGATGTCCCTAGTCACTGACACCGCTGCCATTTCCTAGCCAACCAGTATTTCAGTGCCTACAATGTGCCAGGCACCATGCTGCTACCTAGGTGGGTGGAAGTCGAGTCTTCCCTCGCCCTGAAGTACTGGGTAACTGTAAGCCCCATGGGCCTCTTCTCTTAGCTGGAATGTCATCTTCACCTTCACCATCTCTTAAAACGTCACTTCTCTGGTCTGAACCCCAAGTCACTGCCTGGTGTAACAGAAGTGAACTGCCCTCACAGGTGCTCTGTCCTCATGAGCCCTCTGAAATGTCCTGTTGCCTTTTTTAAGAAATGGCTTTAGAGTCCATTGCTATTGTTGAAATTGTCCATGCACTTTGTGTATCGGATCACGTGGGTCCCACTGTTTCCTACCAGACGCGGGTGATGCAGCATCAGTGGAACAAAGATACGTCTTTTTAGTTTGGAAGAAAAATGAGGTTTCATCCCATTTTCTTTTTACCATCACTTTTCCACCCCTCCATCCCTCTGCTATGGTCTGAATGTTTGTGGTTCCCCAGAATTCATATATTCAGATCTAATCCTCAAGGGGATGGTATTCAGAGGTAGGGCCTTGGCAAGTGATTAGATGATGAGGGTGGAGCCCTTATGAATGGGATTAGTGCCCTTGTAAAAGAAACCCCAGAGGACTCCCCTCCTCCTTCAGCTGTGTGAGAAGACAGTGAGAAGGTGCCACCTGGGAACCAGGAAGGGGACCCTCATCAGACGCTGGATCTGCTGGCCTTGATCTTGGGCTTCCAACCTCCAGGACTGTGAGAAATTTGTGTGGTTTATAAGCTGTCTAGTTTACAGAATTTTGTTATAGAAGCCCCAATGGACTAAGGCACCTAGGCATTATGCTAGGTGCTGGGAATACTTGTAACAAAAAGTAATGCAAATAGAATGTTACGTCAGAAGGTGTTATTTTCTTCTTTACATATTTATACGTAAAGTAACAAAATTCCTGTAAGATATATTTTTTCTATCAACAAGAAGGTAAATTTCTCGTGCCTAAAATAGCAAATATAGCTACAAGCAAGGCAGTTTTTATCTGTGCTCATAGATGTTTAATAGATTCATTGAAGCTCTGTGGTCTAATGAAATGACAGTGTAGGAGTCGTGAAAAGCTTGCATTTTTTTTTTTTTTTTTTTTTTTAAAGTCTCACTCTTGTCGCCCAGGCTGGATTGCAATGGCGTGATCTCAGCTCGGCTTACTGCAACCTCCACCTTCCGGGTTCAAGCGATTCTCCTGCCTCAGCTTCCCAAGTAGCTGGGATTACAGGCGCCTCCCACCACACCCGGCTAATTTTTGTATTTTTAGTAGAGGCAGGGTTTCACCATGTTGGCCAGGCTGGTCTCAAACTCCTGACCTCCAGTGATCCACCCTCCTCGGCCTCTCAAAGTACTGGGATTACAGGCGTGAGCCACTGCGCCTGGCTGCATTTTTTCAATTGTTATTTTTAATTAACATCTAATAGTTATACATATTCATGGTGTACAGCTTGGTATTTGGACACATGTATCTAATGTGTTATGAGTAAATCTGGGTAATTAGCATACCCAGCACATCAAACATTTTTTTGTGTGTATGTTAGGAATATTCAGAATCCTCTCTTCTAGCTATTTGAAAGTGTGTAATAAATTATTGTTAACTATAGTCACCCTGCAATGCTGTGGAACACTAGAACTGATTCCTCCTCTGTAGCTGTAATTTTGGAGGGGACTCAATGAATACTTCTCCGTGCATCTGAACTAAGGCTGACACCAGGTATGAGCTCCATGAGTGGGAGAGGCCTCCACACTGCAGGTGGAAGACAGGCCAGTATCCGCAGACTGTGTTCTTGCAGCTGATGCTCAGCAGCTCACCAGAGCCCGAGTCCCCATTGACATCCCTCATCCTAGTTTTTCTTCTTTATCTGACCCTGAAATACCTCTCCTGTCTGGCTCCTCTCTATTTCTGGGTACCCCTCCACCTTAGTTCAGGCCTTGGTCATCTTTTCCTTCCTCTCTGCTCTCTCTGCCTCTGAATAAAGACAAGAGAAGAAACAACCCCATCTTTATGATGCTCAAGTAACTTGAATGCACAGACGTAAATTATATCTCTGCCTGACCACTAGACAGGGGACTTGATAGGGGGACGTAAGTCACATTCCAGCCAGCGGAGTCTTGTGAATATCTGCTTTGGTCTTAAACCTCTCTGCTGCTTTGAGAGTAGTTTGTATCTGGAGATTTAGGTAGATTATATCTCGGGTGTTGAAGGAGTTTGCAGATGGGAGCGAAGTACCACTGTTGATAATAACCTGAGAGTTTGTGGAGAACACAAAAGGCACTGGGATCGAGGTAAATGCCTGGATTTTGCAGAAGGTACCAAGAAATCCTAGACCTTCACTGTACAGTGTAGGGGCCACGGGACACGTGGCTGCCCAGCACTGGAAATGTGCCTGGCCTGAATTGAGATGTCCTCCTGAAAGTGTAAGAACATGCCAGATTTTGAAGATTCAGTTTGAGAAAAGAATGTAAAATAACTCAATAATTTTTATATTAATTACATGTTGAAAGGGTAATATTTTGGATTTATTGGGTTAAATATATTATCAAAATTAACTTCACCTATTCTTTGATTTAAAAATATGTCTACATGAAAACTTAAGATAACATATATGGTTCACATTTGTGGCTTACATTATATTTCCATGGGATGGTGCCATTCTAGACTCTGTAATTCATTGATTTTGCTCCATCTCCTTGGCAGCATTCTAAAACATAGTGCGAAGCAGATGGTTGTGTACTTGTAGGAAAGAAAGTAGTAATAACTGAAAGCAAGAATAATTCTACTAAGAACAAATCATGCCAAACTGACCTCATTTTTTTTTCTTTTTATAGGGTTACTTGGCTAGAAAATCAGAACACTTCTGTAGGTTTATATTTGGATTTCCGTAACTCATTTGAAATGTGTCCTCTGATCAGGTCGAAGGCATTTTAGAGAGCATTGAGTTGTGGTTGATGGCACGGCTCTCTCTGTAGCTGGTGAAACTCGGTTTGAGACAGTGTCTCACTCTGTCATCCAGGCTGGAGTGCAGTGGCATGATCTCAGCTCACTGCAACCTCTGCCTCCCAGGTTCAAGTGATCCTCGTGCCTCAGCCTCCCGAGTAGCTGGGATTACAGATGCGCAACATGACGCCCTGCTAGTTTTTTTTTTTTTTTTTAAGTATAGACAGGGTTTCACCATGTTGGCCACACTGGTCTCGAACTCCTGACCTGAAGTGATCTACCCGCCTTGGCCTCCCACAGTGCTGGGATTACAGGTGTGCGCCACCATGCCCGGTCTCGTTTCTCAGTTCTTGATGGTTGTGTCAAGAACAGCCTGAGCTGTCCTCCAGCTTCCTATAGAGTTTGCTTCATTTCAGGAATGTGAGGGAACATACACTAGCCTCATTTGGGAAGAGATCAGGTTTGGTCAGGTTTTTAGTGCTCTAGAAGGTTCTGCCCCATGAGCCATACTCTGTTGAGTGATCTGGGGCTCATTCATTGAATACATTTCTGGAGTACTTACATGCCCTGGCACTGTGCTAGGTGCTGGGAGTAAAGATTAATAAGATGTCATCTGTAATCTTAAAGTTCCATCTAGGAGGAAGGAAAACAGCTTAAATGAAACCATAGTCCCTGTGGTAGCGCACCATTAGAGGCACATGTGTGTAGGGTGCTGGACTGGGCTAGGAATATCACTCCCAGCTCTGCTGGTTTGGTAAGATTCCACTTGAAACCTGATTTCTAACTCCTGCCATAAAGAATGGCTTAATTGTTGTAAAACTAAAATCATTATCTTTAATTGTTCATATCTCACAACTTAGAAAATTCATTTATGTGAAATTTTTCTACAGCTACGGTGGAAAGCTTGGCAATGTCTGCTTTGACAAATTTCCAGGACAAAATTATCGTGACACTGTTCTTTGGGAGGTGTACTGGGCCCAAGGACTAGAGTGGCCTTCAAACATTTCTCAAAGAACATCTAGCTTTGCCTACATGGTATCTGTTTGGCGGCATCCTTACAGAAGCAAAGAAGTCTACATTTTGGTCAGGTGTTTTGAACTCTAGCTAAGAGTTAGGAATCTACTGAGCTCTTTACAATCGAGGAGGTTTGTTTTCTGATTTGAGAGACCAAAATAGATGCCCTTTTCTCAACTAAGAAAGACCCTAAGGTTAAAGAAACAACGTTGCCTGTGGATTGAGGGTTCAGAGCCCTGGCTGGCATGGCAAATTTCTAAATTCCTATGGCTCTAAGCTCCCTAACAGTAGGAGTTATCAAACCCCTCCTAACACATTTGCCACCCAGACCACTGCAACTCTGACTGGATAGAGCGCTGGCCTTTCGAGCATCCTTTTCTAATAAGCAACTGCAGACATTAAACGGTTTCAGCATGCTTTTAGAGACTGCGCAGGAACTCTGTTTCCTATGGTTCACCTTTTGACATAAAGAGCCAAATTCCACCTCATTTTAATGCTAAAACCTCACCCCAAAGTGAACACGAGATGTATGTTACGTATATGTTTACCCACTGTGCACGCACTCAGCTCCTTCCAAACCTGTGGAATGTGTAGGACTCTCGTGTGATACAGACCCTGTGAGGCATAAAACCTGAGCAGTCCTCCCATCTTTGAAGAAAGAAAGAGAACCTTTGACACACACCCAAGATCTTCTCTTCCACGCCAGCAAACCAATATTGCCAGTAGAGCTCTCCTTTCTACTCTTTAGCCATCCTGGTCTTTTGGATGACATTTAGTTCTGGAAGATTATTTCAAGGATTTAGGTAGCCCATCCATGGCTTTGCTTCCATCAGCTTGTGTCTTCTAAGTATGTAGTAAGTGACTCTAGGCAGCATACAGGTGGCAAGGAGTTATGTTAGACCCCCTCGGAATCACCTTCGTGACTGAGTAGCCCTCACGTCTGTCACAGGCTCTGCTTCAGCTGAAGGATATTCCAGAGATGGCCACACGACATCTCACTGTATTTTGGTAGAGATTTTGTGAGGACCTCGTGCATTACTGCCTAGTGTACTCTGCACTTTACACACCTTTAACAACATGTCAAAAACCTACAAGGCAAGTAATTTGATTAGAAAGATGAACAGTCAACTTAGGCAAAATTGAGGTGAAACTATAGCAGGTTGGTAGGAAATTCTGACTAGTTTCTTCTCTAGCTTGACCTCTGTATTATATGCTTAAATTTTCTCTAGGTACTATAATTTTAATTTTCTGTTTTCCTGATTTTTTTTTGTTGTTGAAATATCTCACATATTTTTGGGAAAGAAGGTAGGGTTTAAGATAAAACTAAAGATCTTCTTAGTGTCATTTTTGGCTGGTAGTTGGTTGTGTTTAAACTCTACACCGAGAAGATGGAAGTTATTTTGTTCAAACTTTTATATTAAATGTCTAAATCAGGAGTGGGCAATGTTTTAATCTTTATTTATTTATTTTGATAGGTGAGAAAAAATATTTGTGTACTTTTTTCACATTCAAAATAAAAGGTTTTATTGAGTCCTAGGGGAAAAAAAATTAAGAATGATTTCTTTGAGTAGAAAACCTCCAAGGGGATTTGGTGCTGGTTCTGGGCCATGAAAATGGTTTGCTCCGGGCCTGTTGGGTGGTCACAAGTGTGGTGGCAGACAGCCCTTTCAGTCCCTGGGCCTGTGGAGGACTGCTGGAGGACATTTGGGGTTATCCCATTTCTTCCTCAGAGGAATGCTGCAGTCTGTGTTACTGTGGTCACACTTTAGTAACAGGGACATTGGTGCAAAGATGTATTCTTCAGGTTGTTTGGGGAGTGGAGGAGTGGATGAGGGACAGGGTCTAAATGGCTCCAGAGCTTGGGGTCCCGGTATCCTCCCCAGTCTGTTCTTCCCTTTCCTGGAATCTGAGGTCTTATCCCACCTGAGCTTGGCAAGGTGAAGTGAGCATTCCTATGACATTTGCCATCCCAGGCTGGTGTCTCCCTGCTGGGATGGCTCCCAGTGGCCCCAACTTGTGCTTCCCCCCGGGCTGTCACTTCTGTCAAATCCTCCTTCCCCCCAGACCTGGGAGGGGCTGTGGAAGGCCCCTGATGGGTTTTCTCTAGGATCTCCTTCTCCTGAAATGCTGTGTGATGTCTCTAGAACTGAGGCTGGCTGAGCTTTGCTTATCAACAAAGATTTCTCTCTTTACTGCACTAGATGGCAAATGCCTGCTGTTACAGAATCTTTCCCCAAAGTGGATCAAAGATGGAGTATCATCAGTATCATCGCAAGAAATGTCAAGTCTGGCAGAAGAGTATGAAAGGGGCAGCTTTGGGCTGTCCCCATGGCGGTCTTTGGGCACACATCAGGGGCTTATGGTGGGGAGTGGGTGTTGTCCTGTCTCTGGCAGTAGTCCCAGCCTGGCGCACTTTTTGGGGCTCAGTAAATAGTTGTTTATATATTGGAAAGGCCCTGGTGGGATGGAGGGATTTGTGAATTATGTGCGTTCACCACATTGCTGAATCCACGAGGGAGAGTGGTGGGGAAGCAGGCTTCAGCTTAATGTGCAGTCCCAGGTGACCCAAACCAGGATGGGCTGCCAAATAAAGTGGGCCCTCTGTTGTTCAGGGACACAGAGGGGGAGTCCAGTGGGGCTGCACAGTCATCTTTTGGTCCTGCATGCTGAAGCCGAGATATTTTTTATCTTGACACATCATCCTCACCCATAAACTACAGTTGCTATTGCTATTTCTGGCACCACCTTTTTTACTTCTCATTTTGGGTTTATTTTATCATGGAGCTCTGAGCCTGCCTGCTCTGTGGTAGACTCAGGTACTCTCAGGGACAAAGTGTTGGAAAATAAGGTCACTTCTCTCTTTAACACCAAAATAAACTGATAAATGCTTGTACGCAGAGTACAGAAGGAGTAAGGTAGCTGGCCTTTCGTGCTGGCATGCCTGTCACTGTGCTGTGAAAGTGACTGGGACATGGGCCTCTTGTGAACAAGGATTGACTGTGCACTAAGACGTGGCATCTGCTTGTGATGATCATGCTTTTGTCATCCGTTCTCTCTGGCTTGGAAAAGGCCCGAGCCAAACTAGAACTGTCAGACCTAAATTGGCGTAACCCATGTCAGTTCTTCCTCGAAGAGCCCTTCCGGATTACCTGCTTCAGTGATCCAGACTGTCTAGTAAGAACACTTAGGATCATAGAGCTTCCTGGGCCTCCCTCTGCCTAGCGGGAATCAGTGGGACTGCGCAGGGTACTCCCTGGGGGATGCTGATGCACAGGTAGCTTTAGGAACCCTGGATCTGGGTCAGTGCTTTGTCAACTGTAGCACACAGTCACCAGGAGGGCTATTCAAACAAATTGCCAGTTGCTCCAGAGTTTCTTATTCACACGGTCTGGGGAGGGCCTCGAGATCTGCATTTTCGCCAAGTTCCCTGGTGATCCTGAGCCTGTCTGGGTGAAGTCCTCATCTGAAAAGTGTGTAGTGCTAGGTCTGTGTCCCCGGACATAAGGTTATAAAGGTGGATGTCTTGCAGGGAAACTGCTGCAAAGGGCAGAAAGGGTTGTAAAAGTTCTCCCAGAGAAGATGACCTTTGATGCAACAGGCTTTAACCTTCTCATTGAGAATCTTCAGTGCAGTTCCTAATTTTTAAAATAAAACTTCTGTTTAATAAGTCACATACATGTATGTTTTCCCTAACTGCTTTGCATTTTTCTTTAATCTGTGTAGATTTTCATATTTAAAATGCAAGTTCAATTATGATTTGGTTTTGGGGTTATCGTTTATTAAACATTTTGGACATCTGGAAGCAAACCTATTATCTTTATTTTTAATTTTAAAAGAAAATGTTTTTGTACCATATTCTGCTATAAATAAAATATTTATAAGTGTAGTGATTATTAGAAATTTTTACTAACATCAAGACTTTAGGCCATGAAAATGTACTTATTTCCTTGGATTTAAAAATATTTTTACAAAATAACTTTCTTTTCTTAGGAATTTTAATTGTTTTAGTTGATGAGTTGATGTTCTTCTTTATGCTCAGACAGCTTGGGCAGTTTTTGTTTAAGATAACGTTAAAGCCGGGTGCGATGGCTCACGCCTGTAATCCCAGCACTTTGGGAGGCCAAGGCAGGTGGATCACTTGAGGTCAGAAGTTCGAGACCAGCCTGACCAACCTGGTGAAACCCTGTCTCTACTAAAAATACAAAAAATTAGCTGGGCATGGTGTCATATGCCTGTTATCGCAGCTACTCGGGAGGCTGAAGCAGGGCAATCGCTTGAACCCTGGAGGTGGAGGTTGCAGTGAGCCAAGATTGCGCCACTGCACTCCAGCCTGGACGACAGAGCAAAACTCTGTCTCAAAAAAAAAAGACATTAAATTTACACTCTCAGAAAAGGTGACATTAAATTTATACTCTCAGAACATTTGTTTTTCAACAAAAATGGATACAGATACTATTGATTAATTTTGGAGGAATACAGTGAAGATAATTTCTAAATTTAGTCTTAGGTCCTTAAGTAAAAGTGCCCTCAGTTAACTAAAACGTGTTCTTGAAAAGGCATGAGGGGCCGGGCATGGTGACTCATGCCTGTAATCTCAGCACTTTGAGAGGCCTAGGCAGGCAGATCACTTGAGGTCAGGAGTTCGAGACCAGCCTGGCTAACATGATGAAACCCCGTCTCTACTAAAAATAAAAAATTAGCCAGGTGTGGTGGTGTGTGCCTGTAATCTCAGCTACTCAGGAGGCTGAGGCAGGACAATCGCTTGAATCCAGGAGGTGGAGGTTGCAGTGAGCTGAGATTGTGCCACTGCACTCCAGCCTGGGTGACAGAGCAAGACTTTGTCTCAAAAAAAAAAAAAAAAGAAAAAGAAAAAAGGCATGAGGATTTCAAGTGAAATCCAGTTAAATGAGTATTACATAATTAAAATAGGTCCTATTTGGAAATAAATTTAACTCTTGGAATATTTAACTATTCCTAACTGTATCATTCAACTCATTCTATTTATATGGTTTAATTATATATTTGACCCATTTAATCTTAATACCTCACGAAAACAAAGCTATGTAGAGTATCTTTTAATCAGTTTTAGCATCTGAGAAATCTGATGTCTCTTTGGTGGATTTGGCCAGAGGGAACTGGAACACATGCTCTCATTGCCACTTTGATGGTATTTTTTAAATCTATGAAATAAATGCTTTTAGAAAATGATTTTACTGGGCAAAGAGAGCCAGGTGTGGAAGTAAAATTTGTATTATCTATTGTTGCATAACAAATGACGCCAAAACTTAGTGGCTCAAATAATACAGATTTTCTCTCTTCACATTCTGTGGGGATTCGGAGTTTCTTAGCAGGGAGCTTCTGGCTTGGGCCTCCCGGGAGGTTATTCTCAGATGTGGCTGGGGTTGCAGTCATATTGAGGCTGCACAGAGCCTGGAGGCTCCAGCACCCAATGTGGCTAAGCTCTGGCTCAGCTCTTTGACTGGAGAGTTGATGCTACCTGCTGGTGGGAGCGGGGAGCTCAGTTCCTCCCCAGCTTAAGCCTATCCTGGCGCTGCTTGGTTGCAGGTCAAATTTTTGGCCAGCCAAGAACCTGAAGGAAGATCTTTCATAATGTCTCAGTTTGGCTAGCTACCCAACTCCACGTATTCATCCTGTTTGCCTCGTGGTGTTGCCTCATGCCAGGAAGTGCTCCAGTCTGTGTTTGTCATGTTCTGTGCCCTCCAGGAGCTCATGATGCACCAGAGAAAAGGCTAAGCCCAGGGCCCAAGAGAAGCTGGTGCAATGAGCAGCATGGGCACAGCCTGAATGAGGGAGGGAGTGTGTCCAGGAAAAGCTTTCCTGAAGAAGGTCAGATTTGAGCTGAATCAGATGTGCCTGCCTTCTAAGAGAAGGTAGATGTTAGCCAGGTGAAGGAGTAGGCTGGAAGCAGGGAGTAGGGGGAGAAATTTAGGAAGGAAATGCTAGGCAGATAGAACAGACTTAGTGAACAGACTGAGGCTCGAAACAGCACAGCAAGTCTGGAGAACTTTAGCAGTTTACTTTTTCAGTGCCTAGGGAAATGTTTGAGTTAGGGAGAGATGCCAGGACTGGAGATGCTAGTGTGGTAGGTAAGGGAGTTAGTGCTTCTCAGTCATGCAGCTTGGATGCATGTGTTTCTTGCCCATCATGCATGTTTTCTTACTCATTCCTCAACAAAGATTTGAGCATTTACAAGGCTTAAGGCATTATGCCGCTTCATTGAACCCTGAAAGGTAGATAAGTCTGCATTTTATAGATAAGAGACTGGCTGAGGGATATTAATTGACTTGCCCAAGGTGATGTGGCCAGTGAGTAGCAGGGCTACATCTGTGTGAAAACCTGAAAGTCGAGTTAAGATGCGAACCAGTTCTTCATAAGAATCACTGGAGGCACATATTTTATATAAAGATTTCAGGCCTCCACCCTAGACTTACTGATGTCTAGGGGAAGGGCCTCAGGTACTCTTTACTATTGGTGAAGTGGAGAGCTTAGCTTTGCTCTCAACTTGAACTTGACATCAGTGAGAGTGGAGGAATTGTGGAAGAGGGTGTGCAGTTTCTTTTCTGTATGTGCTGAGGGGCATGAAGTCCAAAAGATGTTTTTGTTTGGAAAATTCTGAGTGACATTACAGCCTCAATCTCTTAGAAGATGTTTTCAAAGTCTCTAAAAAATAAATTGTGAAGAAAGATATCCACAAGCTTCAGTATCTTGGAATCAACACACAATTGGATTTTTGATATCTGGTTTGATTTGATATTTCATGTGAATGAGTAGCTGAAAGGTGCTAATGAGGTATTTAATACTGGTACTAGAATCAAAAGCTGAGAAATACCTGAACACAAAGACCAGACTGGTAATAATGTCATGAGATTCCCCAGGACTAGAGAAAAACATGAAGAATAAAATTACTAAGAATTATTCAAAAGAGTGTTTTGTTGTTAAGGATTGCTCTGTATGTCATAATGTACTGTTTTAAGCTCTTCACGTGTATTGGGTCATTTTATCCCCAAAACCAAAAATGTTATTGTTTTTGTATTTCACAGGGCTATAGAATGTGAAAAAATGTGTAATTTAGTTAATTGTTGTTTTTAAATGCTCAAACAAATGTATTTAATTTTTTAATATCCTTATAATTTTTTCTGCCTGTTCTATCAATTATTGAGTGCAGAGTGCTAAAAATCTTCACCTGTGATTGTAGATTTATCTGTTTCTGTCTTTAGTTATATAAACTTTTATTTCATTTAGTTGAAGTTCTATAATTAGGTACATGCACATTTAGAACTCTCAGGTCTTTATAATAATTGACTCTTTGATCATTATGTAATGCCTTTTCCTTGTCTTTGGAAATACTTCTTGTCTTAAAGTTTACTTTGTCTGATATTGAAATAGCCACACCAGCTTTCTCATGATTATAGAGTTTGCATGGTATATATATGTATATATTTTTTCCATTCCTTTATTTTTAGTATACCTCATCTTTATCCTTTAAATGTGTCTCTTATAGTGTACAGTTAGATAGTGCTTTTTTTATTCAGTCTTGACAAACTTTCCCTTTTAACTGAGGGGTTTAGTCCATTTACATTGATTGTAATTTACAATGATATTAGACATTGATACGGTTGATTTTTAAGTCTATTACCCTATTTTTTGTATTCTATTTGTTTGATCTGTTTGTTCCTTCTTTCTTGCCTCACTTTGGCTTAATCTAGTAATTTTTCGCATTTTATTTTGTCTCCTTTGCATTTTAGCCAAGGTTTGGTTTTACTTTTTACTGGTTGCTCTAGGGATTACAATAGATAGATAGATAGATAGATAGATAGATAGATAGATAGATAGATAGAGAATCACCATCTACATTGAATGAATATTTTACCACTTCACATTAAATGTAAGAATCTTACAACTGTATATTTTCCTTTACGCTCCTCCTGTCCTTTGTGCTGTTCTCTATTTTAGTTGTATGTTTGTTGTACACCTCACAATACATTATTTTTTACTTTTCAGCCAAATATCTTTTTGTAAATGTAAAAAAGAAAAGGCCAGGCGCGGTGGCTCACGCCTGTAATCCCAGCACTTTGGGAGGCCAAGGTGGGCAGATCACAAGGTCAAGAGATCGAGACCATCCTGGCCAACGTGGTGAAACCCCATCTACACTAAAAAAAATATAAACATTAGCTGGGTGTGGTGGCACATGCCTGTAGTTCCAGCTACTCGGGAGGCTGAGACAGGAGAATCTCTTGAACCCGGGAGGTGGAGGTTGCAGTGAGCCAAGATCACACCACTGCACTCCAGCCTGGCGACAGAGTGAGACTCTGTCTCAAAAAAAAAAAAAAAAAAAAAAAAGGAAAGAAAGAAAGAAAGAAAAGAAAAGAAAGAAAAAAGAAAAAATATTTATGTATAAATCCACACATTTGCCATTTCTTGTGTGCTTCATTTCTTCCTGAGATCTAAATTTTTTCCATTTGGTATTATTTCCCTTCAGCCTGAAGAACTTTCTCTATTGTTTATTATAGGGTAGGTCTGCTGGTGATTAACTTTCTTAGCTTTCATTTAGCCGAAAACTTCTTGAATTTGCCTTCATTTTGTTGCTGAGTATGTAGTATTCTAGGTTGACAGCTTCCTTTTTTTTCTTGCAGCATTGTAAATATGTTGTTCCATTATGGCCTCCCTTGTTTCTAAAAAGAAGTTGGCTATCATTATTATCTTTGTTACCTTGTATATAGTGTCTTTTTTGTGTTACTGCTTTTTAGAATTATTTTCATTTATGTTTTATTTTCAGCAGTTAGACTCCATTATGCTTAGGTGGGTTTTTCTTTGTATTTGCTTTGAGTTCACTGAGCTTCTTGGTTGATTTTTTTCCAAATTTGGTACATTTCATCTACATTTGTTCACATATTTTTAATCCTATCCTTCCCTCTTTTCTCCTCTCCTCTAATTGCCCGTATATTTTATTGTTTGGTATTATCTTGCAAGTCACTTGTACTTAATTTTTTTCCAGTTGCTTTTCTGTCTATGATTTAGTAAATTTGTGTGTTTTTTTTCCTTCTACAAAGTCCAATTAGCAAGCCATTCAATAAATTTTTAATTTGAAATATTATATTTTAGTCTTGTATTTTATTTAGTGCTATTTTACGGTTTTTATTTCTGTCTGAAAATGTTCCATCTCTTCTATTAGATTTTTTTATTTGCTGTAAACGCCTTAATATATTTGACGTAGTTGTTCTAAAGTCCTTCACTAGTGAGCTCACTAAGTGAGTCATTGGAGATTCTGTTCTTACTGACTGTGTTTATTTTTACTTATGGATAATATTTTCCCATTTTAAATGTATTTTGAAATTTTAAAAATTTTCAGTTTTAAATTTTTAAATTGTATTCCAGGTGTACACAAAATAATAATATTTGTTTGTTTCATTTCTCAAGAGTGCAAGCTCTCTTCTTAATGGAGATAAGGCTAAAGAGCTGTATATTCAGATTCCTGAACATTTAGTTAAGGTTGGAGTTACACTTTTAATTAGGTTGAGTTCACCTAATCAGCCTTTTAAAAACAAGTCCGTGTTAGTATTTCAGCTGGGAGAAAGTTGGTCTACAATTTTAGATCTTTGATTTCCTGTTGGATTAAAAGATTGAATGAAGCATCATCAGAGTATATGGGCTACATGATTTCTCTCAGCCTTCTAACATTTCCACTGTTGCTTTTTTGTCTAATTTGGGAGGCTGGGGGAAGGTGGTGGTAGATCAGAAGGCTTATTAGGAAAGTAATTTGTTTTTGCATTTGTTCTTCTAGCATCCAATCTGTCCCACCAGTGCATGCCACTGTCTGAGGCTTGTCTTTCTCTCCTTATTACTGCGAGTCTCTCTCTGATGGCTTGTTCCTCCTGATCTAGACGAGGCGTCCTCAGATAAGGAAGCTGCTATGGCTTTCAGCTCACCCAGAAAAGGCTACTTTCTTCCTGGCCTTAGGCTCCTTTGCATTTATTATTTTTTGCTAGGCCCATAGAAAAGTAACTTTTTATTTTGTCCAGGTAAAATTTTTTGTTGCCATCGGATGGAAGGCTTTTTTGTGCTTCTAATTAGACACAGAAATCTTCTATACATTTTTAAAGCAAGTGCCCCAAAGTGTAAAGTGTCAATGAGTTCTCTTGCCCCCGGATGCTGATTGGGTTTCACCAGTTGGAAGCACTGGATGACCATCAGTGCCCAGTTGTATGTGTTAAGTGACATTCTTCTAATTTTTCTTTTATCCAACTTAAAAATCTGTGGTATCTGTGCTATTCTATTGGGTCACCACTGGTTACTGATACCTGCCAACCAAAAAGGATATCTGAAAGGCAGTAAAAAAATTAATAAATAAATAAAACCAAGCATTGCTCTGTAGGACTTGCCCTGAGACACTCTTTTTCAGTTATGGAACTGCCCAATCACATGTAAGCCAGAAAACATGAAAAGTTAAAGACACATACACAGAACCGATTCCTAGCATTACTACTACTTATGGTTTAAATGTAATTATTTACTGTTTCATGTACTGTATCAATGTTGTTAAATATATTGTCATTTAGTAGTCAGAACAACCCAGAGTAACACTGAGATTCTAAGTTGGGGTTGACTACAGAATATACACTTTTAACCACTGTGCTATAAATGCTACCTTCTTCAACCAAGTTGATCAACCAGTATTATTTTATCCAATACCAACTTGGATGAGCAAGGTATCATTTATAGCACAATGGTTAAAGGTGTATATTTTGCAGCCAACCCCAACTTGGAATCTCAGTTTTACTCTGGTTTATTCTGACTACTAAATGATAATACATTTAACAACATTAACATGAATTTCCTTGAAGTTCTAGAGAGCATATAGCAGACATTAAATATGGAAAGTTCAATCTGCGGTGAAACCTTACCCTAATTGTTTTACACACATACTCTATGGCCTGGCTCTAGCATTCCACTTGCTGGGGAGCCAGTGTTGAGAGTTTCTGGGGTGCACAAGTAAGAAGGGAGCTGAGCTGTGAGCAGCATTCTGGGGTGCTGTTGGTGCTAGTCTCTCTGAATCCTGCTAGTAGTGTAGTCAGGCTCTCACTTTCATAAACACAGTGATTTGTATTTAGCCTGTTCATGCACAAGAGCTTTACTGGTGAGAAAGACCGAACTCTGTGCTTCTATTCTGAAAGCTAAATGTCCCTTGACATGAGAAGTTAAGAAGTCCTACACCATGGACGAACCATGTGGGCATTATGCTAAGCAAAATAACCCAGTCACAGAAGGACAAATGCTGCATAATTCCACTTACACAAAGTACCTAGAGTAGTCAGTGGTGACAGAAAGTACAATAGTGGTTTCCAGGGGCTGTAGGCAGGAAGAAGTAGGGGTGAATGGGGGTACAGAGTTTCAGTTTTGCAAGATGAAAGAATTCTGGAGATGGGTGGTGGCGATGGTTGTACAATAGTGTGATAGTACTTACTCCACTGAACTGTATACTTAAAAATGGTTAAGATGGTCAATTTTACATTATATACATTTTACCTCAGTTTTAAAAATTTAATAATATAAAACATGATGTCTCAATAAAATTTATATTTCAGCCTTTAAAAAAAGTATCCAGTGGATTCTGTTTGGTTTTACTAACATTATGCTTAATTTTTGTAGAACAGCAGAAAACATGAGTATTGATATTGGCATTGTTCTACACTTGCTTATTAAGGAGATGAATAGCTTTTCTTAGGGAAGGCCAAAAGTAGAAATTCTTTGGCCTGAAATCATTGCCACCTGCTCTGGAAAGCACTTGAAGAAGGCTCCAATTATACTTCTAGACAAGAAAGCCCAAACCCAGGGGGTTGTTAGACAGTGATTAGTCTCTCCAGGGGCAGAAAAACAGTGTGGGAAAGCCCTGCCCTCGCAGGTGATGAACCCCAGCAGCCTGTGTGTCTTTCAAACAGATTATATGAGACTTAGAGTCCCTGCATCTGATGTTGAATATATTGTGGAGACTAATTTTTTAAGGAAAAAAAATTTAAAGAGAGATAAACTTCATCAGAACTCTCTAATACTTGGAAGGATGGAAAACTGCCAGTTTATAATCATAGTGGAAAACAAATTTGTTGACTTAATTTCTTGGCATGGTATTCTAGGGTTACTTAAGTACTATTACATAATTTTTATTTTTATTTTTATTTTTCAAGCAACACAGTGAGTGATTTAATAGATAGTCATTTAAAAATAATAATTTAAAAGATCAGCCTCCAGATAAGAGAAGTGCTTTCTACTTTAGGTTTTTGTGAGTTCCTTACCCCTATGTTTTTACTTTAAATAAGTATTTTTTATGATGTCAGCTAATAAAGGATTTTGCATGTAAAACTGAGCAGCTACAAAATACATGTTTTTTTGCAACAGTTTCTGCTGGACAAAAAAGTACAGTGACTTTGGAAAAACTGGGCTAATGAAAAAGTAAATATTTTTCAATATAGTTTTGGACTCATGAATCTCAGGTCCTGCACAAGTTCAAACGTTTTTAAGGAAGGTGGCCCTACCATTCTCTCCTGCCTAGAATAGCATGGTAGTCCCACAGAACATATCAGAGTTACCCTTGTTTACATTCATACATGGGGATCTAAATAGTAGTCCCATCTAGCTGCTGCTCACATGTTGGCTGGGAACTTTACTATAAACTCTGTGTTTGCTTTGTTATTGTATTCTTCTTTTCTAGATGAGTTAGGATTTCCAGCTATTGACTCAAAATCATTGAAATCGTGGAAAATGACAACATTATTAATTAGATCATATCCAGTCAGTAATGTGCTAGCTTTGAAAACATGTATTTGTATACTAAGCCGTGTCTGAGTACCATTTTTAGGAGTGTTAAAAATGAAACTGTGAGCTGTGTAGCACTCTTTTTAAAAAGCTGTATTCTTTGCCACCAGGTGTATTTATCTTTAATTTGCAACCAAGTATATTTATCCTTAAAAAGATTTTGTGACACTGACATTGTACTAAGCACTTACAGATTTTTCCATCATGGCATTTTCCAGAATTTCTATCTTGGCTTAACATTTCTTTGACCATATATGGATTTGCTAAATGTTATTGTTTATAGAGAATCAATGAACAAAAGTGATGGGCTACATTTGAGTAAATTTAATGAAACTTTCACTGTGCTTTTTTTTTTTTTTTGTAAAACCCAGAGAAATATACGGATCTGTTTCAACTCGGTCCAAATAAAAATAAATAATTAGAATACATAAAAGGCTTTTTAAGTTGTCTTTTTCCATAGCATGTGAGGAGCATTATAGAGAGGGGATTTTGGTCTTACTAGTTTGAACCTCAGAGAGATGTCTCTAATTGTATAAGCCTGCCTTTTTTTGGAAAGAAAAGGAAAATTTTCCAATTGTTGGGAAATCAATGATCCATAACCAAAAAGGGAGATAGAAAGAACTTTATTAAGTGACTCTTCTGTGCCTGGCATTTTTACATATATTATTTTGTTGACATACATTCCTCCAAAGTAGGCATTATTTCTATTTGTTGATGAAAAAATGAATTGCCTAACTTGATTTGTCCAAGGTACGTTATGAATAATAGTGGCCAGGACTTAACACAACTCTGCCTTACTCAGTGCTGCTGCTGAACAGTCAGCCAGCATTGAGTGAGTGTGTGCCCTGTGCCTATTCCTTTGCCCACTTTTTTATAATAAATTGTTATTTGATTCTCACAGTGACCCTTGCAGGAAGGGGCTATAATTACCTTTTTACAGACCAGGAGGTTAAGTTAGTTGCTCAAGGTCACATAGTGCCATGGAGGCAGGCTTTGAACTCAGTTGATTTCAGAATGCCAAAGAGAGTATATTAGCTAATCATTTTGGTTCTTATGTTATATCCCAACTTAAGGCAGCCTGGATCCTTTAGAGAGATGCTCACCTTCTATCTTCTGTAGACTTATAATAATGGTATTTGCCTGGGCTTACACTATATCTGCTGCATAACCCACGTTGATACACTGCAGACAGGACATAAACAACATGGCTAATTTACTATCTTGGAATCCCACTCATTCAAAAATATCTATGAAGTGTCACATCCTGGGCCACATCCCAGTGATTAAGATAACCAGGCAGGGGTTTGTGGTTTAGTGACGAGATACAGCTATAACTAACCTTTATATCTGGGGCAAATGTTTTTGTGGAGATGAGCAAGGCACCATGGGCATGAAGGGGAGAAGTGGTCAAAGCTCAGGGAGGTCAAGGGAATGTTTCTCAAAGGCAGCACTGTCTGAACTAGGGGGGCATGGGCCGAAAGTCTCCAGACTCACAGCAGGAGACAGGGGTATTATTTCAGACAGTGGGTAGCATGTGCACAGTGGGAAGGCAAGAAGAAGCATGGCCTGATGAGAGGGTGCTGTAGTGCCTCTGAATAGCTGGAACACAGCAAATGGGGACATTGGTAGATGAGACTCCATCCATAGCAACCTTGTCTGCCATCCTGAGAAATGTTTGGCCTTGATCTTGTAGGTGATGAGGAGCAGTGAAAGTGTAAAAATTACAGGCATGAGGGCAGGAGGGCATGGTCACAACTGGATATGAGAAAGATTAATTTTGCTGAAAGGCTGGTGTTGGGAGACAGGTTGTGAGGTGATGGTAATGACCTGAATGTCACACTGAGATTAATTTAGGATGAGAGTATTACTAAATTTGTAGCTGCTGCCAGGTGTCCCTACCTTAGCAGGCAGTCCATTCAGATTTGAGATTGTTCAATTGCCAGGATGTTCTTATCATGAGCTGTATAACCTCTCTATAACTTCTGCTACTCAGAATGATGTCTCTTCCTCCACATGACAGGCACTTCCCTAGTTGATGTAAATATTTTTAGGTCCATGTCCTATCCACCCATGCCTCAGTTTCTCAGGATCTGCTAGATCTTATCAACTTGGATTGTGCAGGAGGTCCATGGTCTTTCCAGACTCATGCATCATCTTAGGGACTTAGTAGTGGGGGTTAGCAACACTATACAAGATTCTGGCACCTTCAGCTGGGCTTTAGAAGAGGGCTTGTAATGAGCACATTCACAACATAATAGAACATCCCCTTTACCCCTGCTACATGGGTTGACCCATTGAGTACAGGGTAGTGCTTGTATATATTTGTACTGAACTCAATGCTTCTGATAGTGCACCCTATAATTTCTCTAGTATTTCTGCCATAGCTAACAGCTGAGTGATAAACTCAAACTTGCAGGCTTTTTTCACATAAAATAGTTTGAGCTTCTACTGTGAATTGCATTACTTACCTTTTTTGGATGATGAACTTTGTAAGGGCAAGGACTCTTTTTTACTTAATCTTGGTGTCCTTTTCCATCTAGTATAGTGACTAACACATGCCAGCCCATCAGGAAATATGTGTTGAATAAATGTAGTTTGATTATTATTTTGATCTGCACTTGATATTAGTACTATGAAATTGTTCTAGCTTAGCACATTTGGAATCGTGATTCTATTGTATATCATTTTAGTCATTATCAACCTTGAATCATCTGTAATCACTTTGATAAGCCTGTCTTATGGGTGGGTTCAATTTCTTGGTGTGTGAAAGTCCCGTGACCACAACTGGATTTAACAAGGGGATTGTATTACTTGCAAGAAGTATGGACACCAGGATAGTTCCCAGAGCAGTGCCTTCCCTAACTATGGTGAAAACAGCGCTTTCATTAGGCTGGTTAGCTATCATTGTATGAAGAGGTAAAGGTAGTGCAGATGCAGCTTCTGGTCATGTTTCTACATATTATCAATCTTCTACATACAATCAAACTTCTACATATGGTCATGCTTCTACATAGGTCACATGTATAGAAAATTGCAAATAAATTCCTCCTCAGGCAGGGTTTTTAGTATGGTGATGAGGAGAGTTTGTCAAAGTTTATCTCCAACTCTGACATCCCTGGATCCAACTGTTTTTTGTTTTTCTGGGGCTGAGTTTCTTCTTTTTAAAAGAACACGAACTCAAGGTGCAACAGGGACAAGTGGGTAGTCTTTCACAGTGTTTACCCAAAAACCCAGGGACCTTAGGCTACATCTTCCCTCTCCTGTATGTCACTCTCCATGGATTATCAAGAGTTTTAGAAAGTTTATCCCTTTACATTGAAGAAATTTATTGTAGACTAAATAGGATTAGAATACATTTTGGAAATCTATTGTAAGGTCACAACTTATTAGAAGTTGTAGAACAATGGAATAATTTAGTTTCCTTATAAGCAGTATTGTTGATTATTGGTTTTTCTTTTTTGTGGTCTCCAGATACTTAGCCATCATTGATTGCTATAATCCTTATTAAGTATTTGAAGATGTTGAGTACCATCCACTGAAGGAGTCCCAGGGCTGATTGAGGAAGTTCGTGAATATTAAAAGATGGGAACACTGAGTTTTTTTTTTTTAAAGCACTTTTGTGAGTTACAATGTATATATAACTAAATTTACTGATTTTAAGTGTATGGTTTAATGTATTTTCGCAAATATGGCAGTTATGCACCCACTACCACAATCTTGAAATAGAACATCTCCATCACCCTGCGTGTTCTGTCGGGCGTCTTTGCAGTCAGTCCCTTCCCCCACACTGTGACTGTGCCAATCATTGATGTGCTTTCTATTGCTCCAGTTTGCCTTTCTCTAAAATTTCATATAAATGCGATCATACGTGTAGTCTTTTGTGTTTGGCTTCTTTTCCATAGTATAATCCTCTTGAAATTGCTTTACGTTGTTGTATATATCAGTAATTATTTCCTTTTTATTACTGAGTAGTATTCCTTCGTGTGGTATACCACAAATTGTTGATCCATTCACCAGATGATGGACGTTTGGATTCTTTCAAGTTTGGAGTTATTATGAATAAGGCTGCTGTGAACATTCTTGTGCAAATCTTTGTGTGGAATCTCTGTGTTTAAATTTTGTCCTGGGTATATACTTAGTAGTAGCATTGCTGGGTCATATCGTACGTGCTTAACTTTATAAGCAACTGCCAAATTAGTTTTCAAAGTGCTTGTAACATTTTGAATTTCCAACAATCATTGTAGGAGAACCAAGTTGTTTCATATCCTTATAAACACTTTATATTTTCTTTTCGAGATGGAGTTTTGCTCTTGTTGCCCAGGCTGGAGTGCAGTGCTGCGGTCTCGGCTCACTGCAGCCTCCACCTCCTGGGTTCAAGTGATTCTGCTGCGTCAGCCTCCCAAGTAGCTGGGATTACAGGCGCCTGCCACCACGCCTGGCTAATTTTTTGTATTTTTAGTAGAGACGGGGTTTCACCGTGTCAGCCAGGCTGGTCTTGAACTGCTAACCTCAGGTGATCCCGCCCACCTCGGCCTCCCAAAGTGCTTGGATTACAGGCGTGAGCCACTGCGCCTGGTTAACACTTGATATTTTGAAACCTTTTAAAATTAGCCATCTTATTTGGTATGTAGTGGTATCTCATTAAGGTTTTGTTTTGCATTTCCCTGATTAATTATGTTGAAGATCTCTTCCTGTGTTTACTTGGCATCTCTATTTTCTTTATTGAAATGTGTTGGAATGGACATCTTGTCCTTTTTCCCCCCTTAATATGGTTGTTTGGCACTTAGTCTTAATATCAATAGTGAGTTTATAAAAAGAAATATAAGGAAAATATTTTGTTGCTTTCACGGTTTCTAGAAAGGAGTATTTCTTATTGGATGTTTTGTTTCCTGACCATGTGTGTGCATGTGTGCTTTTTTGGGCATGCGTAGAGGAGTTCTTCTGTCATCTGTTGGCCAGATTTCATTTATCTTACCTTGCTTCCTTGCACATACTCTTTATTTCTGCGGAATCTGTCAGTTCACATTCCCCAGGAAAACCGCATGTGGATTTACTAACTACCCATCTAAAGACACACTCACAGTTACACTCTCATCCCATGCAAACCTTAACTCCAGTGCTGCTCTGAAGGCCTTCCTTGGTGACCTCCATCATCAGCCCACAGTGGGCAGGACACCATCTGGTGCTTTTCGGTTCTCATGCACCTAGCACTGTGCAGCAATAAATAATGGGAGAGTCAACACATGACTGTTGTTAATAAGCTGCTGACCTGGGTGACCCAAGTGCTCTGCAGTGATTCTAGGGTTTCAGTGAATACGAATTCAGTCTGAACTGATAGAACTAATACTAAATCATTTTGAAATTCTACTTTCAAAACTGCTTATGTGAGCTTTGTGTATAGAACACCTATGTTTTGCTTGAGAGACTCTATAAATCGACTTGAAAATGTGTTGCAGCAAACCTATGATTATGATCTGACTATGAATAAGACAGGGAAACTATATACTCTTTTTGTATTAAATTTATCTAGGTTAGACAACCTAAGAATATCCCAAATTTCATTTTGGATTTCTCATGGGCATTCATATTTTAATCTAGCTTTATCAGTGGGACAAAAGGCAGCGTATGCCCTTGATAACTTTTAACAGTGGGTTATATTGACAGAAAGTTGAGTTGACTCGTGATGTTGTAATCATGCTGATTAGAAATGATTTTTTTTTTGTTTTACACTAAAATAGATGAAATTGTAATCTCTTAAGAGGTTATTTAGGAAATTAAAGATCCGCTATGATCTAATAGAGCACTGGATTTACACCTAGAAAACCTGGGAATCTGGAGCTGGCTTAGCTGTGTGACTTTGAAGTGGTCACTTAACCACTCTGGGCTTTCTTTTTCTCATCTGTGAAATGAGTCAACTGGAGCAGATGACCGTATGATCCCTAAGTTTCAAGCATCTGTGCTATGAGTTATTTGTATTAGGATCGTTTTGATTTCACATGGCAACTTTGAAGATAAATCCAATCTTGAAGTTCTCCATATGTGGTATTACTCCCTGTCTTAATCACAGTTGAGTGACTTTTCTATCTGTGAATTCATTCTAGTAAGTGTTCAGCTCTTTGCTATTTTCTCCCTTCAAAAGTGTGAGAAGGATAAGGCAAAAATCATGAGAAAAATGAACAGGGATTTTAGATATAATTTTTGGCCAAAATAAAAGTATTGGTTGCAAAATATTAAAATACAGAACCTTTTGCTTTGTTATATGGGTCACAATCAAATTAATATGGGCCCAAATATATTTTAAATCAATATTTCTCTAACATAATAACAGCACATGATTTCATTAATTTGAGTTGCTGGAAATCCCATATACTTCAGCAAGCAAATAAAATACTATCTTAAATTTCAGGTATTAAAGCAATAAAAAGAACCATGGGACTTGGAGTTTATATTTCTATTTTAATCTAATACTAATTTACTCTGTGTTCTTGTTGAACCTTGTTAGGTAATGGGACAGGAGAAAGTAGGCTGTTTTGAAAGTTTTGAAAGTGAGTGGAAAGTATCAATCTTAGTTGTTATTTAAATGGGCATTTTCAGGCTCTTTGTATTGTTTTGAAGCGATAGAAAATCTAGGTCAGGATTTACAGCCTTCCTAATACATGTTTAGTGTATCATTCATTACACATCTCTCCAGAAAGGCGATGATAGTGCTGAGGACGCTGGCATAGATCTTAATGAAGTAGTTTTTTAGCCATTATCTGTTGGAGTCCCAAGTGCCTCCTTAAAATATTTTTCTCTTGGTTCCTCCTATAAACCTGCAAAATATACAGTAAATCTCAATAAAGAAGATATCTATTGCAGACAGGACACTTCCTTCCCTGTCTGTTGGCTCCTGCTTTTGAGTAAACAAAGACGCAGTCATTTGGACTGATGGTATCTGACAAAAGCAGATGCTGGAGGAGAAGACGGTTAAGATTTTCAACACAGTATTTTCTTTAGCATTGCCAGCTGTCCCGATAACCATCACTTTCATGACTCGTCCCAGTATCTCCAAGTGCAGCGAAAGCAGAACATGTCCAGCAGAAGCAGCTTTCCTCCAGGAGTCTCCGTTTCTTTCCCCGTTTGTAAAAAGGAGTCATTTCTCGGTCCAGTCGATGTTAATTTTTGCTGATAATGAAATAGTTTGTACTTGAAATTTGGGACTATTGAGGCCATCAAGATCTGTCCTCAATCCAGGAAAAAGAAGTCCAGGACCAGCGGAAACATGTGTTTGTTCGTGACCTTGGGTCTGAACTGCATTTGGAGGACAGAAGGAGCTACTAGACCTGTCTTGTGATATCTTCTCCCTTTGCAAATATTAACGATGTTTCTGGAGGACAGTGTAGCTGTTTTCCTAGCCAGTTTTGCAGTTGTTTATGAGGAGGCTCCATCATTTTCTGCATGATTCTGTGAGTTAGAAGGAGTGACATGTCCTTTCTGGGATGTTGAGTATGAAGCAGTGCAAAGCCGGGGTTCCCCAGGCTCATGGAAATACACAGGCTCTCATTTAGTTTGTTTTCCATTGAATACATGAAGTTGGCCTCATACTTTGATTTTTGTTTCCTTTTGGAATCAGTTTTAGTTTCCTGGAGCAGCTGAATTAGAAACAGGCTTTGAACCTAGTTTATCCTTAGATAAATACAATGTCTGTGATTCAAGGAAAAACAATTTCTTTTGAATGATACCTTTTAATCACTTTTATTCTCCAGCATAATTTTTAATCTGCGTCTTTTTCCTTTTAGAAATCTCCAAATTGGACATCCAGAGCAGCATTCTTGTTCTGTCTACGTCTTGAATTAGAAACTATCAAGCTCTGTAAGTCCTGAAAAGGAAATAAAAGGTAATTACATTAAAAATTTATTATTAAAATCATGTAGGAATCTGGTTATAAAGTAAATTTGATCCTTTATATGTTGAGCAGAATTTAGGTATTCCCCAATTTTTCCCACCTTTTTCGTTCTTAAATACTTTCCCTTCCCTCCTTCCTTCTTTCTTCTCTCCCTTCCTCCCCCTTCCTTTTCATATATTCATTTAGCAAACTTTTGTGGACTCTGCCCTGTGCTGGTCACTGTTCTAAGCACACACACTTTATTCCAACTTCCCATGCCCTGGCAGGAATGGGGAGATTGGCAAAAACCATCCTTGTAGAACTGGCTCCCCAGCCTCTGTGCCGGCTGCTGGGGGGCAGATGCTCTGCCATTGGTTTGGCTGAGGCTGATCTCGGCACCTGCCCCACCTTCACTATCCCCACTGGCCTTGAAATGCATGCGCTTCTCCCAGCCCTCTGAACTTGCCTGGGTGTTCACTTGCAGTGGCTTTTTTACCTGAGAATTCTGAACACTCAGTGGACATTTAACTTCCCCAATTGGGACTGTTAGAATTATAATCACTCATGGGGATAAGTAAAACAGAAACAGTGTACTGTTCCCCAACTACTGAATATGTGAATATTCTCACTGGACATGGGACCTAGTATATATATTTTTAATTATTAACATAATGTAAATATTGCAAACAAATAAATGTTACAGATAGGTAGCATAGAATGCAACTTTCTACTCAAAAGCCACTCTCCAGAGAAAATATTGGTTAGATTTAGGTGCACATTCTTTAATTATTTTTTCTCCATGCACATACTAATGTTCAGGTGTTCAGTCTGTATTAAATGCCTTAACCCTATGAGTGAAAGTATTGGGGTAAAGATGACTTCATAATTTCTGGTAAATATTGTGACTTATTTTTGTTCTTGGCGTTTGTTAATCTGAATAATGATGTCTATGAGTTGGGGGCCACTGGCACACCTATGCACTTGGTTTATTTGATGGTGTTTTGTAGTCACTTTGTAGTCCAGAGCGCTCACCTCCCATTGTGTTAGGAATGCATTAATTGTTCCAGTGTTCCATAGAGAACCTGGACTCGTGTGGCAAGGTGAACACCCTTATCTTGGGTGGTGGGCAGGAGTGGTGAACTTCTCCCTAAGCTGAGAACTTCTGTGGTAAATCCACTTCAATGTGGCTCTTGAGACATCGATTTCATTTTAAAAAATAATGTCTACTGTTATTTTAAATTCAGGAGGTGCACGTACAGGTTTGTTACATGAGTATATTGTGTGATGCTGAGGTTTGGGATATAAATGATCCCATCAGCCAGGTAGCAACCATAGTATCCCATCGATAGGTTTTTCAGCCTTTTCCCCCTGTAACTCCCCCCAGTAGTCTCCAGTGCCTTTTGCTCCCATTTTTATATCCATGTGTACTCAATGTTTAGCTCCTACTTATATGTGAGAACATGCTGTTTTCTGTTCCTGCATTAATTCACTTAGGATAATGGCCTCCAGCTGTGTCCATGCTGCTGCAAAGGACGTGATTGCATTTTTTTAATGGCTCTGTAGTATTCCATGGTGTGTATGTACCACATTTTTTTAATCCAGTCCACCATTGATGTACACCTAGGTTGAGTCTGTGTCTTTGCTATTGTGAATAGTGCTGCAGTGAACATATAAATTCATGTGTCTTTTTGGTAGAATGATTTATTTCCCTTCAGTTATACACCCAATAATGGGATTGCTGGGTCAAATGGTAGTTCTAAGTTCTTTGAGAAGTCTCCAAACTACTTTCACAGTGTCTAAACTAATTTACATTCCCACCAACAGTGTATAATCCTTCCCTTTCCTCTGTGGAAGGAGCATAAATGATTTCAACAAGCAAAAAACCAAATAGCCCCGGTAAAAAGTGGGCAAAAGACATGCAGAGACACTTCTCAAAAGGAGACATAACAAGCAGCCAACAAACATGAAAAAATACTCAATGTCACTAATCATCAGAAAAATACAAATTAAAACCACAACAAGGTACCATCTCACAGCAGTCAGAATGGCTATTATTAAAAAGTTAAAAAAAAATAGTTTTATTTTTCAGTGTTTTTTCATCTGTCATTAAGCTGTCAGCTGCAAGTCAGTTGATTGCCACACGTCTTCCTCCTGCTGACCGTCTCTTACCCTGGCTTCCTGCCTCCCTCCTGGGATGCCAGAGCATTGCTGCTGGTCTCAGGCTCAACCCTCCTACTACCTTTCCCTGGTAGCCTTTGTTAACCTCCCCACGCGCCCTTGGAATTGAGCCCTCCCATCACTGGATGCCCACCAGTATATCCCAAAACAATTTTGCCGTAAATTCCAGCAGTCCCTCCTGAAACAGGCCTGGGTAACCAAGAGCCTGAGTAACAAAATCAGTAGTCCAGAGCCTACTATGGCCGAGGGACACAGTGGGCTGCGGTAACTAAGGGACAGATGACCATTGAATGGGCATGGTGCATCTGTCTAGACCAAGGCTTGTTATCCTGGAATGCCTAGTGCCCTGGACACTCAGAAACCCTGTCATTTGGGTCTTGTGCTCCGGGTATCATTGAGTTGCCAGCTTTGAAGCAAGGCTTCTGTTTTCTTATGGTGAGTTCCTTCAGGAAAACTTGGGCAGGGGGAGTGTCCCAGCTGGATTTATCAGCTGACTTATGGGTCGGAAGGTCTGGCTCTGCCCAAACCAGCCCTGACCCCTTTCCTGTCCATTGTTTCAATTCTTCTCATGTCTAGTGACAGAGAGCAGTCCTGGAGAGCCACACTCCTCAGTGCTGAGGGTAAGAGTGTGGGCTTTAATGTTAGAAGGACCTGTGTCAGGACCTGGACTCTGCCATGTGCAATAGGTACAGCCCTGGGAAAGCTGTTTACTTGATGTGCCAGCCTATTCATCCATCAAAGCAGAATTACGATAGTGCCCAGATCATAGGATTGTTGTTAGGAATGTGAGTTGCTACATGAGCTGGCACATGAGAAGTGTTTAAGGTATGTTAGTAGCTTATGTACTGTGATCTTCTGCAGAATGGAGATAATACCTACTTCTGAGGGTTGCTGTAAGCATTAAATGAGGTGGTGTATATAAATACATTGTGCTGGGCGCATAGTGCATACTCTGTAACTGAGAGCCCTCCGTGATAATGGTAAAGTAAAAATAGCACTATCAGCAAATGTGTTCAGAATGGGACAGACATTGTGACCCAGAGTGTGGGGGAATATCTAATAGTAGTAGGGAAGAATGGCCGCAAGTTCAGTCATCTCATCGTTAGTTTAAGTCATTGTCTAAACTTTGGTCACAAAGGCTCATTCATAAAAGCTTTGGTTATGATTGACTACTAGAGTGAATAGTCAAGAGTTATGTGTCCAAAAATCCTTTTATTCTTATTAGGTGCTACTTTTTAAATATAAAAGGCAATATATTCTTGGATTTTTATGAAATTTAAAAATCAACTTAAGAATAAAGATAGTAGTAATTATTTTGTTCTCTCATTAGACAATATTTTTTATCATCCTTAAATGGGAAGTATACTGGAAAATGCTCACTTATGTTATATGGTTGTTATGAAATGATTAAAGCAAGCAAATTGAAATCTATTAACATTTGACCCTGTCATCTCATACCTAAATTAAATGAGATGTGTTTAACAAACTTTGGCATTCATTTTCCTCTACTTTGAACTAAAGACACATTTGAATCCTTGGTATATTAGAGAATTTTCTTACCATTTGTTTCACACATTTGTTTTTCGTATACTTGAAACTAATGACATTACTTGGCTTAAAAATGTGTTTTAAAGAAAAGAGTATGCATAATTCACTGTAAGTCACCTTAGAAAGTGAATGTGTCTGAGCCCTCCTGGCCATAGAGACCTGTCCTGTTATCTTAGCACCCAGGCCTGGCATTAAGCATGCTCAGTACAGATGGGAACTGAATTGAAAATGCAGCAAAGGAATTGAAGATGTGAAAACCCATTTGTTAGAATGCTGAGAATATGATGACTTTTCAAATTTACCTTTAGCAGTACAGTTAAACTATAAAGAAAGACATTGTAGTGGGAGTAACATGTGCATTTGAGTGCAGTGATAGTGATACTTGTTCTTTGCTCTATGCTAAGTTTAGGATGCCGATGGGCTGGAGTCATCTGTCTCTTGTTTCCTTCTGCCCTCCTTCCCTGCTTGCCCCTTCCCCCTCCTTATCTTACCATCCCCAACTCCTCCTCCTTATGAGACTGACCTTGTGCAAGGTCCCATGTGTTCTTGTTCTCCCAGCATTCCCTATGCAGTAGCCCGGGCCTCTATGGAGGAGGTCCTGATGTGAAGCAATAATGCTACTACACTTGCTGTTTCTGCAGTGGTGACTTGTATTCCTGTAGACCCTTATATCAGTTACACACCAAGGGAAGGAGTAGGCAGCCTCTCTTTCAGAATCATGGTGCCACGTCTCTCATGCTGACTTAAGTCCACCTCTTAGAGTGGTTTTATCAGTGTCCTTTGCTACATCTTTTCTCAGCTAATTTGGGATGAAAACATTCTGTCTCTATTAACATCATTATATTCTGGCAGAGAACAGTATTACGCCTGAATTTCAGCAAGTCTGTTTGCATTTCACAGGAGAGAGCCAGGCTCAGCCAGACATTTTATATTCTGTGTGAAATCAAGACTTATTATCTTACTTGATAATACCATTCCTCATGGTGGAAATCTAAAACTGAACTTGCTAAGTGTTCTTCTTTCCAACAGTAGACATCAGCAGTCTTAAAAATCACTGACTTTTTAAAGTAAATTTGCCTTATTTCATGGTTGCCCACAGGTTAGGATTTGTCATGAGATTAAGCTGGTAAGAATAATACAGCCACCTCTCAAAATTTGTAATCATGCCAAGTGAAAGTTTCTGAAAACCAAAGAGTAGTTAAGGTGCTGATCTGAATGGGATAGATTAGTGAGAACCCCCACTCTTCTTGCACACATGTGCACATGCAAACACATGTGTGCACACATACACACTTCCCAGAGGTGTGATTTGATTTTGGACTTCAGCTGTAATTGAGTTTGCTTCCTTATTTGCTTTAGGTATTGATCTGACTTGAGTACCATTGAAGAGCAAACCCCTTAAGCATGAGTGTATTTTAATATGTAGTAGTATACAGTTCTTCAACCTCTTCAAACCCTAAGAATTTGAATTTTTCTTCTCCAAGTACAAGAGTATACTGGTTTTGTGAAATTTGGTAATATAAACTTAGATTTTCCCGGAATGAGTTTCCCTTATTGTTATCCAATCATACTTATTATTTTTTACCTTGTTTCAGTGTTTGAGTAAAGGGGAAGAACATCGGATGGTGTGTTTTGGTTTTTCAGATTGTTTGAAAACATCAAAGTATTGATAGACCCTTCATGTATTAATGCCGTTAAGGTACAAGTATGTTAAATTTTTTTTTACATAGTCTATAAGCTGATCAACCTACAAACCTACTATCTATAGTAAATGCATTCTTATTGTTACATAGGATTATCTTTTTAAAAACAGTACTTTTAGTGATTTGAGGTTTTATATATTAATATATAATTTTTACTTGCCTTCTCTCTAAAAGGAAGTTTTTTTGGTTTGTTTGTTTGTTTGTTTGTTTTTTTAATTAAAATGTCCTCCAATTTGGAGCTTAGAATGGTGGCTTATGAAATCCCAACACTTTAGGAGGCCAAATTGGGAGGATTGCTTGAGGCCAGGAGTTTGAGACCAGCTTGGCAACATAGTGAGACTCAGTCTCCACAAAAAAAAAAATTAAAAATTATCCTAGTGTGTGGTGCACGCCTATAACCCTAGCTACTCAGTTAAGCTTAGGCAGGAGGATTGCTTGAGCCCAGGAGTTGGAGGCTGCAGTGAGCTGATAGTGCCACTGCACTCCAGCCTGAGCGACAGAGTAAGACTCTGTCTCTTTAAAAAAAAAAAGTTTTCCGATTTAGGTTGCATACATCAGTCATGATGATGAAATTCTTTTTTCACGAAAAGTATTGTTCACAATCTGTTTAGCTTTTTTAGTGGCATCTCTTTTCAGTGAGTACTGTCTTTGGCAATGTTTTCTGACTTGTTTCCTAACTTAATTAGAATTGGAAAACAGCCGTTACTTTTCTCTCTTTCTCTTTGTTGTCTGGGGCCGTCATACCTGACTATCTTGATTTTCGCTTTCTCCTTCCCCCACTACAGTTAACGCTTCATCTCTGAGGCTACTTTCTTTGTTTGGAGTCTATCAGCTGAACAGATAGGCATCACCAATGTGTGACACAAGCAGGGACTGTCTGGGTTTGAAATGCAAGATGTATTGTACCAAATGAATTCTAGATTGTTTTGCTTAGTAGCTCACCCAATTTTTGTTTCTTTAATCTTCGAAAGATACGACTGGGAGGATACTTGCACCTATTGAGAAAGCGTGTGGTCCTCTCCCTGAGTGATTGCTGATGACATAGAAATGCATGGTAGCCTCTTTTCACTTAAAAATTAAGTATCAGGTACTGCTTACTCTAAATTAGGTTACAGAGCTGCCATCACTCCTCATCATCAACCCTCGGACCATTAATGACTGTTCTGTTTACTCAGAGCTGTGTTATATTTTGCATATGGAATCCTGGAGTGTTGAAGACAGAGATGTTGCATATTTAATTTTAACTCCTTGATTTTCAGAGGAGAAAACGGAGATCATTTCACAATTGCCTTGTAAATAGCTATAAGAATACAGCAAAGGTATTCTTAGTGTAGGTATTCTTCATGTAATTAAAATATCTATGAAAATTACCTTTAATCCCAGCACGTTGGGAGGCCAAGGCAAGTGGATCACTTGAGGTCAGGAGTTTGAGACCGGCCTGGCCAACATGGTGAAACCCCATCTCTACTAAAAACGCAAAAGTTAGCCAGGTGTAGGGGCACAGGCCTGTAATCCCAGCTACTTTGGAGGCTGAGTCAGGAGAATCATTTGAACCTGGGAGGCAAAGGTTGCTGTGAGCCAAAATCGCATCACTGTACTCCAGCCTGGGTGACAGAGTGATTGAGACTCTGTCTCAAAAAAAAAAAAATCTCTGAAAAGTAACAAGTGCATCAAATTATATTAAAAGTGATGAGCTCTCTCTACCCACCCTTCAGATCCACTTCATCCCGGACCCAGAGAAGAGCTTGGCATTCAGGAATTTCCTAAACAGCTGTGTGTTTGTGTTTGCTCATTCATTGGTTCCTTTAACAAATGTATTCTGGGCACCCGCTGTGCGGTGCCAGAAAGACGTGGCTCTTGATTGAGAAGCACATAGTTAAGCCACCAGAGTTGTTATCTGATCCCATATTTCTTTATATTTAGCATTTGACTGAGCCTGCAAGATTTGTGTTTTTGACAGAATTCCCTGGAGGAGCTGAGGAAAGCATGTCAGCCTGACGGCATTTCTCTGGAGCCAGATCGCCGGGTGCCAGCCTGGGCTGGCACTCACAGGGCCCCTCCTTGCTGGCCCTGCTGAGCCCAGAGTCATTGTCATTCTCAGAACCTCCTATGTTTGGGTTATGCTGAAAATGCAGGGAGCTCTCTTAGATCAGCCTTAATTTGACTGGAAGAGGAAACTCATTTCCTGCAGAGTGCCTGTAATGTGTCCAGTCCCTGTTTGTCTCCCTGCTGGTTGGCCGAGGCAGGCGAGTCCACCCTGGAGCACCACAGGCCTGTTCCAGGGGCCAAGAAGGCCTTTGTCTCCAGCTTCACTTTCTTACTCTTTGCTTTTCAACTTCTCACCAGCCATGTAGAAAAAGTCTTATACATGTGAGATCCCATTGAGTTTATATGGTGTTGAAATTTCACTCACTAGTACTCTTCTCACAATTTTAAAAATAGTCATTTAAGAAGTTTTGTCTGTTGAGTAGGCTGTGTTAGGAGCCGCTCCTATCTATGGGACAGTGGGAAGTACAGCAGGAATTTCAGAGCCAAATTTCAGATCTGCCTCCTGATAGTGGTGGTTTGAGTCACATAGAGTAAGGTTAGTCTCCCCCTCTGGAGGTCACTTCTTATATATATTTAAACATACACACACACATACACACACATTAGAGACAGGGACTCCGTCCCTTGCTCAGGCTGGAGTGCAGTGATGTGATCATAGCTCACAGTAGTAACCTTGAACTCCTGGGTGCCAGCAGTCCCACCTCAGCTTCCCAAGTAGCTGGGACTACAGGCATATGCCACCGTGCCTGTGGAGACAGTGGTGTGGTCTCTAATTTTTAAATTTTGAATATTTAAAATTTTTTTAATTAAATTTTTAAATCTTTTACATTTTTAATTTTTAAAAAAATTTAAATTTTTTGTTTGTAGAGACAGCCTCTCACTGTGTTACCCAGGCTGGCCTTGAACTCCTGACCTCAGGCGATCCTCCCTTCTCTGCCTCCCAAAGCACTGGAATTGGTCAGCGCTTCTTCGACATACTGTACCCACCTCAGCAATTTTTGAGTGAACGCTTTTTTTTTTCTCCTGCAAAATATTTAACATTCCCTACTTGTTATTTGGGCACAAATAATTCTGTCCCCAAAGTGGATTCATCTGCATTCTGTGATAGTTTATTTATTGAACATACAGCACACAGAAGCAGTTTGCTTTCCTCTAACGTTACCAATACCTGAAATATGCTTACGAAGAGAAACTGGTATCTGTATCCCAGTGAGCATGTGCCATATGCGCATGGCGGCTGCTCTCCCAGGCGTTGGCTTGTGGCTCCTGCACAGTCATCTTGTCAGCATCACAGGCCCACATAGAGACCAGGCACTCCAGGGCCGCTCTGCCTAGATTAGAGCTGGAGGAAGAGAAAATACTAACCCAGGCAGCAGTGGCCATTAGCCCACCCAGAACCAAATGCCTACACCCAAAACGGATGCATTCACATCTTAGGAAATAGTGCCTGTTTCCATATAATTTTAAAAACACTGCCTCACCTTTTTTGCTAACAATTATATTAGGAACTTTAAAATTGTATTTTGATTTGAAAATCTAGAGACTTACATTAAGGTAAGTGGAAAGTAAATTATAGCTATGCAGGATCAGCTTTTTTAAAAAAAATCAGTTTTTAATGAGACTGAAAATGTCCACTTATGATATTTCTTCTTTCTCTACTATCCTTAAGTTGGCATACCATGGTTTATAGCTAAAATAATAAATGGTAGTGATAAATGTGATAAATGTACATTTTTTTAAAAGCAGAGGTTAGAAATGGGAAAATCTTTTTTTTTTTTTTTTTTTTTTTGAGACAGAGTTTCACTCTTGTTGCCCAGTCTGGAGTGCAGTGGCGCGATCTTGGCTCATTGCAACCTCCGCCTCCAGGTTCAAGTGATTCTCCTGCCTCAGCCTGCTGAGTAGCTAGGATTACAGGTGCCCACCACCACATGTGGCTAATTTTTGTATTTTCAGCAGAGATGGGTTTTCCCCATGTTGGCCAGGCTGGTCTTGAACTCCTGACCTCAGATGATCCCCCACCTCAGCCTCCCAAAGTGCTGGGATTACAGGCATGAGCCACCGCGCGCAGCCGAAAATGGGAAAATCTTAATCGTCTGTGCACACCTCACTAACATATCCAGATGAAGGGAGTGAACATTAGTCGCAGTGTTCGTTCCAGCAAGAAATGGGACCACTGTTTTAATCTAAAAGGTGATGATAGTTCCCACTCTTCTCCTATGTTACCCTTCTGTCCACATCTGAAACATCCAGTCATGACTATGTACCATCAGTGGTCCTCATTAATTGATTGATGGTGATATTTTAGCCAACATATCAGCAAATGTTCTTTGCTGATTCTGTCTCCCCCATCCCCAACAGTTTGATTTGTTGTTATTCTGCAGCTACTGCCCATGTGGAGTGAGCCACAGTCAATGGAAATCATAACACATGGGGAGTCTTGTTGCCAGGTAGGGAAGGTAAGCACACTACCCTGCATGGTAAAATTCACTCACTACAGTGGTAATCAGCTGTCACCAACTTGTGACATTGATGCCTTGCATTGCACTGATTGGTGGAGGAAGAATAGGGGTCATCAGCACTTACTGGTGTTAACCATCTGCTAAGTAAGGACTTACTTAAAGCTAGTGCAGGTATTCCTATTCTCTGAATTTCAGCTGTAGGACTCACTAATCACTTAACTGGCAGATGGTTGACAGACAGCTGACTTCTGCTGTCAGTCAGGAAGCAGTGCTAGGAATTGAAATTATTTCCTTGAACTCTGATTTTTCTTAGATGAAATAAGCAGGGTTCTCGCTTCAGTTCTTAGTGGGATAGAGCCTTTGGTACAGTGTGTAAACTCTCCAAACCTGTTTCCTCCTGTTTACCATATAAAGGCTGAATAAAATAGATTTTGATTTCTCTGTTTTCATAAGACATAGAATTTTTTATGTGACTGTTATAATCAGGCAAAAATTTAGAACAAGTACTGTTATTGGACTGAAAGCTCCTATTCCATCTTTTTAGATTCCACACATGTGATCTAGTGTATGGTACTAATTGCATTTATGATGAAGAAATTCTAAAATCACAGATGTTGATTAATTTAAAAATAGAACATATGCATTTTTATTAAGCTGTTGAGTTACAGGGTTTGGGCACCACTTCCTGATTTTCTGGCACAATCCAGTGGTAATGAGAATTGTGAGTGCAATGTCAGCATCATGCAGAGATGAAATTAGGGGACCCATTTGTCTTTTGGCTGCTTTTTGCAGAGATTCTTTTACACAACCTATCTATTCCTAGTTTAGTCAGACCTCTAATTTACCTGGATTTTTCTGTGATACAAACTTCAGTTTTCCCCAGTGGGATCTCCCCGTCTTATTTCTTCCAAGAGAACTAGTTAGGTGATTGGTTGCAAGAGGTACTGTGGGACATTTTGGTACAGTTAGATAATGTGTGCACCATCATGTGCCAGCATTTTATGAGTAGGACTGCGCTTTTCTAGAATTGCTAGATGTAGGTGTGAGAGAAGCTTGAATGTTGCATATATTTAATTCTCTTTAAAAATATGTTTCTTGTGTATGTTGTGTTTTCTACTATCTAAAACTGTAATCCACATCAAAACTGCTTATCAAATCTCCTGGATGCTTGCGTAAGAATTGAAATAGATAAAAAAGCATCTGCAAATTAACATGCCAGGACTTTTTCTGGTTTCTAGCTGTCCCACTTCACACTGTGGGAATAGTCCTGGCTCCCTCCAGCCTGGGAAACTTTGCGTGGTGCTTTCATCTTTGTAACACTTCCTTCTCTCTCATAGCACCAGGAGCAGGGCCTGTTTGCACTGCAGTGAATGAGATAATTTTCCAAGGTGGGAGTGCGATGCACCAGGGATTAGCTGATATTTAAAGAATATGAATGAAAGCAGCAAACACCTCACCAGGGCAGGCTGCACGAGCCTTTGGGCAGTTATTCCCTTGTAGGATTTGAAGTTTTATTGGCAGCTGATTAGGTAAACTGGAGTCGTTTGTCCCCTAGGTGCGTCCCTACCCAAGAGGAGAGGTGGCCAGTAAATGTCAGCTGAGGCACCGAAGGCTGCGATGCACCAGCCCGGTGCCCTGTGAGGACGGCCACATCAATAGTGGTAACACTCAGTGAGTGCGAGTTTGCTTTTCAGACCTAATGATTACTTCAAGTCAGGGATTTTAACTTTGTCAGAAACTTGAGTTGTAAAACAGATTGGTCTGCTGAAAACTTCCCTGTTAATCAAGAGCCTTCATTTTCTTTTTATTTATTTATTTTTTATTTATTTTTATAACTTTTTTTATATATATTTTTTATTATTATACTTTAAGTTCTAGGGTACATGTGCACAACGTGCAAGTTTGTTACATATGTAAACATGTGCCATATTGGTATGCTGCACCCATTAAGTCGTCATTTACATTAGGTATATCTCCTAATGAAGAGCCTTCATTTTCAATCTGGAATACATCACTAATTCTTAAACCCCTGACCTCTTTCTGCTTTGATTTTTTTACCTAATAGAACCAATACGAAATCCAAACACTTACATAGTTTGCTATTGCCAGGCACTGGTTTAGCTATTTTACATGTATTACCTCATTTAATCCTCCTAACAGCTCTGAGGTAGGTTCTGTTATTATGCCATTTTATAGATGAGGAGACTGAGGCATAGAGAGATGAAATACTTTGATTAGGGTCACACAAGCTAATAAAGTAGTGAAGCAGGTACTTGCATCCAATCAGACTGATTCTAGAATTCCCTTCTCTTGACTGCTATACTGTAGTGTCTTCAAAAAATGTAATGCACATCTCCCTTATTTCTTTGCATTTGGTTTGACTATGTGAATACACATTTCCCCTTTTATGGGAGATGTTTGAACCAATGAATATGAATACTATTTTTCTGGGCTTAGATATGTTTTGGGGGGCTTGAATAAAGCACCTCATCTGTGCTACTTGTGAATTACTTTCTAGAGCAGCATGAGTTCACACCTAGATAACATGTGTTCTCAGAGGCACTGCATATACTCATACAAGTGAATAATGTGCAATCCTAGGGGTGCCACTTACATAGACTACCGTGGTCATGATGACCCCTGAGATTGTTCAGTGTGCAGCCTGTGCAACTGTCTGTGCAGCCCTTCAAAAGCTGCCTGACAGCCTTATTTAGATAACTTTCAGGAACATACAGAAAACAAATATATCTCTGGTAATAGTTCATGCTTTATAGGCTTACCTCAGTGCATCGAAGCTACCTTTCAGTTAAAAATGTATGAATGAAAAAATAAAAATATGTTATGTAGGAAATGTCTGTATATTAAAATATCCATATAAAAGCAGCAGCTACCAGGTAAATAAAGAAGCTGTTAGGGTGGCAGCTGAACAATCAAACTAAGTACCTGCACTCATTTCTAATTTAGATGGACCTTAGTAGCCAGACTATGGATGTTACACTTAACAAAATCATCAGCTTTGTAACTTTGCAAATTAGACACTGACACAATAGAATCAGAAAATAAAAACCAAATGGAAATATTTCAGCTGTCATTTAGCTTGAAACAAGCAAAACTCACTCACACATCAGACTTCAGGGCATCATGGATGCTCTTTAATGAAGAGCATTGTGGTTAAAAATCAGGCAACACTTGGAAATTTTTATGAGACAGGGGCAGAATACTTTATGGATGAAGTGAAACAGAGCCCTCAAACTGTTTTTATCAATTAAGGATATTCAATATTACATGAGTTATGTAGCATTTATACTACTTAGTTTTAGGAAATAATGAGTTAACTGGCTAAAATAAAAAGCTCTCTTTTTAAGGAGCTTTAATTAGGTAAAAGTCAATGCTTAATAGCCTGTTAAAGCATTATTTTAAAAATTAGTGGAGTGGAATTCATTGTAAGCTGACAATCTTAAGTTGGTGTGGTGTAGGTCTCTGCAATTATGATGGTTATTGACACCTTTATTAAGGGAGGAGGGCTAGCACGGGGCTTCATGTGGAGTTCAGAGCACACTTGAATTCCATTCCCTTAACTGTTCACAGCAGTGCTGTGTGCATCAGCAGTCATCAGGGCTGTGGCAGGGTGTCAGCAAAGTGACATATAACCACACTCTCTCTCGCTACTGTGTCGCTCTTCATTTAGTAAGTTCAGTGTTAATAGTAGGATGAGGATTTAAGCATCTTGAGGGCAGGATGTTTTATCTGTTTCTTGACTGCTCTATCCCCAGGGCCTGGCACCCAGTGAAATGAATGAACTGTTTCCTGATCTGACTGCATGCACGCTCTGTGTACTCATGAGGCATAGGTCTGTTTCTGTGAACAGCTTTACTATATGTGATGTCTTCTAATGACTTGGACTTCTTTTAATATTGTACTTATTTTTATTTTATATTGTGACCTTGAGGCCAGTTAGCCACCCAGGTTTCATCTGACAGACATGTTTCATAGTTGATTAGAGCAATTAAAGTTTTATCTATTGGATAAAATTCAAAAGTCATCGGCCATCTGTGAAAACCACTGCACTATGGACCACAGACCAAGGAGGATTTTCATCTTATGAAAAACAAAGAAATTATATTAAGATCCTAATACCAGAAGGTGGACATTCCTTTACAGAGAATGTCTTAGTTTGCTCAGGTTGCTATAACAAAATATCTCAGGCTGAGTAATATATAAACAACAGAAATTGATTGCTCACAGTTTTGGAGTCTAAGATCAAGGCCCCAGCAGAGTTGGTGTCCAGTGAGGGCTCCTTCCCCATAGATGGTGCCTTCTATGTGGGTTCACAAGGCAGAAGGGACAAGGCAGCTCTCTGGGGCTCTTTTCTAAGAGCCTGATCAAAAGCACTGATCCCATTCATGAGGTTGCAGCCTTTGTATCCTAATCATCTCCCAAAGGCCCCATGTTCTAATACCATCACCATGCTGATTAGGTGAATTTTTTTTCTGCTATGATCTTATTGTTAACATAAGAATCACTTCAGTAACATAAAATATGATATTCATTAAGCATGGTGGCCAAGTTAGCATTATATTAGCTCTAATTAGCTATAATTGAATTTTTATATTTTATGCAATTAAATTGTCAAAACCAACCATTACTATATATATTAATAACACAACTGTGAACTTTAAAAGTGTTAGTAATTCAGTCTTCTAGGACTCCTGGATTCTCAGAAATCATTTGCACATAGTTTTTGTCATTCTGAAGAGTGCCCATTTCACAGATGAAAAAACTAAGGCACAGAGCAGTTCTGTGGGGCCCAGGAGTTAACTAACAAATGTAACTGAAGACTCATGATTCCAGGTATTGTGTTCTTTCTAGTCTACAGTACTGTGTATACCAGGAATCCTCATTAACTACAACATAGTCATCCATTGGCAAACCTGAGATAACCAGAAAACCTTAGTTAGATGTACATAGGTATGTAATTTCTTCCTTGCTGGGGCAACCTTTGAAACTCCCTTAGAGCAGGAATCTAAGAAGAAAATCAATGTATCCCTCTTACCATAGGCAAAATAGCATTTCTTAATTTTCAACTCCTATCATCTGCTCCTGCTCTCACTTATTTTGCAAGAAGAGTCATTGATGCCAAGTCAGGCCACCATAATGGCCAGTTTTAATTACTGCATCTCCTGTCTTACACTAGACCTTGCAGAGGGGTCACACTTTACTGTAGTGACTATAGTGCAGTTGAATGTGCAATGTTTGGGTGGTTTTACACATGTTGGAGAGAATTTGTACTATAGGACATAGGGTCTTAAGGTAAAAGTGTTGGGCTGAGAATCCTATGAAATATATATGGCAGATTTCTAGAGCTGATGTCGACAGCCGTAATGTTAACACATTTTCAAAGCAAAGAAAGTTGGATAGAAGAGTTACGAAGAGAAAATATTGGTGATGATAGGGGACATTTCCAAACGATATTGAAAATAATATTCCAGGAGATAATTTGATTAGGTAGAAAATGCAAACTCAGTACACTGCTTTCCTATGAAAACAGTGAAGACTCTTTAATAAGAATGAGATATTCTGCTTTTTTGGAAGCGGTGACTGAGCATTCTGCAGGATTTCAAATAGTTAAATAATTGTTACGCCTTGGCCCAGGAGTCTCAGCCTATCTGCAGAGAAGAGGTAAATATTAAGTACCTGAAGCCTTTGCTCTGAGGTCTGTGTTGGGGGAGGATGTTTGTAGTAAGGTTTGGGTCTTGGGGATGCATTCATAAACTATAGAGATATGTGATCTATGCCTGGAAGCTGCCATTTTTGTTTCCTTTAGAAGTTCCAGAGTAGAAGGCACCATCACAGTCTCCAACCATCACCTCAATGGCATCCCTGAACTACATCTGGGGTGTAGTTCCAGCAACTGACCAGAGGCACTCTGTACCTCATCAAATTGTAATTAATCTTCCTTTTTCCTCTCTCTCTCTCTCTCTCTCTCTCTCTCTCTCTCTCTCTCTCTGACTTATATAAATCAAGTCACGGTCCTTAGTAAATATCTGAAGAGGTACCTATTAAATAGGAATAGTAATACAGGCATTCTATCTGTACAGTTTATACTTGTTTTGGTAAATGACTGATCTCTTGTAAAACTTGAGAGCTTTTTCTGGGCTATTCAGTGTGCATAATGAATATTGATATCTTAGGGCTTTAAAAAATAGCTTCTTTATGTAGGAGTTAGTGTGCTTGGAGACCAGTTTGAGAATTTTGAAAAAAAAATTTTTTTTAATGTCAAAGTAGGATTTAATTTAAACTTTAGCGTCTTCATCTTAACCCTCTTTCAACTTCTCCAGAAGAGTTATTAGCATAAAAGCTTAATGATTTACATCTGAAGGTTATGTATGTACTGAGGAAATTCAGTGTTGATTCTAAATACTTCTTAGTCATCCTTAAACCCAGCTTGAAGCTCTAGGGTGCTTAAGCGTAGTTCATTATTACAGAAGTAACTCATCAGTGAATTGTTTGGCAAACAGCAGTCTGTAGTGGTTTTTCTCTAACTTAGGCTCTTTCAGAAGTGTCTGCATTTTCCAGGAAAATTATCTGTTCATATTTTGAGGATAAAAATAGCATTGAAAGGACTTTTAGTGCAGATTTGCTGGGGCTATTTTGGTGGTCCTGATTTTTTTTTATTTTAAAAAGGAATATTAACATTGATCTCACCATTATACTTCTTGGAATTCCTTACCTGCTGATACCTGACACCTTTGCCTCTGTGGGGGAATTTCCCATTATTGGGGTTTCCTCAGGCCCCAACCCTCCTGTCTCTTCTGCCTGCCCTCCTCCAAGGCATTGGTGTCTTCCTAGCTTGATCATCTGCCCCTTCCTTCCCCCTGCCCTCCTTTCCTTTTTAGTTGTGGTGAAAAACATGATACAAAATGTACCATCTTAATCATTTCTAAGTAGATAGTTCTTTGGGGTGTTTTGTTATTGTTTTATATTATGAATTTTTAATTTTAAAATGTTCACATGTTTATTAGCTGCATCTCTACAGCCAAGATCTAACCTACTTCAGGGCTTGGGCCCATGTTGTCCTTCTCACTACATTCAATCAGTGCATTCATTATGTGCCTGTTATTTCCAAGCACTCTGTTTTGCATTCCTGACTTTGTTGAGCACACAGCAGATGTTAAACATCTGATCACTGAGTTTCAGAAATTTTTTTTAGGAATGATTTTCAGTGGTAGAATTTGAAAACAGCTTGTGTGAGTAGTCATAGCTCATCCTTTTAAAAATAAATGCCAAATAAGAAATGGATTATCGTGGGGAAGTCTCTCACTTAAGAAAAATCATTATAGAGTAATACCGATTGAGATTTTCATTTCCTTTCAGCAGGACTGGTAGGATAGATATTGTGTGTGTGTTTTTTCTTAAACTATAATGGTGATTATTTTCTTTTTTAATTACTCTGCCATCTCAAGAATACATGTATTGTCATTTTAGATTGCTGGGTCAGGAATGAAAGTTTGAGTGTGTTTGATTTCAGTCCTGAACTCTCATATATTATGTTTCTGGGGAGTAAGCTTGGTTTTGATATAACTTTCTATTTGGGGGATTTTAGAAGTTAGTGCATAAAATAGTGCTCCCTTTGCATGGATGGATGAAATTTTGTGGTGTTCAAACTGTTGTATTAGAGATGTGAATGCCTAATCATAACAGATTAAAAACTGTCAACTATCTTTCATATTTAAGCAAGTTACAATGGATACAAATATTTCTTGAAAAGCTAGTCTTTTTTTTTTTTAAATGTAGTTGCTTACACTCCTTAGGTGCACAGCAAATGCCAGAACTGCCCTAATTAGGTCAGATGTTTCTCATTAGCTTGTAACAGTCTTGGATGTATGGATGGATGGATGCACAGCAGATGGATTGACGGAGGATAGACACTTTAATTGACCCCTCGCCACTGTCACACTACACATATATAACTCCCTGGCTACACTGAATCTTAAAGACCACACATACCACTAATATTGTACTGATTGAAATTGCTCGTTTCAATTCCTAACAGACTGTCTGTGTCTTTCTTAATAGCCTGTGAATATCTGCAGAACAAGGGCTGAATCAGATGCAGAATATTTGTATATTTTATTTCAGAATATTTATATTTTAGTAAGTTAATGCTCACTCTTAAGTAAAGCAATGGGAAAAACATCCTCTAATATTTACTTTTTCTTGTAATAATCTACTGATGGCATATTTTTATTAGCATTCCTTGGAATTATTCAGTAAGCATTTACAAAGGATCCTGTATACAGTAGATAATTAGTATTTTGATGAATAAAAGATGAACACTTTTCCTAATATACCTCATAGAAATGTAAATAAATTATATTGTTGATATTCCTGTCATTGATGTGACATTAATAAAATATCATGGAAGGGCTGGTTTCAATTTTACCATTGCTGAGAAAAATGGCAAATGCATGGTGGTCTTTAAAATAGTCATTGTCATTAAGGATTTGTATATTCTGCTTGTTCCCAGATGTCATGGTCTTGTGAGGAGGATAGAATATTCTTCAGCAACCTCTTATACTTTTCTTTTTTTTTTTAACATGTTCACATCTGTGAGTTTAGGTGATAGTGCTGTGAGATACTTTTAGGATGTTACTTTTTGCATGAACAAACAGAGGCTAGGCTTAGAGGAAAGCATACCAGTTTTTTATTGCTGCATAACAGATTTCCACAGACAGTACCCATTTCTTAGCTCAGTGGTTCCAAGTCTGCCATGGCTCAGCAGGGTTCTCTGTCAGGGTCTCCAGCGCAAGGAGTTGGCTACACAGCCCTCTCAAGTAAGGCCATGGGGAGGAATCTGCTCCTGAGCTCATTCAGGTTGTCGGCAGGGCTGAGGTCCGTGTTTCCTGGCTGCAGGCCAAGGACTGAAGTTTTTAGAAGCTTCTAGAAGCCACTTGCATTTGTTTGCTGTGGGCCTTCTCAGGAACATTGCAGCCAACAGCAGGATCCCTCATCAGATTCCTGTCAGACTTCAAATCTCTTTGGATTCTTTTCTGTGACCAGCCAAAGGAAACCCTTTTAAAGGGCTCATGAAATTAGGCTAGGCCCACCCAGATACTCTCTCTATCTTGAGGTCACTGTGCCACATACCTGCCAATCACGGGAGTCAAATCCATGGTATTTACTAGCCCAGGGATTACGCACAGGGCATACACCAGGGGGTGGGAAATCCTGGCCCCTCTTTGAATTCCGCCTCCATGGAAAGGTCAGTTAAAATGCTTGGGAAATGCTGCCAAATTCACCCCAGCGTTTATACTGCTTCTACTTTGAGATGCTGAAGACCGTGCTCTAAGAACTCTCTTCTTGTTTAACCTTACTGTGTTTCTATGGGAAAGAAAAACAGCTCTGTCCTTGGCATGCAGAGATGTTCTTAATTTACAGTCAGTAGGGCTGAGGGTTTGATGCTTAATGATTTCCATTCATTGACCTGTATTGTTTCAGCCAATCACTCCTGGGCCAGTGGTGCCCAGATGAGGACTGGAGCCAGGTGTGCAGGTTTGCAATGAACATAGAAACCAAACTGACTCTTGTTAAGGGCTTAACCTAGGTTAAGAACGTGACAAGCTAGGACACAGGGAGCTGCCCTGAGTTCGAGACCAGAGGAGCAACTTATCAAAATCACTGTTTTGAGCAGATTAACCTTGAAGCTGTGTGGATGGTAAGAGGGGAGAAGCCAGAAACAAAAGCCAGCCAGGAATTCAGAAATGAATGCTCATTTATCAGTGGTAAGGGAGATTTAGAAATGTTTTGTGTTCCTTGAATTGCTACTATTGGTGGTGGTAGTGCTGGGAAAATGAAAAAGACTGGGGAAGTCTAAGCAAGCTATAAGACAAAATCAGGCTGCTTGTTAGGACTTGTGAACACCTGGGTAGCCTATGTTTACTTTTCGGAGAGGCCGTGTGCTTGTGACTTTCAGGGTGCATTGTTCAGGTAAATTGTCAATTTGTGTATGGGACTTGCAAATATATAACATATTTGGCATTTCAAATGGTAAAAAGTACTATGGAGGAAGATAAAGCAGGGATGGAGATAGATGTATATTAGTATTAAGTGCATATCAATTTGGGGCTTTTAAAAATCACCTAAAATAAGTTGTTAACCAGAGGCACATGGGTTGGAACGGATATAAATGTGTATTTCACATGGAATTGTATTTCATATTTATGGCATTTGGCCTTTTACTCTCCCCTACCTCTTTCAAAAAGCAGCATTCATTTAAATGAGGTGGATAATGGATCTATAACATTTATTACTCTGGTAAGAGGATGTTCATTCCTTCTGAATACCTTACTTCTGTCTGTTTGAATCATTAACCTAATCACATACTCTAATTTTCTTAAAGTCAGTATTCAAAGAGAGTTTGGCTTTTACTTCCTTTTCCTTCCACTGTTTGACTGAAGAATTTTTAAAATAAAAAATCAAAACATGGGAATCATCTGTGAGGCTGGGCACTGGACAGGGAACACGTAAAATGCTGGCTTTACAAATACTCAATGTGGACTTCTCACCACATAGTTGGCTGAAATCTTCCATGTTTGCAGTGGAACTTGAAATGAAAATAGAACTATATAGCTTTGTTACCATGGGAAGGGATAACATTTAATTTCATCCTTTGTGACTCAACAAAGTTCTGATGCAATGCAATGACAGTAGAAACAGATCATAGAAAGCAGTATAGAGATGTTGAGATCCTGATGTTTTAAAAGTAAACCTACATAGTAAATAGTAGACTAATTCAATAATTATTTATTGATAACTTACTTATCAATAAATATTCAATAAATATTTATTGAACCAGGCACTGTTCCGCAGACTGGGGATATAGCAGGAAACAAAAACTTCTGTCCTTGTGAGGCTTATATTTGAGTGAAATGAAGCAGAGAATAAATAAATATATAACATATTTGCATTCAAATGGTAAAAATTACTACGGAGGAACACAAAGCAGGGATGGAGATAGATGTATATGTATATTGCAGGGGTGGGATAGGGTAGCGATTTTAGAGAGCGTGGTAGGCAGAGTTCTAAGATGGCCCTTGCAATGGGTGGTTATAAGCCTGATAGAGTGTGGTGAGAGTGATGGACTCTTTTTTTTTTTTTTTTTTTTTTTTTTTTTTTGAGACGGAGTCTCGCTCTGTCGCCCAGGCTGGAGTGCAGTGGCGCGATCTCGGCTCACTGCAAGCTCCGCCTCCCGGGTTCACGCCATTCTCCTGCCTCAGCCTCCCGAGTAGCTGGGACTACAGGCGCCCGCTACCACGCCCGGCTAATTTTTTGTATTTTTAGTAGAGACGGGGTTTCACCGTGTTAGCCAGGATGGTCTCGATCTCCTGACCTCGTGATCCGCCCGCCTCGGCCTCCCAAAGTGCTGGGATTACAGGCGTGAGCCACCGCGCCCGGCCGAGAGTGATGGACTCTTACTGCTGTGATTAGGTTGCAGTATATAAAACTCTATCAGCTGACTGCAGTAGAGAGTCTCTTGCTGGCCTTGCAGAAGTGAGGTGCTGTGTTTGAGAGAGTCTACAAGAGACCAGTAAGACAGCTACAGACATAGATTGCAAGGGATGGTGGCTTGGGCCAGGGGTTGGCTGTCAGGTGGTGAGGAATGGTCAGGTTCTGGAAAGACTGATAACTGAAAGTGTAAGATTTAATGACAACTTGGCTGTGTGGTGTGATAGAAAGAGGAACAGAAATGCTGACTCCTGAGTTTCTGGCCAACACAGCAGGAAGAAAGATGCTGCCATTAACTGACAGAAGAAAGAAGAATGTGGTGGGGTCACGTTTAGGAGAGATCAGGAACTCAGTTTGAGATGCTAATGACATGCAATGGAGACATGTAGTTGGCTATTGGATACACCAATCTGGTGTTTTGGAAAGATGGCCTAGAGATGTGAATGAGGAGGTCATTAGCATATTTATGGTATCTAAAGCCATGAGGTCCCTAAGGCAGTCAGTATAGATAGGCAAGAAAAATATTTTAGACCAGAGTTTTGGTGCTCCAGTAAAATATTTTCCATTATTTTATCTCAATGATTTTTATGTTTCATTATGAACTTTTATTCAATATTTGGCTTAACTTAAAATGTTTTTCTATTCCCTTCTAGAACTTCAGCTCACTTAAAAAATTTTTCTGTTTTGTTTGGTATACTGTATTATGTATTTAATGGAGAAGAAAAATCTTAGACAAATTAAATTTAACGTAGGTTACTTGAGAAACGAATTATTCTTAAATTGGGAAGCCCCTGAACCAGCACAGGTTCAGAACTCCAGTGCTGCCACATGGTGGAAGATTTATGGACAGAAAAAAGAAAGTGGTGTACAGAAAACTGAAGTGAGATGCATAAACAACCAGATGAGTTACAGTTCAGTGTTTGCCTTATTTGAACTTGGTTTGTATAGGTGGCTGCCTTTGATTGGCCAAAACTCAGTGATTGACACAAGAGTAGATGACAGTCTACACATCCAATTAGGTTACAGTTTACTATGAACTGAAAAACCTTTAGGCCAAACTTAAAATGCATAAGGAGGCAGCTATAGGCTAAATTTAATTTAATAATTAGATCCTGAGGGGAGTGGAGGCATGAAGGTGGATATGAAACCACAAGATACCACATCTCCTGAGGAGAAGATTCTAGCACCAACTAGAAACAGTCTACACCCATGGTAGCCTCCTTCCAGAGGGCAAACAGACATATAAATCAAACATCTCCTTCCAATCCCAGATGAACAAAATCAAGCAGAATATTTCTATACTTCTCCCTAATCCTCAGCTTCATTACCAAAGAATCAGTGTGGTTTTTCAAAATGGAATTTATGGAAGACCCATGGCTAGCTGGGTGTAATTTGCTATATTTCTTCAGTTATAACCGTTTAAACAAATAGATACACAGAAATAGGAAGATAGACTGTCAATGAGGATAGACAGAAGATTGAGACTGCAAGAACAGAGCATTTGAGAGTAGGTGGGAGCATAGTCTTGGGAGCCCTTGGAAATCTACCTTTCCTGAGTGCACTGGGGCCAGTATGTTTGCAGCTAGAGGCTTGTAAGAGTTGATGGCGGGAGTGGGGAGAACCATGTCCCTCTAAAGCAAAAGACCTCTACCTGTAGATCTTTTTTTAATGTAAGTAATCCCTGTAGTTAATAAATTTCTTTTTTAGGCTAGTTTCATCTTTACTCATATATCTTAAAAATTAACAGTTATTTCATAGCACTTTCTCAGGTCCTATTTTTCTTCTTTTTTTTTAACCTGATATTAGAAACAGCTGTTTAGTATTGAATTGCTTAAAATGATAAGTAATTCTCCAAAGTGGTACCATTTTTTAAAAGATCCATACAGATCATGATATAACATCTTTGGGAACTGAAATAGTTATTCTTACCCTTGCTGGTTCCAAAAAGGACTGCAAGCAGCAACCTTTGAGAGTTTGGGTTTTCAGTAGTTTATCTACTGTAATGAGGACATCAACCCAGGGCAGCCAGTGGAGCTTACCTTGTCACTGCGGCGAGTTAGCAGTGGGGTCAGAGAGCAGCGTGGTTTCACTGTGTACACCCTGATTTTCAGTGCTAAAAGTCCAGAATAGCTCTCCACTTGACCTGCCATGGTCATTTGCTCAGATCTGACCAGCAGATGTGCAGTGCTGAGGATCTGGTTTTAGCAGACTGTGTTGGAATAGGTTTGAATAGGTCTACTCTTCTCATACCTTGATATGTCTTTTTTTGTCTTTTCTATTTGGGGTTATTTTCCTTTTTTGGTATTTAAGTAGCTACCACTCCTGATCTACAGATTATGTTTTAATTGATTTTCCTTAAACCTGTGGAGACAAATTGTTTTGTGTCATTTGAGAAAAACACATCAAGCTTTTCTCTGCTCCTCTTACTGTTTTGTATGTTTTTCAAAGCATGGCATTCTCAGTGCCCTTTTGAAGTTGAGTGAATCAGTTGAGCTCTTATGTGACAGAAGTGACTTTTTTCTTCTAAGGTGCACGGGCCTTGTTGAGAGCCAATCCTAGTCAAATGAAGCATCCTCTTGTAAGTAGAACACTTTCTTTAGCCATCCGGAGTTACACATGGGACCCACTCTACTTCTAGCTATGATCAGCATTGACACCTGTTCATGTGCTCTATGCAAGAAAGGATAAACACCCTCAAATCTCATGTTTCATGATAAAAGTTAACAATTTGCGGAAACTGGAGAGAAACATTGACTGTATCAAAAGTTGTACAGTTGGAGACAAAGGGATTCGTATTTATGCCCTGAAGTTGCAGCTTCCAGTATTTATTAGAGATGGGATTCCACTTGATGTTTTAGTCTAGCCTAGATCAGGGGTTGGCAAACTATTGCCTGTGTGCCAAATCCAACCCTCTGTCTGTTGTGTAAATAAAGTTTTATTAGCACACAACCGTGATCATTTGTTTATGTGTTGACTATGTCTGGTTTCACTACAGTGGTGGAGTTGAGAGGTCATAAGACTGTCCTGCAAGGCATAAAGTATTTACTATCAGGTTCTTTATGAAAAAGTTCACTAATCCCTAGTTTAGTATATATAACTTTTTTAAAAACTAAATTTTTCAGTCACTAAATAATTTTTGAATAATTGATACTTTTAGCTTTTATACTTCGTCAGGATGAGTCCATCTAGAAGATAGCCAATAGTTTAAAATAAGTGTAATTTAAATATTTGGCTTTCTAGTGCCATTTCAATTTCTTCAGGTTGTTAAAATCTATTTAACTTAAGCATAATGTAATTGTATAATAAAGTCAGACTAAGAGAGAGCACTGACATTTTATATAAAACTAAGTATTAGGTTGCATTTTCATACAGCCTGATAACATTTAAAACTAAAATCTTCATGAAGGCATAATTCATGTATCTGCTAAGTGCTCCCTTATAAATTACCCAAGATGACATGTTTATGGCCAAACATGAAGGTTGGATTTGCTTTGATGGAAATCACATGAGAACTTAGTTTGTTCAGGTTCATGTGTGCATGCATTTCTGTGAAAATTTCAGCGTTTCTTTCTGGTAGGTTAAATTGTCATACTAATGCATAGTTTATTTGAACTGATGCTCAGTTTTTTGTAGGCTTTTGGTTGTTGGTGTGTGTTCCAGTATGGTAATGGTGGGTCCCCTTTCCCAGCATTTTCCATCCCACCCCTGCTGTAACAGCAGGATGTAGTCACAGGGTCTGGAACTCTGCGTGCATGTTCTCTCTGTCACTTCTTGTGCCTCAGGGACTCAGGTGGGACGCAAGGCCGAAAATGAGGAGGCCCTATGTTTTTAGTGGAAATGATCTGCCTTTCTTTCTGTCTAGAGCTGCAACATAGTTGCATAATGAGGGCCTCATAAATGAGGGCAACATAGGAATGGCATTAAGTGCTGCAGAGTGTAATTACCACTTGATTTATTTACACCATGGCCGAGGGGTGAGTCCACTGCCACAACAGCACACTCAGCTGGGCTCCCTGGTCATGGGCTGCCTAGAGGGCTCTGCTCCTCTTTGCTGATCCTGCACTTGGTCACTACCCTCCTTGGTGAGAGCACCGGACAGACGAGCTCTCCAGGGTGACCTGGCTGGGGCCCCTCGAGCACACACTATGGGCACAGATACAAAAGTGCTGGGCTTGTTGATAGAGTGAGAATTGTCAGACATGGACCTGCTCACTCATGTGTGCACAAACACAGGGCACATTTAGGCAGCTGAGCACAATATTTTTGGTAAGGCTGCCCTTCTGTATTTCCTAGACATTGGGAAATTAGACTGTAATTTATTTTCCTAAAGAATATGGCTTTCAGGTTTTCTTATTTTTTATACTGCTGTGAACCAACCTTAAGGATCCAAAATCTCTCAAACAGACTGTTTTAAATCAAGAATTCCCCTTTTCTCAGCCTCCACCCTTTTCTCTGTCACCATCTTAAGCCCCTAGGAAAGCCATGCAGTTCAGAAATAGTCATGTGGCTTCATGGTTCAAAGGCACCTCTTGGGTCCACTGCCAGCATGCTCCCAATTCTACCTCTTACCGGTTGGTAGTCCTGAGGAGGTTAGTTATCTCTCCATCAGTTTGCTCAACTGTAAAATGGTGACAGTAGTATCTGCTTCATGGAATTTTGCAAGGATTAAATGATTAATGCCTTTTGGCATGGGACCAGGCACATGGAAGTTGCTCAGTAAAGGTTAGCTATTCCTCGGCTGTCGCTAAATGATTCACCTGGTGCTTGTGTTACTTTGCTTCCTCCTGCAGTCCACAAGGGTGGCCTCCAACCTGCATTGCTTTGACTTGTCCTATGTAGTGTCACTGAGACCATTTTGCCCCTTGGGGCCGTGGGGAGAGGCTATTTTGTCATTGACATGTTTTAGAATTGTCTGCATGTGGCTTTATTATTGTTTTTTACATTCTCTACAGACAATACACTCCCTTATTAGTTGCAAGGGGATTGATTTCACCTTCTCTCCTCTTTTGAAGCTATGAAATTGCTATAGTGACAGCTGTTATTATTTAAGAAGTAGCTGGATCTTAATGAAATTATTTAACTTAAAGTCATATAGTGAGGAAGGAACAGAACAGAGAGTCAAACCCAAGATTATTTTTAAAGACTTCTTTGACCTCAAGATGCTTAGCTGTGAGTTTAAGAACGATATCAGAGACAAAAAGGAAAAAAAAAAAGACAATTGTGAATACCACAGTCATATAAAGTATATATTAATTTCCTCCAGAAAGTGGCTTTATTACAAACGTGGGACAAGTAAAAGAAAAACTGGTAAGAAAAAAGCTGAAGAGGCAAAAATACTAGTTGAAAACATAAAGAAAGATGTTTTAAGTCAATGTTAACAGTGATTAACTTTAAAATAAGGCCTATATATGAATAGGAAGAATTATTCTCAGGTCCTTATAAAATAATCTCAATATCAAGGCACAATATGACATTGAAATACATAAACTATAACTGTCATAAATGCATGAGAGATTGAGTCATTTTTTTCTTTAGATATGCATGATATGCTACATTTAAATAAGACATTGAAAGGTTCAGTGGAATTTAAAATAAAAATAATTTTATTAGGATGATCAAATCAGTAATAAAACCTTTTTTAAAACTTTATAGTAATACCATATTTGTAATGTTTTGTACAATAGGGTTTTTTGAGGTAAAATTTGTCAATCTTAAGTGTACAGTTTGATAAATTCTAACAAATATATACACTCAGGTAATCACGCTAATAAACATAAGGAATATTTTCATCATCCCAGCAAATTCTCTCTTGCCACTTTTCAGTTTTCTCTTTCTACCTCCAGAAGAAATCATTGTTCTGATTCTATAATCGTGAGTTAGTTGTATTAAAGCAAATGGAATCCTATAGTAACTAGTGCTCTTTGCATTGGTTCCTGTCACTTAGTAGGATGTCTTTGAGATTCATCTTCCTCTTATATCAGTAGGATTGCTGCCTTTTATTGGTGAATAATATCCATTGTCTGGCTATACCATAATTTGTTTATCTGTTCTTCTGTGAATGGATATTTGAATTGTTTCCAATTGTACAGTTTGAATAAAGTTGCTGTAAATATTGTTGAATAAGTCTTTTTGTGGACATACGTTTTTATAGATCTTGGGTCATGCCCATGATTGGAATTGCTAGGTCATAGTGTAAGGGTTTGGGTAACTTTATAAGAAATGGTCAAAGAAGCTTTCCCATTAGCAGTGTGTGGGAGTTCCAGTTGTTTCACATCATTGCCAACATTTAGTATTGTCTTTTTCTTTTTAGTTATTTGGATGGCTATGGAATTGTGTCTCATTATGTTTTTAATTTGCATTTCCCTTATAACTACTGATGCTGAGTACTTTTTCATATACTTACAGATCATTTGTGTTTGTGAAGTGTCTGTTCAAGTCTTTTGCCCCCTTTTTAAGTTGGATTGCTGTTCTTTTGTTATTGATTTGTAGGAGTTTTTTTTTTTCTGGTTAAAAGTCATTTTTCAAGTATGTGTATTGGATATATTTTCTTTCGTCTAGTTTTTTCCTTTTTATTTTCTTAAGTGTTATTTGATGAGCAGACATTTTAATTTTTGTTAAAGAGCAGTTTATTAATTCTTTCAAAACAGTTGATGTTTTTGCAACTCTAGAACATTTTTACCTACTTTAAGTTTGCAAAAATAGTCTCCTGTTTGCTCTAGATGCTCTATAGTTTTAGTTTTTAACTTTTAGGTTTGTGATCTACCTCAGATTGATATTTTTGGTGTGAGGTAAGGGTCAGCGTTTACTAATTTTTTTTAATATATATCCAATTCCTTCATGATCATTTATTGAAAATACTTTAAATTTTTCATTGTATTGTCTTAGTGCCTTTGTTAAAAATTGATTGTATTATATATGTGGATCTATTTATAGTCTGTTTCTTGTCTTTTATTGATATGTTGGTTCTTATTAACACTGAAATGTTGGGATTACAGTGTCTTTATGGAACAATTGAGCTGTCCTCTGGGGGAAGAGGATACTTTCTTATCAGTGGGAACACAGGCAACCTACCTATCTAGATTCCTCACCGTGGCTCACATTTCCACAAAATGTGAAACATCACTAATGCATGATTCTGACATTGAATTTTGTAGGTGGAATGTGTTATGCAGTTGGATGACTTCAGTTTGTTCAGATATGAAAAATTTGGTGCAGTACATTTCATTTCACTGCAATTTAGGTCAGGGAATAATGCTGAAAAGAAATATGTATGAAGGCATGAGTGAGCACAGACTACAGAGTGGCCCAAAACTAATAAATCAGAAAGGAAAATAGATGAACTGAAATTCCAATTAATCTCACACAACCAAGACCAGTGAGACTGACCAATACTTTAAGTAACAGTGCTTTCGTATTATTTTTCTTGGTTGCCAATGGAGTATTTTTTTTGCTCCCTAACATCTTCCCCAGCAGCACATAGCATACAGTATATTTTGGGAAACGGGAAATTATTTTGCAAAAAGTAAAATGACAGGGAAGAAATTCTCTGTAAATTTCATTGCTGAAAATGAGGAAATTTTAAGGAAAGAGATAGTTACAAAATGCAAAAAGATCTTTCTTCTCTGTCCCCTTCTCTCAACCTATCCCAAGCTGGGATTTGAGGAAAGAAACCCTTGCCCACCAGTGCAGGGCCCTGGCTCTGTCACCTAGGGCCTCTCAAGCATGAGAGCTCAAGCATTAGTCCTCATCAGCGAGACCCACCATGACTGATGGAAGAGCAAAGCCTGTATGATTTTCTGCTTTCTTTACCCAGAGAAGCCAGGATCCACTCTGTTCTGTGTGGATGAGCTGCACCAATTAAGGGCAAATAAAATTAACTGAGAGCACCCCCTCCCCCAACATACACAGTATAATATTCTCAGTATAAGAGAACACCAGCTACCATCTTTCTAAAGCCTGGCATTGATTTATATCACATGTTCAAATTGTTTCTATTCAACGACTATAGAAATAAATGTGAAGATCATGCTTACCCTTTGGGAGAAGACGGTTAAAATTATAAAAGCTTCTTTGGTCTGTAAAACATTGAAAATACCATCAAGCTATCAGGTGGACAGTTCCTGTTGCTGCTCTCTTGACCCCTGGAAGGGTTTTCTGCTCATCTGTCGGATACTTTGTGCCATTTCTTCCTATTACAGAATATTTCTGTGGCGCTACTTTAAAAGCCTTCTATATAATTGAGTATGCAAACCACTTGTGTAGGCTTGACTCAGACTTTATGATAAAAAACATTCATCATATGCTATCCCCTATAAGAGGAATTTAAACTCTCCTCTTCATTAGAAGGCCTGCCTGCAGTGGAATTAAAATAGCTTCTCCTGAAAGGGAGCACAGACTTGGTAAAGATCATGAGCAGTCATTCAAGAGGAATGTAATCGAATACTTGAAATTTAAATTAGCTTGTAATCTGACTTTGAAAATAAAGTACAAGAGAGACCCAAGAAAGTTTCCTGAAGGTGAATTAATGTCCTTCACACCACTTCCAGTTTCAGAGCTAATAGCATACACATGATAAAAGTAATATAGCAGTGAAACTTATCTTTCCCATGTGCTCCTTCTCCCAGGTCACTGATACTGTGCTTAGAAAAGGTGCCCTACATAGAGAGAACCCACATCTGCAAAAGCAGCTTTCAGACATCACCAGGGATTTACACTCTTCTAGTAATGTTTGGAGGAATAACTTCTTTTTATTGGGTCCATAAAGCATACATTGTTAACCCAAGAAAGAGAAAGAACCTTAAATAAGTGACACAGATTTTCTTCTTTATTTAGAAACTATTCTGATGTTCATATTTTTAAAGGATTCTTTCTCTTCAAATAACTTTTCCTCATTCTTGAAGGACACGATACATTTTTTTTCTGTTAAAATCATCCAGTGGTAAATGCTGCAGCAGACTGACACTTCTGAAATGAAAAAGGTCCCATGGTTGTTGAGGCTGCCTTTAGCAAAATTATATAATGAAAAATTGTTTCTTTGCTATAAAAGAAGACCATGGAAAAGCATCTCTGCATATATTATTGTATGTAAATTAGAAACAGGAGAAATATAGGGAATCTAGATACAGAAAAATCATCACTGTTTATGCATGGCGTAACATTTCTAAAAAGAAATTGGGGGTGATCGTTTTCAACAGAAGAAAAGTCTTAGCTTTACAGGTAATTACATACTTTATAGTACAGATGGAATAGAGCTCAGTTTGCTTCAAGGCAGATTTCTGTTAAACAGACTCCATTTGCACATTAATTTCTATTGTGGAACTTAAAAAATTGGTCTCTAGATATAATAAAACTACCTTTAAAATATACATATATAAATGGAAATATCTTTCTGACAAACCCATTGAACCATTATCTGTTAATGATACTGAGCTATGATTCACAGATATTTTGTACTGTGGAAGTAAAAATATAGCCAGGATAGGCAGACACACTGAAATATGATTGCTTTGCTTTACCTTATTTTAAACTCGATTCCCACTATAGTGGTAACAATCCATAAAATTTCAGAAACTTGCCAAGGTTCATGTCAATCTTGAATCATGCTAATGTTTCTAACTTTATATCCAAAGAAATTATTTTCCATTTTCCCCATCACTTAAACTTATTGGCTGCTTTCCAGACATTTGAATCTGGCCATATCTTCCAAGTATATAAGAATATCCTTACATAAAATGAGAGAATTGTCCAAATAACCAAGGAATGAAATATCTGGGCCTTCCTTAGCGATGAGGACTTGTACCAGCGCCAACAGAGGCTTTCCCTAATGTCTAATAATAATCAGCAAATTGGCTGACAATTCTGAGCTGAACTTTTGGGTCCTAGCCTAATGGTTTGACTGATGGCTGGGAATGGTTAGCACATCAAAATCCTGTTTGCTGAGGCTGCTACTTACTAGCTGGTTAACAAAGCTGAGCTGCACCATGTAGGCAGGCAGTAGGCCAGATCAGATGACCAGAGCACGGGGCATAAGAATCTCTTAAGACCGAGACTTTAGAGGGGCCGCTCATGAAACATTTACCCCCTCCAGTTTTTACCTTTTCCTTGGGTGGAAGTGGGAAAAAAATACAAGTTTTTATTAACAATTTATATTCAGTGTTAGTAATGACATAGTAGAAAAATTAAACAATTCAGACAGGTTGACTATCTTTGCCATGCAAAGATAAAAACTATTGATGCTGTAGCATTTGCCTCAGACCTTTCCTATGTGTATACTCAAAGAGATACAGCATATGTTTATACACACAGAGACTTTAACAAAACTGAGTCCTCATACATCATTTGAAATGCTTGAAACAAGAAGTGTTTTGAATTTCAGATTTTTTCAGATTTTGTAATATTTTCCGAGAACATACTGCTTGAGCATCCCTAATCTAAAAACCCGAAATCTGAACTGTTGCAGTAAGCATATCAATTGAGCATCATGTTGGTGCTCAAAAAGTTTTTGATTTGGGAGCATTTTGGAACCTTCATGCTCTACCTGTATACATTGATTTATAACTTACCTAATATTCAGCTATATTTTCATTTGGTAAATATTTTCCTATAATAGGACTTTTTGATAACTTTACAATGTTCTATTAATTTTATTTATATGCTATCATTTATTTAACTAATTTGTTATTGTCAAATGGTAAGATTGTTAATTTGTTTTTGCCTTATAAAGGTGTATTAGTCTGTGCTCGCATTGCTATAAAGAAATGCCTGAGATTGGGTAGTTTATAAAGAAAAGAGGTTTAATTGGCTCATGGTTCTGCGGGCTGTACAGGAAGGATGGTTGGGGAAACCTCAGGAAACTTTCAATCATGGCAGAAGGCAAAGGGAAGCAGGCACATCTTATATGGCTGGTGCAGGAAGAAGAGAGATGGGGAAGGTGCCACACATTTTTAAACAACCAGATCTTGTGAGAACTCACTCACTGTACAGTACCAAGGGTGATGGTACTGAACCATTCATGCGAACTCCACCCCCATGATCAAATCACCTCCCATCAGGCCTCACCTCCAACACTGGGAATTACAATTTGACATGAGATTTTGGTGGAGACACAGACCCAAACCATATCAAAAGGATACCATGGTAAACACCTTTCTCTAATATTTTTGTACATATCATCAATTATTTCATTTTTGGGGCATGTGATCCCAACTATTTCCTTAGAATGATATTTCCAAAATGAAATGGACAGGGGTAAATGTATACACTTTTTTTTTTTAATTTCAAAAGTTATTCCAAATTGCCTCATGGAAAAAGTTGCGCTTAGTTAAGTCCCAGAATTTCTAGATATTATTAACAAATTCTTAACAGTATAACAGTTTTCATCTGGGTTGTGCTCAGGGCATGAGGCATGTATTTAGGGCATGTATTTATACTATATACATCTTTTTCAGGGAGAGTGTCAGTTTTTCTAGTATCATCTATCCCTTGGCCTGGATGTTTTAATTTTGCCATCATCCAAGTGGGGAGAATTTAGATGATGTTTACTAAGTGCTAGGCACTCCCTAAATGCTTTATGTGTACATTAACTCATTTAATCCACACAACATCCTCCTCCAAATGTTCCAGATGAGAAAATTGAAGCATAGAAAAGTTAAGTAGTTTACAAAAGGTTACCAGCTAGAAAGTAGCTGGTTTGCGATAAAACGTAATAAATGGCATAGAAGGAGAGACGTATATGGTGATATTTTTCTAAGAAGATAATTTCCCCCTAGGAATGTCATTTAAGATATAACCCTCGAAGTTTTTGTATGACTCTTATCGAGACAGCTATCCTTTAGCCTCTACTAATTTTAAAAGTTTCAGAAAGACCCTAGATGAATTTCATAGCAAATGATGTTCTTTACTTACATACTTGTTTAGATTAAAGTCTAATCTTTCAAAGTGACTAGTGTTGAAACATAATTATGAACATTCACGGCATGCATACTTGAAATTCTTGCATGAATCTTTTTTTAAAAACAGCAGCATGCTTTACCCGTGCAAAATTATATGCCTTGATTTTGGACAGTAAGTGCAGAGATGCATTAAAGGGCTGGTGATGGGGTTGAATGGGACTACTTCAAATTATCAGAACCTCCATATAACTGAAATGGTAGACATTACGCTTTAGAAGACAAAACTGAAATTTAGGATATTTGCTCATGTATTGTTACTTAAAATTTTATAGGAATTATTCCACGGTCCATGTAGAAAGAATCCCAGGTACTTTAGGTAGTACAGAGATGAATAATGAGGTAAACACTTTCATAACCTAGAGGATGCCTATTAACATCCGAAAACATGGTATGATTTGAGAACAGAAGGGAAGCTAAAGTCTTAGGATGACTTCTGCAACAGAATTCATAGCTCTCATTAAACAATAATATCTATTTATGATTATAATACCTAATTATTATTAGGTTGTAATATGTCATTATTATGGCTTTATTATATATTAGATTAATCATATCCAGTTACTATGCCCATGGGATGATTATTAATAATTTTTGTGTGTAGGAATGAATTGAGTGTTAGGAATGAATTGAGTCTGGAGTTGCTGAGCAAGTCCTGTAACCACCCTGGACCATTTCCGTATCTGTAAGTGGGAAGGTAAGAATACCTACCCAACAGCATTTTGGGGATTCTCAAAGCAGATACTATATGTGACGTTTCCTTTGCAATTTTAAAGCCGTGTTCAGGTTTAGTCATTGGCATTGTTGAATCTGTCTCCTTCCCTGGTTTGGAAGGTCCTTGTACTCCTCATCCTGACACAGCATTTGGCAAATGATAGGAGTAAATAAATACTAGTTAAATGTCATTATGAGGACAGGGAGGAGGAGCCGTGATGACAAGGAAGTATATGAGAACCATGTTCTGGCCCCAGCATGAGAGTCCTAGTAACCTCTTTAATTCATGCCCCTTCCAGAGCCTCGTAGTACCCCGCCCCCTTCACCAGTACTATAAAAAGCAGATCATTTGAGGAAGAACAAAAACTAGGCTTTGAGAAGACACTCCAAGATGCACAACTGACTTCTAAACCGAGCCCTGCAGAGAAGACTCGTGCAGTCTGCTCAGGGTTTTTGTACCCAGCAAGGTCATTGTCCAACACTATTATCCCTCTCAGCGGGCGACCTCCCTGAGAACTCACACTCGGTGTTCGGGGCTGATGCGCAGGTACTGGGGAGATGCTGAGGACCTCTTCAGGCAGTGAAGCTGCCTCATGGCACAGGGATGCCAAGTGTCTGTGGAGGAGCTGGGGCCAGGGCTGCTGCCCATGGCCTTTGGAGCAGCAGGAGTGACTTCCAGCAGCCAGTTTCAGTCTGTTCCAGGCCATCCAGGCCACAGCTGAGTAAGTGTCTGGTATGCCACACTCTTCACAAAAAAAGAAAGACTGCTGTTTGAGTGTCAGGAACAGAAAAGGAAGGGGCACAAGCTCCCCGGACTCTTGCCCGCCAGTTGTCTTGCCCCTGGTAGCCAGAAGGAGACTTTCACAGCCTGGGTACTCTTTTCTTTTCCTCGGTGTGGGGTGATCCTGGTGGCTCCCCGGACCTGGCTTGCGTTGACTAGGGAGCGGATCGTTGGTTTCTCTGCCTGCAGTGACTTCATGTTGTGGCTTGAGGTCCCCTGATAGAAATGCTGCTCAGCACTCAGCCCTCCAAGCTGCCCTCTACTCATGTGGGCTGGGGCCCAAGGCTCCTGCTGGATCACAGCTCAAACGCCGGTCCTTTAACATCAGCCGCAATAGCCCTACGTGCAGCCAAGCCTCCTTCTCAGGCCCTGGTGCTGTTCATCAGAGCAGAAACAGCTCTCCAGGACCCTTCTCCTTAAGATAGTGTTTGACCAGCAACTGAAACTGAGATACTTCCTGCCAGAATATTATGATCTCTCTAAAGTTACCTGGAACCCTGGCTTTCAACAGAATCATTTTTTATGCGTGAACCCTAACTTTTTTCCAAGGGGAAAAAGCTGTAACAGTTGTAACAATTCTATGTGAAAATTCTGGAAACACAGCCTCATTTTCAGTCTCCAGGGTTAGAGAATGAGAACAGAACTTGAGGAAATCCATGCAATGAGGCAGACGGTTTCTGTAGTGCCTGCTCCTCCTTGCCAGTACAGCAAATGTAAAAAGTACACGTCTGCATTCTGTGAGCCAGGAAGAGTAGATGAGGGTTTCGACTTGGAAGGTAATGGGAATCTACAAAGATCTAGAAGGAGAGAAGCTGTGGTCAGACCCTCAGGGAGCTTGAGCCAAACAAACCCTTTCCTCCTCTAGTGTGTATGGTTGTGTCTCCTCCTTCCTCCTCCATCCACTGCCCTCTGCCAGCCTCTCCACGACCTTCACAGCTCTTGAATATCTTTTGCCACACTCCAGCTGAGGAAGCCAGCAAACCTGCTTCAGACTTAGCCAGATCCTGCACCCCTCTCATGTGAGCATCCTGTGCTGAGCTGCAGTTTACCTGATCTTTATTGCTTATTTGTTAATCACTTAATGAGCATTCCCACATTACAACAGAAGCTCCTTTAGGAATCAGAATGCTCTGTTATTCCCTACAGTATTTCCAGGGTGCAGCACAAGTCCTTACACATAGTAAGGGCCTAACATGATTCACTGAGTAAACAAATGATTTTTCAGAATCAAAAGTGTGTTGACTGAAGTTCAAAGACAAGAGGACTCATTCCAGAGGTTGTATACATAGGCCCCCCGCAGCCAAGTGGCAATGAGAAAGATTCCCAATGAACTGTTACTCAGTTCCAAAACAAATACTGGGTCTGAACATGTTGAAAGATAAGACCCAAGAAAGGACAGTAGCTTTCTTCTTTTAGAAAGTGTCTGTTTAATGTCTTCTACTAAACAGGCATGAAACAAATTAATTAAACAGCTTTTTCAGTGCCTATTTTGAGCTAGCAGTCTGTTAAATTAAGAGGAAGGCAGAAGCTGTTAGATGTTTCCTAGAGAAATGCCTGGAAGTGTTACTAGCCTGTATCCTGGCAGCCTTCAGGGAGCTGTGCCTTAGGCCAAATCTCTGAAGCCAATTCCTCTTGGAGTTTTTACCTCCTGGTAATGGTGATTGCACTCTGATAATTCACTAGGATGATGCTTCAAGGTAGCACACACAGCTCTCATTTTCTTTAGCCAATTATCTCCATCATATTTTTTCAGGGTTTGCGTATGTGTTTGCATTCCAGCACAAGTTTTCACTCTTGAATTTATGGACCATGAGTTTCTGTGCTTTCCCTTGAAGTTTATGGTCCATGTCATTCCTTTCACTGGTTTGTTTCCCAACAGTTTGTGGTACACAAAGATTGGAGGATGAAATGCCCCTTTGCCAATAGTCCTGTTTCTTGGCTACTAATTAATCTGGTTCCTCAGAGCAAATCATAATGCCTCTTGAGCATGTCAGCTTTTTGTAAAGTTTTTTAGCTAAAAATAAAAAAAAAAAAAACTACAGAAAAGGGAAGTTTGCATTTTATCTTTGATCTTTGGAATGGAATTTGACTGGTAGAACATACCCACTTGTAGGAAATATGAAAAAAACCATTTAACATTTACAGATTTGATTAGATCAGCTCAGGACTGCTAATTCTGTAGAACACATTGAGAAGAAAGAAATTAGGGGAAAAGAAGTAGATAAACAACTCTCAGAACGGAGAGTTGCATTTGACTGGCTGACTTCTCTCCCTTTTCAACATAAATTTGTCATTTTAAATTTAATCCAACTCCTTCTAATTAAAACTTTTCCCAATTTATATTCCATAGAAAACATTTTTAAAATTTATATCATTAATAAAAATAATTAGAAGCCCTTAATTTCCTGAAAATTTATTTTTAAGATAGCTTTGTATAGAATCAAGTGAAAGTAGTGACTATTATGTATCTAAAAAGAAGTAGGGGAAATAATTTGCCTTATAACAGTGAATACCAATAATGGTTCTGTGTGATTAATCAACCCTACCATTAGCTTCTCAGCCTTCATGGCTTCAGAATAGTATTTCTGACAGAACTGTACGATGGAGACATGTTGAGGTACTCTCTTGAGTGCTGTGATGCTGGAAAGAAAGGGAGACAATATGGAGTGGTTGAGATCACTACTACTCATTAGAGCTTAGTATAGAGCCCAGAATCCACCCTGTGCCAGGCCCTGTGCTAAGCACTTACAGCTCATTGGCAGTAACTCTTCGAGGTGGCTCCTATCATTGTCTTAGACACAGAAATGCAGTTACTTGCCCAGGGTCACAGCGCTAGGTAATGGAGATCCAGAACTGTAACCCCGGCAGTCTGGCTGTGAGAACGCATGTTTTTCACCCACGTATGTATCACAGGATTTGGCTTCTAGAAGTAGTTTGGCCGTTCAGTTGTGTAGTGGCCAAATGTGTTTAATTTTTCCTTTTACAATAACTTCTGAGATCCCTTTTCTGTCCCTTATAACTGCGAATTAATCACTGTAGTCAAGATTATGATTTTTGACACCTTGATTAGCACTTTTCCACTATAGATAGAAATTTGCATGGTATTTCCAACTATATTGAAGAGAGATTAATTAGCACTTTATGACAAATATGTGGCAAATTGTTAATTAGGGTAAATAAAGTAAGACTCAGATTTTATAGCACCACTATTATTTTCACAGTATCGATTTTATTATTTATTCTTAATGCTGGAATCTGATAAGCTTAAGTAAGCCGATAGTGCTATACATTGATTTAACCACTCTTTGTTTCTCTAGATTTGAGGAAAATAAGAACACACTTTAAAAATCACTTATAGTTTATAAGGTGACACATTAATCCTCAAAATGACAGGAAATCGAGATGATTTTGTCTATGAGGTTTAATTTATTAAAATTGAATTTTCTCCTGTGCTTTGCTCCAATGGCTCTGTGCTAGCAAACCAGCTATAATTAGATTAGCAGCCTGCTAAACGCCGGTGACAGCCTGTGTCTCAGAGAGCATGTGCTGGATTCCGCATGTGCCTTTTCCTCATTGGTTGGTGGCGTTGCTGCTCGCCCGTGTGATAGGTTTCCACAGTAATCTTTATGCTGCATTAGAGACATAGATACAGAGGTGCTGTACTGTGTTCTTGCAACGGTGGAGGTGCTCGGCTGGTAACGTTAAAGAAGGAATAAGGCGCCCGACAGAAGGCGTTTGTCTTTGTTGTGGAGCATCAGCGTTAAGGACAGCCGGCTGCTGTGGGAGGTCAGTGAAGGAGGCTCAGTTCATGGTAATTACTTAAGTCTGTCTCTCACGAAAAACACGGCCATGCGTGAAATGAAGTATGTTCATCGTGTCATCTGTTTAATCTGATCTTGCTTTGTTAATACCATGGGTACTCCAGCATTCCATATGAAAATACATTCTCCCGCAGGCTTGCCTGGTAAACAGCTACCCTGTTTATGGTATTCACCAAGGAATAATGTTTTTACCTGGATTCAAGAGTGCATGTGTGTGCTTGGGAGTGATGCTTACCGACTCGCTTCTGTTTTGGAATGCCCAATGTTGCATCAATTTGGGTGTCTTTGTAGGTGTGTTTCAGTACCCAGTAGACTTTGTTTGCATTGAGTCCACACTGTCCTGAATAATGAGCGATCAGGAAGAATTTAGTGAAACACACTCTAATTAGGACAGGGCAGTGACTTTCCTGATGTTGAAGCTGTGCCTTAGCAGAAGTAATGTGCTATTGTTTCTTTAAAGATGTGTGCAGCCTTCATTTTGGATGGTTTTCTTTGTCTCACCTTTTGTAGTTTTTATTAAGCCTTTTGAATACAGAGAGGGTTAACATATCCCATTCTGCCAGAGATATTTAAAGTGTATATTTAGCTGTGCTTGAAAGAGAAATTTTCGTCTCATGGCTTTGTTTAGCAGGGACATTGAGTTAGGAGTTGAAACGAAGTCGCAGGAAGGTGGGGTTCTTACCACTTACTTTGTCTACTGTTTGACAACATTTTTATTTCTATTAATTTTTTCCTGAAAATTGATAATCTTAAATAATCTGGGATTAAAAAAAATGGTACATTCTAAAAGAAAAATATTTAAATGGGCAAGGCTGAGGTTCAAATATCCCAAACAAATGCAGCATGAGTTTTTCCTTCTCAGCGTCCCTTCTCCATAGTGTCGTATTTTATACCAAAAACGCCTTTGTTTTTACTTATTCATCAAACTTAAAAATTGATGTCCTTCCCATATCAGACTGTAGAGTCCACAGAAACTTGTGTATTGAGTCACCAGTCACACGGCTGGCTGCCAGCCACCACGCGTCTGCTGTCACCAGAGCCTTGCTGATCTCTGAAAACCATCAGGAATTATTTCTCTGCTCCTGAAAAACTAAACGTTGCAATTTTAATGATTTGTTCAAATACCTGCTCTGATCTAGAACTATGTTCTGGTTAAAGGGGTTCTGTACTTTCTTTGACAGAGTAAACTTCCGAGTACTTACCAACCGTGCCTCCCTCCCCACCCCACATTTCCTTTCAGGTCCATCCTGGCAGATAGTAAGTCATCCAGTACAAAATGCATCCAAATAACATTTTTAAGGGGAAAAAAAGGAATATTATGAAAGCTTGCCATGAATTGTAATAGAGTATCGTCTATAATAAGAAAGTTTGATAGTTGTTGCTTGTAATACAGTGTCTTTGTGACTTGAACCAGCTGGCGGCATTCTCAGGTTTTAGACACCTTGTGTGGTGAAATGAACCTGGGAACAGTCGTTCTACTTCACATTCCACTTCCTTGATACAAACCACGCCTGTTCCCATTGCAGAAGGGTGCGTATCAGTAGCGGAGAGTGCAGTTTCAGTGAGAGTGGTTTTGCTCTTTCCAGAAGTCCAGGCTCCTCTCTCGTTTCCCTCCCTCCCTCTGCCTGCTGTGCTCTTCTATGTGGATGTGCAGAAAAACCTTTCTGCGAATCAACAGTTAGGCTTGGACACTCATTTTGGGAAGGATAAATTGGTGTGGATCCATCTCGCTCTCTGTGTGTCTCTCTATCTCCTGAAATGCTCCCTAAATTGCCTTAGTCTTAAATAATTTCCAAGAAGGTTTTTTCCACTGTGAAAGCCTTGGGCACACATAAACATTGTCTAGAGTTCCTTTTGGGCAGAGCCCCTTTGAGGTGTGTGTCATGGAAAGATGTAGGAAGTAGCTCTAAGTGATGTCAAATGCCTAGGGCTGGGTCTTAAAGACTTTCTGTGTGGAGGAGGAACTTTTTTAAAAATTTAAATATGAATGTATCTGTGTACTGTGTAATGCAACGGTATTATGATATCCCAAAGGGACTTTTAACATACACCAAAGAGGCTTCTTTATAACAGAATTAAACAAGTGTTATTTATGTTTTTGCAAAGTAACCAAAATATGTGCTTTTATTTTCAGATGTATCACGTCTTAACTTTTTAAAAACTAAATTAAGGAGACTCTTTACATATTTCTGTGACAAGAAAATAAAAAGAAAGTTTTTGGACACTTTAAAATGTTGTTCTTTTTCCTCGTTAAAATTCCATAGCTCTTTACTGATGACATTTCTGACCAAACAACAATAGGTCTATCAGCATAAACATACATATCATATTTTAAAATCAAAACATTTTCTGTTATAAGGGATACTTTCTAATGTTTTCTCCTGAGGTCTCAACAGGAAAAGTGGTCACCAGTTTAAAAACTGAAGTCATTCCATGAAAAATATGATGTGCCGCAAAGTAACTGGGCTGAACAAGGTGTGGAAAATATTTGTGAAAAGGAAAGAGAAATGGGTAGTGCATGATATTGCATGTAAGAGTTTCCATGGCAATATCTATAGGTGGATTTGTGGCTGGTCACTTGGCATCTGTCATAATCCAAAAACCTGAAAGATATTTGTCATTAGCAATTGATAAATATTTCAGGGTTGACCTGTTAAAGTTGCCGGGATTGGAAAAATATGTAAAGAGATATTAGGCCTCTCATCTAAGTGTAGTTATTTTTCACTGTAGTATTCCATGATCATGGACACTTAACCATATGCTAAGCTCTGTGCTAAGCTTTATCGAGAGAAAATAGAAGGCACAGTCCCTTCCTGTAAGAAGTGACTACTGAGGAAGAGAAGCAGCTAAATTAATAATAATAGGGCTGCACGAGGCAGACAGAGAGACATAGTTTGGTGATACCAAGGAGGGGCAACCAGTTTTTTAGAAAGGGGGTGAGGAGTGCCAGGGAGGGCTTCAGGAGAAGAGAGATGGTACCCAATCCAGAACTTACTATTTCCTGCCCATCTTGACATCACCTTCACAACTCAGCATTAAGTTGAAGCTGGCATAGCTTCATATCCTGTTTTTATATTTTTTATTGACTTCCATACATGTAAAATATCATTTCTCTTCTCCCTGCTAACTCTTCTCAGAATACACATTAGGTTGTTGCATGGAAATATGTTAATAGATTTACATCATATGGGAATTGAAGTTTTCTTTAACGTATCCAGAATTTAGAAATGCATCTTAGATAAATCACCAAACACTTTGATTGCTATTATACTCTTAAGTAATTTAGTGATTACTTTTGGAACTGTTTGCATTGGCAGGAATTGTCATTTCCTCTTGGCTGCATGTAGACTCCTGAAAGTCATTTCTCTTCTATGTGCTCATTAAAGACAAGCTTGTAAAATTTGAGACTGTATTGTAACACTTGGATTTCACCTTGAAGGCATCTGCTTTTGTTACACATTTAATTGGATTTAAATTTTAACTCTTGACAAATTTGGAGGGGGAGTCCACTTTAGGGGTCACCTGTTTGCACAAGATCTTGCCACCAGTAAAATCTCTACCTGGAAACAGATCTTGCATTTCTACTCCTATAGGTCCTGCGGTCAGGAAATCCTCCTAATTCTGTCATGTGTTACCCTAGCCTGGCTTCCACACTTACTTTTTCAAACCCTGTAAAATGCGCAGGCTTTACTTTTCCCACCCTCCGGACCCCACCCCACTGCCTAAGCTGGATGGTAGTCCCTTAGAGCAGCTCTCTGACCCAGCGGACCTCCAGGACAGGAAACAATTCTCCTCTGTTGCTCTCTTAACTCTAACTCTGGTTTGTTTTTTCCCTGTCTCCTTTGCTACCCCCCTGTAAGTAGCTATTCTCCAACGCTCTGGCCTTCATCAGCTTGCCTGTCCATGCCACCTGCTTTCCATCGGTGGGCCCGTCCATTGCCACACAGTGTCCACCAATCCCCCACACTCACAGCCACACCAACCTCCTGTGCCTTTGCACAGCGCGGAGAATGGCACTGCTGCTCCCCCTGCTGCCTGGGATGTGCTTCCCCAGAGAGCCCATGGCTTGTTCCCTCACTGCCTGCAGGATTTCACTCTAATGGAGCCACCTCAGTGGGACATTCTGAGATAGTATTTACTGTATTTGTTTATTTCTTTAGTTTCCCCTTTCTGGAATATAAACTCCATGAGATCAGAGGTTTTTCGTCTTAACCCCCAGAGCCTTGAATAGTACTTGGTCCATAGAAAGTGTTCAGCCAGTACCTGTTGAATGAATGAGAGAATTAATGATTCCCGGCATGGGGGTGCTACAGTGCAGATGAACGGTGCTCCTGGGGCAATCAAGAGCTTTGCCCCAGCCAGCCGGAGTGGTGCTGCGGAGCCCCTCACCTTGAATGGGCCTCAGTTTCTGGTTCTGTAGATGGGGAGTGTGTACCAGGGACTCTGAGGCCCCTTTAAACTCTTATCACTCTTTCACAGCCCTGGAAGTAAGATATGATGCCACATAAAATGTTATTTATGCAACTCATCACAACTTGATACTATATTCTTCTTTCTGCATAATTGCTATCCATGGTTAAATGTCTGTTTTAAAAAAGAAACAATAGTTGAAGTAAACAAAATAGTTTCCAAATGAAGTTGTAAAAACTAATGCATTTTGGTGTACTGACATGTTTGCTGTCTTTTTTTTTTAATATATTGATCAGTTTCTATTTTTATTATTTTTGAGACAGAGTCTCGCTCTGTCACCCAGGCTGGAGTGCAGTGACATGATCTCAGCTCACGGAAACCTCCACCTCCCAGGTTCAAGTGATTCTTGTGCCTCAGCCTCCCGAGTAGCACCACCACACTGAACTAATTTTTGCTTTTTTTTTTTTTTGTGTGTGTGTGTGTGTGTGTTTTGTAGATACAGGGTTTCATCATGTTGGGCAGGCTGGTTTCCAACTGCTGCCCTCAAGTGATCTGCCCCCCTCGGCCTCCCAAAGTGCTGGGATGACAAGCGTGAGCCACTGCACCCAGCCTGTATTGACTAATTTTTAAAAGAATTACCACTGTCTGTTGCTAAATGTATTTAATAGCTTGCCTATTTTTATCAAATAAAAAGGCAATAACAATCTTTTCTTCCTTTGATTTTTAGCAATTTCCTGCTGCAGAGAGCATTTTAAGAAAGGACAGCATTCCTGTGACCTCTGCCTACCATCCATAAAATACTCATTCCCCTCTCAGGTAAGCATATTGCTTTGCTTTGATCCATTCTGAGAAGGAGATATTGATTCTCTACGAAAACCTGTGTCATTATTGCACTAAGACAAAGAAGCTGAGGTTTCAGATATTTTGCTGTCTGGCAATAAATAAATAAATAAATATTTAAAAAATAAAATAAAATAAAATCCCCACCTTTTGAGGTCCTTGCCAGGACCAAAGTATCGGTGATGGCTGTTTGCCGTTCCAAGGGGTTTCATGATACACCTTCTACATATCAGCTAGTTATTAGTTTGTTAAATGCTGTGTGCTATTTATCAGGTAATCTCCCAGGAGTTTAGAAGTCCTCTGTGTTTTAAAGAAAATTTTATTTTTTGTCAATGATGGGGTTTTGCCCTGTTGCCCAGGCTGGAGGGCAGTGGTGTGTTGCTCATTGCAGCCTTGAACTCCTGGGGTCAAGTGATCCTGCTGCCTCCACCTCCTGCGTAATTAAGCCTATGAATGTGCACCACCATGCCTGGCTAATTTTTAAAAATTTTTTCATAGAGATGGGGTCTCACTATGTTGCCCAGGCTGATATTAACTCCTGGCTTCAAGCAGTCCTTCCACCTCGCCGTTGCAAAGTGTTGGGTTTACAGGCATGAGCCACCTGGCCTGGTCAGAAGTTTACTCTCTGTGCTCGGGGAATGAGATGGTGGTGCAGGGTCAGCAGCAAGGGCACTGGGAGTGGGTGACCCGCAGAGATCTTTGCAGGCTGGCCCCTTAAGGGAGGCAGGGTCAAGAGAGCAGAACTTAAATTCCAGTCCAGGAACTGAGACTGAGGAGGTGGAGCATCTTTGGAGGATGGCCGACCAGCAGGCCTGGGAATGGCAGGGTGCTTTTCCCCACGTCCCCACCACTCCCAGGACTCCTTTCTGGTCCCCACAGCTGATGGAGAGCCTGGGAACATTTTTTCCAGGTCTCTTCCTACAGCCAGACCATCTTCCAGGAAAGAGCTAAGGAAGTGGAAGAATGGTGGGGTCAAAGTACAGATGATTCCCTCTTTTATGGAGGGACTGAGAGCTCAATAACACCAAATGAGGAGGTTAGAAATGTTTAGGAAAATAAAGAAGCTCTCCAGTTACCTCATTTCCACCATGAGTTGAAGAGTGTAAAGAGCAACCCTCAGGAGAACAGAGCCTCAGCCTCAGTGCCCACATTCTGAGTGGCCCCATGCTTGGATTTGATTGACAGCCTTCCTCTAGCTTCCTTTCTAGCATCCATTTGTAATGTACTCTTGCTTATATAGTAAGCCATGTATTTTGTAATTTATTATTACTGCATTATGCAGGATGTTGTCGGGTGATATGATCTCTTTTCTAGAACCTAAGAATCTAACTTAGGCTGACAAATAAGAATCAACCTGTGCCAGACAGAATTCTGCAATATGTAGAAACAGGAATTAAAGAGAAAGCCAACAACACCCCTCAGTGCTATAACCTGAAGTCTCTCACTCTTATCGCCATCTTACTTATCTTCTTATCTCAGATATAAGAAGCTCTGATACGAAAGCCGGGGGCTCCTGTTGGCTGGAAGGAGGTTTGCATCTGCCATCGCCAGCACTTGCGGAGCTGAGGTTGTAGAACTGTACCCGAGTGCAGGTGTACTTAGTGGGGAATACTTTCCAACAGGCCCATGCTTTTCATTCTGCACCATCCTAGAGAGCTGAGGGGTTTCCTAGGACATGGGACTTGCAGTGCTAGAACTGGGAAGTCAGAGCAAGCCAGGACATGTTGCTCCCTCTTGTGATCCCACCACCCCTCCTCTCTCTTGTATGTGGCTGCGTGATGATCTGCTCACCAGGATGGCTGCTGACTGCAGTTGAGTTTGCAGCCCTAGTGGCCAGGGAAGAACTACAGAGTTGAGTAGACCTGGCCTTCACCTCAGCTCGTCTGCTTAGTAACCAGTTGGATGGACTGGGATGGTTTGCTTTATTTCTGTGAGCCTCAGTTTCTCATATGCCAAGTAAGAAGAACAGCAAGGCAGTGGGGGTATAGGGAAAGTAACAAGACAGAGCAATGGAGATACCTGATATAGCCTAGGTACACAAGAAGGGGTAGGTCCCTCCCCCCATCAAGGCAAACCATCCAGAGAAGACAGTGAGTTACCTTCACAGGCATAAGTAACTGGCTTGAGCTTTATCAGTACTATTATTTACCTAGATCAGGAAAGTTAGAAAGAACTTAGCCATGTGACTTACCAACACAGTGTCAGTTGGGTTGCAGGCGTAAATCCTAACCCCGATACCTAATTCTTAAATAACCTTAAGTCAATGTGTGCAAGTTACTTGGAGTTGTTTTTTATATCAGTTTTCCCATAAATAGATTGAAACATTTTTAAAAGTGCTTTAAAGAATGTTTTGAAAAGCATAATTTGTTTCTTATCTGTATCCAAATGTTTTTAACTTTCAGGTTATTATTGCATTTAAAGTTTATTAAAACATTTTTCTTTCCTAGATTCTTAAATTACAGATAAGCAGCCTTATGAATTCATATGCATTATTATCGCCATTAAATTTTCACTGCTCTCAATATGTGAGTTTAAGATTACTTTGTTTTTAGAGAACACACTGGGTCTTTTTAAAAGTGGCTCCTTGTTTAAGGAAACTAAAAGGCAAATGAAGTCATGAAATAAAATGATATTGTAATGTTCTTTTGGTCAAACCTTTTGGAGTTTGTTCATCCTAGAATATGAAACGTCCTGAGTAGTGTATATATGTAAGTCATTTTTAAAGGAATACACAAACACCAATTTCTATGCATTATGCATGTAATTACAATTTCAGGAAATAAGCTTGAAGACTTCCTTTGTTTTTTGTTTCTTGTTATCTTATTCAAACTTAAGTAATTGATAAAGTCAGTTTCTCCTTGAAGGTTTCCTTTTTCAAAACTTCTCTCCAGATTTTTGCCTTTTTTTTTTTTTTTTTTTTTGAGACAGAGTCTGGCTCTGTCACCCAGGCTGGAGTGCAGTGGTGCGATCTCGGCTCACTGCAAGCTCCGCCTTCCAGGTTCACGCCATTCTCCTGCCTCAGCCTCCCAAGTAGCTGGGACTACAGGCACCCGCCACCACGCCCGGCTAATTTTTTGTATTTTTAGTAGAGACGGGGTTTCACCATGTTAGCCAGGATGGTCTGGATCTCCTGACCTCGTGATCCGCCCGCCTCAGCCTCCCAATGTGCTGGGATTACAGGTGTGAGCCACCGCGCCCGGCCAGATTTTTGCCTTTTTAATATGGTGCGTGCTAGATACTTGAGAAATTGCTCAGAACAACAACAACCCTCGTGCATTTATTTTGCATGTTAAATGGGCCTCACCAAAAATGCTTGCTGGTTTTCCCCAGACACCTTTTTTTTCCAACTCGGTGTTTCCTAAAGCTGGTCCTCCAGAATGAGAGGTTTGTACCTTGTCAATGACTCATCATCCTCTCATGCCAGCACCCCTGACTTTTGCCTCTCCCCAGATCAGCTGTTTGCCAAGAGAATGACTCAGAGATCAGATTCCAGCAGTACAGTCAGGTGTGGCTCCTCTGAGGCCATCTCAGCTGACCTTGAGCAAGGTCTTCTCAGGAATCAGGAGAGTCGGCACGACAGTGAGACCCACTGTGCCGGGAGCCAGGCTTGCTTTCTGCTTTTTTAAAAAGAGGAGGAGGAAAGGGCATTCTCTGGGAAAAGAAGCAGGGATTTTAGATGTTTTCTTTTACTTATTCACAAAAATTGTATACACTTCTCTAAGGGTAGATCTAGGGATAGTCTCCCTCATACTCAGAAGGAAGTATAATTCTATTTTTGAGGATTTAACACACACTTATTGTGAAGTTCAAAAAATTATTGATTGGAATTTAAATTATCAAATTGGCAGTAGGGTGTTGGTGGCTTACGCTTGTAATCGCAGCACTTTTGGAGGCTGAGTTAGGAAGATCGCTTCAGACCAGGAGGTCAAGACCAGCCTGAGCAACACTGTGAGACCCTGTCTCTACAAAAAAAAATTTTTTAAATTAGCCAGGTGTTGTGGCATGCGCCTGTAGTTCCAGCTGCACGGGAGGCTGAGGTGGGAGGATTGCTTCATCCCAGGAGTTTGAGGCTGCAGTGAGCTACGATCATGCCACTGCACTCCAGCCTAAGTGACAGAGCCAAGACCCTATCTTTAAAAAAAAAAAGAGTAATTTGACATATTAAAATTTTTTAAATCAAATGTAAGACAGATTCTGTGTTACTACCTGCATAGTTTATTAGTGGCTGTTATAATAGAAATTGTGTAATTGTAAATGTAGTCACTGTTTTCTTACAAAGATCAGCAGAGAGGAAGGATGGGCTACAGTTATGACCATGGACTGTAGAAGGACTGCCCTGTGGCCCTGTGCTGGAGACGTTATGTGCAGTTTTCACTTGCCCTTCAGAGAAGCATTAGAATCTTCAGTATGTAGATATGGGATATATGTAATATGGGTATCAGAGGCTAAACTTCAGACCAAAGGGCAACCATGTGGTTAGACATACACTGGGTATAAAGCCCAAGTCTACCCAAGGCTCTTCTATCAAACCTCTATCCAGCCCTTGCACACCAGTTAATTGCTTTACAATATCAGGGTCATACATGCAACAGGAAAGTCGGTTGAGGGAAGTCGGACAATGGGGAAAGTAGAATGGAAAGGTTACAAGGAAACATAAATGTCTGGTGGAATATTAGAATGATCTGTAGAAACCATGAAAATCTTCAATCAGCTAGAGTAGGAAAGAGGCCAAAAAGGTCATACAAAGAGGGAAAGAGACTGTTAGGAGGACACAGGTGAAAGAGAGGAGATTTAAACAGTGATTGCAGTTGTGCCAGGAGAAAACCTAGAGTTTCCAGACCTTCTCACTTTCTTTTCAACCTGTAAATCATGTGCTACCATCTCTAGGTGTGGACGCAGAAAGCACTCATGCATTCTGAGTACTCAGAGAAGTTCAGAGAGATGTGATGCTTGCCAGGACCCTGTGTTTAGTGAGCACTGGAGTGTCCTCTCCACACAGGTTTCCCTCTTCCATAGCATAGGATAAAAGAATGCTAAATATTCAATTCTGGTATCATGTGTGTGTATCTATGTTCAGAGATGCGACCAAAAACCTAAATATATTCCTAATCTGCATTTCTTCTGGAAATTCCTCCTATTCACCAGGGGAGCAATGCTGCCCTCTCCTTGCATGGTCTTTAGGCAGAGCTTCACAGAGCACTGGCCCTTCATGTTCCTGAAATACTTATGTTTTGCCTTTACTTGAGTCCTATGGGTCTAGTTCTCTATGATACATTTAAAACCAAGCTCCACATCATCCTTGGTCAAAAAGAGACAGCTTTCACTCACCATGACAGTCAGTGGAGACCTTTCCTCTGGGAAGAAGCCTCTCAAGTGACTGTCCCTTACTATGCCTGCCTGTTCAGGTGTTGAGCCCTGCTGACTCCTCCTCGAGGGCTCATGCCTCAGCACAGCCCTCTTCATCACCAAACAACCCCATTACTGACTTAGCCCTGTGCTGGTCACCTGCCTCTAGTTTCTGCTCCCACACCAGTCCATGTAAGAGGCAGAAAATTCTTTTTCTTATTTTTATTTTTTGAGACACAGTCTGGCTCTGTTGCCCAGGCTGGAGTGCAGTGGCACAACCTCAGCTTACTCCAACCTCTGCATCCCAGTTTCATGCGATTCTCCTGCCTCAGCCTCCCAAGTAGCTAGGATTGCAGGCGTGTGCTACCATGCCTGGCTAATTTTTATATTTTTGATAAAGACAGGGCTTCGCCATATTGGATACGCTGGTCTCGAACTCCTGACCTCAAGTGATCTGCCCACCTCAGCCTCCCAAATTGCTGGGATTATAGGCGTGAGCCACCATACCTGGCCAGAAAATTCTTTTACAGTTTTCATCCTGTTACTTCCCTGCTCTGAAACGTTGTTTCTCCCAGTTATCTGTCTACTAAATTTAAATTCCAAAGCCACCTCTCATCTGGGCTCTTCTGCTTACTCAAAGTCAGCGTCTGTTATTCTGCTCATGTTCCCTACACACCTGGTTCCTCAGAGCTTGTGGGCTGCGTCTTGCCCGAAATCCCCTATCCATTCCACTCTCTTAAAGTCCAAGAGTTCCTTTAGTGCCCGTTTCAAAAGTTACTTTTTCCTTTAAAAGCAATGGGTTTTTTTTTTCTTAGAATCTAAGAATTTTTGCCATTTATTCATTCAACAAATTCATAATTCATGCAACAAATTTCTTCACAATTTAATGTATACCATGTGCATTTATTTATAAGTAGTCTTGGAATTATTCTTTGCTGTCTGTGAGGGTTTATGTGTTATCTCTTAAATTGTATGATCAATTTATTTAAAACTTTTGCCTTCATCAAAGAACCTAGGCTCTTAGATGCTCAAGGGGATGAATAAATAAGCCTTGCCCTCCCAACTCTTCTGTACAGGGAGCTGCGAGCACATGGGCTAGGGTTGAAATCCTAGAGGAGATTGTAGATGGCTTTGCAGCATCAGCGCTATTCTATGGACTGATTCACTTCCTGAAGAGGAATGAAGTGATTTACCCACCCAGGAAGCCTTTGTGAAAATAAAAATTTTCATCAACAACACAGAATGGAAAGCTATTGTCAGTTCTTAACTGCCTATAGTAGAGTGACGTCTTAATGGGCATGTAGAGACAAACCATCTAGGGGAAAATAACTGCATCTCCTCTAGAAGGCAAAGCAGCCCCACTGACAGCAGAAGAAGGAGGAACTCAGTCTAAACTGTGAAGAACCAGTTCAGATTCTCCCTCCCATGTTGGCTTCTTATCCTTTAATCACCATTTATTCATCATTTACATTCTATGTCCTCAGAGTTCCTTATGACTGTGAGCACATAGTCATGTACATTCTTTAGTCTATGAGGACATTAAAGGCACTTGTGAAAATCTGATTTAAGTTACAGTAAAATTTTTCTGTCTCTCTCTAATAGACTATAAGCAAGTTGGGGGTAAGAATTATGTTTTAACTCTGAATCTGTAGAATCGAGCACAGAATATAGCAAACTACAGAGGATAAAGAAATGTTTGTGGGGCTGGGCACAGTGGCTCATACCTGTAATCCCAGTGCTTTGGGAGGCTGAGGTGGGAGGATCATTTGAGCCCAGGAAGTCGAGATCAGCGTGGGCAACACATCTCCTCATTGGTAGATGTGAGACCCCCATCTCCATTTTTGTTTTTTTTTGTTTTTTTTTTTTTTAAATGAGCATGGTTGCACACACCTGTGGTCCCAGCTACTTGGGAGCCTGAGGCGAAAGGATCACTTGAGCCTAGGAGTTTGTGGCTTCAGTGAGCTATGATCATGCCACTGTGCTCCAGCCTGAGTGACACAGAGCAAGACCCTGATTCTTAAAAAAAAAAAAAAAAATTAAGGAGATGTTTGTGGAATTTAATAGACTGAAGTTTTTTGTACATATGAAGGAAAGTCACTGTACGTTGCTCATCTATCTTTTTGCTCACTGCCTCTCACAAGCTCTGACAGCAACATCTTCAGATATAAGACACAACAGCACAGGGCTTAGCAGGGCTGGAAGCGCTATTTCACTGAAAGAGGGGAGACACAGTCTATTGCTGGAGAAAGAAAGGCAAAAATGAAGTCAGAAACAAAAGAGGAGAAGAAACAGAAGAAACTGGGTTATTTATGTTTAGTTGTAGTTGAACATTATGGTGCAGAATGGTAAGAACTTGGGTGAAACTTTAAACTAGTCAAAGTAAGGAATAATCAAGGCGTAATTAGCTTTATTCAAAGGCTGCTTGAATTTGGTCTCCTCAACTGCGTTTAAAATAGGGTTTTGTTTCTAGAATTCAGATTACATAGTTTATTTATTCATTTTTTAAATTTTGCTCAAATTGATTGTTCCCTGTGGACTCACAGATTCAATATTCAGAGATTCAATTATTTGTGATTGTCTCCACGTTCACTACTTGTGTTAATTCCGCTATTTCGGGGAAGTGGCACCTTTAAAAGCCCACACTCCAGGGCCAATGAAGAATACAGAATGCAGGCCACTCCCACCATCCACGCCTCCCCTGGGCTTCGTGTTCTGTATGTTAATTCTCTCATCATTTGCTGTTCCATTAAAAATTACGTATCCAGTGTCTAGTTTGCCTGGGGGTGAAATGGGGATTAAGAACCTTTCCCACCTTGAGACACTGACATTCTTGTAAAGGGATAAACACTCTATATTTGAAAAATCATCCTAAGAAGAACAGTAACTAGTAGTGCTGGAGTTGGAAGTGAAGAAAATGTGAGGAGATCCAAGAAAATGATGAATTTTAGGCAGAACTGAAGCTCTGGGTACATAGGAGAGTACGGCTAACTCCTGGTTGATCCGGATCAATGGCATATGAGAGAATCCACCACAGAACTGTGTGTATTTGAATCTTTGGTTCAAACTAGCTCACCATATTAGTGGTCTGTCCTGTGTATCTTCAGAAGTTACAAGGCTGTCTTTCCTGAGGTCAGCAGGCTACTGAATTGTGCTTATGACCAAGACCTTGCTGGCTGCCATCTGAATCATATATAGTGGAGGAAAAAATGAGTCAGTAGAAGGTATGGATGGTGTACACCTCGCTAAAGAGAAGATGAACTATAATATTTTCAAGCATCATTCTAGTGATTGTTGGCCTATAAGTAGTGTTTGATTTTAATTTCATTTCTAATTTATGTGGTTCTATAAAATTCTCTATGTTTTCCTTCCTTCCAGCAGTGGACTTGAATCTCCATTTTCCTTTTTTTTTTTTTTTGAGACGGAGTCTCACTCTGTCACCAGGCTGGAGTGCAGTGGTGTGATCTTGGCTCACTGCAGCCTCCGCCTCCCTGGTTCAAGCAATTCTCCTGCCTCAGCCTGCCAAGTAGCTGGGACTACAGGCACTCGCCACCATGCCCAGCTAATTTTTGTATTTTTAGTAGAGACAGGGTTTCACCATGTTAGCCAGGATGGTCTCGATCTCTTGACCGTGTGATGCTCCCACCTCAGGCGCTCAAAGTGCTGGGATTATAGGCATGAGCCACCGTGCCTGGTGAAATCTCCGTTTTTTAAACATGATTTTTCACTGGAAGTCTTACCACCATGTACACCTTAAACTCTCCATCCCCAGATAGAATGGGTTGTGAAGCTTCACTCTTTACCTATTCATGGGGATTATGTCCCTAGAGGCTGCTGTCAGGTGCCAGCAGGGATTTTATGGATCATTACCAAGGAAATGATGGTAAATGTCCCCACCGAGTGGCATTGGTTTCTAAGCATAGTACAAGGAGTAGGTTGCACCCTGCACCTCCCAGGACTTTCCCTCTGGACACTGTTTTTACAGAGGGTGTTAGAGTGGCTACACCGAGGCACAGGATGCTAGGGCAGTCAGAGTAGGGATTGACGCATCACTCTCTGAACCTGGCAATTGGCATCAAAAACAGGAGAAAAAGCAGGCTTCGTTTTCATTTACTCTCCTAGTTGTATTTGTGATTCAGCATTCCATGCTGTATTGGTAAAGGGAAGAAATTACTTTTTGTGGGGGTCATGCCCCCTTCCTTTAATCAACTGAAGAGTCTTGTAAAGCTGATGCACATGTAGGCAGGCATGGTGGCCCACACCTATAATCCCAGCCCTTCAGGAGTCCGGGGCAGGCAGATTACTTGAGGTCAGAAGTTAAAGACTAGCCTGGCCAATATGGTGAAACCCCATCTCTACTAAAAATATAAAAATTAGCCAGATGTGGTGGCGGGTGCCTGTAATCCCAGCCACTCGGGAGGCTGAGGCAGGAGAATTGCTTGAACCCGGAAGATGGAAGTTGCAGTGAGCCGAGATCGCACCACTGCACTCCAGCCTGGGTGACAGAACGAGACTCTGTCTCAAGAAAACAAACAAAAAGTTGATACACTTCTAGATTTAATTTAAGATTTTGACCATTGGCCTATGAGCCAGAGAGATGTTTGTATTGAACTTGGGCCTGAAAAAGTTTCACATTCATTTTTAGAGTATAAGGAATGCTGGAATACCTCTGGCACATTGATTTATGAAACATTTTAAGATCATGTTCACTTTCTTCTCCACCAGATATCTATTTTCTCTACTTTGAACCCCCCACAGATGACCCTGTTATGAAGTGTGCTGCATATGAAGTTTTTGCGGGGTGGTTTATCCCCCACTGCAGTTCTTGGGCACTGGCCATTCACACACGGAGCTCTAGCCTTTAGGGGCCAGTGCTCAATTAAAAAATCAATGGAATTAATATAAACCTGAGTAAATTATCAATGGGAAAGTATGATTTAGCTTACAAAATTAATTTGTAACTTTCCAAAATGTTTTCTGATTGGTGAAGCCAACTTCCCCAGAAGTAAAACTCCTTACGACCTCAACTCAATACCTGATACCTGGTTCTCACTTGACTGGCTTATAGGAGGGGCCTAATAAATGTGGCTAAAATGAAATTAACGCTGTGTTCATCACCTATGTACAGTGGTCATGTTCATAACCGAATCTGCAGCTCTTCTAAGGTAGTCTCCAAGAGGGTTAAGCCAAAGTAAATTGCCTCATTTGGAGCCTTTGAGAGCATCTCTCTTACTTTTAGCAGTCTTTGGTCACTACACATTAGATTAAGATGCTAAGTATAATAAAGAAAAAATTATATGAATATATGACTTTAAATCTACCATTAAGAAACAGGAAATTAAGAGATCGCTTGAAGACATTTTATGCCAAATCTGCAACAATTTTGAATTTCTTATTATATTTTATTAATAATACTTCATGTTATACATGTTTATAGTATCTTATTAATTTTAAACTCCACTATGTTTAAAACCATTTTATGATTATTAGACCCTTTCATTCAGTCAGTATCTTGTTTTTCAGACGACTGAAACCTGGCTTTGAAGTGCTACCTGAAGTGTTCTTAAGTCTCATACTGAGAAGTCACCTCTTTATTGGCACTTAACGTTACGCATAAATAGGACCACTGTGCACTTCTTAGGACATTCCACAGAGAGTGCTACTTCTGTTGTAAATTTGTGCAATATTGCTCTCATATGTAAAATACTCTACAAACTGCCACCTTTGCAAAGTTCCCAGTCCCCTCACTTGTCAGTGATGGATGGTGATGCTTTAAGGGTCCATTTCAATAGAGGTATATTTCCCCCAGTAAAGACAAAGGAATGTTAATGGGCTAATAGCTCCGTACTGTCATGACTGACTTATGTGATATTGCACAAGGTGAGGACAGTGGAGCTGGTATTTTGTTTGGCATTCACCAGGCACTTCAGCCCTTTAGTGCATCATCTCCCTTCATTCTCACAACAGATAGTTGATGGGACACATAGCACGTGATCATGGGGCTAGATCTGAGCTCACACCATACACCGTCTGGTTGCAGATCTGTGCCTCTAAACAGTCTTGCCAAGTGTCCAGTGTGCTTTAGGTGCCAGGTGCTTCACAGACTTCGGAGGTAAATATTTTCCTACTATTTAGAAGTCATGTTTTTTCAGCACATTAGATTTTCTGAAGGTTTCTCTGAACAAAAGAACTTGCTGCAGATGCCAACCAAGATTCCTCCTCAGGGGTGTTTACCATGTAGTAGTGCCAAAGAAACCAGCGCTGTGCGTCACCTTCTACCTTATCTAGAGCCCTGGAGAGGTCACCTATCTGTCTGTGACTTAGATCGGTGGGCTTCGCTTCCAGTTCTCTGATTTAAGGCTTCTGTTAGAGCAGCAGCTGTAGCAATTTGCTTTTTGAATAGGCATATACATTTCACAAGCACTTTCACTTCAGCGGCCTGGAGGGGTGGAGTAAACTGTTATATCAGCTTCATAGATGAGGCAACAGAGCATCAGAGAAAAGGGACCTCTCAAAGCTACATGGGTCATAACTGGAAAAGCCAGGATACAAGCTCCTCTGCCTCATTCGCCATCACAACTCCAAAACTTGACCTCTCTCTCTGGGGCCATCTCCTCATTGGCTCATCGGCAGAATGAATGAATTGAACTCCAGCAGTGATTTTCAAACCCTGTTCCCTGGAGTATTAGTGGTTTCAAGGCTGATGGGGATTGAGATTTGGGTCTCTCCTTTAGCCAAAACCACTCTGCATTCATCTATTTTGCATACCAATGTTCCACATTGTCTTTAAAGAAAGCTTCTGTAGTAAGAAAATACTTTGAAGATTACTGATCCTCAAAGTTTTTATTACATTCTAAACTTTAACCTTTAGGGGCCAGTGCCCAGTTTAAAAATCAATTGAACTAATATAAACATGAGTAAATTATCAATGGGAAAGTAAATTGGTCTTACAAAACTAATTTGTAACTTTCAAAAATGTTATCTGTTGGGTGAATCCAAGAGGCTTCCCCAGAAGTAAAACTCTCTAGGACCTCAACTCAATACCTGATACCTGGTTCCCACTTGACTGGCTTATAAGAGGGGCCCAGTAAATGTTGCTAAAATGTAATTAAAAGAAAAAAATTTATTTTGATAGTAGTTTTAAGTAACACACAGACTATCAAAATGTATTTATTTTACACCTGTTGTAGTATGCTAGGATTATAAATATTCTACAATTAATTTTAAAGGACAATCACAATTTTAGTTTCTCCATTGAACTTTATTTTGCTTCATTCATATATATATTCAGTGAGTCTTCCCTCTTACCCAAGTCTCTCCATAAATGTCTTCATTATTTTACTGACTTGATGAATTCCCAGTTCCAAATGACGCTTCAAGTCATATATCTAGTTTAAAACTCCTGCAGTAAAATAACATTTCTAGACAGAATTCTGAATTCAACGAAATGTGTTTCTTTCTCTATAATACATTGTCTGTGTTATCTTCATTCTTGGAAGAGATTTGAGTAGAAGGATTGTATATGCTTCTTTTTATGGGATGCTATGAATATGAATACTTATTTAACAAACCAAATTATATTTCTCTCATTCCCCAAACTTTAGAAAGTTCTATGATTTCAGTTGATGGCACACACTAGAATTTGTGTAGAAGTTACAAGGAAATGGAGCCGCACTTGAGAGTTGCACCTTCATCTTGGGTTCAGCAGTGTCCTTAGAGTGAAAAGAGGGTGGAGGAGTTCTAACTGCATTCCAAGACCAAGTGATATTCTGTCCAAAAACTATCAAGGACAGACTTCTCTGCTTTTAATACTAGCTTTTTGATCAGAGGGCTCATGGGGTGCAACATGTACACCAACTTGCTGCCTTGTAAACTTGATCCTTTGTAAATCTGTGACATTTTTCCTTGTTACAAGAGTTTTATATTCTCATGTATATAAATACTGCCTTTGACAGGATAAGAGACTAGTGCCATGAATATTCCTTTAGCAGTGGTAAAAACTCTGCAATAAAGCTTTGACGTTTTAAGATGACAATCAAATGGTCCAACAAAGGGCAGGAGAGGCTAAAGTAAAAACCTTCACAGATGAATGGTTTTATTTCACATCAACTCTATGGTCTTAATGCTGCCTATCGGAGGCACATTTTTGCATCAGCCACATGAATTGGTGAACTTTAGTGTATATGGATCATAAAGTATTTCTTCACTTGAAGGTCATCTGTGGCTAAGCTGTAATTTCTGCAGTTCTGTGAAAATTAGCACTCTCTATCAACCTTGTCATTTGAATTGGGGATCTTTATGTAGATGTTTGATGCTTCTATTTCACTGCTGCTTTCCCTCTGCTATAGTGCTTAAAACAAATGGTGTCAGATTCACTCTAATCTAGTTTTGTGGTTTAATTTACTTGTGGGTGCCTTGGTTTTGTGGGTTTTGCTTTCCACAAAAAGATGTAATAGAATCTGATCTCACAGGCATTACCTTCTACACCCAAGGGCTTTTTCCCTCCCTTGTCACTTCTTCCCTATTAGCAGACATCATTTTACTTCAGGATTATTTGATTTGGTGTGATAAATGGATTAAGATCAAAATTAGCATCAAAATAATTATGGCAATTTGAAAAGACATCCATTGGGGGAACACTGTAAACACTCCAACTTCATAATGATAGGATACAGACATTTTGAGAAAAAGCTATTGTACAGAGGCACTGATGACAGGTTTTACTTCTGAGTTAGTTATTGTAAAAGCTCACATAGCTCTTATTTATTTTTGATCAGGAGATCATGTTTTAGAAGAAAGCATTTCATGGAAGTAAAATGGCATCAAAACTATTGCTTACTTTGAAAACATATTTTTGCCATTTGGCATTTTCTAGAAAATTGTATCCTTTATACACATGCAGTATGATTTCTGTCCTTCTCATACATTAGCAGGATTCAGTAGCAGACTTTCTATTAAATACAGTTGGCCCTTGAATAACACAGGTTTGAACTGCTCAGGTCCACTTATATTTTCTTCTGCCTCTGCCACCCCTCAGACAACAAGACCAACCTCTCTTCCTCTTCCTCCTCCTCCTCTTCCTCAGCCTACTCAGAGTAAGATGATGAGAATGAAGACCTTTATGATGATCCACTTCCACTTAATGAATAGTAAATATATTTTCTCTTTTTTGGGGGGCAGGGGGGCGGAGACAAAGTCTCGCTGTGTTACCCAGGCTGGAGTGTGGTGGCGTGATCTCAGCTCACTGCAACCTCCGCCTCCCAGATTCAAGCAGTTCTCCTTCCCGAGCCTCCCAAGTAGCTGAGACTACAGGCGCATGCCGCCACACCTGGCTAACTTTTTGTGTTTCTAGTAGTGACAGAGTTTCACCGTGTTGCCCAGGCTGGTCTCAAACTCCTAAGCTCAGGCAGTTTGCCTGCCTCAGCCTCCCAAAGTGCTGGGATTACAGGCATGAGCCACCGCACCAGCCTGGGATTTTCTTAATAACATTTTCTTGTCTCTAACTTACTTTATTGTAAGAGTAGAGTGTATCATACATCTAACACACAAAATTTGTGTTGTTATCAGCAAGGCTTCCAGTCAACAGGAGGCTATTTGTTAAAGTTTTAGGGCAGTCAAAAGTTCTACTCAGATTTTCAACTGCATGGGGTGGAGGGTCAGGGTCTTTAACCCCTGGCATTATTCAAGGGTCCACTCTAGTTTACTCAAAATAAAGGCTAAAGTATCTGTATACCCTTCAGATAATTCCTTTAAGCATCTCAGTGGTTTCATCTCAGTATTTATAAAGATTGACTTGAGATTTTCCCCACAAGGCCTTTGAGCTCAGATTCTATTGTGTGTTTTTTGTGGAAAGCAAAAACCATAAACTTAAGGCACCCACAAGTAAATTATAATTTTTAATATGAGCAATACTAGTAACATTAACAGTAGTAAATATAGCAGTTAACAGATATGAGATGCTTGCTATGCACTTCACACCCTTTTAAGCATTTACTTGGATTTCTCACTGAATCCTTACAGCCCCTTGGTCTAGATGAGGCAGTGCAAGGCAGGTATAGCCATGCCTTTGCTCTCCTAACCAAGGGCCCTTCTACTAAAGCATGCTCTTTAGTTATCCAAACAGTCTCTGTAGTGGGCCAAATGTTAATGCCTCTCGAAAAGGTGAACATGGTAAGACAAGATGAGGGCATTTTCATACTCCTCTCTTCAGCTGGGAGTATGTTTTAAGCAAAGCAGAATGAAAACATTTCCCTTAAAGAAATAGGCTCAGTGAAGACTCCCTCATTCCAGGATGTGAGAGTGCCTAGCGTCAGGTTACCTAGCTTCCATGTCTTTGTTTCCAGCTCCTCGGGGTAGCCTCTCCCTTACCCAAGCACAGGCAGATTCTGGTCATCACCAGGACATTTATCACAGCTCAGGTGTCCTGCTTATGCTCGCCAAGGCCCTGCTGGACGGCAGGCACTCCTTGCAGCACAACCCCATGAAGGGTTTTGGCTCAGCCCTCCTGTCTCTCAGGATTCCACCTCAGAATTTTATAATCACGTCGGCTGTAGCTCACAGCATAATGAGATCTGTGGATGACCTTATCACCACCAGGCTTCCATCAGAGCCCATGCCTGATGGTCACTGGCAGACTGAAGAAGAGAAAAAAAAATAAGCATAGGTAATTTTTACATATTCATGACAGATGCCCCCCATTCAGCATTCTTATAAAAATACGATCCTACTGAAACTCATTTTTAATGGTGACCCTGAAAATCCAAAATGGGGATCTTGCTTCTCCCCTCCATGTGGTCTCTGGGTTACAAGGAACATGTGAAATGATCCCTGCATGGCAGAGCAGCCTGTTACCATGGAGACAGCTTACTACTTTCCCAGCCCTCTGGCTAGTTCCAGGAACGTTAACTCCATACCAGTTTTAAAGAAATGAAAAGAAGTCTAAGGTTAATATCTAGCTTTTTAAAAGTTATAATTATTGAAAAAAGCACTCAAGTTACAAACAGACTCTTCTCATCTGGAAAGGATTACATTTAATATTATTAATAATAGTACTTCATGTAAGCAGAGTAACCACTGCTAAAAGACTCACATTCTGTTGCTGTTAATTGAGCCTTCCTTTTTCATATTTTACTTTCAGGCTTGGTATTACACTCATCTGGAGGAAAATAATTTTATTTATTCATATTTTGCTGTTTATGTATTATTTTTGTCTTTTAAATCTCAACATCCTCATGGAGACATGCTATATTTTTCTTATTTATTTTTTTAATTTTACTCTAAGTTCTGGGATACATGTGCAGAATGTGCGGGTTTGTTACATAGGTACACATGTGCCATGGTGGTTTGCTGCACCCATCAACCCGTCATCTACATTAGGTATTTCTCCTAATGCTATTCCTTCCCTAACCCCCTACCCCCCGACAGGCCATGGTGTGTGATGTTCCCCTCCCTGTGTCCATGTGTTCTCATTGTTCAGCTCCCACTTCTAAGCGAGAACATGCGGTGTTTGGTTTTCTGTTTTTGTGTTAGTTCACTGAGATTGATAGTTTCTAGCTTCGTCCATGTCCCTGCAAAGGACATGAACTCATCCTTTTTTATGACTACATAGTATTCAATGGTGTACATATGTCACATTTTCTTTATCCAGTCTATCATTGATGGGTATTTGGGTTGGTTCCAAGTCTTTGCTATTGTGAACGTGGTTGCAACACACATAATATGTGCATGTGTCTTTATAGTAGAATGATTTATAATCTTTTGGGTATACACCCAGTAATGGGATTGCCGGGTCAGATGGTATTTCTGGTTCTAGATCCTTAAGGAATCGCCACACTGTCTTCCACAATGGTTGAACTAATTTACACTCCCACCAACAGTGTAAAAGCATTCCTATTTCTCCACATCCTCTCTAGTATCTATTGTTTCCTGATTTTTAAATGATCGCCATTCTAACTGGCATGGGATGGTATCTCATCGTGGTTTTGTTTTGCATTTCTCTAATGATGAGGGATGATGAACTTTCCTTCATATGTTTTTTGGCTGCATAAATGTCTTCTTTTGAAAATTGTCTGTTCATATCCTTTGCCCACTTTTTGATGGGGTCGTTTGTGGGTTTTTTTTGTAAATTTGTTTAAGTTCCTTGTCGATTCTGGATATTAGCCCTTCGTCAGATGGATAGATTGCAAAAGTTTTCTCCCATTCTGTAGGTTGCCTGTTTACTCTGATGATAGTTTCTTTTGCTATGCAGAAGCTCTTTAGTTTAATTAGATCCCATTCGTCAATTTTGGCTTTCATTGCTGTTGCTTTTGGTGTTTTAGTCATGAAGTCCTTGCCCATGCCTATGTCCTAAATGGTGTTGCCTAGGTTTTCTTCTAGGGTTTTTATGGTGTTAGGTCTTACATTTAAGTCTTTAATCCATCTTGAGTTAATTTTTTATAAGGTGTAAGGAAGGGGTCCAGTTTCAGTTTTCTGCATATGGCTAGCCAGTTTTCCCAACACCATTTATTAAATGGGGAATATTTCTCCATTGCTTATTTTTGTCAGGCTTGCCAAAAATCAGATGGCTGTAGATGTGTGGTGTTATTTCTGAGGCCTGTGTTCTGTTCCATTGGTCTATACATCTGTTTTGATGCCAGTACCATGCTGTTTTGGTTACTGTAGCCTTGTAGTATAGTTTGAAGTCAGCTAGCATGATGCCTCCAGCTTTGTTCTTTTTGTTTAGAATTGTCTTGGCTATGCGGGCTCTTTTTTGGTTCCGTATGAAATTTACAGTAGTTTTTTCTAATTCTGTGAAGAAAATCAATGGTAGCTTGATGGGGATAGCATTGAATCTATAAGTTACTTTGGGCTGTATGGCCATTTTCACGATATTGATTCTTCCTATCCACTAGCATGGAATGTTTTTCCATTTGTTTGTGCCCTCTCTTATTTCCTTGAGCAATGGTTCGTAGTTCTCCTTGAAGAGGTCCTTCACAGCCCTTGTAAGTTGTATTCCTAGGTATTTTATTCTCTTTATAGCGATTGTGAATGGGAGTTCTCTCATGATTTGGCTCTCTGTTTGTCTATTATTGGTGTATAGGAATGCTTATGATTTTTACACATTGATTTTGTATTCTGAGACTTTGCTGAAGTGGCTTATCATCTTAAGGAGATTTTGGGCTGAGACGATGGTGTTTTCTAAATATACAATCATGTCATCTGCAAACAGAGACAATTTGACTTCCTCTCTTCCTATTTCAATACCCTTTATTTCTTTCTCTTGCCTGATTGCCCTGGCCAGAACTTCCAACACTATGTCGAATAAGAGTGGTGAGAGAGGGCATCCTTGTCTTGTGCAGGTTTTCAAAGGGAATGCTTCCAGTTTTTGCCCATTCAGTATGATATTGATTGTGGGTTTGTCATAAATAGCTCTTATTATTTTGAGATACGTTCCACCAATACCTACTTTATTGAGAGTTTTTAGCATGAAGGGGTATTGAATTTTGTCAAAGGCCTTTTCTGCATCTATCGAGATAATCATGTGGTTTTTGTCATTGGTTCTATTTAGGTGATGGATTATGTTTGTTGATTTGCATATGTTGAACCGGCCTTGCATCACAGGGATGAAGCCTACCTGATCGTGATGGATAAGCTTTTTGATGTGCTGCCAGATTCGGTTTGCCAGTATTTTATTGAAGCTTTTCACATCGATGTTCGTCAGGGATATTGGCCTGAAATTTTCTTTTTTGGTTGTGTCTCCGCCAGGTTTTGGTATGAGGATGATGCTGTCCTCATAAAATGAGTTAGGGAGGATTCCCTCTTTTTCTTTTGTTTGGAATAGTTTCACAAGGAATGGTACCAGTTCCTCTTTGTAGCTCTGGTAGAATTCGCTATGAATTCATCTTGTCTTGGATTTTTTTTGGTTGGTAGGCTATTAATTACTGCCTCAGTTTCAGAACTTGTTAATGTTTCTATTCAGGGATTCGATTTCTTCATGGTATAGACTTGGGAGAGTGTATGTGTCCAGAAATTTATCCATTTCTTTTAGATTTTCTTGTTTATTTGCGTAGAGGTGTTTATAGTATTCTCTGATGGTAGTTTGTATTTTTGTGGGATCGGTGGTGATATCCCCTTTATCATTTTTTATTGCATCTATTTGATTCTTCTCTCCTTTATTAGTCTGGCTAGTGGTCTATCTATTTTGTTGATCTTTCTAAAAACCAGCTCCTGGATTTACTGATTTTTTTGGAAGGGTTTTTCGTGCCTCTGTCTCCTTCAGTTCTGTCTGATCTTATTTTTTGTCTTCTGCTAGCTTTCAAATTAGTTCGCTCTTGCTTCTCTAGTTCTTTTAATTGTGATGTTAGGGTGTCGATTTTAGATCTTTCCTGCTTTCTCTTGTGGGCATTTAGTGCTATAAATTTCCCTCTAAACACTGCTTTAGCTGTGTCCCAGATATTCTGGCACATTGTGTCTTTTTTCTCATTGGTTTCAAAGAACATCTTTATTTCTGCCTTGACTTCGTTATTTTTCTAGTAGTCATTCAGGAGCAGGTTGTTTGGTTTCCATGTAGTTGTGTGGTTTTGAGTGAGTTTCTTAATCCTAAGTTCTAATTTGATTTCACTGTGGTTTGAGAGACTGTTTGATATGATTTCCATTCTTTTGCATTTGCTGAGGAGTGTTTTACTTCCAATTATGTGGTCAGTTTTACAGTAAGTGTGAAGTGGTGCTGAGAAGGGTGTATATTCTGTTGATTTGGGGTGGAGAGTTCTGTAGCTGTCTATTAGGTCTGCTTGGTCCAGAGCTGAGTTCAAGTCCTGAATATCCTTGTTGATTTTCTGTCTCGTTGATCTGTCTCATATTGACAGTGGGATGTTAAAGTCTCCCACTATTATTGTGTGGGAGTCTAAGTCTCTTTGTAGGTCTCTAAGGACTTGCTTTATGAATCTGGATGCTCCTGTATTGTGTGCATATATATTTAGGATAGTTAGCTCTTCTTGTTGCATTGATCCCTTTACCATTATGTAGTGGCCTTCTTTGTCTCTTTTGATCTTTGTTGACTTAAACTCTGTTTTATCAGAGACTAGGATTGCAACCCCTGCTTTTATTTGCTTTCCATTTGCTTGGTAAATATTTCTCCCATCCCTTTATTTTGAGCCTATGTGTGTCCTTGAACATGACATGGGTCTCCTGAGTACAGCATACCAATGGTCTTGACTCTTTTTTTTGAGACAGAGTTTTGCTCTTTCACCCAGGCTGGAGTGCAGTGGCGCAATGTCTTCTCATTGCAACCTCCACCTTCCGGTTTCAAGCAATTCTCCTGCCTCAGTCTCCCGAGTAGCTGGGATTACAGGCACCTGCCACCACACCCGGCTAATTTTTGTATTTTTAGTAGTTACAGGGTTTCACCATGTGTTGGCCAGGCTGGTCTTGAACTCCTGACCTCGTGATCCACCTGCCTCTGCCTCCCAAAGTGTTGGGATTATAGGTGTGAGCCACCGCGACCAGCCGGGTCTTGACTCTTTATCCAATTTGCCAGTCTGTGTCTTTTAATTGGGGCATTTAGCCCGTTTACATTTAAGGTTAATATTGTTATGCGTGAATTTGATCCTGTCATTATGATGCTAGCTGGTTATTTTGCCTGTTAGTTTATGCAGTTTCTTCCTAGTGTTGATGGTCCTTACAATTTGGTATGTTTTTGCAGTTGCTGGTACTGGTTGTTCCTTTCCATGTTTAGTGCTTCCTTCAGGAGCTCTTGTAAGGCAAGCCTGGTGGTGACAGAATCTCTCAGCATTTGCTTGTCTGTAAAGGATTTTATTTCTCCTTTGCTTATGATGTTTAGTTTGGTTGGATATGAAATTCTGGGTTGAAAAATCTTCTCTCTTAGAATGTTGAATATTGGCCCCCAGTCTCTTCTGGCTTGTAGGGTTTCTGCAGAGAGATCTGCTGTTAGTCTGATGGGCTTCCCTTTGTGGGTAACCCGACCTTTCTCTCTGGCTGCCCTTATCATTTTTTCCTTCATTTCAACCTTGGTGAATCTGACGATTATGTGTCTTGAGGTCGCTCTTCTCGAGGAGTATCTTCGTGGTGTTCACTGTATTTCCTGAATTTGAATGTTGGCCTGCCTTGCTGGGTTGGGGAAGTTTTCCTGCATAATACCCCTAAGAGTGTTTTCCAACTTGGTTCCATTTTCCCCATCACTTTCAGGTACACCAATCAGACATAGACTTGGTCTTTTCACATAGTCCCATATTTGTTGGAGGCTTTGTTCGTTCCTTTTCATTCTTTTTTCTCTAATCTTGTCTTCACACTTTATTTCATTAAGTTAAACATCAGTCTCTGATATCCTTTATTCTGTTTGATTGATTTGGCTATTGATACTTGTGTATGCTTCACAAAGTTGTCGTGCTGTGTTTTTCAGCTCCATCAGGTCATTTATATTCTTCTCTAAACTGGTTATTTTAGTTATCAATTCAGCTAACCTTTTTTCAAGGTTCTTAGCTTCCTTGCATTGGGTTAGAACATGCTCCTTTAGCTTGGAGGAGTTTGTTATTACCCACCTTCTGAAGACTACTTCTGTCAGTTCATCAAACTCATCCTCCGTCCAGTTTTGTTTCCTTGCTGGCTAGGAGTTGTGATCCTTTGGAGGAGAAGAGGCGTTCTGGTTTTTGGAATTTTCAGCCTTTTTCAGCTGGTTTCTCTCCGTCTTCATGGATTTATCTACCTTTGGTCTTTGATGTTGGTGACCTTTGGATGGGGTTTTGGTATGGATGTCCTTTTTGTTGATGTTGACACTGTTCTTTTCTGTTTGTTAGTTTTCCCTTTTCTGTTTGTTAGTTTTCCTTCTAACAGTCAGGCCCCTCTGCTACAGGTCTGCTGGAGGTCCACTCCAGACCCTGTTTGCATGGGTATCACCAGCAGAGGCTGCAGAACAGCAAAGATTGCTGCCTGTTCCTTTCTCTGGAAGCTTTGTCCCAGAGGGGCACCCGCCAGATGCCAGCTGGAGCTCTCCTGTGTGAGGTCCTGACTGTCCCCCAGTCAGGAGGCACGGGGGTCAGGGACCCACTTGAGGGGGCAGTCTGTCCCTTAGCAGAGCTCAAGCTCTGTGCGGGGAGATCCACTGCTCTATTCAGAGCCAGCAGGCAGGAATGTTTAAGTCTGCTGAAGCTGCACCCACAGCCACCCCTTCCCCCAGGTGTTCTGTCCCAGGGAGATGGGAGTTTTATCTGTAAGCCCCTGACTGGGGCTGCTGCCTTTCTTTCAGAGATGCCCTGCCCAGAGAGGAGGAATCTAGAGATGCAGTCTGGCTACAGCGGCTTTCTCTGGCTGCAGTGGGCTCCACCCAGTTCGAACTTCCTGGCAGCTTTGTTTATGCTGTGAGGGGAAAACTGCTTATTCACGCTTCAGTAATGACAGATGCCCCTCTCCCAACCAAGCTCGAGTGTCCCGGGTGGACTTCAGACTGCTGTGCTGGCTGCAAGAATTTCAAGCCAGTGGATCTTAGCTTGCTGGGTTCCTTGGGGGTGGGATCCATTGAGGTAGACCACTTGGCTCCCTGGCTTCAGCCCCGTTTCCAGGGGAGTGAACGGTTCTGTCTTGCTGGCATTCCAGGCACCACTGGGGTATGAAAAGAAACCCCTGAAGCTAGCTCGATGTCTGCCCAAACGGCTGCCCAGTTTTGTGCAGGAAACCAGGGCCCTGGTGGCATAGGCACCAGAAGGAATCTCCTGTTCTGAGGGTTGTGAAGACTGTGGGAAAAGTGTAGTATCTCGGCTGGAATGCATAGCCCCTCACAGCTTCCCTTGGCTAGGGGAGGGAGTTCCCTGGCTCCTTGTACTTCCCGGATGAGGCGACGCCCAACCCTGCTTCTGCTCGCCCTCCGTGGTCTGCACCCACTGTCTAACCAGTCCTAATGAGATGAGCTAGGTACCTCAGTTGGAGATGCAGAAATCACCCACCTTCTGCATTGATCTTGCTGGGAGCTGCAGACCAGAGCTGTTCCTATTCAGCCATCTTGCCAGCCCTTTGACTTGCTATATTTTTCATGCCGACTGTCCCTGTGCAGACAGGATACATTCTTGTTCACTCTTCCCTGTTGATAGGAGGTTTTGTAGGTTTTGTGTGCAGTGTTTCTATTCCTGCTGATTTCTTAGTTGAAAACTGGTGTAATACCTCAAGGGATGTAGACAAATACTCAAGGTTATTTTATAATAAACTGTGATGTACTAAAATATTTAAATGTAGTTTTAAGAAAAATGAATGCAGGTTGAGCATCCCCAATCTGAAAATCCAAAATCCTAAATGCTTCAAAATCTGAAACTTGATGAGCACCCAAATGCCGCTCAAAGGCAATGCTCATTATAAGTATAATGAAACTATTCCAAAATTTAAAAAAAAAAATCAAAATCCAAAACACTTCTGGTCCCACACATTTCAGATAAGTGATACTCAACCTGCATTTAATTATTTAAACTGTATTAAACTGTATTTATTATAGTTTAAAAATTAAACACGTTTAACTTCAGCATATAAGTAATTTCAGTATATAAATAAATTTTTGAAACTGAGAAAAGTAAGCTTATCTATTCAGTCTGTTGGGGTCTTGCTTAATACATACCTCAGTTCTGATCTCTCCTGTCCCATCTGGGCAGATTTAGTACTCTCATATAGCACATTAATTTGCAGATACTTATTGTTATTTCATACCAATGTTAAGATTTTTAAATAGATATACGGATATGAATACTGTATGTATATCAAACTGTGTTGTCATTCCTTTTAGAGTAGATCTCACCTATGTCTTTTTTAGGTATTTTATTACAGTATTTCTTAATGTGCATTTTCTACTATGTGGCCTATTGTATTCTACCTAAAGGGCTTGATGAAAGCTCTGTGTTTTATGTGCTTGATTTCATTTTAAAGATTTTTATTGATTTCAGTCACTCTCTTCAGTCTCTCCTTACCAACTGCGGGCTCAGCATCCAGAAACACCATGTGTTTGTTCTAGGGTTCCCATATATCCTGTCAATTTGCCCACTCTTTCTGCCTCCTCCCAAGCCATTTCTCAGTACTGTCTGGCCAGACCTCTCCTCGTCTAATCACTCTGCCTGTCCCTTTCTTTTCTCTTGTAACTTAGATTGTAGGGAAATCTTTTGGAAATCAGAGACTGTAAACTCTGGTCTCCTGGTTCTGTGTAATATACAGTGTAAGTATTAATATATTTCACAAACTACTAACACTGAAATGGCACTTCCCTGGAGTTAATCTGGTGCTTCCTTTAGATTTTGAAAAAAAAAAAAAAGTCATGGACTCAGTTTGGGGTACTGGAGTTATTCCCATCAGATACATTCTGAAGCTGGGTGGGCTCCTTCAAAGAGAGCAAGGGTGGTGTATTTTGGTTTTGTTCTCAATTGACTATGTTTCCTATTGTATAAGTTTTCTAGGCTGCTCTAGCAAAATGCCACAGACTGGGTGGTTGAGACAACAGAAATGTTTTGTCTCACAGCGCTGGAGACTGGAAATATGAGATAAAGGTATCAGCAGGGCTGGTTCCTTCTGGGGGCTCTGAGGGAGAATCTGTTCCATGCCTCTCCCAGCTTCTGCTGGTTTGCTGGCCATCTTCGGTGTTCCTTGGCTTATAAGAGTGTCATCTCCATCTCTGCCTTCATCTTCACATAGTGTTATCCCTGTGTCTGTGTCCAAATTGCCCCTTTTTATAAGGACACCAGTCTTATTGGATGAGGGGCCCAGCCTACTCCAGAATGACCTCCTGTTAACTCATTAAATCTGTAAAGACCCTATTTGCAAATGGAGAATGTTATAGTACAATGCATTCTGAGGTATTGGAGGTTAGAACTTACACTAATGAATTTTGGAAGACCCAATTCAACCCATAACACATACCATTGCAATAAAACTGGTTTTCTGGCCGGGCGCGGTGGCTCACGCCTGTAATCCCAGCACTTTGGGAGGCCGCAGCAGGTGGATCACGAGGTCAGGAGATCGAGACCATCCTGGCTAACACAGTGAAATCCCATCTCTACTAAAAATAGAAAAAAAAAATTAGCTGGGCATGGTGGTGGGCACCTGTAATCTCAGCTACTAGGGAGGCTGAGGCAGGAGAATGGCGTAAACCTGGGAGACAGAGCTTGCAGTGAGCCAAGATCGTGCTACTGTGCTCCAGCCTGGGTGACAGAGTGAGACTCCGTCTCAAAAAAAAAAAAAACCTGTTTACTATTCCAAGTCTATTTACTGATTTTACAATAAGCAGTGATTTTGTAAATCTGTAATTTTGATCTTGTGTTTGGATCAAAATATAGTACAAATCAAACACAATTGGTGTGAGTGCATTTAATAAATGAAGTCTTGACCATTTGTGTGTTGCCAAGCTCCAAAAAGCAGTCTGATCATTCATGTACTTGCAGGGTCCATTTATTTCTAATCATCCTAGCTTAACTTCATTTAAAGAATAAATTAATCGTTTTTAAACTTATGCCAGCAGTTGTTAATTCCCAGATGGCAGGTGAACTCTCTAAACATTTTTTTAAAACTTTTCATCAAATAGTAATTCCATTTTAACCCAAAAATAGCTTTTTGTTTTCTTTCTTAAAACATGACCATGATGCATCGTCAATCAAAATAAACTGAAGTATTTATTAATTACAGCTGTATTGATTTCTACTCTAAACTGACTTCCTCCGAAATCTAGTATGTTTCATGTTTCAAGAATTAATTTCTTGATGGTACTCTGCTGCACTGTAATTTAGTCATGGTGGATTGAGTCACCAGATATTAAGACAGTCATGATTGCAAATGACAGATGGCATCCAGTGGCTCACCATTGTTTGTACCTCTTGGTACCCATTTCTCTGAAGCTACAAGTACAGCCATGAGGCAGTGATAACTGTCTTAGTTGGAGTCTCAGAGCTCATGCTTCATTTATTCCCAAGGCAAGGCACTAAAAAGCCATAGTTGGAGCTGGAGCACTTGCCAACTTGTATTTCTGCCATTTAGAAGGTGCTCAGTCCCTACATCTAAAATTTGAAGGGAAAGGAAATCTTCCATATGAATGCCACTTTTCGTTATTTTCCAGACCATCACATCTTACTTTTCCTTTCATTCAACAATGATAACTTATTCGCCAACACTTTTCAAGAATGTGTTTACATGAAAGCAGAGCAAGCATGTTAAGAGACCCAGACTGCAAATAACTTTGGAACGGCTTCAGTGTAATTCAAAGTGAGTCATCCTGCCTCAGTTACAGAATGAGCAGCTCTGATTGACAGAACTTGGAAAAGCTAACACAGAGCGGCAAAGGGTATTCCCCAAACCTTAATTTATTTCTGTTTGAGAGCAAAAATATTGGGAAATTATCCATCTACAGCTTACCTTTTCTTACTGTGTAATTTGATTTTAATGCTGGAGGATTTACCGTTTACATAATTTGATCTTCAATGAAATTACTCCTTATGTCCGACTTTTGGTTCAGATTATATCTAAATTAAGAGATTAATAATTATTTTTAAAGGTAGTGAACTAGCGTAGATCAGATGGTATGATTCCTGACTACGAAAAGGAATTTATTTGGGCAAGGATTACTGGTATGTCTATTGCTTTTGTTGCGTAAATGAATTGATTTCCACCTACGCCATAACAGTGTATCTCACATGCAACGACTAAGCTGGAGTTGCAGGAGCTTTCTTGTCTGCCACTGCCCTCAGCCTCCATTCTCCCTTCCTGGTGCCCCAGTACAGCCTCTGTTCTCCTTTTTCATAGTTTCCAGTGGGAGCATCTCCACTTCCCTTCTTTTTGAGGGGCCTGGTCATCTTCACTTCCACACAGCCCACAAACTTCTCACTTGTATCTCTCCTGGTACAGTAGCCATGCCATAAAACAAGATGGATACTGATCAGTTACTCAGGCTAGAAACTTCAAAGCCATGAAACAGGTTCAAGAAGAGAGTACTACAATTAGACTTACGCTTTAGAAAAGTCAGTCTTTTACCTGAGCAGTATTATATAGTACAATGCTTGTTATGAAAAAAAAAAAAAAAAAAAAAAGGCCAATTGAATTAAACAGCTTTGCAAGGCAGAACAAACTCCTATTTTGTTTAAAATTTGCTGAACTTTGTAAGGGGGTACAGGAAGGTTTATGCATTTGGGTCAATGAATGCAATATGTACAGAAGGGCATGTATTTCTTTCTTTCTTTCTTTATTATTATTATACTTTAAGTTTTAGGGTACATGTGCACAGTGTGCAGGTTAGTTACATATGTATACATGTGCCATGCTGGTGTGCTGCACCCACTAACTCGTCATCTAGCATTAGGTATATCTCCCAGTGCTATCCCTCCCCCCTCCCTCCACCCCACAACAGTCCCCAGAGTGTGATGTTCCCCTTCCTGTGTCCATGTGTTCTCATTGTTCAATTCCCACCTATGAGTGAGAATATGCGGTGTTTGGTTTTTTGTTCTTGCGATAGTTTACTGAGAATGATGATTTCCAATTTCATCCATGCCCCTACAAAGGACATGAACTCATCATTTTTTATGTGTTTCTATAAGCAAACATTCATGTCCCTTCCCAGACATATCAGTCAACCTTGATAATAAATTGCAATCATTTTTACTACTTTAACCCCTTCCAGGAGGTGTAAGGTATAATAGTTAGTCCTAATAGTTTTACATTTCCGGCACATCCTGTTTTCTAACCTGGCATTCCATACAGCATATGTGAATATGAATAAGGATTCAAGTGAACTTCATGTCCCTCGGAATCTAATTTGGGCAACAACCATTTCTAGAAGGCCCCTTCTCCTCCTGCCTCCCACAGCCCCACACTGTTCATTTAATGACTTTTTTTGAAGTTCACGTAGTGCTGTCTGCTAATTGTGACACATTGTTGATTACACTCTAATCTAATTGTCTGGGTGCCTTGCCCAGCTAGAGCACAGTCCCATAGTAGCTGGAACTCTGTCATTCTTTCATTCACTTCTCATTGCCTTGAGAGCAGGGCTTACCTATTATGTATGTTATGTATTTGCCAAATGAGTGAATAAAAGACTAAGGAGATATTTTAACTCTTTATTCAGCACCTTATCTTTTGCTTCTCTGCATACCCATATTTCATGCTTTGATTTTTCTGCAACTCTAGTCTTTAAAGATTTACCTGTCAACTTAAGAAACACATTGATTGGATAAGATGTTTCCTGGCAGTGTAATATGGAATCATGTGGTTGAAAGGGACACTATAGTTCCACCTGTTCTTCTCCAAGAATTGCAACAAAGCATTTTCAACCTCATCTGCAGCCAATTTTAAGGAAATCTAATAAAGAGGTTTGCAGAGCACCTGAGAGCAGCTAAGATCCCAAGACAAAGTAGAAAATTACCTATTGAAACTACAAATAAAAATGAAATTTAAATATATCGTTTTATATATGGGCCATTTGCTTGCTCAATCTCTTTGTACCTGGGAGTGGAGGGAAAGGCTGGGAGTAAAATGGGACTGGATTAAAATATAGTGATTGTAGATTTTTATGACATATGAAATAAATTGTAAATATTAAAAAGTTGACCTGTAGTAACATGCTTGCAGCCATCTATGTTATTAAGACAGTACTTAACGAGTTTTGAAACAAGTACTCCTGGCAATATTACTACTATTCTTAACCTATATGTGATAGACATTTTCAAAAAGTCATCATATCTGATTGCCTTCTATGCTGTTCTTTAAATGTTTGAAATCGTGTTTTTATATATGAATACAACCAATCAGAATACAGGTACATTGCTTCAAGTACTATTTCAAAAAGTTTCTCCAATGACATGACTCAGCGATTTCTTAAAGGATAGAAAAACACTTTGTTAATGGAGAAAACCAGAAGTCCACCTTCTCTTGGAAATAAATGTTGAATTTTAACTGAGTAACTTTGCATCAGCCACATCGTATTACTGACATGTATTAGGTGGTAGATTTCTGTAGTAGCAGTTCTTTAAAGGAAAAAAAAAAAAAAAGGATTTCTTTTCCATTGCCTTCTTTTTTTTTTTTTTAACAAAATGAGATATTCCTCAGATGGGTAACCTTCAGCTTTGCAGCCTGAGGGCCATACCTAGGAAGTGGAACTAGGTGCCTTGGGTCAGCATTGTCCTGTGTTAGGGGGAGGTGGTAATTTCTAAGACTTTTGCCATTTTCCTGAAATTGCTTTGGGCTCCATGTTACCTAAGGTTTGAGAACAAGCTCTGAAGCTGGATACACGCAGGTTTCATCACAGCTCTACCACTCAATATCAGGGTGCACTTGGCAAACAAGTTAATTAACTCCTGGAAACCTCAGGCTCCTCAGGATTGTGTGGATTAAATGAGAAGATAGATATAAAGCACTTAGCATATTCTGCTGTTCTGTTGGCTCAATTTTTATTGCATTTAAAAGGATAGTTGAAGTCAGGCACAGTGGCTCACATCTGTAATCCCAGGTGGGGAAGATTGCTTGAGCCCTGGAGGTCAAGTTTGCATTGAGCCATGATCACACCACTACACTCTAGCCTGGGCAACAGGGTGAAACCTTGTCTGAAAATGAATGAATGAATGAATGAATTTTTTTTTTTTTTTTTTTTTTTTTTTTTTGTGACAGAGTCTGGCTCTGTCGCCCAGGCTGGAGTGCAGTGGTGCGATCTCGGCTCATTGCAAGCTCCGCCTCCCAGGTTCACGCCATTCTCCTGCTTCAGCCTCCCGAATAGCTGGGACTACAGGCACCCACCACCATGCGTGGCTAATTTTTTGTATTTTTTTAGTAGAGACAGGGTTTCACCATATTAGCCAGGATGCTCTCAATCTCCTGACCTTGTGATCCGCCCGCCTCAGCCTCCCAAAGTGCTGGGATTACAGGCATGAGCCACTGCACCCGGCCTGAATGAATTTTTTAAAAAGGATAGGTGATTTATTTTTCAGAACTTTTTAGTTTTCCTATATTCAGATGCCTTTTTCAACTTTGAATGTTTATGCAAAGCTTGGGAATCTGATTGTTGCCCCAATATAAATAAATACACTGTTGTAGTCCATTGAATTAGAACAAAAGTGTCTAGTGAATTTGAATTCCATCCAATCACTACTTTTCACTTTGCATGGTTTCAATCTGCATTAATTTCAATTCTCGTATTTTAGTTAAATAAAACCAGTTCCCCAACGTCACAGTTCAAATCTTAGTTACCATAGTATATTAACTGTAATTAAATAAAGTGCAAACCTCATAGTTAGGTCTTCATTCCCCAAATCACTCTGTAAATAGCAGGTGCTCATCATGATCAATGACCAATCATGCCCCTTCTTTCCATGTCTGCTGGTGATGGTTCTGTGCACATTTATTATTCAGTTTTCACACAGACAGGAAAGGTTGTCCTTGTGTTGCCTCCCCACCAAGAGTGATAACTCATGTGGAATTTTACAAAAATAGATTTAAAAGATGGAATTAGTCAACAAAGATGGAAACACAGCAGGGCAATGAAAAGTGGCAGTCAAATTAGAATCAAGCATGTGTAGAAGAAATAGCTGATGGTGGGGATGTTGACACTGCTCGTGATCTGGGAGGAGACTCTGGATAGGCCAACAGGAACCCAGGGAAGGCAGACTTATCAGCATAAATGAGGAATGGGGTTTTGACAGAAAGGACAAAGATATCCCATAGGAAGTGATATCATCAAAAAGCTTTACATTAAAGGAGTTCTCAGAAAGCACAAAGGATAAAATGTTGGAAGCTGACCCAAACTTACAAAGGGCAGTTAGCCAAACCATAAAAAAGATGCTCACGCCATACTGTATGCTGTGTGATGAGATGAAGTCACACACCATTCAGACTACTCCTGATACATTTTTAAAACTGAAAGACTGAAAGTCTAAAACCTCAGTGTGTTTATGTTGTCAGTTACTGTTTTATAGTGTTCATTTCCCTTCACATTTATAACTGACGATAAGCGAGTTTTAACGCTTTGACAAAAAGTTTTAAAAGGTCACAGAAGAGTCATAATTTTTGCCGTTGATTATTAAGTACTCATTGCATGGTTTTGGGTTATATGGTTATTTGTACAGCCATAACCTCACAAAGCAGGGACTGGCGGTGGTAAAAAAAAAAAGTAGTCAAACCACTACTGTTGCCGTCTGGATTTTATGTTACTGAAAAATTAGTTAACACATTCTCAATATTATCAATAGTTTCCTAGCCTGTTAAAGGCAATTTATGTAGTAATAGATGCCTTATTGATTACAGAACTTGACTTTCTAATATTTGCTACTTTTAATTTTCAAAAAGTCCTGAAATTAAATATTCAGACTCACATTTCTGTGGTACTTTTAGTGAAATATTTTTGCAACATTAAAGTTTTTTGTTGTTGTTGTTGTCCTTTTCATTTTAAAAGAAGGCCCACCGGGATTCTCCATCAGCAAACAGCCAACCCACTGCATTATACATAGCAAGTTTTAGTGACAGTTCTAGTCTCTTGGGCATGAGAAATACAGTCTTGTTTGCTCGTTTAAGTCAACAAGCTGTGGGATTTATTGTGTGTTTTGTAGTATGCATGCAGAATGTTTTGATTTTTAAAAGTCTAAAATAATTGAAACTGTCTTGTGTCATTCAACCCTGTAATAAGTACCTATAGTTTAAAACCTCAAAATTGGTTGGTTTTGAAAGATGTTTGTATAATGCATAATAATAAGCGCCTCTGGATTATTTTTAATGCATCAGATCCTGTGCTATGGTCTGTGTAAGAGAAAGGAACCCTGATTACAGTTTTGGAGAGTGTTCCTGGTGCCCCCAGCATGCCCATGGTGGATACCACATCATTATGCTGTGCTCTGAGGGGCCTCATTCTGACAGCATGCTTGGTTACATACCGTAATGAAAAGCCTTGTTTGGGGAACATTTGTGCTTTTAAATATTGGTTTCATCATGTCCAGGGAATGAAGCTGATTTAAACATAGCTCACAGTAAATCTGAGAGTGGAAAGTTTGATTTTACCCACTAGTCTTTCTAATTTTTTACTAATGTAACGTCCCAATCCATTGTGTAGCAGAGAAGCTAGTTGAATTTGTTCTTCCAGGGGAAGAGGGCCCTTCTTATACATGAGTTTATATGAAGTTTTTCATGTAATGTATTTTATCCTTCATGTTCATCAGCTTTACAGAGAAAAACTTAAAGAGTTCTTACTCCAAAACATTTTGTCTGAGCCTGGGGTGAAGATTACTATAAGGAATGATTGAGCAACAAGATGCCAGTGATGGTCAAGGAAAAAGTCAAAAATGTTGATTTTGAAGATCCTTTACTAATTCACAAATTCTGGTTGTTTTTATTTTCATCTATGAACAAGGGCAATTTCAAGAATAGGAAGAAGGAGGAACATAGAGCCTCAGCCAGCATTGACGTGGGTGACACCTTCAGAACGGTTGTAGGAGCACAAAGAGTCAGCCTGGTGTCACTTGCTGGCAGGCCTTCACTTCAGATCTGACCTGAAACAACACACAGAACCTCTCCTTTGGCTTAGATCCCATGTGAGGCTTCCTGGCATGTTCGGATAAATGGATGGCTTGGATCGAGGCTGCTCCTGACTTCAAGTTGTAGACCAGCCTCCTGGCCTGGTCTCCTCAGCTCTGGAGGCTGGCCTGGAAGCTCCAGATGATTCCAGGAGCACAGCCTGCTCCATGACCGTCCTCAGGCGCCAGCTCCTGCTCCTCCTGTCTCATCCGGGGGCGGTGAATTCCCCATATTCATGGGTTATGACTGGGCTCAGACTGTTCCTTCTGCTCAGAGGGCCTGTCCCGGTCTCCCACTTTTCCATGTTGTGAACCATGGTGAAAATGTTGAGAATTCCTTCCCATACTTCCCAGGAGCTTCATTCCTCCTTCATCTGGGTTCTGGAAGTAATTTATTCTCAACCATGGTTCCTCCTGTTTGTTGGGTGCCCTTTATGTACAAGGCATTTGACAAGCACAGTCTCAACCCACCCAACAACCCTATTCAACCCTATTTATTACAGACTCTAATCGGTGAGGAAACTCAACTACCTTGCTCTGGGCTTAGCCAGTAAATAGTGGAATTTGGATTGAAACACTTTTCCTCTTTTACCTCTTACAGCACGTCGCACATTGTGTCAGTCTGCCGACTTCATTTCTGTCTTCCACACTAGACTAGGAACTCTTACGTGTCTTATCTGTTGATGACTTCCACTCCCATCCCAAGCATCCCCATACTTGGCCCACAGCCCTTGTTACATAAATGTTTATCTTGCAGGACCAATGAGTGAATGAAAGGAAGTTTGAATCAATTACCAACTAGCTGCAGAGTAAGAACAGAAGCCTCAAGAAAGATGAAAAACCAATTTTACAAATTTAACATAATATTTACAGGAATAAATTTTTGCTATACAAATCTAGCCATCACGAGAACCTGTGTAAATAGAACTCATAAAGACCCCAGGGCTTACTTTTTGGTCTTCAAGAAAAGGCACAGTAGCTGTTTTTATTAGCGGCACAGAAAAATGATTTTGTTTCCTATGATACTGATCCTGCACAAGTTTTTTTCTTTTTTTCTTTTGGTTACTGGCTAGGGGTATATGGAAATTCTGGGGAGGAAGGCTTGTTGATGTTCCTGTGGCTTATACACCTGCCCAAAGCTGTGCTCCACTGACACAACTGAAGAAGGACAGACAGGAAAACGAGGCCAGGAATCCTGGACAGGCCAAAGTGCCTGGGATACCCACGGGGGATCCAAAGGGCCACCAGGCATCCCCAGTGACATCGGAAACACGAAAGGCTGTAGGGTGGCCAGAGCCATCAGCCTCCCAAAATTGTCCACCCTTAGACTAAACAACATCCTGCTGCCTTCCCATCATTAACCTGCCCTTTTATGCAACTGATTTTTTATGGGAGAAAACAGTTTATTGCGGGTTATTCAGTTTACTTATTCAGAAGCTGTAGAGTGGCTCAGCGACAGGGACAAATGAAAATTCGGAACATCATACTCTCCATGTTTACTGTGATGATTCTTCTCTTCCATCACTGTCTATAAACAACACTGTGAGGACAGAATTCTCTGAAAAGCTAAGATATGGGACACCACAAAGGCCTGAAGCTTCCATCCAAAAGAAGTAATCTGAGTTGGACCTAGTGGGGATTAAGCATGCTATTGATTTAGTATTCATTTTTTATATTTGGACTGTTTAAAATTACTTATCCAAGAAATCCTCCAAGGCGCATGATTATATTATCATACTCATTTGTTGGGGAGGGTGGGGGATTGTAGTTATTAGTGTAATTTGCCCCAGACCAGAAAGTACTACTAAATGCTATGATTAGAAAAAGGAGAAGGAAATCTGTATTTATATGGAAAAGAATTTACTTAGGATGTTATTCTGCATTTTAAATTGTACAGAAGAGAAAGGAAAGAAACCGATTAAGATGCTTAAAATTTAAATTTCTTCTTTGGAGAATCAATGACTAAAATGTCTCAGAAGGTATGTATTAGGATCATAGTTGAAAAAAATAAAATATTCCACTGATTATATATAGTGAAATCTAATTAAGTTTTAAGTAAAAGTAATAGTATTTCAAAGATACTTTACCTGCTAGCATTCTTTTTATCATGATCTTTATTGACCGTAAATCAGAGCCCTTGGCTAAGGATACATTTTATTCCAGAAAAATTATTTCAGAACTTGATTTCAACTGTATTATTGGTCAACTATTACATTTCCTTTTTTATTTCAAATGTCGATCAACAGGGTGTAGCCATTTATAATATTTATAATTATTTATATCTACAATTACAGGCATTTAATTTGTCATTTGAACAATGATATGACATTGTGCTAAATACTTCAAGGAGAGACACAGAAGGGGAAATATTATTGGTTATTACTTCTTAAATATAAAAGTTTGTCTTTAAATAGCTGTGAAAGGTGTTATAGGAGCATAGATTCCGAATTACAAGCCAAACATAAAATCTTCTAAATGTTATTTTGGAACTATACTTTCCTCAAGATAGCGTTATTTTTAAATCTGTGAAACTGACTTGATTGAATATTGTTTGTTCATTATAGTAATTCATACATTTAATGTTAAGAAAAATATTGGACTTCAGAATAATATGAATGAATTAATCCTTATAAAAATAATTGTATGTTTTGTATTTATGTACAAGCCTGTGAATCTCTTTTCCCAAACATAAAGCAAACTTCCAAATACACACATTTATTTTGTACCAGCCCCCATGCTCATCTGCCTGTATATTTGAAAAATAATTCTGAGCTCAGAAAATCACTCTCCATGTGATGGGTATGAAAGTATGCACTTCACTGCTAAATTTTCACTCATACCTTATTTTTGGCTTATATTCCTGTGAATTTTTAAAATTTCATTTTCTGTTTTTTAAACTCAGTAGATTCAAAGCAGGAATTGTGAAGTGGATTATAAATACAAATAATTGTGAGAGGTTGGGGAACTTCTGGACTTGTGAATGATGGCAAGACATTAATAGCTAGCAGCCTGGTTCCATGTGGGAACACTGGAAGTCTAAAACATTAGACATCTACAGAAGGTGTTTATGTGTATTATAGTAGCTAAGATAGCAGCCGTGAATCATCAATAAATGAAGACATGTAAATATATAAACTACTTTTTAATTTAAAAAAAGAAAAAAAAACTACTTTTAAAAGATTCCATCAGAAATGCTGATTTAAACAGTTTCCATCCTTACATAAACATGTGAGTGAAAAGACATAAGCTGCTATTTTCTAGGTCCCCCACGTGTGTGCAAACCCCTCCTTCTCTGACCATAGGAAGTAATCGAAGAATTAATGCTGTATTCTCTTACCCATTCACTTCACACCTAGTTTGTGCCTGGCATTGGGCTAGGTACTTTCTATACCTTACTTAACTAATATAAGTGAAGTAAATTCACCCAATGTATATTCATAGTTTGGGTTAGTTACACTTCAAGCAAAAGGCCACTGGTTTAAAAAAAGACAAAAGTTTTTTGGGTTGTTTTTAGTACAGTTTACAATTATAACAATATTAAAGTTTAAAATTAGTACTTTTGGCTGGGCATTGTGGTTCATGCCTGTAGTCCCAGCACTTTGGGAGGCCAAGGTGGGCAGATCACCTGAGGTCGGGATTTGAGACTAGCCTGGCCAACATATAGTGAAACCCTGTCTGTACTAAAAAAAATACAAAAATTAGCTGGGCATGATGGTGCACACTTGTAGTTCCATCTACTTGGGAAGCTGAGGCAGGAGAATCGCTTGAACCCAGGAGGCGGAGGTTGCAGTGAGCCAAGATTGAGCCACTGCACTCCAGCCTGGGTGACAGAGTAAGACTCCGTTTCTTAAAAATAAAAATAAACATAAATTAGTATCTTCACATCAACAGCTTACCTAATAATTTTTACAAATATGCTCCACCTCACATTTGTTTGAAAAATCATGTACAGCCCCTTGTATAAAGCAAGACTTCTGAAGTCTGAGTCATTGCAGTCTTTACCTTGAGCATATGTTTGTAACATTAGTAACAACCCCCACTCATCCTGTAGCTGAACTTCACCTGGGTGATGATTTGACTTTTCCACAGTGCAAGATGGTGCTGAGGGTCCACTGGGCCACGCCCCTGGGCTCTCCTGGGGTTTGTCACCCCACTTTGTTGGAATATAGCTTGGCCCTGTCTGGTCCTGTTCCAGTTGAGTGCTGGTTCTCATTAATAGCCTCTGGGAGTGATTTTTTTAAACAATATATTCTTAAGATTCCCAAAGGAAATATGTCTGGTTTTATGTTTTTAAGGGATCTTTTAAAGTTTTCTGCATAGTAAGTGTCTTAGTCCACTTAAGGACTAAGGGCTAAGGACTTAAGGACTAAGGACTTAAGGGCTGCTGTAACAAAATACCATACCCTTGAGTAGCTTAAACTACAGACATTTATTTCCCACAGTTCTGGAGGCTGGGAAGTCCAAGACCAAGATGCCAACAGATTTCGTGTCTAGTGAAGCCCCACTTCTGGGCTCACAGATGGACATCTTTTCACTGCGTCCTGAAGTCGTGGAAGGGAAGAACTCTTTTCTCTTCAGCCCCTTACAAGGGCACCATTCCCATTCATGGGGGGGGGCTCTGCCCTCATGATTTAATCACCTCCCAAAGATCTTGCCTTTTTTTTTTCATTTTACCAGTTTAAAATGAAAATTCTACATATGATTACTTTATGTCTGCATCTTTTCAATTGTTTCTTCCTTGTGTTTGCCCTTTCTCTTGCCTGCTTGATGAGATTTGGCTTTCTGTCCAAGGATCTTTCTTTGGTCTCTGTTCACTTTCAGCCTAGAAGTAACAGCTGGAGTGAATGCCCATGTGGACAGTTGTGCCATTAGCCTTTTCCCACTGCACCTGCTCAGTGTAGATGACACATTTCTTCCTGTAAACCTTGACTGTTTTGCCAGTTTGCTGACATTTATAGTGTCCTCACACAGCCTGAACTTCATCATCCTTTCAGATGAGCATGGATCAAACACTGTACTTCTGTGTCAGCTCTTTGGAAAGAGAGGAAGACGTAATCTTCCTGCGAATGTGGAAAGGTGCCTTGAAATGCCATTTTGTGGTTCTTGCTTCAGTCAAAAGTCACAAAGGGATTAAACTTCGTTTTGGCCACTACCAGTTCAGTGATAGCCACAAAAGGGAAGACATTCTTCCTCTTAATACTATCACATTGAGGATTAGGTTTCAACATACAAATTTGGGGGGCACATTCAGACCACAGCGATAGAGAAATAAATCTCCGACTGGAAATGATTCATTAATAAAGAAGTGTTTGCTGGGCACAGATTTTTAATGTCACTTCATAGGTTTTCATTTCTGTAATTGCTTTAGATTCATGTCTTAGCTGAAACTTCATAAAGCAAGGAAAGAAGATAAATGGCAAAGCAGAGTATAAGTGACTTCTTGGTATTACATCGGGCCTTAAAAGTCTTATGCTTACTTACTGTCCTTTGTCCCTTTCTTTTGGTAATCTGTGTTTTAAAGTAACTGACTGCCCTGCCATTGTCATCTGCACATTTGATAGGTTTGCTCTAGCTTAACCTCTGGGTCTTTAATGAGCATGCCCTCTCTCTTAAGAGAAAGAACAATCACTCAAGGGCTAATATTTGTGCAGGGAGATACTATTTTTCCAGCTATTGCTATGATGTGAAACAGAATCAGAAGTGTTGATAGATCTGTCCATGACTTGTCTCTTGTCCATGGGAAGGGCTTGTACTGGTCTGGTCTGAGAGGGTTACTACTAGAAGCCACAGTTGCTATTCCTCGATAGTCTAATAGATTTATATTAAATAATTATTTTTCTGGTAATGATATAAGAACAAATAATATACTTCCCTGAATTCTCAGAATTTTCTTTAAAAGCTGTAGTTATATAACACTCAGAAATCTATACTGGCTTTCCCAAGTGTATTCACCCTACCCAGGGCGTCATCGTCTCAGCCAGCCTCATGCTGACCTCAGTAGTTTTGTGATCTTGAAATTGCTGCTCCAAGTTCACCTCTCTTGAATCCCAGGCATTCTATGCAAGGCTTCTTTTTCTGTATTCAAACACTGACAGGCGAGTTCCCTTCTTAATTACCTGAACAAGTTGGGGAGGATTTAGATATCTCCACTGGCAGCAAGGTGAGAGACCAAACCACGAGCTGAAGGTACAAGGGTTGAATAAGCATCAGCTATCAATGTGAGCGCTAGGCCCTGTTCTAAATGGGTCCCATGTGGAGATTCATTTAATCCTGACTTAATAATCCTAGGAGATGAATAATATTTTATCTCTTTTTGCAGATGAGGAAACTGAGACCAAGAAAATTTGAGTAGCTGCTGAAGGACATTCAGCTAGTTACATACAGTATTTAAACCCAGCAAGTTATCTCAGCCCCGTGTTGTGTTGCCCTCTGATGAAGGGCAGCAAGGGAGATGGTCTTCGCTGGAATCAGACCACTAGAATTCCCGAGTGCTTTGGGGTCACCAGTCCTCTCTATTGGAAAGTTGTTTTTTTTTTTTTTCTTAATTAGTAGTTGGATCACTGTAAATTCTAGGCAAATCGACTTTCCTCAGAATATGTGACTCATCTTGACTAACAATCTTTTCCAAAATATTTCATTGCTCATCGGCTTGTACCCACCCCCATGCCCCACCCTGGCCAATTTCTTAAAGACTACTTTCCTGGCTCAATTTTCCTTTTCTTTAGAATGACAAAAAGTAATTCCTCTTCCATATAGTTTGTTTAACTAAAGAATACTATTAATACACCATCTTCCCCAGACAACGAATTCTATACACAGCACAGGTGGACGTGAGCACACACGTGCAGAGACATACATACAAACACACACACACTAGTCAAAAGCGGAGCCTGAATCATTTTTTTTATTTTTTATTTTTTAAATTTTTTGGAGACAGAGTCTCGCTTTGTTGCCCAGGCTGGAGTACAGTGGCACAATCTCGGCTCACTGCAACCTCCTCCTCCTGGGTTCAGTCGATTCTCGTGCCTCAGCCTCCCGAGTAGCTGGGACTTCAGGCACATGCCACCACGCCTGGCTAATTTTTGTATTTTTAGTAGAGATGGGGTTTCACCATGTTGGCCATGCTGGTCTCGAACTCATGACATCAGGTGATCTGCCCACCTTGGCCTCCCATAGTGCTGGGATTACAGCAGAGTCTTGAAGTATCTAAGAGCACCTTGGGACTTTTGCCCATCCCTGGCCTTTATCTTCCAGACATCGGTACTGTACAGCAGATGGCTAGTGATACAGTGTACCTTATTCTGGTGTTGAGAAATGTATTATGCTGAGTATAACTTAGGCTAGGAAAAAACTTTATTCCTGATAAAAAGTAGTGTTAGCAGAGGTAGAATAGCATAGTGATGATAATCTGGGATTTGGAAGCCAGAGAAAGGCCCAGATTGGAATCCCAGCCCAACCACTTGGAAGCACTTTGGACCCTGGCCAGTTCGTTCACTTGTTTAACAGGATATTTGTAAACTCTGTGTACCAGGTCCTGTTTTAGGCCCTGGGAATGCAGAACACAAAACAGATCAAGACTGCTTAAATACTAGTATGGAAGACATACATACGTACATACATACATGCATGCATGCCTGGTAACCAATTGGCTGTACTTTTAAAATATATTCAGAAAACAACCAGCTTTCACCACTGCCATCATGGTTCAAACCCCTCGGATCATTGCATTAGCCTGTTAACTGTTTCCTGCTTCTGTTCTTCCCTCTTGCAGTCTTTTCCCAACAGAGCATTCAGAAAGCTCCCTCTAACCCGTGAGTCTGAGCCCTCTCTCCTGGATGCAAAACCTCACAGTAGAGTCCCATTCTCCTTGAAGACAGCCATGGTCCTTGACAGGTTGTGTCCATTATCTCTCCATCTCCTTCCTCCCATGCCAGCCACACCTGTCCTCCAGGCCTCTGCACTTGTCTTTCCCCTAGCATCTCTGTGGTTACTCCTTTACCTTCTTCATAACTTTGCTCAGATATCCCCTTTTCAATGAGGCTTTTCTTATTTGACAGATAGAACAATGCCTGAATAAAGAAGGAGCTAACCCACCTATTTCATATACAAATATGCCAACCCTAATATTCAGACCAGATATATTTCGTAATACTTTTAAATCTTCTGTAACACATCTGTGGAATAAGCCTATTTTGAAGTTCTTGGGAGTCCTATTTCTCCCAGGCACTGAAACTTGAATGTGTCATGATAGTAAACCAAGAGATTATAAATGAATGAACATTCAGTTTCCAGGAAGAGATTAAAAAAAAGACAAGTAAATTACCTTATTTGTTTTGTCCAGAATGTATTCCATTTAAGGCTTATAATTCTCAATTCTTGAGGCTGGAGAACAGATTGTAGAGCATCAGGAATGGTTTGCTAACTCAAAACCATTTCAAGCTTCTTAACGCGATGCACACAGCATTTGGGGGCTGCCTTCAGGAGTATAAGCCTAGCTGCTCCCTCGAGACCTAAAGAAAGCAAGTGAGAAGGTGAGTGCATATCTCAGGATCTGACAGGATGGCTGAAAGCAAAGAGCCTCTATTGTGGCAGGTTTATTTTATAGCATTTTTGTGCCGATCTGTCCAGAATCCCTTAACCGGTGTGAGGGAAAAATCAGTATTATTAGGTAAACCAATTAGGGAATCTCAGTGAGGTATTTTTCTCTGAATCTAATAAAGCAGAAGCTAACTGAGCTCTACCTGAGAACAGTTGATGTGATTCGATGTGGTGCTTTCTTGATGGCAGCTGGACACAGATACTTTATTCTAATTTACATCCCAGTGGGATGACCCATGAACCAGTATTCGAGAAAAGAGCCAGAAGAAAACTGCAGAAAAAGCTTCAGAAACCTCAGCTTTGATACATAAGCACAGAGCAACAGAACTACTGCCAAAAGTGGGGATGGCAAATTTGGGGGAGGCTTTAACCTCTCAGCACCTCAATTTCTTCCTTGGCCACATGGTAGTCATGAGAAGCATCTATAGTGGAGCCAGCCTGCCTTGTTCAAATTCCAACTCCATCTCTCTCTAGCTAAGGTAGAGCGAGGGTTTTCTTGGGTAAAGTATTGAATGCCTTAGCATCTTTGGGCCTCATTTTCTTCATTTGTAAAATGAAGGGTAGTAATAGCCCCTGCCTCATAGAGTCATTGTTAAGAGTTAATATGTTCGTATTTGCAAAATGCCTTAGAGTGGTTCTGGCACATAGTAAGCACGGTCTGAGTGCTATTTCTATAATCATTATTATTATGTAGTATGTGCCTAATGAATATGTACATAAATAAACATAGTCTATAACCAGAAGGCATTTTTGCAATTTCTTTATTTAATTTGCATTAAACTTAATAGAGTGGAGACTTAGTTCTCTGTTAAACTCTTTCAGAAAACTAACGGACATTAAATACAAGACAGCATGTTTAAAATTAAAATTAAGAAGTATCTGTCTTTATAGATAATTATACAACACTGTCAAATCAGCTTCCAGAAAATATCGGAAAGATTCTAGAGTAACATCTTTGGATGTGAAAAAGATAAATCCTGTGTTCACAAATGTCATTAGCTTTATGTTTAGCTTTAAGTTTTAAAAATGTTTACCCCATTGTCATTAATCTCTTTATTGATAATAATGCTATTTCCATAATCCCAAGGGACCCAATTCAATATATTTCTTCTCTTATTTCTCCTTTCTCCACTGACCTTGTTCTGTGACATTACTTTCCAGACATTTGTTGAATGAGCATGGTCTGTCCTGGAAATGCCAATGCAGATTGATACAGCCAGAGATTAAGCCTCAGTCAGGTCTCAAGAGCCAGAAAGCTCTGCAGATTTACTAACCATGAGAATGGAAACTAGCCGCATTCCAGGACATTAGGATTTCACTCTTCCCATCCCAAAACGGGTTATCTTTTTTGAAGGGGGTAGGGGAGACCAAATTTCCGGTTGGGTCTGGGTGCTTACCGGAAGATTAGCGGTGGGAAGTTTCTTCAGACTAGCTTAAGTAGAAGGCTTAATTGCAGATGCTTACTTCTAAGGCAGGGTGGGGCGTGGTACCTGGGGCTGAGCTGCTGCTGCTTCCAAAGTGTCTGTGCTAAGGAGACTGTTTACCTTCAGTGCCTTCACACTTTTAGTTACAAAGCAGCAGCACCTTGTAGCAGCATCAGTTGTGAGCATCTTCCAGGCCACTTATGGATTAAAAACTCCAAAAATCCCCTTTTGAAACCATAAAAGCACAGTTTGAAAAGTACCTCATTCTTAGTGATATAACTTCAGATGTTATTTTGGTGCAGCCTGGGGAACACTGTTTGCCTGAAACAGGTAGCAGTCCTCATAATGATAAGTTTAAAAAGCCACTCAACCATATTCGTGCTGCTGGCCTTACAGTCTCATTTTTAGATTCTTGTTTTAACATTGCCTACAGACATTATTCTTATATTACTTCAAACATTCAGAACTAAAATTATTCATGATTTTCTGAAGAAATGAGATAATGGCATCCTTTAGAAACCAAAAAACAAATACTCTGAAAAGTACCTGTTCACTTGCCCCTTACTGGAGGTGGCTGGACTGAAATCCAGAATGGAGCCAACCCAAAGCAGGCAGCATTCCTGAAGAAAGTTCGTGTGCATGCCCTCCCTTTTCTCCCCTCATAACTTATTTTCTCTTAATTTGAGTTTAGAGGGTAACTTAGTCTGAGCTGCTATAGCAAAATACCTTGGACTGGGTAATTTGTAAACAACAGAAGTTTATTTGCTCAGTTCTGAAGGCTGGAATGTCCAAGTTCAAGGCACCAGCAGATTTGGTGTCTGGTGAGGGCTCCGTCCCCACAGATGGTGACTTCTTGCTATGTCCTCGCATGGGGGAAGGGACAGGCACACCCCCGTAAGCCTCTTTTATAAAAGGGCACTAATCCTATTCATGAGACTGATGCCCTCATGACCTAATCACCACCTAAAGGCTACACTTTTTAATACTGTTGCACTGGGGGTTAGGTTTCAACATGGGAATTTTGTGGGGGACACATTCAGACCATACTAGGGAGAAATAGTGGTGCGTAAATTTATCCTTGTGACTGAAGATCTAATATTCCAAATAACTTGGTTCTAACTGGCAAGGGTACTTATAGTCTTGTTGCAATCACTGTAGGATATATCCAGACCCCTCTGATAGCTTTAGTTCTTCCCACTGACCTGTCTGCAGAGATTCTTCAGGGTTGTACTGCTTCCCAGGCTGGCCTGTGGAAAGAGAGTATATGACCACTCTGCTTGTGGCAGTTCTTTGGTACTGACTGCACTCGGCATGCCGCTAAGCGCTCTCTTCAGATTATCTCATTCTACATCCTCAACAATCTGGTAAGGTTGGTTATTATCATTGCTCTTTTACTATTGAGAAAACCAAGACTCAGGTTTGAGTAAATAACCTGCTTCTGGGAAATGTAGCCAGTAAGCCACAGAGCCCAGGGCCAAGCCAAGGTCGGTCCGACTTCCAAATTCATACCTTCAGTCAACATTTGTACATCCCAGAATCGTGTCCTGGACTTAGTGACTCTGAGGACACCTTCCTCAAGGGCACATGGTTTCTACCTAGAGTGAGGAAATATGAACCACATGGCTGGAGCATATTTAAAGAAGATAGGCAAACTATGTTTGCACATAATTTTTTTTTATTATTTCAAATACCTGGTCCACAGCGTACAGTTTTCTTAATGAGATTGCTTTAGGAATCCCTCTTTATGTAGAAAGAGTGTTTTTCATCTTCCTGATCTAGCCCCTCTCATCTGAATTATCCACTGAACTATCCACTTTTTCATCTTCCTGATCTAGCCCCTCTCGTCTGAATTATCCACTGAATTATCCACTTTTTCGTCTTCCTGATCCAGCCCCTCTCATCTGAATTATCCTGTAGACTGTGGCACACTAAGGAATAATGGAGAATGTAGGAATAAGAGAATAACTCCACCAACAGCCATTATCTACCTGGAGAAATTCCAGGCAGGGCATTTCAGGAAGTACCTCTGGTATTTCAACAGGTGAACATCTTTCTGTGTAATTTATTTTTGTGTTGGAACACGAGCTTATGGATTGCTGGATCCCATCCCAGAAGTGGCTACCCCTCCACTGCAGATAAGAATAAGAGCTCCGAGGGTGGGACTGTCAGCCCATATTGTTGAGGTTTTGATTTATTACCCAAGAGTTGTGTTCTAAAGATTCCCTCATTTAAAGTACATGCCTCTGGGATCCATGAAATTCCCAAGGTGGAGAAACAAGAATGGATGTAACTAGGCTAGATGGAAGACTGGGAGAATAGGTGATAGTTACTGAAAAGCCTGGCAGGGTTGGGGCTGGCATCAGAATCCCCTGAGGCCCATTCCCTCCCAGAGCCAACATCCAAGCAAGGCGGAGTGTCCCCATAAGAAACATGGGAGAAACATGCCACTCCCTTCAGTTACACCCTTTGTTCTTTCAGTCATTTAAATATTTGAATATAAAGGGATGTAACGGTGAATAATGGATGCAGTGATGTCCTCTGGAGCTTGCTCAGTTCCAGTGCAGGAGACAGACAATAAATGTAGATTTTAGTCAGTGGCAAGTTCATGCAGAAAAATCAGCACTGTAATAGGATGAGGCGCGATGAGCCTCCAGATGCTGTGTGGCTGCTAGGTCTGGGGAGGTGCCATGCAAACAGGGAAGCCAGAGGCCCATTGATCTCTGTTGTCCACACGCACCACTGTGGATGCAGCTTCAATGGTCTCACTGATAGAACAACATAATAATGCTTTTGATGTATTCTCCTGTGGGTCTCAGAAGTCTAGTAGAGCTCATGAAAGTAAAGAGAAGTATTTGGGTTTCAGTCAATCTTAGCTTCCCAGATTCCAAGCATCCATATGAGAATGCTTCATTTAGTAAGTTTTGAATCTATGAAATTTACTCTGTACTGTACGGAAAACCTGTAGGAATGTTTTAAACTCATTTTTTGTTTGTCTTTCCCCTTGAATTGCCCAGGGACTATGCCAGATAGCAGAAATTATATAACGTTGGGAGTCTTCATAATTAGTTTACTTTTTAAGTTAATTTTATTATGACAATGTAATATAGCTACACATTCTGCATAGTATCCTTTAACCATGCCTCTTTGCTTATAGACAAAGTCTTCTTTTTATAGAGTTAATGACCTCCTTTTTGTCTTTCGCCGTATTTTCTAATATATCTGGAGTTAGATTATTTTCCCAAATGTTCCAGCATTCCTGCCATATGCCTTTGAATAATATTTCATGTGTGCTCATACAGACCTCTTTCCTGTATCTCTATTCCAGGGTCATTTCAGGGCCAGTTGCCCTCTAAGCTGTTCCAACAGCTGCTGTGCTGTGACTTCTCATCAACAGAATGTGGGAACCGCCTTTGGCTGCCCTTCTGGATGGAATCCCCTCTTTTCTTGGATCTCATATCTCTTTCTTTGTAGGTTTATTCTCTCACCTTACTGAAGCACACCCTCTGTAAGCCTCCTAAGTAAAGGGGCCTGGAAAGTATATTTTTAATCTCTGCATATCTACAAGTATCTTTATTCTATCCTTCTGCTTGAAGAAGGATTCTCTGAGCATAAAACTGTAGGTTAATGATTATTATCTCTTAAAAATAATTTCCCTCAATTTTGAAGACATTAAATGCTCTTTTTAAGTACAGCACCATTTTGGTTCCTGAATGTGCCCAGATTTTTCTCTAGAAGCTTTTAAGATCCTCTCTTTGTCTCTGGTGCTCTGGAATTTTACAGAAACTTGCCTTACTGTGGATTTTTTGTTTCTTTATTCTCTAGATATTCCAGCCCTAGAAGTACTTGTATCCCTTCATCTGATTAACTTTTAATATTATTTATTAAACAATTTCTCCCCTTCAACATCTTCTATTACCCTTGCTTATAATTGTTATTACTTGCTTACTGCATCTGCTGGGATGGATCCTCTAATTTTTATGATCTTTTCTTTCCTGTTTTCTAACTTTTGTCATTTTACTTTCTAGGACACTTCTTTGATATTTCTTCAAGCCCACCTATTGAATCTTTAAATTTTAAGTATATATTTAATTTCCAAAGTTTATTTTTGCCTTTTTCTGTTGTTGGGTTTTTTAAGTGCGTTTGCTTTTTATTTTAGGGCTGCACTAACTTCCCTTTTTTCTCTATTTCATTTCCTAGGCCTTTTGAAGTTCTCTGCAAATGTCCTTTGCATATCTTGTTTTCCTTCAGGTCGCTTTTGTTCTGTTTGATTATTTGAGTAGTCTCTGCCTTTCATGTTAGAGGTTTGGCTGCCCATTACCATTTAAAAGGGAGTTCCTAAAACTCAGAGCGGAATCTCAGCGTGGAGGTGGGAGTTGCTGATGATGGAGTGTGCTGTATGAAATCACATGCAGAGCTGACTTTCTCCAAATTAGAACCCCTAACTTCAGCAGGCGTCTCCCCCAGATCATACCTTCCTAGGGCTGATCAGTTTCTTCAGAGGGAAAAATAATTCCTTTCTGGAAAGCATCCTGTGTTCTGTTCCTTGCCTTATGAGAGCTCAGCAGAGCGGGGAGCTAAAGGTCCCACCCTTTGAAGGCTCCCTTTACCCTAGTCCTCCTGCTATCAAACTGCTCCCGCCTGCCAAGGACCCCCTGGATGCTGGCAGAGGTGGCAAGTGGTGTGGGAGCTTGCCTCACTGCCATATTAGGGTGGGGTTTCAGGAGCCCACTACTGCTCTATTTGGTGCTTCACAGGCTCTGTCTTTTCAACTTTGTTTCTGAGCCCACACTCTCTCAGTTCCTGCTCTTTGGGGGGTGGTGCCAGGCAAATGCACTCACTTCTCCCTGGGATCTTCCCCAGACACTTCGAATGATTGCCACCGTCCTGTGAGATTAGTTCCAATTCATCTGTACACTTTGTGTCTCTCTTATTCTTTCTGCTGTGTTTATTATTTTCATTTTAACAGGGAGTTGGGAATAAAAAGAGATAAACTAAATAAATCTTGCTACCATTTTGAACCAAAAGTAACCTTAAGGTTACTTTTTAATCACTGATTTTGTATAATTACACATTATTTAAATGATAGCAGTCAGACTATTTATCTAATATTCTGTGTATGATGCTATAATCTTTAGAACCCATTATGCAGAAAATGCTAAATTCTGTAGTACATGAACATGATATGGTAAAGATTTTATACAGATAGTAATTATAAATTATTTGATTAAGCATGACTTCTCCTTTATAAATACTCATCGAGAAAAAAATCTGTCAGCTATGCCAGACTTGTTTTCGTAGCTGTCGTGATTTAGATTCTGAGGTACACTTTCCCGCTGCGCATACTTCCTTTGGAAGACAGAATAAAAGCAGATTTCTGAGTTAATTAAGAGTGTTTGTGACAGGGATTTGATTTTGTTCTATTTATATAGAATATGTGTTTTTCGGATTCTTTACAAATGCAAAGGATAAGATATCCATGTAGGACAAAGGTCTTGTTAATTTTATATCTTTTATATCTCTGCTAGCCTACTTTACCCTGTTTCCCTTTTATTTGTTTCTGTTTCTGATTATTTAATAAAAGTGTCAACCTAGTGAAGGAGACAAAGTGGAAGGCTAGGTTCCCCATTAACATCTTACTGTTCAATAGGTTGAATTAGGATTGGGCTCTATTTTACTGACTAGAGGCCACATATACTGGCAGAACATTCAGTACTGGATTCGTTGGGTTACTCAGTCAGCCCACAGTAAGATGATTTGTACTAGAGGGAGCTCTTCACGTCCCTAATGACAATGAAATTGTGAAACCCTCAGCTTCTCTGGTAACAAAGCACAGCAGACCATTGCTAAGAGGAGTTGTAGTGGATCAATTCTTGGGTTGCACTGTCTACCAGAAATGCTTCCATCTCAAAGCCAAACAGATGGAACAGCCTAGTTACAAATAGAGATTGGGATTTCATGTTACGCTGCACAGGCAACCTTTTTCACTTGAGCTTTTCATTATCCTTGTTTATAGTCCTTAAATCTCAGAAATGCTGTCATAACCCATACTCTAGTGATGTATGTGAAGAGAGGTGGAAGGTAGGAAGGCGCATCCTAAATATGCCTGATGCATTTTGGGGAGATGCTAAAGGATGAGAAAGCCACCCTGTTTGCATCACTGATACTAGAACTGACTTGCATATTTAGGTGGAACTTAAACCTAGAAGCGTATGTTGTTTTCAAAACTTTTCCCATCACTCTACACTCATCTCTATTAAAATAGTCACTTAAAATGTAGAATTCATGAAGGAGACTTAGGAAATGTCAAATATGGTATCTCTGACTCTAGTTCCTCTAAATAGATTACATGATAATGAGGAATTTTTAAAGAAAAATGATTCTTTTTACGTTTGGTAGACCGCAACGTCAACTCTGCCCCAAATCCTTGTTCTTTGGTGCTGATTTTTTTAAAATCTCTTATCAAAATATAACTTTAAAGCACTTCAGTTTACAGTAAGAAATCATTGAAATCTAGAATTGTTCTGCTTAGATTATTGTAATTTGTACATGAAAATATTATTGAGGCCAGGTGCAGTGGCTTATGCCTGTAATCCCAGCACTTTAGGAAGCCAGGGTGGGTGGATCAGCTTGAGCCCAGGAGTTCGAGACCAGCCTGAGCAACATGGCAAGACCCTTCTCCACAAAAAATATAAAAATTAGCTGGGCGTGGTGGCGCATGCCTGTAGCCCCAGCTACTCAAGGGGCTAAGGTGGATGGATCACTTGATCCTGGGAAGTTGAGGCTGCAGTGAGCCATGGTCCCGCCAGTGCACTCCAGCCTGGGTGACAGAGAAAGAAAAAAAAAGAAAGTTATTGAGAAACTCTTTCAAAGAACACTATTAATGTGTTAAATTTCTTTTGTTTCTTATCTCATCTTCTCAATGCAGTGTCAATTTAATATCCTCATAGACATGAATCGTTTCATATGATTGTGCTTTATTGCCTTCAGTACTATTTAAAAAACATTTTAATCCATGGCATATTCTGAACCATAATAATGGAAAAAGACTTTTTGTTCAAAAAGAGACTTCATTTTAAAATTTTGGAACAATTTAGGAGATAGTCTCATTTTTCTGATTTTTAGGCCAAAGTTTGACCCTAGGTTATTTTCTCAATATTAAAATATGACAAATGTGAGAGCCCATTTCTCCATATAAAATGTCTTATGACCTGAGAAACATGTCAATTTACATTGTAATTTTAACCTCTTGTTATTTTTTAAAATCATGATTGTTCCTTTATTTGGGAAGCAGATTATGGATCTCTGTCTCTTCCCCCAGCTGTTTTCTTTAAACATTTTACTTTGAAATTACAGATTCACAAGAAGTTGCAAAGATGGTAGAAGTTTCATGTGTCACCCGGTACCCTCCCATGGCTATATGTCTTATATAATTATAGTACAGTATCAAACCAGGAAGTTGAGCTTGTATGTATAGTTCATTTTATCACTTGCATAGATTTGTGTAACCACCACCACAATCAAGATCCTATTCTGTACCACAGAGATCCTGTGCTTTACAAGCACCCTCATGACTCCTCATCCTTATCTCCTGAAAACCACTAAATCTGTTCTCCATCTCTCTAATTTTGAGAATGTTATATACATACAGTATGTGACTGTGTGACATTGGCTTTTTTTCATGCAGCTGTTCCTCAGATACATCCCAGTCGTTGCATGCCTCAATAGTTCGTTCCTTTTCATTGCTGAGTATCAGCCATTGTATGGATATACCATAGTTTAGTTAACCATTTGCCCATTCAGAGACATTTTGGTTGCTTCTAGTTTGGAGCTATTACAAGTAAAGCTGCTCTGAACAACTGTGTATAGTTTTTGTGTGGATATAGTTTTCATTTCTCTGGAATAAATGCCCAGGAGTGCACTTGCTGGGTTCTATGGTAAGTGTATGTTTAGTTTTTCAAGAAACTGCCCAGCTATTTACCAGGGTGTCTCTACACTATTACATTCCTACTATCAAGGCATATAGTGATAGAGTTTCTCTGCATTCTTGCCAGCATTTATTGGGTGGTGTGTCTCTCTCTCTTTTTTTTTAATCTTACTTGTTCTAACAAGTGTGTAGTGATAGCTCATTCATGAATAGTGATAGATTTTAATGTCTTATAATGTTGACATCTTTTCATATGTCTATTTGCCCTTTTTATATGCCCTTTGTTGAAATGTCTTTTGCCCATTTTCCAATTGGATTGTTTGGTTTTTTTAAAGTTGAGTTCTGAGAACTCTTTGTATGTTCTAGATATGAGCCCTTTGTCAGATGTATATCATGCAGATATTTTCCCCAGTCTGTTGCCTATCTTTTCATCCTTTTAACAGAGCCCTTCACAGATAAAAAGTTTTTGTAATTCTAATCAGTCAAATTTATCAGTTTTCTTTCATGGATCACTCTTTTGATGTCATATCAAAGAACCCTTCATCAAGCCACAGATCCTAAAGATTTTCTTCTTTGTTGTTTCCTAATAATAACATTTTTTTATTTTACAGTTGACTCTATGATTTTGAGTTAATTTTTGTATAAGGTATGAGATAAAAGGTATGAGGTCAACGTTTATATTTTTGCCTGTGGATATCCAGTTGCTCCAGCACCATTTGTTGAAAAGTCCAGTCCTTTTTCTTTGAATTGCTTTTGCACCTTTGTCAAAAATCAGTTGGCTTAACTTGTGTGGGGCTCTTTCTGGGTTATATGTTGTGCTCCACTGATCTGTGCATCTGTCCTTCCATCATACCACAATCTTGATTACTGTAGCTAGATAATGTCTTGAAATTGAGTACACTGATTCCTCATTCTTTATTCTTTTATCTCAGAACTGTTTTAGCTATTATACTCCTTTGCCTTTCCATATAAGTTTTAGCATAATCTTGCATAAGCTCGCAAATAACTGATGGGAGGTTTTGCTTGACCTTCTCCCTCATTTTCATCTGGCCCACTTTTCTTACACCTGCTTCTTCTTTATTGTCTATCTTGTCTTATATGATTGTCTACATAGAAAATCTCAAATAATCTACACAAAAATGTAAATAAAAAACCCTAGAACCAAAAGGTGAGTTCAGCAAGTTCGCAGAATATAAGATCAACAGACAAAAGTCAATTGTATTTCTCAATAGTGGTGAGTATGTGGAAACTCATGTTAAAAATACTATACCATTTACATTGGCTCAAAAAAAATGTAATACTTAAAAATAAATCTAATAAAACACATCTAGAACTTATATGCTGAAACCTACAAAACACTGATGAAAAAAATCAAAAGTCTAAATAAATGGAGAGGAAGATCCCTATTTATGGACAGGAAGGCTCAACCTAGTGAAGATGTCAGATTTCCTCAAAGTAAACAGGTTTAGCGCAGTGGTTCTCAAATTCCATAAGGGGTTTTGGAGATTCTCTTTTAATCCATTTCATTTTTACAAGAACATCTAGAATTTGCATGTGTTTGGATGGATTGACCAGGGAAGTGATTTTTCTCACAATACACAAGTACTGTCAGTATGTCCAATTAAAAATAACCGTTTTACTATAAAAATATAGTTCACACCTTCTGTATGACAGACAGGCCCTGTGCTCAGTGTCTTCCAGCCTTCACGCCATATCACCTTCACTATCACCCTGTGAGGAAGGTGCTGTTATTATCCCATTTAACACATGGGAAAAGGGAATCACACAAATGGAATTCTCTTGTCCAGAGTCACAGAGCTAAAAGACAGGGAAGCAGGATTCAGACTAGACCAACATGAGTCCTGCATCTGCTCTGCGTTCAGTGTTCCACGGCCTCCTAGGGGTCTTAGGGCCTTCTTTGGTTTCATCAGGATTCTCACATCAAGTGCTCTCAGAGAATTCTACTTTTCGAAAAATCACTGTAATCCTTACATCACTTCCCTCACCAGCACCCTGTGAGGCCCTGTTTTGAGTTTCCCCAGTCTACTCTAGGATTTCAGTTTCAGTTAGAGAGCTGAACCCAAGGATTATTTAAATTGTCCAGCCATAGGGAAACATTTGATAGATACTTTTCAGGAAAAAAAAAATTAACTGTGTTTTGAGAATGTTGATTAAAAGAGCCCTTCTCATCTGTCAGAGAAGGATGGCTGTATAAGTATTTGTCTTTTGCCCTGCAAGTGGGGGAAATGGATTTGGGGATGACACATCACTTTTCTGAGGTATCAGAGGAAGTAGGTCACATTTTGCTGTTGATCATAATGTTTGAAAAAGCTGGCATTGAAAAATGAGAAATTGCATTTTGAGTAGTTCTTTGTCCAAAGACTAGAAATATTTTCTGAGACAAACAATAAGTTTTATATTTTTTTTTCCATCATCTCCCTAGGATAACTTTTCTTTTGTGGTCAGTTTTAGCCTGCTAAAAGGAATCATTGGCTCTTCATAGACGTATTGGCTGCATTTATTGAAATGTCTTTTCAAGTATCCTTGTAAACACAGGAAAGCTTCACCTCCTGAGTTCTAGAAACAACGCTGGGAGTGATCCAGAATGCCTTAGTAAATAAAATAGATGAAGGTTTAAAAGACTCCGTCTATCTTTAGAGCTATTAAACAAAAGAGAAACATTCAACATCTTCCCTCTAATAGTCAATAAGAAAGAAGAATGTCACAAAAGAGTTCGATCCCCTCTAGGCTAATGGAAGGGAAACCACCTGAGTCAGAGTTGGTCTGGAGAGGCAAGCATTACACCCAGTGGTCTCTGATGTCATCTCAGCTCTGAGCCAGTGGCCTCAGGGGTACTGTGTCCCAACTGGAGAATTAACAAGGTGATTACTGAACTGTAATTGCTGGCTAAATGTCTTCCAAAGACTATCATAATCTCAGAAATAAGCTGACACATTACATGCAAATATAACATGACCTTTTAGCACAGTTTATTGCAGAAACATCCACCTCTCGATAACATTAGAAGCTGCCTCCGTTCTCCAGTCAGCCACCCCCTTCGGGGCCCCTGTTGGTAGTATTTTAGCCCAATAAATGGCTCCTGTCCAGTGGTTCCCTTGGCCTGGAGGAAAGGAAGGCGCTGCTGGAGGCACTGTACACATTCTGTACCTTCTCATACATGCTGTATGAGAAGTATGTGAGGCTCGAGGCTCAGGACCATAAAGGATGTGAGGGATCAACCCTGGCACAGATTGCGGCTACTAGAACAGGGAGGAACAAAAGGCTGACAGCTTACCAAGGCAGAGCCACACCCATGCAGGGTCTCCAGTGCCCACGGCTGATGAGATGCCCCGCATCCTGCTCCTTCTTTCTTCCGCTCTTACTTTTTTCATCCAGTCTGCTTAAACCTCCCTCTTCTTTACTGTCTTTTTTTTTCTTAGATTTAATCTACTTATCAAAAACATTCTTGTCACTTTCTTAATATATTGCAATGATTTTTTTAATGCTTAAATTCTTATTACAGTTTATCTTTAAAATTCTGCCTTCATGTTCTGTCTTCATGTTCCTTTCTTCTTGCTTTGAAAGTAGAAGTTTCAAAGAAACATAGAACCTATTAGAAAGGAACTTGACATTCACCTGCCTCCTCCTTACACCCATTATAGGAATCCCCTCTAAAATTTCTTGAACAGATGTTAAGTCTACCTCTGCATGAAGCATTCCTAGGATAAAAAGCTAGCACTTCTTTAAAAACCAATGAATTCTAGTTTTGAACAGTTTGAATTGTTCAAAAATTCTTCCTTCTGTTAATCTGCAAATTGCCTTTATAGTCTATGATGTTCATCTGATAATGTTTTCTCCAGTTCGTTAAAAAGAACAGTAGCTAACATATATTGCCGCCTCTACGATCATGAGTCCTGGTATCAGCCCCATGGCACAGCTAAGGAACCTAAAGTTAGAGAGACGATTCTTCAAGGTCATGCAGTGGTAAATGGGGGAGGGGACTCACATGTTCTGACCCTAGGACCTAGAACCTGCGGTCACACCAGCCTTTCCTCCTTATAGGCACAGTTTACATTTTCCCTTAGAATCCAACTATAAAATCTCCTCCATCTCTACCCTGAATTGTGCAATCTGTTCTGTGGAATGTATGTGAATGCCTGAGCATGCCACAAAAACAGGGAATTGTGTCTCTTCCATTCATGTCAATACCTCCAGTGCTAGTAACAGTGCCCAGCGTGAGTATAAATTGAATGATTGAATCCCTTCCTTAGCTATTATATTACTCTATGAATTCTTAGCTGTTTTCTCCTAGGATCTGATTCCCTGTTGATAAACTTTAAGTTCACAGAAGCAGTACGTTCTTCCTCTGTCTTACAGATGATGAAATTATCACTCATCAGATGATTTGCTTCTGCCAGATGTCTAGCAAATGGAGAGTTGCAGCAACCTGTCCCTATTAGGTTTTGCCTCCATGACCATGAGGCCGTTGTTTACACATCAGCGTCTAAGAATATTCCCACAACAGTATCACTGTCTTCCTTTTCATGCTCTCTGCCTTGTGCCCACCCTCAGCCTCCAACAGCAATCCATATAGGCACAGGCCCCATCCCACAGAAGCTCTCTTCACTGCCACTCCTTTAGAGCCCTTATGATTAAAAAGGCCTTCTCCTCCAACGCCACCGACCAGTTAAGAAAAATCCCATATAACCGCCTGACACCTATAAGTCATTATTCTCTGGGTTCAAATTTTTGGTCACATTTTAATCCCCCTGTTCTCAGCATTAGTGTAAAGTCTTTCCTGTATCAATGCATTTTTCTTTCTGTTGTGTCATTCCCAACATGCTGCCTTTTTTTTTCTCTGTTGCCCAGGTGGAGTGTAGTGGCAAAATCATAGCTTACTGCAGCCTCGAACCCCTGGTCTCAAGCATTCCTCTTGCCTCACCTCCCCCGCAACCCCATTAGCTGGGATTCCAGGCATGAGCCACTGCTCCCAGCCCATGCTACTGTTTTTACCATTGAAAAATAAATATCCTCTCTTGGTTCTGCTTACCAGCCTCTAACTATTACCTCCTCTCCAAACTCATGAAACAAGCCACCTATATCACCGTCTCCTGTTTTATTCTTCCCATCTCTCCTGAAACCCTGCCAATCACTTTACCAAAACCCTTCTTATCTAAGTCAACAGTAATTTCCACCTTAGTAAATCCTTGCTCTGCTTTTCTTTTCAGCACCCATGCTTGTCATACTACATACTATATTGATCCATTGATTAATTGATTGATTGCCATATATGTGAGCTCCACATAGTGTTTATTTTGTTCACTGCCTGGCACATTTGTAGATGCTCAGTAAACACTTGCTGAATGAACAAATACTCTAGTGGGGGTGTCCTGCCTTCTAGTTCTTCTGCCTATATAAACTTGATTAAACAGGTTCCCTTTGAAGTGATTCCCTTGAGGGCAGAGCTTAGGGGAAAGTTGCATTGCGTGGGTCTGCATGGTTGAAGGATCTGTCGCCAGAGATGGGCTCAGGCTTCACCAGGATAAGCTGATTTTTATCTAATCAGGTCATGACTAGACTGTTGGTTTTCTGTTGCCCAGAATATATTCTAATTTCCTTAGAAAGATATTAGAATACTTATTTTCCACGAAGGAGGGTGTCGCCACATTTTGAGATCCCCTTGGAGAATCTCACCAAAGAGCTTTTATTGTCACTGCCTCATATTGGATTCATTGGGCCTATTTTTTATATTTTATGAATGCCTCTCCTCAAAAAGTTTTCACATCATCTTCCTGCCTCTCACTCCCCCTCACTGATGTATCCTCCAGCACAGCAAGTACTCCTAACCGCGGCTTCTCCCTGTAGTAGGTACACACTCTTCCACCGTAGCAGGAAGGAGTTTTGCTGTGAAAGCAGCATGGGGCTTGGCATCGTACAGGCTGGGGGTGGTGAGGGGGGCGCTGGCCAGTATTTTTTTTTTTCCTTCCTGGCTGATGTTCAGGTCTGGCCCCTCTTCAGTCCTTGTGGCCACAGATGTTTCCATGACCATCCAGAGCAGTCTTAGGGCACAGGCTTAGAATACAGATGGCCCCGAGGTGGACAGCAGCTCCTTCAGCTCACTGACCGCAGGCAAGTCATTGAGACCCTCCATGTCTCTGCTTCCCCATCTGTCAAGTGGGAGAATGACAGGTGCTGGGCAGGGCAGGTAAATAGGAGACATCCACCCTGCCTGGCATGAGGTCTGGCTGCTGACAGGCGGCCAACAAATGATTGCTGCTGTGGTTCCTCTTCTTAAATTGAAGGTGCCTGTGCCCAAAATCAAAAGCTTAAGAGATCATGAGGCACCAAATATCAGCAACTACCTTATACTGCAAGCAAAATTATGCTCTTTCTTGTTAAAACGTAGGAGAAAACTTCATTTCTAACTCAACAACAAGAAAGCTAGAGACTGAGAATAAAATAACTGTTTCTAAAAGCCAACTCCCTTTTTCACTTTGGGGAGTTATTTTTCTTTAGTAAACAAGAGTGAGAAGCTTAAATGTTAATCAAGATAGAAGCAAGTGGTATCATTTTAACATAAAAGCATGATGGAATCATGTAAAAAAAAGTACATTTTATTTTAATGTATATTGAAGGCAAAGTTTTCATGTCTAATGAAAGATGTATTTTGCCCTCCCAGCAATGTCTGTAATTTTTTAAAGTATTGATCAGATTACTTTTAATGTTGGTTTTAGATTATTATAATCCTTAGAGAGCCTCTTAAGTGAGCTCGATTTTGTTTTTTTTTTTTTTCTTTTTGATAGCAGGCACAAATGGGGAGGCCGGTAAGTGAACAAAGCCACTTTCATAATACATTAGGTGAGGTTTTTAGATTTGTATTCTTTTATCTTGGGGCAAAGGCACATCCTGAACTAAACACATGTCACACGAGAATCTCTACAAGGGATTCCAAACTCTGCTGTCCGCCAGTATCTGCTGTTCTGGGCAGGCAGGAGCCAGGCAGCTGCCCTCCGGTGTCCCATCCTTGGGGAAGGAGGGTCAGTACCACCACTCACCATTCGGGAATGAGGACTGTAAGGCAAGAGCCCAGGAGGAAGGATGGGACTCAGAGGGAGAGGTCAGAAAAGACTTCCCTGTAGTTTTGTTAACTCTTTTTTCAGCTTGGAAGACTCAAGGAGGGGAGGAGATTCCAGGAGAGAGCGCAGAATGTGGAGGCAGGCATCAGAGAGCCTGGGAAGGAGGAGGGCATCTTGGTCAGGGGAGGCTGGATAGAGGGGACAGAGCCTGTGGTCACAGACCCACATCCCCCTGACACCAGTCTCTCCTCTCCCTCCTAAGGCAGTGTCTACCTTTAGGCACAGCTGGACCCAACCTAGCTCTGCCCAGTGGAGCCCACGTCTGCTGCTTTCCTTTCAAGGAGCTTAATGGCAGAGCTGAACTGGGCCTGGGCAAGGTGGATGAACTTATTAGTCATTGCTGAGCTTCCTGTCACTTGAACCCAAAAATATATTTCAAGTGCAAATTGTGATGAAACCTTACCTTTAACATTCTAGGCTTGAAAATGATTTTATGTAAGACACGTTAAGTGCTGGAAAGATGAAAATATGTGCTGCAATAAATAGGTGTCTATCGTCTTACGTGTCTTATTTTGAAGATTATTTATCCCACAGTTCAGTCTGAATCCACAGAAGTGAAAAATAAACTGTTCTTTTCAGAATATACTTAAGGCAAAGAACTAGTTGTTCTAACAACTGCTATACAAAGAACTCTTCAAGAGATGGAAAATAATTCTAGGTGTTTTTTGACAAATGAGATCAACAATATTCACTATTTTTTTAAGTGAACTCACTGGTTCTGCTGTAAAATTCTACCTTGTATTCATTTCCTTTTGCCCCTTATTTGTGCTCTAAGCAGAATTCAGTGCTAATGTGTTTCTTAGGTGGTGAATAAGCAGTCTCCATGTATTTGCCTTATATTGGAGATTACTCCAATCAAAAGGAGGTACTTGGAGTATCGTTTCAAATATATACACATTCCCAACTTCACTTCCCAAGATTTTATCTGACATTTTCATTGGGCCTTTACAATATGAAAGGGTGTGCTAGGTATTCTACTGAATGCTTAACATTTTAGTTCAACTCTGGGAACATTTGAAATAATGCCTACTATGTGCATAGCTGAGGGCTTTACTAAAAATAGCAGTAAAATTAGGTGATCTCTGCTCTTCATATGCTCTGTGCAGTAAGATAGAATGAAACCACAGTCTTATGTTACTGTTCTTTTTCAAATCTTTCATTATTTTCTTCAAAGTTCAGCCAACTTTGACAGATCCACAGTCAGCAGCGTAAAGAAGGAAAATTTAAAATGAACAGAACTCAGTTTATAAACATTTTACCTTCTTTTTTGTGCATTTAAGCTATTAACAAGTAGCATGGTTATTTGGTTTAACAAAAAATCAAGGCTTTTTTTCGTCCTTCACCCTCTGGAGGAAGCTGGTATTAATACTAAACAGTGAATGGTCAAAAGAGTAGATTTTCAGAAGTAAAATATAATTAGTGTGGGTGCCTGAGCCATATTACTTTAATATAAAGCATTTAAAAATACATTTGGTGCTTCATACATATCTCTTTAACAGCTGAAACAACACTGTGATAAGGTGGGGTGGGCCAAGCCATCCTTGTACCCACTTTGGTATGAAGCCCTTGCCCCTCCATAGCTGAACATCTTAGACATCCTCTTTAAATGTCTCTGGACATCAGTTTCCTCATCTGTAAAATGGGGATAACAACACTTGGTTTAGGGATGTTCACGGGATGGAACTCAAAAATGTGTGAAAGGCATTATTACAGTTCTGGGGACAACATATGTGCCTAATAAGAAATGGTCATTACTAATGGGGCATTATTACAGTTCTGGGGACATTGTATGTGCTTAATAGGAAGTGGTCATTACTAACAGGTAATTTTTTAACATAATTTTTGTAGCAATTTATCTAATACACTCACAGAGGAATTCACCCAAAATACTGCTTTTTCTCCCTTCAAATTTAAATGTTTCATAATTTTATTATAACACACATTTTATTTCAGAGTAAATATCATCTTCTGCCCTAAGGCTGTTTACTAGAAATTAAAATATTTTTCAAAAATAAATGTTCTGTATATATTGGCACAGTAAACTTTATCATTTGTGCTAGATTTGCCCTAGAGTACAAGTTTACACAGCTAAAGGAGAAAGCAGTAACATGCAAAGTGCGGACCCTTAAAATGGACCTTGGTAGAAGCACTGGGCACGGCTCCCCAAATCCACACCACCCTGGGTTCTGGTCTGGGCTCTCTCTGCCACTCACCAGTACTCACCCTCTCCTCTATACAAGGGGATCAGACCGCCTTTTAAGGAGGCTCGCTGAGATGAGGTGTGGGAACTCACAGCACAAAGACTTATAAACTGCAGGAGTTACTACCAGAGTTTATAATCACCGAGTTCATTGAGTTGTTATTACTGCTGGAAGGTGTGCCTGGTTCACCCAAAATGGGGAATCCACTAACTCTCAGACTTACAGTAGCCAGCAAGTCCTTTTTTTTTTTTTTTTTTTTTTTTTTAGACAGAGTATTTAGCTGTGTCTCCAGGCTGAAGTTCAGTGATGTGATCTCGGCTCACTGCAACCTCTGCCTCCCAGGCTCAAGCGATTTTCCTGCCTCAGCCTCCTGAGTAGCTGGGATTACAGGCACGTGCCACCACGCCCAGCTAATTTTTGTATTTTTAGTGGAGACGGGGTTTCACCTTGTTGGCCAGGATGGTCTCGATCTCCTGACCTCGTGATCTGCCCACCTCGGCCTCCCAAAGTGCTGGGATTATAGGCGTGAGCCACCGTGCCCCGGCCCAGCAAGTCTTATAAACTCTGTGACTGGAGTAGACTAGTCTGTAAAAAATGACAGTGGTCCCTTGAACTCCACATTCATTTAATATTTGGTCATGGCCTCACACATTGTCACAACTGAGCATGAAGCCACATAAAGCTCTCCACAGGAGAGGAAACACTGGCAGAAAGGGGGATCATTTTATGTTTGTTTGGATAGGGCGGCATTCTTATTGTATTTGCGTAAAGGAATTCTAGTGGCCCTGCTTTTTAATTACTTAAAGTAATTTTCATCAAGCAAGTCATTATATTTCCAAGTGATTCTTGGCACTGGTTATGCGCAGCACTGATTTCTGTAATCCCAGGTAAAAGGCAAGGCTCCCCCTCACTGATGCAAGTTAGGGGCCCTCTTATAATAACACATTCCTTACCTTAGGCCAAGGAAGAATGTCGAACTGGAAATGTGAAATTTTTTTCTGACTCTCTATTTCATTGTAGTTGTCTTAAATAGGACGAAAACATTTTAAAAGAAACTTCTAACATTTTTGTTAATGGCTTTACTTACAAATGAAAATGAAGCATGTGGATGACTTCTCTAAATGACCTTGGAGAATGACATTAAAGTAAAGAATCCATCGTGGATTGAGATTTGACCGGCTATTTTTCTCCTACCACCAGATTTCATTTGTAATAATGGCTTTATTGTTTACTCTAGCCTGTTTCACTCACATAACTGTTTGCTTTGAAATTTGAAACTACATATTTTCTCTGTAACTCAAATAAAAATGGGGTCATACAAGTGACCTTTTAGCCAGAAACTGCATGGTCAATCCTCTTTGACAGAAATAGCACAGGCCGTATCACTTGAGAGTAATGGAATCCTTTTAAGACAAAAGATCATTCATTTACCATAAACCTTGAAATCTAATGATGGTGATTATCAATGCCAAGTTGCAGACACTGGGGACAGCATTTAATAATAGCTTACATTGGCCAGGCACGGTGGCTCATGCCTGTAATCCCAGCACTTTGGGAGGCCAAGGCAGGCGGATCACCTTAGGTCAGGAGTTTGAGACCAGCCTGGCCAACATGGTAAAACCCCGTCTCTACTAAAAATACCAAAAATTAGCCAGGCGTAGTGGCAGGCGCCTGTAATCCCAGCTACTCAGAAGGCTGAGACAGGAGAATCATTTGAAATAGGAGGCGGAGGTTGCAGTGAGCTAAGATTGCGCCATTGCACTCCAGCCTGGGCAACACAGTGAGCCTCCGTCTTAAAAAAAAAAACAGCTTACGTTTACTGAACAATTTCTGGGCTGAGCTCCTGACCAAGCACTTTCATGTGTCACCTCAAGGAATTCTCACCCCAGCCAGTGAAGTGTAGGAATCATGGTTATCAATGTTCCATAAATGAGGAAACTCAGGTACACTAGCTGGAGAAACTTGCTCAGGGTCAAGTGTCCTGTGTTCTTTTTCCGTGCCCTAAGCATTTGCCCCACTGAATTCTCATTTCTTTGCCTGGATGAAATCTCAGACAGGACCTGTAGCCTTTTCAGTTCGTCTTCAATAATTTAGTCCCCAGATCAGTTTCAGACCTGGAAGAGTGCTGCCTCACATCAAGATCAAAACTCCACCTCTGGTCCAGTTAAACTGGTTTCTCTTCTCCCAGCTCAGGGCCGCATTGGCTTGGAGACCCTGTGAAGAAGAAGCATCATTTTCCCCTTTACTTGCTCCAGCTCCTCTCCTGCTCCTTATCAGACGGCTCTACCAGCCTCTACTGGGCAGACCCTGCATTGCGTAATGAGCAAGGGACGGACAGAGCATTCAGCGGAAGTGACAAGGTTTCTCTCCCTGGCTCTTGCAGTGGGAATCAATGTCCCCTGGGCATGGCACATTTCAGAGCTGGTTCTCTCTGGGAGCTTTTGGGTTCCGTGGAGGCAGCCACGCCTCTGCTCAGCTAGTGGATGCCCCCAGCCTTCTCAGAGGAGGGCTTTGGGCAGACATTGTTTTCTGTTGGCCTCCTTTGAGGGGACTTCTTTGAGAATACTCCTAGACCACCTTTCCCCGGCACATGTGTGGGCCGAGCAAACCCTCATTTTTGTGCCTGTGGAAAGGCAGCTTCATCCTGCCTGTGTGATCTGGTTAGAGAGTCCATTACAGACTCTGCCCTTAGACTTCTCAGACTGGAGGTATAAGCCAGTTCCCAGGCTCCTCAGCTCCAAGGGGCCTGTGTTGGGCTTTTTTGGGTGGCCTTGAATTCAGCCCCAGCCAGTGTGAGATGAGAGGAGGCTATGGCCACCATTGTGTAACTGAGCACCGAGTGAAGGGCTTTAGGCAAAGCTATTCCCATTCCAGTAGACTTGCTAGCTTGCTTCGCCCACCTGACATCCTGTGAAACCTTTGTGGGTAACAAACTGTACCCAGTCCACTCCCTCCTGACTTGCCACTTGGAGGATCCTGTCACAACGTAGTGCATATTCACTTAAGTCAAAATAACTTTTCCGTTTGATCAACACGCCTGTGTGAGTTTTGTGCTGTTGCACTAGTATTCCTCAGCACACCTCAGGAGCACCACTGGGGTGGACATTCCTTGACCTGTATCTGTAAAAACGTTAGAAGGTAAAAGTTGGCCTTCCCTGCATCTCTACACCTGGTTCAACATTTGCTTCCCATCCTCTGGTCATATAGAGTAGATGTGTCAAAAGAAACAAGACTTTAAAAGGTTGCTGAAAAAGTGGAGAAATGATTTACTCATCTTGTCGAAAAAATTAAAGTGCCTAATTAAAACAAAATAATGGAAACACAGAGCAAGAGGATACTTTATTAAATAACATTGGAAGACCTACTGTAGTCAGCTGAAAGAATACGCTAAAATATGACTAGACTACTGGAATGAGAAGTTTAAATATTATTAGGAAAAGTCTGTGGTTTTAAAGAATTTATAACATGATAGTGTTGTTGTCAAGAAGATTATTTTACTTGCAATCCGGAGCTGATTGCTGATGGCAATGCTAAGGTCAGAAAGAGAAGATTCAGGCATCAGAATTATAGATGGTGAGGGATTTCACCATGGAGATAAGAAAGAAAAAGACACAGCATTCAGTAATTGGAAAAGTGCAGGTCCTGAAAGGGTGATGGTTTTGACTTAATGTTTCCAGATGGTTGGCCCTCTGATTTCATACTTTCTGTCCAATTTATAGTGTGCAAAGTCAGTCTTTTTTGGTCAGCCTTTTACTCCTCCATTCGCTCTTTCACTTTTCTCCCTTACTTTTGCATTCTTTACAAGTTATGCTCACAGTATAAAAGGGGTTAATGAAAGTGATGATGTGCTTGGAAGAGAAGGAAAAGGGAAGATGTTGAAAAGCATAGCATATATTATGAATTAAAATGAATAAATACTTGGGGAGGCCGAGGTGGGTGGATCATGAGGTCAGGAGATCGAGACCATCCTGGCTAACAACGGTGAAACCCCGTCTCTACTAAAATTACAAAAAAAATTAGCTGGGCATGGTGGCAGCTGCCTGTAGTCCCAGCTACTCGGAAGGCTGAGGCAGGAGAATGGGATGAACCCAGGAGGCGGAGCTTGCAATGAACCAGGATTGTGCCACTGCACTCCAGCCTGGGCAACAGAACGAGACTCTGTTTTAAATAATAATAATAATAATAAATGTCTAAATAAAATGGATAAAGGAAGCAATGGAATGGCATTGCTGTTGGTTAAAAATGGCTCAGGCAGACGGAGCAGCAGGAATGGACACAGTGGGTGTGGAGGGACCACTGTAGTTGTAGTTCTGTTTGGCTTAAGCCCAGGGTGCAGAGGAAGAAGGGAACAAGGATTGGAGGGGAGAGTGTATACTTCCTGCCAACCACTTCTCCGTAGTCAAGTGGGAAGCTGGGAACGACTCATCCTCAACATGTACCTCCTCACCCTCTGCATCCTGTCTGTCTCCCAGTTCAGCCCAGCGTGCCTCTTAAACATCTCTTGAAACTGTCCACTCTTTTCTCCACCCTAAAGCCACCCTCCTGCTAAGAGTGAAGTGAATGAAAATGCCTGTGTGCTCTTATTTAACCCACTCAAAAAGCCCTCAAGAGGTAGGTACTATTGCTATCCCCATTTTCCAGATGGGAAATCTGAGGCACGAGAAGATAAAGTGAACTGCCCAAGGCTACTCAACCATTACGGGGCAGAACCATAGGCAGTGCCATATTGGGCGGTGCTCAGAGCCCAGCTGCCATGACCCCTTCCCTGGGAAGCTCTGACTCACCTCTGTGCAGCCACACTTAATCCCCACTCATCCTGTCCCCATACTGCAGCCAGGGGAGTTTAAAAAAATACAAGTATGACCATGTCACCAATGCTCAATTACCCAATAAAATCCAAAGTCATCTGCCTTTCCGCTACACCTAGTTGGCCTCTGACCGCTGTCCCCTAGCACTCCATACCAGCCACTGGAGTGTCTTGAATGTACCATGAACTCAAAAGCTGCCCTGATGAGGGATGCCCTCGCCTCCTGGGTCTTTATTGGAGTTTGTCTCCTCCTTACCCTTCCTTTACCTTCAAGTCCTTTGCCACAGTCCTGCCAAATTTATTTTCTACATCATTCATTCGATTCACATTTACCAAATGCATTTTGAATCTTTTTTTTAAGTTCAGGATTTTTCTACGTCTTACACATAATTGCTCCACCAATAGGTACTAATTAATTGAACACAGCCATAATTCAGTCAGTACTCTTGTATTGTAAATGAATCTCTCTTCCATTTGTAAAGAATCCAAAAGTTCACATTGCCGTGGGAAACTGCATTTTTACTTCAAAGACAAGGATGCGACTGTTCTTAAAAGGGAAGCCAAGAGTATAGATATGAGAGTGATCAGAGTCAAGTTGGAACCTGATGCTTAAAGTTAGTAAGCACAAATACTATTACCAGAAAAATCAAAAAGCAGTGTTCCAGAGAACAGTTTTACACATATTGTAAACGTTTTGTTATCTGGCATGTTAGGAAGCTAGAAGAATCAGTTCTAGAATTCTTAATAACTTCAAAGGTAAATTGCTTCTTTTATTTGCTCCCAAGAATGTTTGAGCTAAAGACATTTTTCAGCTCACCAGATTGAACACATTTGTTTTTATAGATAAGAAAATCAAGACACTTAGATGTTAGGTGACTTAGAGCTGAATTACTCAGCCTTGCTCTTTCAATACCCCCCTTTTCCTGCTGTGAGACACAGGGGAATTACTCATTCTCACATAGAAACTTCTGTGGGTGAATCCAGGTTGTGTTCAGTTCCCAGGGCCCTTGCTCTAACTCCAGTGCTTTCTTTCCTACTTAAAATTTAAAGACTAATTAGGCATTAACTATCCTTTTCTTTTTCATTACCAGAAGCACTCTTTAAAGAGGAAGTAACAAAACAGCAGCCCAAATGTGGCCAACAGTGTTTTTAATATTGAATTTTTAAATCGGGAGAGTTTGTGCAGAGCTCTGGATTTGCTGTTGCGTCAACAATGAGCCACATTCCCCATGGCAGCCCGTAGCGGGGGGCTCCTTTCCGAAGGCCACACACTCTCCCATTATCTGCCTGGCCTCAGAGGCTTTGAGGCACAAATTGCCCGGATTACAGGAACTTTGGCTTTAGCATTTTTTTCAAATAAACTGTGTATGAGGTTCATTCTCTATATCTAACCACCTCCAGGATTGCAAATGTTCTTGAGGTCTCCCCAAGGTTATAGTTCAGCTGAGGGTCCTGTTCACCTGACTGCACCTGTTCACCTGACTGCACCTGTGAGGAGCTGGCAGATGGGAAGTTAGAAAGGTTCAGGCCACTTTGGTTTTAAAAACTTGGAATTCTCTGAGATTGCTATTTCTGTGCCTAAAAAGCTCAGACTTTTGCTCATTCAGAGACAAGTAACTTTGGCCTGTTTCCTCTGTGCTGGAGGCATTTGGGTTCTAATGGGATGCTGGCTAGCACAGAAATGGGCTTCCCCCCTTTCCTGTTGCTACTCAAAGGCAACAAACAGCATCACCTGGGATCTGGTGAGAAATGCGTAATCTGGGTCTCACCCGAAATCTACCAAATCAGACTGTGCTTTAAGGAGATCCTTGAGGGGTCTGCAGGCCCATTAAAGTTTGAGAAGCACCACTAGAGTGAGTAGTGGGAGATAACATTGCTCTTCCTTGTCCTTGGGTCCTTTGTCCCCCAGCTGGCTCTATGTGCCACCTGTTCTCCCTGCACAAACCAGGACTCCCCCACAGATGATGTGCTCCCCCACCCCGACCCCTGCCACCATCACCCCCAGGCCAGATTGCTTTTGAGTTCACATTTGAGTTCATATCTGCTCTGATTCAGCGAACCATTAGCACCTTGGCTCTGCCAAGTTTCTTTTCCCCAGTCCTTTTTATCCCTTCATGAAATTTTCAAATGGATGTTAAACAGGGTAGAATGTAGCCAAGATGGTTTATGAATCGAAGTTTCTCCCACCCTCAGGCTGTGTTCTCTGTCCTGAGTCATAAGTCAAGGATCAGGCAAGGCTATATAATTATTTTTGTTGATGAAACCCTACGGGGCCAAGATCTAATTTTCCTTCCTCAAAACAACACGAAGCCCCTCTCAGCCTGGCGGTTGGCCTATCCCATCAGTGCCTGACTGCACCTCAGGGGGCCTGTTCAGGACATCAGAGGGCTGACAGCAAGGCCACAGCCAGTAGAGTATCATGTGCCACAGTGCTCTCTGAACAGACGTCATGGTTATCTCGTACAAAGTCTACACTACAAAACTCAGAGTATTTCTCCAGCACTGTATAGCTCTGTCCCAGCCCACACTGTTTCACAGTAAAAAATAAAAGAACCAGAGTTAAGGATTAAGTAAATATTACAAGAGACAGCAACCTAAGTCACCTGCTTATTTTTGAAGTAGGTTTACTTTGTTGGCTAAACCAGGTAGAAAACTTGGAGTATGCCTTAGTATCCCACAACACCCCAAACAGTATCTTTAGTTTGTTCTGTTGCTTTTGGGTCTTCCAATAAGATGAAGTTGTTTTTTTTCCTTCCCAGAGTTCACATCAAAACTATAAACTCTAACCATGGTCATGTCAAAACATCATCACTGTGTTGAAAATTATTAGGGAAATTGGGAATAGCAGAGGAGGAGTGGGAAGGGGTAGAAGCCAAAAGGAAATGAAGTATGAAATACTTGCAGATAATTGCTATGTGTGACATAATTCTTTCACACAGATTTTAAGATTAGTAATTGTTGAGGGGTGTGGAACAATTGTGAGTGCTGGAGGAGCCGTCTTGAGGGTGTCTGCCACATGAATAGAGAAAGCAGTGTGCAAGGAAGACAAGCAGCTTTCTGGAAAATGCTTCTTAGAAGATAGACTGGTATTCCTCACTCTTGTGAATCGACAGTCAGGCTTTTTATTCAGTGTTGCCAACAGTACCAAAGCCTACCTTAACAGACACGCAGGTGTGCATGGAAGGCCACGCCAGTGGTGTAGGTGTTTTAGGCTTCTGGTCCTAATATGATAGAACTAGAAGAGAAGATGGTTAGAAGAGAAGCACAGGCCTGCATGAGGAGGAATGTTACATGAGAACTACAACTCATCTTCAGAGAGCGTTGGCCTAAGAACAGTCAGTGCGGGACCATAGAAAAATTCAGTCATTCACCAATATTCCAACACGCCATTTTGAAACTGGAAGTAATTCCTTCATTCTTAGATCCTCAGAACCTCACGATTTTACAGTACGAAGGGATTGAAGGAATCTTGTCCAACTAACTCGTGCCCCAGGAGAAGGGAGATGAACTTTGTCTCCCACTGCCCACTAGGTGGTATTCCCACTCTAGTCCTCAGGCACAAAGCTGAAGGTTGCAGATCTTGGTCCTGCCCCTCACTGTGCCCCCAAACTTTCTGGTATTGTCCTGGGGTCAGCCCTCTCCCAAGGGTCCCGGGTATGATGACCTCGGAGTTGCATCCTGGCCCAGGCTCTGCTGCCTGTTCTGGCTCTGAGTCTCTTCTGTAAAGAGGATGAGATTGTGCCTCCAGAGGAATCGGGGCTCCCTTCTGGCATTTCATTCAAAATGTGTTCAAAGAAACAATCTCATTTCATCTTAATGGGAGGAGGTGTTTTTTGTTTTTTATACTAAATTGAGGTATCAAAATAGAACCGCACAATTAAAGGAAATTGTTAATGTAGGTATTGCCTTGGGGTTTCTCAAATCTTGCACAGGAAAATATTTTTATTAGAACAAATCCCTTCACAGATTACTAAAATTATCTCTAACAAAACATGGTGATGGGTTGCATTTACAGATTTAAGAATTTCAGGAAATTATAAGGAGAAATACCAGCAGATGTGGTTGTAATATGACTTTATTTATTTTGTAAATTAGTTATTTGGCATGTTAGTTGAATAGGTTACTCTCTTAGCATTCCTAATTATAACCAAAGATGCTGTTAAGGTCATTAGCCCCTTGCTTTGGAGTGCTGATGCATTTGTAAATGTTCTCTGCCTGCAGTAACAGGCTATGGGAGGAATTGTTTCCAGGGGCTGCAGGGTAAGAGTTACATTATATGGCATATGAAATAAAAAGACTCCTTACAGAATTACAGTAGGAATATTGATAAACGTTCAACTATTGACAAGTGGGTTTTATTGTTGTTGTTGGCTTGGTAGTCAAGTTGTCCCATGAAAGCTTACCTATTACCCAAGTTTTCTATAGTATTAAAGTAACATATTTTTAGGTATGATTGGACACTTTTAAGACTTTGTTCCTAGTACTGTAGAGGATTTGGGAATATACATACCATGAAGAAACTTTTGATTTCTGCTCATTAAGTATGAAAAATTATGGATAACTTAGGGACAATCAAATTATCTACTCATATGGTAAATTTGGAAGTATTTCTATGGATCTTCTAATGTTAAAAAAAAATAAGCTTGTGTTTAATGGGTGGAACTCCATACACATTTGTGGTTTTCAGGAGAAAGTTTTTAAATATATTGGTTGGCCAAAGTAAGATAACTGAAACGTGTTGAGGTTTTTTTTTTTTTTTTAAACTTTGTAGCTTTGCTGCCAATCCCATTTCTTGCCCTTTTCAGTTTATGAAGTTAAAAAAGTGACTGTTGCAAGTATTCCTGAGAAATTGGTAGTACAGAGGGAGAAGTTTTGCTTCATTGCAAAAGAGATAATTCACGACGTTGCAACCGGGGGGCATGGAAGGGATTCGTAGGAACTCAGTGGCATGTAATGAGCTGGGGAACAGGGCTTGGCTAAGCCCTCATTCCTACGTTCATCAAGTATTTGCTGGGTTTTGAGCTGAGAAATGCCAACCGGGCGTGTTCAGAAGGCGGATCTCACCAATCCGGAGGCAGCTGGAAGAGTTCGCGCGTGGGAAACCTCAGCCCTTTCTTTCTTCCCGGCACAGCGTTGTGCTGCCGCGCGTCGGCGCAGGCGGGGGCGCAAGGCCCGGGTCGTCCCCCTCGCGCGGTCGGGAAAACAGCTACTGAGCTGCGGCCCACGACCCTCGGCCGCGCAGGGGCGGGGCGGGGGCGCTGCGGGGTTTCTCTGTTGCTAGAGCCGTGATGTCACCCGCCCCTCCTAACCCGCGGTTGGTTGTTTTGTGTTTCAGCTCTGCCTGCAGTTGAACACAAAGACCTGGAGGAGACTCCCACCTCCTTCAGGGAGAAGAAAGGAGGCAGCGAAGCAGATTAAAGGAACTTGTGGCTTGTGGCCTTTTTGTGCAAGGGCCGCCTGGAAGGGGAGAAAAGTGTATGAAAGCCACCGTGGCGGTTAATGAGCTGTGAGATGAGGCGCTGCTGCGGCCGCTGCTGCTGACACTCGCTCCCAGGCTGCACCCGCCGCCCTTGGCGCTTCATGTACATGTGTCTATTCAGGCCTTGCGGAGGCGCCCAGAAGAGCATCCAACACGGCTGCCGGGGAAAGACCGCCCACCATGCCCACGGAGACCCTACAGACAGGTAGCATGGTGAAGCCGGTCAGCCCCGCGGGCACCTTCACCTCTGCTGTGCCCCTGCGCATCCTGAACAAGGGGCCAGACTACTTCCGCAGGCAGGCCGAGCCCAACCCCAAGAGGCTCAGCGCCGTGGAGAGGCTGGAGGCCGACAAGGCCAAGTACGTCAAGAGCCAGGAGGTGATCAACGCCAAGCAGGAGCCCGTGAAGCCCGCCGTGCTGGCCAAGCCCCCGGTGTGCCCGGCTGCCAAGCGCGCACTGGGCAGCCCCACGCTCAAAGTGTTCGGCAACCACGCCAAGACCGAGAGCGGCGTGCAGAGGGAGAACCTGAAGCTGGAGATCCTGAAGAACATCATCAATAGCTCCGAGGGCTCTAGCTCGGGCTCGGGGCACAAGCACAGCTCCCGCAACTGGCCGCCCCACCGGTCGGAAGCCACTGACCTGCACCGTCACTCCTTCGCGGAGTCCCTGAAGGTCTACCCCACGCAGGGCCGCAGGAGCCCGCAGGAGGGCGGCTCCCACGTGGGCAGGAGACTGCTGGAGCAGTCAGCCGAGTCCTTCCTCCACGTGTCCCACAGCTCTTCGGACATCCGCAAGGTGACCAGCGTGAAGCCCCTCAAGGCCATCCCCTGCAGTAGCTCTGCCCCTCCCCTGCCTCCCAAGCCCAAAATCGCAGCCATCGCCTCCATGAAGTCCCCCGAGGCCGACCCTGTGGAACCAGCTTGTGGAGTCAGCCGAAGACCCTCCCTCCAGCGGTCTAAGTCAGACTTGAGTGACAGATATTTCCGAGTGGACGCGGACGTGGAGAGGTTCTTCAACTACTGTGGACTGGACCCGGAAGAGCTGGAAAACCTGGGAATGGAAAACTTTGCAAGGGCTAATTCTGACATAATATCCCTCAACTTCCGCAGCGCAAGCATGATCAGCTCAGACTGTGAACAGTCTCAGGACAGTAACAGTGACCTTAGAAATGATGACAGTGCCAATGACCGCGTGCCGTATGGCATTTCTGCCATCGAAAGAAATGCTAGAATCATCAAGTGGTTATATAGCATCAAACAAGCTAGAGAGTCACAGAAGGTCTCCCATGTGTAAGACAGTGCGTGGAAAGGAGGGAGCGTGGGTCTCTGTGCTTACGCAGTTGTGAAGGTTGTGAGGTCTCCTTGAAGTGTTGTGAGCTTCTCCACTCTTTGTGTTGCTTGTTGTGCAATGTTTTCAAGTTGCATGCTTGTCAACATGGGGACTGACCTGGCTTCCACGTCACCATCGCTACAGAGCCTGGCTGAACACGCGTCATCTGCCAAAAGTTTCAGGCCAGAATCTAATTAGGGCTTTGCTCGTAAGCAAAACTGTTTACATGAAAATGGTATACAACTTCTTCGATATTTATGTGGTTCTTGTGTTTTTATATCCCGCGCTATTGTGTCTTAATTAAAAGTTTTATCAACTGGCTTTTAAGTTGAGAGCAGAATCTTTTTGAAATAAAAAGCCACTTTGCCTACATGTGAGACTATTCCAGTGGGACAGTAAATGGGATCTGCTACCAAACAGATAATGACTGACCGAACATAGAACCAGGCTGGGTTTTCTGTGGAATAAAGTGGTGAGCCTGACGTTAATCGTTTACATGTTGAAATTCTCTTGCCACTTAGTGAAGCAGTCATTGGGGTAACAATGCTACGTTTTGTGTCCGATTCAGTGTGTAAACGTTGGTGGTTCTATGTAATACTGACCCCAAGGAAAGACGATCAGATACAAAGAAAGATGGTTAAATCTAGGAGGTTGGGTGTTTGGGGGTTTTGTTGATGTTGTTCTGATTGGGATAATTCAGAAATTCCTAATATTATCTTTCGACAGAATGACCACCCTAAAACAAATACTGAATGCCTTTAAAAAAAAAAAAAGTTGTGGTTTTTTGTTTTTTTTTTTTTTTTTTTTGGTCGAGAACTACTAATTTCATGCTATTTCTTTCTCTCTCCCTTTGTTGTTATTTGATTTGGGGGAAGGGAGTGAGGCTTGTGCAGATTTGAGCTATCTGAAGACATGAACAGAAGTCAAATACCAGCCATATCAGTAGAGCCTTCCATTCAAAAGTGAACACACTTGGTAGCTGAACCATATCTGAGCAGCGTGATTCTGTTGTCTTGCATATGTTATTCTCTCAGGCTGTGGATCTTTGTTACAGCTCTAGGAAACTGTAGAAATACAATGCTATGTAGCTTTTCCACCCCATGGTCTCTAGTGCTGCCTATCAACTTGTCCCCTTTTTTCCCAATAACCTGTCTTCCAGGTGGTACAGTTAGCTGTCACTCAGCTGACACCATGATGTGGCAGCAGAGAGGGAAACCTACAAGTGGTTTGCCTCATTGCCTTTGCCACATCTGAAGTTCTCAGCAGCACTACCTTAGACTTCATGAGCTAATAGGAAACTTTTTATGGTGTAAATGCTGTAAGACTTTGTACATACTTCAGTTGTTATGAAATCTTTAAAGAAAAAAAGAAAAAGTTACGCTAATAAATTGCTGTGGTGCAGGCACTAATGGTGGTGGTTTCTCTTTGTCCTGTATTGCACAAAAGTTTAACTTTGGACTATGAAACAGAAGCAGATTTTTGATAGGCTTGAAGAAACATTATTTCATTAAGTTATTTTCACCATATTCCAATTACTCTAAACACCAGTGTTCTTAATTGTGGCTCTAGCAATGTGCTTTTGCTAAACTGATTACATCAAGGTTCCTAAAATGTGCTGCAGCATCTCAGTTCACACTTGTGTTATTTTTGTCTTTTCTTAAACATCAGGATTTTTTACATCTTCCACACAACTCTTCAGTTATAAATATTTTGAGTTCTCACCTTGGAGGCACACCTTTGAAATGTATGGCTTCGTTTTTATTTGTACCAGCCCAACATCCCTACCATGGCATGTGTTCACACACTCGCTCCTCCACTCCTTCCTTCATTCCTCTTCAAAATGTCACTGTTTGAGTGACTCATTTCAGGTATCATGGTAGGCACGGGACTGCCATAGTCAACAACACAGTCTCTGCCTCAAGGAACTTAGATTTTCCCCTTTATTTTAAGAGAAATAACATTACTCTTAGTGGACATGCTCTATCTGTTATATTTGGACAATGAGTATTCCATGATTATTTATTGCATCAAGTTATTTGAAATTTAATGCTTCTTACAAAATTCCATATACTATGCAAATGTAAAATGAAGCCCTATTTAAAAGGTAATTTTCAGAAACAAATTATATGATTCTCAGCTATTACTGTTTATAAATATCTTGCTTCTGAAAAGCAAATTTGCTTCCTTGACTCTTTCCCCTGGTTTTGAATTCTGCCTGGATTTTTTATTCATGTTCAGTAAAACTAAAACCCTGCTTCCCAGAAGAACTGTTTTGGAATGCAGCTATGAGTGGGGGTGATACAATGTGTTCAATATAATAGAATAAAAATAAGTTTTCTAAAAAAAAAAAAAAAAAAAAAGCAAAATTTTCCTTCCATTTGTGTAGAAATGTGGCTTTTTAAAACATTCATGACTTAGCATTGACATATTCATCTCTTTTAGTAGTATTCATCTCTTTCTAGAGCTACTGAAATACCAAAAATAGATATTATTTTCCTAAGGAAACTCTTGTCTGGAGAGATGAGCACTTAGCTAATTTACTATCACTGCTTGTGCTATTTGAGTCATAGACAGTGTTTGAATCTTCCAGTATTTCAATACTGTGTGCGATCTGTATTCAGACAGGCCTATAAATCACCCCACTATAATTCAGTCGAATCCTCTGTGGTCTTACTTGTACAACAGACAGATGTGAGGCTTTTGGTTCCAATGGAAGATGGGCGCTCTTTATTTTCTTTTTATTCTTGAACTAGCATTTCTATAAAGAACTATTTCAAATGCTTAATATTAAATCCTTAGAGTGTGGCATTTCTTGTGAAGTACTCGTTGTGATGGGCTCATTCTTCTAAGCTCGTGGAAGTATCGTGTGTGTGTGTGTGTGATGATATTATTGGTATAAATATGGTATTACCATATAATTCACATTTTTTTTCCTACACAATGCAGAGTGAAACATGATTGCACTAGATGGCCTTAGAAACTACCTGTTTCTTTCTGAAAACCACCAAATCTTAAGACAGTCCTCCCATATGCAACCCCTCTGCCATTGCCTTAGTTCATATTCTCATCATCTCTTACCTGAACTGTTGATTCTAGAAGTTCCTAACTGGAAGTCTCCCTCACTCCCCAACCGGCCTCTTCCTCATTCCATTTCACGCCACAAATACCATCATCAACTCTGGTCATGTCACTCCCCTGTGTAAAGACATCCTCTGGCTTGAATTGGTTGCTGATAGGCTAAATCCTAACTTCCTATAACAGAGAAAGTTGGGCATATGACTCTCAGATCTCGGTCACCAAGCCCAGGCCCCCAGGCTCCAACCGAAGGGAAATTTCCTCTGGAAACTTTTCACCGCTGCATTTGTGATCTGTTGTGTAACAAATTGTTCCAAAACTCAACAACTTAAAACAATAAACAATTATTATCGTAGTTCCTGTGGATCAGGAATGCTAGAGTGGCTTAGCCAAGTGGTGTTGGCTCAGGGTATTTCACGAGGCTGCAGACAAGATGGCGGCTGGGGCTTGACCACTTCCAAGATGGCTCACAAGGTATTAGCAAGAGGCTTCAATTCTCTACAGCATGGGCCTCTCCCAGGGGCTGCCTGAGAGTCCTTATAACATAGGATCTGGTTTCCCCTAGAAGGAGTGACCAAGGAGAGGGAGCAAGGAGGATGCCACAATTCCTCATACAGTTCAGTGTCCTGGGTCACACACATTCAATGTGTGTGATGGCTGTCCATCACATTCAGTTCACTCAAAATGGGTCACTAAATATAGCTCCCCCTCCCAGGGAGCAGAGTGAGGCCCATATTTTAAAGGGAGGAATATCAAGGAACTTGTGGACATGTCTTAAAACTACCATTGCTGCTGAGTTTCAGTAGCTCTTCACTGGAAGGAATGCTTTCTCCTCCCTCCGTGACCACACAGACACTTGCTGTTTCAATACTCAACACAGTCATCAATCAGTGCAATTTTTTTTTTTTTGAGTTTCTATGTTGCCTTTCCCCATTAGATTATATTTTTTGTCATGGCCATGACCCAGCCTTTTCTAGCCTAAATGGTCCTTTTGTGTGAATTTTAAAAAGGTGTGCCTTCCTCAAAACATTTTATTCCCTGCCAAAAAAAAGAGAAAACATCCTAATAAACATACAAATCTCTAATGACTGTGATGCAAACTGTGGTCCCAGAGTTGGGCAGCAAGCAACAAACACAGCAGCCCAGGGTGTATAATAGGTGCTTAATTAGTATGTACTGACTTTTTTTTTCCACGTTCCCGTCCTGTGCTAAACTATAAATGTTGCCACAACAAACCCAAAGTGATAGTTATTGTCCCCATTTTAGAGGTGAAGAAACTTAGTTCCATGGAGATTATGCACCTTAACTAAGATCCCAAAGAAAGGAACTTGCAGAGTGGAACTTGAAACTCAACTCTGATACGAAATGTTTTGAGGAAGCCATGCCCTCCCTACAGCCCAGTTGAAGACAAGAAGAGGCAAACTAAGTGTGTTATGCTTAAACACAGAAGGGTCCTTACATTCATTTTGATTTTTTTAACCGATGCCTGTGTGAAAAAACAGTCCTCAAGCAGTCAAAACTTCAGCGATTTCATTTGTACCTAAATGGGAGCCCATAAAGTTAGAAAAAGACTTCAGCTCTTCCACTGTGAGTAACACACAGCCCACTGAGTTCAAAGAGACAAGGACATTCGAATTGTGTGCTTTCAGTTTTGAGTGTGCCATATTTTAAAATCGCATCCTGTCTGTTTTGATCAAGGACTTTTAGAAGGATGGAGAAAAATGGCCACAATTCAACAATCAGGAAACACATTTTGACTATTTGGTGAGTCAGCATCACTGCGTTCTCCCATCGTTACAGGTGTAGCTGGCATGTTCTGACCAGAAGTAGTAAAGAGGGTAAGGATGCTCCAGATAAACCGAGTAGATTTCTAACTCAGTCAGAAGAGATGGCTAGTCTCATCAGCATTTTGAAAACACCAAACCTGACTTGTCCACTTAGCCCTGTAAAATAACTCGGCTTATGTCACTTTCTACAGTGCTGAACAAGAGCTGAGCTAGAAAGACCCCAGGCTGGGTGGCTGTGTGTGTGGCTTTGCACAGGTCACCTTCGTGAGGGTTTCTCCTGTGTGTTCAGGTCCTGTCCCCTTGCTTTGGCAGAAACTCTGGAAAAGGAAAAGCCAGAAGGAGATGGGCCTCGGCTACCTTTTAGAACCCCTTCCTCTAATACCTGGGACTCACCTGCCTCAAAGTGTGCCGCCATTCCCTCACCTGGAAAATGGGGGGAGGCCATCAAACGGATGTGAGCCCTTGGCCTCAGGGCTCTGGGACAGCATGGATAACTGTTTTTGAAGCATTAGGATGATGTGTGAAGAATATGAGAATTCAGAGAAGACTGGGTTCATATCGTGGGCAAGTAAGACAGCAAGTGAGGCCCTAATGGGGGCCAAACACCTAACGGAACAGCATTTTATGCTCTGTCTACCTTAGAGAGTGTTAATTGGAGAAGGAAATGAAGGGCTCTTTTCTAAATGGAAGGAATCTCCAGAAAAAGCCTCACTAAACTTTCAGAATGGCAGAGGCTGACAGAATCGAATGTGGCCGTGTTCACACCGACATACCATCCAAAGTTGTGAGGATAAACATTATGATAGTCTTTTACTAGTTGAATGTTCTTTTCATGTGACATTAATGAAACAACTATTAGCATGTCTTAGATGGACACTATGCTAAGCACTGTGTCACATTATCTCACTTTATTCTCACAAGAACTTTAGAAGTAAATTAAAATCCATCTTACTGATGAGGAAGCTGAGGATTAAGTTTCCTCTCCAAGGCACACATCCAGTAAATGGAAAAAGCAAAACACAAACCCAGGTTCATAAAACATATCCTAAGACTCATTCTGTGCATATGAAAATGAACTTTTAATATCTAGGATGGCAGGAACCACTTTTGCTTCTTTGCAGTAAGTTGCATCACATAACATTTCTCAGAACTTAAAACACTGTTGAACATACTGGTTTGTGATTGTTTCATAGAGTGAGTGACTCAAAACTGTTGAGCGTATGTGATCACATCAGGACCCAAGTTTCTGGGTTCTTCTGAGAGGGACATTAGCAATAAACTGTCCCTCTCCATGTTACTGTACGAAGGAGAAAACGGAGATCTAGATGAGTGAGGTGGTGGACACAGCCAGGGCTGTAGGGCAAGGGAACTGGCAGAGGGGCTGGAACAGGGAGACAGCTGCTCAGACCCCATGAAGGAGGCTGGATCAGGGAACAGTGGAGCCTCACAAGGCTAACAATTCCATCGTGCCAAGTAGGAGCAACCTGGGTAACATAAACTCTGTTTTTTTGTTTCGTTTTGTTTTGTGACAGCGTCTCGCTCTGTCACCCAGGCTGGAGTGCAGTGGCGCGATCTCAGCTCACTGCAAGCTCTGCCTCCCCAGTTCACGCCATTCTCCTGCCTCAGCCTCCCGAGTAGCTGGGACTACAGGCACCCGCCACCATGCCCAGCTAATTTTTTTGTATTTTTAGTAGAGACAGGGTTTCACCGTGTTAGCCAGGATGGTCTCAACCTCCTGACCTTGTGATCTGCCCACCTTGGCCTCCCAAAGTGCTGGGATTACAGGCGTGAGCCACTGCACCCAGCCAACTCTGTTATTTTTATGCAGTTTCCCTTGACTCAAAAACTATGTATCAGATATTTAAAGAAACCTTGATTTAGAGTTTTTCTGTTAATATACATTAACTTTTTAAATTAATCCTAGCAAACATAAAATACTTAATAAAGATGGAGAAATTTATCTAAGGAAGTTTTTGTCAATTTTGGAAATGAGTACCACTGTCTTAATATCATTTTATTAACTTCACCATCCATAGATGCCCAGTTATCCTCAATATCTCAAGAACCATCTTTCCAGGCCTGGTTCCTCTGCCTCCTTGTCTGCTGAGGTGGACATTGCCACTGGTTCTGATATCCCCTTCTCTCTCCTTCCAAGATCCTAGGAGAATGGCATTTCTACACCTCATAGCATTAGGTGTGGCCAATGAGCCACCAACAGAAGCGACATGTTACAGTTGGGAGGCAGCATAAAGAGCCAGCCCACGATTGTCTTCTCTTCTCTTCCTCCTGACATGGCAACCAGCAGAGTCCCATAGGGCGGAGCTTCCGTTAGGATCCTGAATGAGGACAGTGTGGAACAAAGGCCTCCATCCTAACCCAGAAGGACTATGTCAACCCAGGGGATAAACTTTATCCTTCTAAGCCACTGATAGTGTGGGGCTCTTTTTTTACTGTGGTACAGTCTATCCTGTTCTGGCTACAGCCTCTGTTGAAGTGCACCCAATCTGCCACACAGGAGAGACCGCCATGCTGTCCCATCAGGAGGGGGTGGTAGGAAACAGAGACCAGGAATCCACCTTTTCACAAGTGTTCCCCAGATGATTCATGTGCAGTCTTTGCTTTCACAGATGATTTTCAGTGTTGCTAACTGGAAATCAGGTGAGAATATTGTAGTTGCCAGATACTTAAAAATACTTTGATACATTTTAGAACCACAATTACAAGCTCTAGCTTTTTGGAGGCTTATTTTCAGAAATTTAAAAAACGCATTCAGTTGTACCTGCCCACTGTGACAAACTCGGCAGATTGAAATCAGGTTGCAACCTCTGTTGATTTCCAATATCCCAATGCATTCTGGCCACTGTGATCTGTCATGAGGACCACCACCATAGCCTCTGAGTGGGTGTCCACCCTGCTCTTGCTTCCCTCAGTGTATTCCCAGAAAGCTACCAAAAGTGATCTTTAAAAAGCAGAAATCACATGGTGTCATTCTGTGGTTTCCATTGCAGTTATGACACAATTCTTTTAAAATGCCAAACTTCAGCCTGTAAGGCCCTTCAGTAGTCCCTCCCGACCAGGCCCCTTGCCCTCAGCCCCCATTCTCTCCACTCTCACCCTGCTCTGGGCTCCTTCTCTCTCTATGCTTGTGGAACGTACCAGCTCTTCTCACCCCAGTCCCCAGGGGCCAAGATCTTGCCATTTGGCCTTAGTAGACTATTTTTCCCTTGATATTTGATCTTCCTGTTACTGACTTGTCGTCTTAGATTTTGCTTCAGCTGACATCTCAGAGGGCCCTTCCTGCCACCCTATGTAAAGTAGATGCTGTGTTAATCTCCATCCCTTCGTATTTCCTTCCTGGTTCTTTGTAATCTGAAGTTACCATATTCATTAAGTGACTCTCTTGGTCACCTTTTACCTCCTTTACCCAGTTCAGTGTCTGGCACAGGGGTGTGAAGAGTAGGTACCTTTGGAATGAATGGAAGAATCCAAACATGACTCCTCAACTAAATCCCACCTCGTGGCTGTGGAGCCCCCACCAGCTCATGCCCTTCTGCCTCCCCTGTCTCTGTTGCTGATACCACCGTTCTACAAGAGGCAACTGGGCTTGACATTGAAGGGTTTTCTTCCTACCTGTTCTTGGAAAATAAACCAGACAGCATGTTTGAGGTAATGGGAGTCCAGAATATGAAATTCTTTTTACAAAGAGATTTTACAAGCAAGTATTTTTCACTCCTTGCGCAGTTGCCTTCAAAGGAAGGGGAAGTCCTGCTCACTTTGCACCATAGCCCAGAGCCAGGGAAGCTCTGCTGGGGGTGTGGGGCGTGGGAAATAATAATCTAAGACTATTGATATGAGCTGAATCTTGATACCCTCATATTTGTCCCAAAAGACAATGAGTAGCATACTCCTTTTCTCAGCCAAAATACAAAAACTTACCCTTTATGCGAAAATATATCCTTGGGGTAGTGCTGCTGGGTATTAACCATTGAAGCCCTCCTGGCAGACAGTTTTCCAGGCAAATTGGCCTCAGAAACACTTCCCATTTTAGCCTTTCAATGTGTGCACACTGACCTCTCCACCACGGGTTCACCATCCTGTTCTCTGGAAATTCTGCTCACTGGGGCAGAGGGAAACAAGCCATGCGTGAATGCAATTGCTCCCTCAACTGAATGAAACTGTGGTGGCTCGTAATTGATAACATATGGAAGTTCAACTGGGAAAAAGGGAAAATGGGAGAGAGAATTCTCATTACACCACCTCCTAGAATGCTTGGCTTAGCATGTTTTGCCTTCTTAAGTGTAAATAAGTTTGAAGCTTTCGAGGATTTCTAGGCATACATAATCTTTTCCAGTCCTTTCCTCCTTTTTATAATAGATGGAGAACAGCAGCCAGGTGAGGTATTTATGTGCCTCACAAACCCAGCTCCCAGACAGGTTCTGTGAATGTTTCAGTCACATCACTTTCCTCTATTGAGTTCTAGGCCATTTTAAGGACTTGAGCTACTGAGCATTTTATTTTGGTGGAAAACATTGAGACATTCATTTATTAACTTCATGGGCATGTGGTTTTTCACTAACAGCTTTCCCTGTGTCCCCCCAGTGAGCTGACAGCTGCACATGGTTTAGGAATGTGTGGCTAAGGCCTGTGGCTGCCGGAAAATCACTCCACTTGGTTTGGACAAAGGCTTGGTGTGTTCTATCCATGTTTCAGATTTCTCAGAGCATCTCGGTGTTGAAGCATCTGATCTAAAATGAACTCACTTCCCTGAAGACCCCTTGCTCTGAGTTTATGGACTTACTACCATCTGCTGAGAATTCTTTTGATTAAAAAAAAAAATCTATGAATGGAGATCTGGATAGCGTTTTGGGTTCCCAAATGTTTTCAAGTTTAATTCCCCACCTGATACCTTTTAACAGCAGTTTAATGGTTGAGATGGAGTTTTGTGCATTCTGCCGTGTATATACGCACATGTTGGATTTCTTAAGGAATGTATTCCAGACAAATGTGCTGAGGGTCAAATTATACTCAGTTATTTCCAAAACTTAAATCCTGGTGATTTTGGGGTCTGTTCAGGGAGATATGAAATGCTATGCAGACAAGCAGATTGTAGGGCTGATTTCCAGCTCAAAGGGAAGTGTAAAGGATCTTCTTTCCTTGAGCATGTATTTGTTCTTAACACTATTTTCCTTTTGATTGGATTGCTTTTTCACACATTCAGGTTTAGAGGGAAAGAAAAAAGAAAAGGAAAGAAAAGAGAAAAGAAAGAAAAGAAAAGAATAGCAAGTGTCTTGCAGGTGAGAAGGTGACACAGCTGCTGTCAAGGCTGGTTCTGCTCAACATCCATCTTTCTGCCCACCTGCAGGTGCCCACTAGCAATCACTTCCCTGAAGATGGGCACTCTTCTCACCTCTGTATCGCCAGGCCCTAGTTAACTGTGTGGCAAGTATTGGGTGTAGGTGCTTAATGTTTGCTGAATGGATGTGGAGTAGAGAGAACTAGGAGCACTTTGGGGTTCTTAATCTGTGGGGAGAGACCAGATAGGCTTAGTGGGGTGGCTTCCCATCAGTTATGTCCTGTCCCTTCATAGGCTCCCCACACATGTGTGCTGTGGTTCTCCCTCTTTACCTTCTCCATCTCACCTCTCTTCCCTGAGTTGCTGTGATGAACCAAGCATCTCTAGGCCCAAGGGATACAGCAATGAGCCCCCACAGAATAGATGCTCACAGCCATAAGGAGCCCGGCTTCTTGACAGAGAGTAGATCCAATAGCTAAATAGGTCAGACTTATAAAATGTTAGATGATGGCATGCACTTAGGGAAAGAAAAATAAAACAGGGAGGAGAGAGAGCGAGTGGCCTGCTCAAGGAATCATTTGAGAAAGACTAAAGGAAGTGAGGGAGGTGCTCTGCAGATACCTTGGAGAAGCAATCTGGGCTAGAGACAGATCAAATAAACTGCAGGGAGGCCAGCAGGACTGGTAAGGGATGGGCTGGTCAGGTAGGACCTGTTGGCTATTTAGCAATAAGTGTCAATGGGGGGAAAAAAAAGAATGTGCTATAATCAAATTTAGAGGAAACTTCAGGTTAAATGGATGTAAGCATGTTCTGCGGGATTTTCATCGGAGCCTTTAATCTCCGAGAAACAATTTTAGTGAAAAGTGTTTCCTAGGTATTTGAGTCAGGAGGCACTTTTGCAGGAACTCAAGAACTCAATTCTCTGAAGATCCCAGAAGTAAGCTGAGGGGCTAGGGAGGGGATAGCAGCAGAGGCAGACTCTGGGGCCCACCCTCTTCACTGACTGTGTCCCAAATACATCCTACCTGAGCTTACAACACAAAAATATCCAGGAAAGAGAAAAGTCAAATAAGCTGCTGTGTCAGATGACAGAAACGTTATACACATATTATGCTTTCCTGAGATACATTATTTGTTTAGCTAATCCAACTATTAATTACTACCAATTGCTACCATTCAGTAGTCTTATTTTTGTTTAATTAGTAACATTTATGTAACAAAAGTAAATAATATGGAATCGTATATGACTTCAAATAAGCACATAGTTTTCATATCTTAAGGTGATTAACATGTCTATCATATAAACAAATATATACATATGTAGTATGGATATACTATCTATATATATGAATATGACAAGCATGTGTACACTATATATATAAAGTTGTTGTCCTGCTGCTGCGGCTGTGTCCTGGGTGGTCTCTCTGAAAAGCTGGTCCCCCTACCTAAGTTCAGAGTTCAGTTTTCATGGGGACTTGGAGAACGCATCAGCCACCAACGCCACCTGGAGAACAAAGACAACAGAACCAAATAAAACAGTGGAGACCAGCAAACACTCCCGGGGTGGAGTCTCCCAGAGCCAAATAAATCAGGAACCTAGACTGGAGCCAACCACAGAGGCTGAGGAATGTCTGAGAACTTAAAACTCTAATCTCTGCAGCCCAGTAACAAGAATTCACATCTGCTGTCTGCTCCAGGGGAGCACTGGGGACCCCTTCCCCACCGCTCCCTGCCCTCCACCTCCCAGAAGGCAGCCAGCGAGAGGGTGAGAACTGGCTTGGGGATTTGAGAATTTGACTCCCATTGCCTTTTCCTGTGATGAACCTTCAGCAACTCACTGAAATTCCCTGAGCCTCGGTTTTGTCAACTGTGAAATGGAGATGCTATTGCCTTCTCCTGAGTGGTGTGGGTCAATTATTTTGTGAGGATTTCATGTGCGTATACAGTGGCACACTGTGAGGCCTTGTATATCCCCCACTCCTCACTATACTCTTTGCTTTTATAAGGGTCATTTCAGATGCTCAGCAGAATGAACGGTCACCATAAAGGAGGCCTGAGCTTTTTAGAAAACTATTTGCAGGCTGGGCACGGTGGCTCACGCCTGTAATCCCAGCACTTTGGGAGGCTGAGGCAGCCAGATCACTTGAGGTCAGGAGTTTAAGACCAGCCTGGCCAACAGGGTGAAACCCCATCTCTACTAAAAAATACAAAAAATTAGCCAAGCGTGGTGGCACACACCTGTGATCCCAGCTACTCGGGAGGCTGCAGGAGGAGAATCGCTGGAACCTGGAAGGCACAGATTACAGTGAGCTGAGATTGCACCATTGCACTCCAGCCTGGGTAACAGAACAAGACTCTGTCTCAAGAAAAAAAAAAAAAAAGAAAGAAAGAAAAGAAAAAGAAAATTATTTACCACAGGAAAACTTCTTTTATTTATTTTTGTAAATAAAACTTTTTATTTTTGAGGGCCTGGTGTGTCCTGGGTTTTGTGGAGCACAAAGAGAAGTCAACCAAGTGAGTAGAGGGGAGAGGATTCAACTCCCACTGCCTCGAGCTCCTTGCTCCTTCCTCTCCCTTAGTTTCAGTTCAAATCCTAGGAAAACCAAATCAAACTACCTCCTCTCCAAGCCTTCCTGTTGCCTCACATGAAGCAACCTCCTTCCTTCAGATGCTTATGACAATTATTCATAGTAGAGAACACTTGGTAATAAATCACATACAGCATGCTGGCATGTCCTCCACATTAAAAAAATTATTTTTTAATTGTTGTCAAAAATTGTTTGCATTTTACATTATTCTATTTAACTTTCCCACTGAGAAAGCAGTGAGAAAACCCACCCATCTAAATATTCACACTGTGACTTCATCTGGGAAAACCCATTTTGCATACATACTGCCCAGCATTCACTTTAGCATGAATTTACTTTAAGACTTTCTATTTTTTAATCTACAAACATTAACTACAGTTGTAAAAATCACTTTGTTTCAAATGGGGTATAGAGATGTACAGACGTGTGCAGTTAATTAAAGACCTCGATAGACCATCCGTGCTCTGCATTGCACATTCCTATCCCTTTCACTGTGGAAGTCTGCTGTCCAACACCCTTTAGAGCAACTACAGTTTTCATTGTGCAACATGCTTACAGGATTGGGAACATTAGGGAGCTTAATGAAGGGAGGGGGTGAGAGGGACAGGGAACCCAAGAGAAGAGAAGTTTCCCTAAATGGTTGTATACTGTGTTGAGCTTGACTTATTGAAATAAAGCTTTTTGCAAAACTCATTATTTATTACAACTTTCCACGGGCTAGAAACTATCTACACACTGTACCCACTAGATAAGTATATCTATTCACAGTAATTCAGTACTCGGTTGTGTCTTAGCTTGGGCTGCCATAACAGAATATCACAGGTTGGTGGCTTACACAACAGACACCTTTCTCACAGCTTTGGAGGCTAGAAGTCCAAGATCAAGGTGCCGGCATGGTCGAGTCCAGGTGAGGGCCTTCTTCCTAGCTTGCAGATGGCCACCTTCTTGCTGTGCCGTCACATGTTCTCTTGAATCTTTTCCTCTTCTTTTTTTTTTTCTTTTCTCTTTTGGGACGGAGTCTCATTCTATCGCCCAGGCTGAAGTGCAATGGCACGGTCTCGGCTCACTGCAACCTCCACCTCCTGGGTTCAAGCAATTCTCCTGCCTCAGCGTCCCGAGTATCTGGGACTACAGGTATGCACCACCACATCCCGGCTAATTTTTGTATTTTTAGTAGAGACGGGGTTTCGTCATGTTGGCCAGGCTGGTCTCAAACTCATGACCTCGTGATCTGCCCGCCTTGGACTCCCAAAGTGCTGGGATTACAGGCGTGAGCCACTGTGCACAGACTCTTTTCCTCTTCTTATAAGGACACTAATCTCATCATTACTGACCTGCCTCATGACGTCACCTAACCCTAATTACCTCCCAAGTCTCCATCTTCAAATACAAAATCACATTGCGGGTATTCAGTACATGAACTTTGGGAGGATGCAAATGTTCAGTTGATAGCAGTAAGTTTACTGGAAAACAGGCCAAGTGTGGAGACTAAGTGAAAGCAATACTATTTGCAGGGCATGTCTGAAGTCATTTACATGTATAACGCCCACCTCAGGCCCAGAAAGGCTGAGGAGCTGCGAGATCATTCTGTGTCAAACAGGATTAAATGATGCTGTAGATGCTATTGGAAAGTGAACACTTTAGAAGATTTTAAATGTTAAAACCAAAAGAGTTTGAAAGTTTTCTGTGCAAATGTTTCTAACCAGATGTGCATGTGTGTGTGCCTGTGTGTGCATGTGCGCGCGTGTGTTTTCATACTTCTATAAGAGAAATTTTACTCTAGAATTTAGGGATTCGAAAGAATGAGTAGAGCAGACATGAACTTGCCATGTGGGTCTTGTTTGCTGCTTCTTACTTCACCAAAGCTGGTATTTTAAGCACCCTGATTTCATTTCCATCCTGAGACCTTGCAGATAAAATAGATATCCCTATAGATAAAACACAAGGTTGGATCCAGTCCACACAGAAGCCTATGGCAGCTGCAAACACTCTCACTTGACTGCTCCCTGCACACCAGTCACAGGTCAGCAGAAACAATGGGCCTGTCTCTCCAAAGAGCACACCATGTACAGCACAGCTTGTTAAAACTCTACCGACAGTGACCTCCGCATGAGGTGGCATTTCTTGTAAATGACAACAGTTTTTCAATTTGGTAGAGGAGAGTATATTCCCTGAGATGCATAGCTAACAAGGTGACAATCCCGGGTGCTTTCCACAGAACAAAGGCCAAAGTCTGTGTTCTTATGGTAAGATGGCTAAAGGAGTGAGCCGGGACGTCCAACCAGGAAATTTATAGGCAGAAATAGGGGGAAGGGGCAAACTAAGAACAATTCCAGAACTTAAAAAAAAATCTAACGAGTTCAAGTAACTAATGATCCTAGGCTAGATTTTTGTTTTTGGTTTTGCATTTTGATTGACAAGTACTCAGAAGTATGTTAACCTCTAACAAAACGAATACCTAAATATTTTATCAAGCAGAGTCGCTGGTTAGGCCTGATTGCTCTGAGCGTGACCACACTGAGTGGAGACTCCACAGAAGGGAAGTGTCCGCCTGCAGAGAACACCAGGCTTCCCACCACAGCTCTGCCCACAAAGCCCGTAAAAGGGAGGCACAGACAGGAGGCCTGCATGCTAACGTCCTCTTCTCATGAACTGTTTTTGTTCCACTTCGTATGAGGAAACTATAAGCTACCTATTGTCAACTGCACTAATTTCACATATTCCTCTGTGTCCTCAGAAATGAGGCATGTTGGTTTCGCCTGTGCAGGACCCACCACCCTCTTCTGTATACAACACCCCTAATTTCCTTGAGGTGCTGAGGCTCCCTGTTACCAGTTCCCCTCACCACTGGCTGAGGGTGTGACAGGGACTCAGAGAGGGCCAGTTAGAGAGTGTGCCATCTCCCAGGCCACCTGCCCCATCTATGTCCCCTGAGGAGAAGTAGGGGAGCGGCTCTGGGCTGAACAAGCGAGGCAAGATAGTCCTGGAGCTATTGGGGCCATCAGGTGCAGTAAGGCCGAGCTGGGACTGTTCAGTCATTCCATCTGGCTTGCAGTTCTGAAAGAAAGAAAGAGAAAGGAAAGAAAAAGAAGAAGAAAGGAAGGAAGGAAAGAAGGGAGGAAGGAAGGAAGGAAAAAGAGAAGAGAAAGACAGAAAGAAAGGAAGGAAGGAAGAAAGAAAAGAAAAAGAAAGAAAGAAAAGGAAGGAAGGAAAGAGGGGAGGAAGGAAGGAAGGAAAAAGAGAAGAGAAAGAAAGGAAGAAAGAAAAGAAAAAGAAAGAAAGAAAAGGAAGGAAGGAAAGAGGGGAGGAAGGAAGGAAGGAAAAAGAGAAGAGAAAGAAAGGAAGAAAGAAAAGAAGAAAGAAAGGAGGGAAGGGAGGAAAGGAAGGAAGGATGGAAGGAAGGTAAGAAGGAAGGAAGAAGGATCCTCCTCTTTAGTCAGTTTGAATTGGATTTTCTGTTGTTTCCAACAAAAAACGTTTGACCTAAAGCACTATGTATGATGTCTTTTAGAGAATTTGCTGGTTTAAAGACAGTGAATCATTTACATAGGACTTGAGCCAGTTTCTTAGATTCATGTGCTCCTTGGAAACTTTGTTCAAACGAAGACTTCTGGAGAGCACCACAGCAGGGCCAGGGAAACGATCAGCAGAACTGGTGGGAAAGATCTGGGCTAATGGTCCTGGCCTCAGGCTAAAGACTCCAATGAGACACCCCAAGTCAGGGGACTACGTCAGCCAGGGAGGAACTGCCCTCTATAAACTATGAACACTTTAAAATATAAATGTATTTATAATATTTTTATTATGCAAGTAACCCATAGTAGCATAAAAAACTGGTAAGATAAAAGAAAATATATAATTTCTCTATAATTTTCACTATACATGTAGGTAAAGATGTTGCTAATTTTTGTCTATCCTCTCATTGCACTATAAAATCACAGGCAGGGCTATGTCTTCATCACTATGCTAATTTCAAGACCTAGCACTCTCCCTGCCTCATAATAAGCATAATAATAAACACATATAGTGAGTGAATAAATGAATGAATTTGAACCTAAGGCATCAAAGCTCAGCTGCATGGTGACTTTCCCTAGCCCTTGTCCTGGGACCATGGAGTGTCCTTGGTGTGTGAACTTGAGACTGGTAAGCCCACAGACCTGAAGTGGGATACATATCCCTCTCAATGGAGCATCCTCATATTTAGAAATTGGATCCATTTTTGAAACCTGGTTTAGAAATTGGATGCAACAAAAAATGAGTGATCGAATTTTATTTTTATTTTAGAATAAGATATAATTATAGAATAAATGATACATTGATCATTCTCAAGCAGTTTTTTCAAAAATGTATCTTGGGAACCATTCTGAAAACAGAGCCAGAATATTTTAAGAAATAACACCTCTGTGAGAATGAGTATATCATCTCCCATAGTAACTACTCTGAGGGGAAGCCTCATTTAGATATATGAGTTTCAGCAAGTTTATTGAAAAGCATATGTCTTTATAGCAATGCTGTACAACTGCAATCACTTTAGAAACCCTGGTCATCTCAGTGTGGGAATATATAAAGTATTATTTGTATTTGGGTGTGCCCCTCGGACTGCCACATTGATTTATTGTCTAAAAGAACATCAGTAGTACATATTTAATCAATTTGTGGTTCACCTTGCCCCTGACCTACACAGTCTCAAGTGTTGATGGGACTATGAGGAACAATTTTCAGGTATCTACTTTTATGAAAACCCAACAACAATTAGCAGCAATGAGAAATAAGCTTATTCCTTAATTTTTGTATTTGCTGGCCTTTAGAAATCATTATCTGAGCCTAAGTTTGAGTTGTGGCTCTTAAAATTCTTTTCTTTTAATTTGAGACAGAGTCTCACTTCATCACCCAGGCTGGAGTGCAGAGGTGTGCTGTCGGCTCACTGCATGCAACCTCTGCCTCCCGGGTTCAAGCAATTCTCCTGCCTCAGCCTCCGGAGTAGCGGGGATTGCAGGCACCCGCCACCATGCCAGATTAATTTTTTGTATTTTTAGTAGAGACGGGGTTTTACCAGGTTGGTCAGGCTGGTCTTCAACTCCTGAGCTCAGATGGTCCACCTGCCTCGGCCTCCCAAATTTCTGGGATTACAGGCACCATGCCTGCCTTAAAATTCTTTTTTGAAAGAAAAGCAGTGTTCAAAACATATTCCTTTTCTTCCTACGTGATGTAAAACTACATCAAAAAGCCATTTTAATAAATACTACGTTAAAATAAAATATATTATGTGATTCTGTGTTATGTATACTAGTAACATTCTATATTGGGCCATGCTATATTATCTCAATAGCTGGTATGTTGCTATAATAATAACAATCACAAAAATATGCCCTGTCTCTAACTGAGAAAAAAACAGATAAAATAATAATGGGAACCCACCTTTAGTGCCCAGATCTTATGAGTTAGGCAAAGGTACTCACTTAACCTTCGCAGCAACCTTGAGAGAGAAATAGTGGGAGAAACTGGCCCTTCCGTGCGGCAAGGAAACCCAGGAAGGACTCGGCTGTGCATCCTCAATTTAGTGTGTTACCTCAGAGCCTGAGTTCCCAGAGTAAAATCCATGAGATGCTGAGGTCTAAGAAAGATGTCTCTAGGGAAACTTTTCTTTTTTCTCCTTCCAAGACACAAGGAGACTTCTCTGATGGGGCCTATCTGGGATGAGAGGCCGGGGATCAAGAAGTGTTTCCCTTCAGAAGGGCCAAGCTAACCAACAGTGTTTTCTCCCCAGTGATAGAAATTCTGCCGGCCGGGCGCGGTGGCTCACGCCTGTAATCCCAGCACTTTGGGAGGCCGAGGCGGGCGGATCACGAGGTCAGGAGATCGAGACCATCCCGGCTAAAACGGTGAAACCCCGTCTCTACTAAAAATACAAAAAAAAAAAAAAAATTAGCCGGGCGTAGTGGCGGGCGCCTGTAGTCCCAGCTACTTGGGAGGCTGAGGCAGGAGAATGGCGTGAACCCGGGAGGCGGAGCATGCAGTGAGCCGAGATTGCGCCACTGCACTCCAGCCTGGGCGACAGAGCGAGACTCCGTCTCAAAAAAAAAAAAAAAAAAAAAAAAAAAAAAAAAAGAAATTCTGCCACAATGGCCTTCAGTTCTGCATAAGAGCAGTGGAGGTGGGTGGCAGGAGGACTGCTACAGGGAAGCCCTCTGTGATCAGGCAGGCACACTGAGTAAGAAAAGGGCCACCCAGCGTCCCCCATCGAAGGCTCCATTCCCAACTTCTGCCTATGCTGGTCCGTTTGCCTGGAATGTGCTTTCCATTCCCAGCCCCCTCACTGTCAAATGCCTGTTCCTTCTCCGAACCTCAGATTAGACACCCTTTATGGTGATTAAACAGGCTTTCTTGACATCCCAGACACATGCTCCCATCGCACTTTGGGCAGATATGGCACACTCTTAATGATTTGCTTGTGTTGATTGTCTTATTTTTGGCATTAGTAAGTTCCATGGAGAGAGGAGCAAGACTGTGAGGTCTTGCTGTCCATTGCACCCTCAGTGCTTTAGCACAGTTCCTGAGACATAGCTGAAGAGTTCATCATAAATATTCGTTGAAGGAGTAAATGAACCATATTAATTCCTTGAGGCAAAGTATTTGTCTTATTCCCTCATATCATCAGAGTTTGATTTAGGGAACTAATGGATGTGCGAGGAATGATGAGGTTAGAATTTCACCATTTTGCCACTACACAGCAATAATTGACTTGGGATGCTATAACTTATGGATGCATGTTTGATGAGGTACAAGGATATTCACATGGCCTCAAAGAATCCCCCCACAAAAACTTGTTCATTAGAAAGGGACAAACAGTACCCTTATGGTTACTATATGAGAAAAAAACACATAAAATAATAATGGGAACCCACCTTTAGTGCCCAGATCTTATGAGTTAGGCAAAGGTACACATTTAACACTCGCAGCAACCTCGAGAGAGAAATAGTGGGAGAAACTGACCCTTCCATGTGGCAAGGAAACCCAGGAAGGACTTGGCTGTGCAAGATGGTGGAGAAACCAGGTGGGTACCACAATAACCAATGGACCAAAGTTAACATCACCAGTGTTGGTACAAATCAACATTATGTGACTGCTGGAGTGAGGCATGAAAAAGGAGAGTGCATCACCTATGTAGGGTCTACATGGAATGGGAATTGGGATGTTGAAAAAGCAGAGAGACTTTCACTTGGTTCTCATGACAACCCCAGTGACATAGAAACCCTGAGATATAGGAAGGGCTCATTTCCATATTATAAATGAGGAAGCAGATTTAGTGAAATCAGGTGACTGAGCCAACAATCAATGCGAGAGTGTCAGAAATGGACTTCTAACAAGGACCTCCATCTCCAGCCTAAGTGTACCCTCAACTTCCTGCTGCCTCTCCCAAGGCCTCAAACATACAAGAAATGTGAGTGGAATAACTCCACCAATGAGAGGTGGGCCCAGTGGTGAGCACAGGGAGAGAGTCTGCAGACTCAAGTTCCGGGCCTGCCTCCACTATCAACCAGCCAGCCATGGAACAGTGGGGAGGGATCCTCGGCACCCCTGGCTCTGTATCTGTAAATGATGAAAGTTGGAATACACCTCTCTAAGCTTCTCACTGCTTCTGATTCTAGAAAGTAAGTCTTTCTGTCTAGACTTTTGTCACAGACTTGGCAACCATTCAGTTTCAGTATGATCTGGAAACTTGCTATGAATGTTTTAAGAGAAGCAATTTCTTTCAGAATCAGATGCTTTGGCGAAATGACTGTAATATCTTAGATTTGACACAGGTAGAAAGAAAGGAGAAATCATATCTCATTAGGAAAACACCTTTCTAGTGTAACAGCAAGTGAAGGAAAACTCCCAGCTCCCCACCCCCCACCCAGTCACATACACAACAGGGCAAAAGCTATCATTTATTCATTCTTGTATTTAATCATTTATTTGAACCATAATTTCCAAAGCCACCTCTCAATCCCCCAAAAAACCCTCATTACATAAAAATCGTCTAGGAGTTAGAAACTTAAGTCTTAATTGGCTGAACTAAACAACAAAATGACACTGCAGTGAACCTGAAGAGAAAAGAGAGGTATTGCCTAATTCTCTTCATTCTATAAACATTTAATGAAGACCCACTACGTGCAACACATTATCATAAGGTTTTATGTAGGACATGAACCAGGGAGGATAAAGCATTGGTAGAAGGTAGGATAGAAGGTAGAGGGCCCCACAAGCAAACACAAGGGGTGTGACACATGCAGATTATACAAAGAACCTCTAGTCATTCAGTCTCATTGCCTGTCAGGGAGGGTCGATCCCAGTGGAGGGCAAATATGAGGAGGATAGCCTAAGCCTAGAAATCCTTGTCTTTCTTGTTCAAGCTCTTGTCTTAATGATGATGAAATTTTTTAGCAGAAGCTTCATGCTTTAAGGGCTGTTTTGGTTGTCTGTTTGTTTGTTTAAAGGACACTGGCTGGAGAAGGTTTGGGATATTGGGGATGTTTTCTATCAAGAGTAATACAGGCATCTAGGACAGCACTAGAGCCCTGGCCATGGCACCAGAAATGTAAACCTCTCATTGAGGTGGATACTTGAAGCGCAGTGAGCTCGAAGAACCTCAGCACATTCTCCTTCTGCTGGACCTTGGACACCCTGTTTCAGACCTGAACCTCCTGTTCCTTGAAGGCCTTTGGATCACACTCCAATATGGTTTGGATATTTGTTCCCTTCAAATCTCATGTCAAAATTTGATCCTCAATGCTGAAGATGGGACCTAGTGGAAGGTGTTTAGGTTGAGGGGTTGGATTCCTCATGAATAGATTAGTGCCCTCCCTCAGGGGTGAGTGTGTTCTTACTCTGTCAGTTCTCATTAGATCTGATTGTTAAAAAGAGCCTGGTGCCTTCTCCCTCTCTCTTGCTTCCTCTCTTGCCATGTGATGCTGGCTCGCTTTGCCTTCTGCCATGAGTAGAAGCTTCCTGAAGCCCTCACCAGAAGCAGATGCTGGCCCCATGCTTCTTGTACAGCCTGCAGAACCATGAGCCAAGTAAACTTTTCTTTACACAATTCTCAGCCTCATATATTTATTTATAGCAACACAAAATGGACTAAGACACACCCCTTACCCATGTTAATTTAGAAGAGCTGATGCTAACATCACTGCTGGGAAGATGCACTTAGGTCATGCAGTGAGCTACTTTAGACCCATAAATACTTGATACTTGAGCAGTAGCTCTTGTCTGGATTATCAAGAAGTTTATGGAGAGTCCTGGGAGCCTCTGAGATGGTACCCAGCCCATAACATATCTGATGAAGATCAATCTCCTTCCTTGGTGGTTCATGGTGCTGTGTTGGAAAGATGCCAAGGTTTGATGCATTCTCAGAAGTCCCCTGAACCACAGGCAAGAGACTCCCTTGGACTTGGTGCAACCCAAGACTCCCACACACTTTCATCCACAGCAGCTTCTGTTGTGCTCCTACTGGAAGCACAGGCTGTGGAAAAAGAGCAAGAGACAAATGGTCTGAGAGAAAACCATCAACAAAATAAATGGTGGTTCCCCCTGGGCTGTGGGTATCTGGGAGGTTCTCATGGAGGATAAGCAGATCATGCCGGCTTATCAGCATGCTTCCCTTGGCAAGAGTTTTTACTCAGACATATGATGAGGTTAAATCCACAAAATCCACACAGAGCTCTTCAAAGGAAGGACTGTGAACAGGTGCTGGTCTACAAATTGACTGTTACCAGTTCATAAAGAGATAAGTATGGAGATAATGAGTAAACATTTAGAAACTTTTATGGCTATTTGACATGACTACAACATTCAAGCACAGGATTAGTGGATTTGTCTTGCTGAACATGGTAGAGATGAAAAATACTGGTCTGCAACAGCTTGGAAATGAAAACAATGACAAACAAAACAGCAAACTGATCCTTCAACCACAGCTAGTTGCAATAGCAGTACTGTAAGACAGCATGAGGTAGAATTGGATTTTGATGGTTTATTCTCAGCATGCTTTGAGTGCCAGCCATTTTCCTGCAGCTGGGGAAGGAGGGCTGAGTATCATTCCTAAGGAGTTCACAGTTCACCTGGGAAGACAGACAGGCCAACCAATTCATGTAACCCAGTCAGATAGAGGCTAGGATAGAGCTTACTCTAGGTGCTCCCCACAACATCCAAAGCAAGGCTGCTCTTCCTTGTCCATTTGGGATGCCTGGTGATAATGATGATAGCATCCATTTATCAAGCATTTACATCATATCAGACTCTGAATTAACCAATTTACATGCACTATCTGTTTAATCCCTCATAAGATCTCTCTGGCTAAGTACCTTATTGTCACTTTCAATTTATATGTGTATAAATTAGGGCTCCGAGAGGATAAAAGAACTTGTCCAAGATCATAGCTTTAATTCATGGAAAAGCCAGAATTCACAGATCACCTGACTTCATAGTCTAAATTCTTAACCCCTACCTATGTTGCCTTTAATCTGGCTTGTTGTACTTGCTTGTTCAGTAGCGGGAGAAAGACTGAATTCAATGCCTCTTTAGCGGCTTACAAATGGTTGGCACACAGTAGGTGCTTGTGATGAAGCAGAGGATAGTGCAGCTGATATTTACTCCCTCCACCTCAACCAGACTCCAAGGGAGGAGAATGTGTGCCCATAATATTGATGGTGAATTTGGCCATGTGACTTGCTGGATTAATGTGACTTGTTGGAATGAAGGCAGCAGAGCTGATTCACCGGCTCTGACACTAAGAGCGTCATGTGTTTCTGCTTGTAATTGGGGTTTTTTTGAAGCAATACCTAGTAGCAAAATGCTCAATAAATATTTGTTGAATAATGAATCTGGTGCCATGGGAACATATAAAAAGGTACCTGACCCAGTGCGAGGGTAAAGAAAGGAGTCTTTGTAGAGGAACTCCTTGAGTAAGATAGTTATCCAAATTTTTCATAAATCAGTTCCTGATGGTCATCCCAGTGCCTAATACCTAATAGTGGACTAATATCAACTGCATGGTTGAATACCAAAAATATTAGATTAATATAAAGTTATATATATGAGCTAGATAATACTTTTTAATCTAAAGGGTTAAAGCTATTAGTACTGAAATTAACAACTTAAATGCATTAGTATCCCTCGTACTTTTTAATTAATCAGTGTCTTCATCTGAAATGCATGTAGCCATTCCTTCATCCCTGGACACCCACTGATTCTCACATAAAGCTGATGCTTAAATTACAGTCCTTCTTTTCTCTCTTAAAATATAAATGTTTACTCAGTACCTACATTTCTCCTTTGCTGCCAGGGCTCAAAGCAGAGGTGAAAAAATGCCTGAGAAAGACAATTTGCCTAAACTGCCAATATGAAAGAAAGCCAGAGTTACCAGCATACTTCCAAGAAAGGCTGCTTTCAAAAGATTCTAGCTGGATTTTTTGCTAGATACAAAGGGTTTAAATAAACATCCAAACTTCTGCATGCTTATCAAGACTGAACCTCTGAACCAGTCACAGACAAAAAGATCTAAGGCAAGAGAATGAGAAATCTCACGAATAAAGATTATATTTAACTGTAAATGCCCCCCCCCCACCCCGCCTTGTCCTAGTGGCTTCCCACAGAAGGAGAATAGACAGTATTTTGAACAGATGAGTGAAAAACATCAGCATACATAGGTTATACCTAAAAGTAAATAGCATTCATGTTCCCTTAACAGACCCAAATCTAACACCAAAATGCAATAGATTTGTGTACTGTAGCATATCTAGAGGTCTAAATGTTTTTCTTCTTTTCTAAGGAATACATTTCTATTAAATTTCCATGAATACTTGATATACACATATTCATGGATTTTCAATTTGTCTGCTTCATAAGCAGAAGGCTAATAGTATAAAAACATGGAACTTATTAAAACACCTGAATCCCAGGCCATTTGGTTTATCTTGAATACCAAATAGAGTATTGGAATGTTTTAAATTAAAGTGCACAATTCTTACCACCTTGATGAGAGTCTTATATTCTGTACACAGACTAACTAATGAAATCACAAATCATGGAAGAGTTGAGAAATAAGGTGTGATAGGGCCTTTTAAAAAATAATTTACTTCTCAAGATGCAAGTAAAAAAATGGAAGTAAAAAAAAAAAACCCCCACCATGATTGTTTTTATAACACACATTACAAGGGACCCTTGTTTTCCTCTATGACACTACAAATGTTCTTATTTTATATTAAAACAAGTTTACCTACTAGTTCCAAAAATCAATGTGTACAAGTTTAATTGGCTTTATCTCCTCTCTAGTCTATTGTCTCTTTTCTTCTACCTCCTGACCAATCCATTTATTCCTTTGACTTTGCAGTTTGACAATGGCAATGGCAATTAGCTAATATTCTGTTATATTCAGTGACTTCATGGTAGGGCAGGAGGAACAAGCCTATATCCCTGAGGGAAGCAGGAAAGGCTGTGCTGCCACACTTGGCGGGCTCCTGCTCCTGCTGCAGCTCCTTTGAACTCCTGCTCCTCCCCCAGGTAACTTCTCCCACTGCCTGAGGCCTTGGTGGTTTCCATGACCCCTAGCGTCCCATGCAGCAGAGACGTGGTCATGCCTAGCATTGTGTAATCCAGATGTGGATTCCCTGAAGTTCAAAGCACCACCAAACAAGCCCCTCCCCTAGAAGGGCCCATATCTCCTCCAGCTACACGGCCTTGTTTTTCTGTCTGTCCAAAACCACACTTTTCTGACAATGGCCTACGTTCCCTGCGGCTGCTTTCTCCTGTCCCTTTCACTTCTCAATTTGCTACAGTCAAGCTTCTGACACTTCTGGTCATTGAAACTACCCTTGTCAGGGTGACCAGCGCCCCTCGTATTGCCATATACCATAGACATTTCTCAACTCTCGACTTCCTCGATTTGCAGCAGCATTTGGCATCGCGCACTTCCTCCCTGGGCTCACTTTCCTCCCTGCTTGCATTGTCTGACGCCACAATCTTGTGTCCCTCCTGCTCTGCTGGCTGCTGTTTCTCAGCTTCCTTTGCACTCTTCTGTCAAACTCTAAAAACAGTGGAGAGCTGGAGAGCTTGCATTGGAGTGCATTTTTCTGCTCTGCTTTATTTTTCCTATTTTCTCATTCAGTCTCATTTGTATGCTGATGACTTACACATTTGTATCTTTGGCTCCAGCGTCTCACCTGAGTTGGAGACATATTAAACCCACCCTCTGCTTGTTATCTCTACTCATCTAACTTAAAACCAAAATTAAATAAACAAGCAACAACAACAAACACCAACTTCTTGATTTAACTTCCCAGCGTATACCATCCCCCTGCCATCTTCCCTATATCAGTGATTGGCACTGCCATTCCCCTTTCAATCAAGTCCAATTTAGGGAGCTATCCATTTCTTTTTTCTTTTTTTTTTTTCACTATTCTCACATCACATTGCTAAGTAAATTCTATTAGCTTTACCCTCAAAATGTATAACAAATCTGTTTACTTCCCTTCACCTGCACAGCTTACCACCCTTGTATAAGATATTGTCTGTTGCCAAGAATCTTGCACCAGACTAGTGGTTCTCAAAGTGTGATCCCTGGACCCGCAGCATCTGCAGCACCTGGGAAATAATAAGAAATACAAATTCTGAAATATTGAATCAGAAACTCTGAAGGTGGAGGCCAGCAATTTGTGTTTTAATAAGCCCTCCTGTGATTCTGATGCATTCCTGAAGACTAACATGCCTTCTGCTTCATTTTTGTCTCAGATCACACTATCTTACAAATGAAAACTTTCCAATGGGCCGGGAGCAGAGGCTCGTGCCTGTAATCCCAGCAATTCGGGAGGCTGAGGCGGGTGGATCACTTGAAGCCAAGAGTTTGAGACCAATCTGGTCAGCATGGCAAAACCTGTCTCTACTAAAAACAAAAAACAAAAACTAGCTGGGTGTGATGGCACACACCTGTAGTCCCAGCTACTCAGGGGGCTGAGGCAGGAGAATTGCTTGAGCCTGGGAGGCGGAGGTTGCAGTGAGCCGAGATCGCATCAGTGCATTCCATCCTGGGCGACAGAGTGAGACCCTGTCTCAAAAAAAGAAAAAAAAGAAAACTTTCCAATGGCTTACAATTTATCCTTTCTAATTTCTTCTTTACATTATATTCTAGGTGTTCTGGTGCATTTCTATATCTTTGATCTCATAACATATCGTCCATCCTTCCCACACTCCTTCTCATGGACATCTTCATTCTTTGACTACACCAAACTCACGCCTACTTCTGTGCTCACACTGACTGTTTATTATTTCTGAAATCCTCTTTGCCAGATTCTCTCATATCTGACACTTTCTTATCGTTTAGCTTTCAGCTGAAATGTTAACTCCAGTAGGAATCTTCCCTAACCTTCATATCTGCACACCATTTTGTATTGCATTGTTCATAGCATTTATCTCTAAAAAGATTATATTACTCATTGATTCACTCAATTATTGTTTCTCTCTCCCAACAGAATTTAAGCTTCAGTGGAGCAGCGATCTTATCCACCTCATCCATTACTCTATTGCCAATGCCCAGAACAGTGCCCAGAACACATACCATGAATCAGGGCATGAAAAGCTGCATTAAATACAGAATAACTGTGTATACTCCACAGGGCTCAAATTGCTTCTCCTCCACGAGAGACACACCAGTCTGTGACTGGCTGTCAACCCAAAATGTGATACTTAATTGGAACTCACATTGGCCACTGCTGCTGACAGTTCAGCAGCCAGGTGACCACAGTAAGTCCTCAATTAATGGTGGCTGGTAATTGCAATTTCATAGGGCAAGCTTCTACCTTACACTTCTTTTATCCAAATGTTCTTCACTTCTTGAGCATGTATTATTTTAGGTGAACTTTAGAATTCTTTTCCATTTTCCAAAAATCTCTGAAAAGGTTATCCAGAATTCCTTTACATTTATAAATCAGTTTGGAATTTAATAAGGGCAGTAGAGGAAAAGATCTGTATTTGGACATGCAAAAGGGATAAAGGTAATCTTGGAACAATTTCCCACTGGCTTACTTAATACTCGACATACTTAAATACCTCCTAATAGGTCCCCTTGTAAGCATTTTAAAATTCGCAATTTTCAAATATTTAGTGGGGAAAAAAAACAAGTCTTCCCAAATGGCTTGTGAGATTTTCTCATAGGAAGAATTCCAAGAAGAATATGTAATAATAGTCTACATTTCCATAAAAAGTATGAGATATTTTGATGTGTTGGTTACATCTAAGCCTGGAAACTATAATCAGAAATCTGGTCTTTGGAGCTTTGTGTGAAAAACAAATCAGTTTCAAAATGATTCCTTTAAAATATTTCTTATATTTTAAGTGAGTTGCTTTTTTGGTGTGGCAGCTGTATTAACGTTGGCTGGAATTCCTTTTCTAACAAAAGAGTTCACAACATTTTCTTGTTTGGCAAAATAAATAAGATGCAAACAAAATACTTTCATTATGTTTTTTGAAAGGTAGGAGGAAACTACATATGTGGTAGATGAGAATGTTTTAAAAATACAGAGTTCTTAAAAAACATAAATTAGGTAGTTATAATTACAGAGATATGAAGATTCTCAGTTTTGCTTACTGTCTTGAGGCAGCTTACTTAATAAATTATTTAGTAAACTTACAGATGTTGTTAATTATATTAGCATCTAGAATAATTAATATTAAATGGCATTTCTCTGGCATGCCCACATTAAGAACGACTGGTGTTAATCTAAGAAATTGACAAATATATATATATATGTTATGAATATATATTTGATTTAATATATATTTGATCTAATATATATTAGACTTACTGTAATATATTTGGTTTTATTCAAAATAATTTACAAAATATTTTACTATGTAAGCCTTTATCCCTGTGACTCCTAAAGACTCTAGTAAAAAAATCAAAATATAAAATTATTTGATATTCACTTAACAGAAGACTCATATTAGAGCACGGCCTTTCTTTTTAATTAAGTTTCTATTGAGGAACATCATATATACAGTAAAGTGCACCAGTCTTACTTGATGAGCCTTAATATATGTGTAGCATGAATGAACTCTGCCCCTCTGCCAGCTCAGATGACATTTCCAGTATTCCAGAAGGCTTCCTCACACTCCGTCTAGCCAATATTCCCAGTCAGATAACCACTATTTTTATTTCTATTACTATAGATTAGTTTTGCCTGCTCTGGAACCACATGTCAATGGAACATCACGTACTGTCATGCACTGCCTAACAACATTTTGGTCAATGAGGGACCAAAAAAATTGATGGTGGTCTTATAAGAAAGTGATATGATATTTTTACTGTTCTTTTTCTATGTTTAGATATATTTAGATACACAAATTTTTTTTAATTTTATTATTATTACACTTTAAGTTTGAGGGTACATGTGCACAATGTGCAGGTTAGTTACATATGTATACATGTGCCATGCTGGTGTGCTGCACCCATTAACTCGTCATTTAGCATTGGGTATATCTCCTAATGCCATCCCTCCCCCCTCCCCCCACCCCACAACAGTCCCCAGGGTGTGATGTTCCCCTTCCTGTGTCCGTGTGTTCTCATTGTTCAATTCCCACCTATGAGTGAGAACATGCGGTGTTTGGTTTTTTGTCCTTGCGATAGTTTACTGAGAATGATGATTTCCAATTTCATCCATGTCCCTACAAAGGACATGAACTCATCATTTTTTATGGCTGCATAGTATTCCATGGTGTATATGTGCCACATTTTCTTAATCCAGTCTATCATTGTTGGACATTTGGGTTGGTTCCAAGTCTTTGCTATTGTGAATAGTGCCGCAATAAACATACGTGTGCATGGGTCTTTATAGCAGCATGATTTATAGTCCTTTGGGTATATACCCAGTAATGGGATGGCTGGGTCAAATGGTATTTCTAGTTCTAGATCCCTGAGGAATCGCCACACTGACTTCCACAATGGTTGAACTAGTTTACAGTCCCACCAACGTGTAAAAGTGTTCCTGTTTCTCCACATCCTCTCCAGCACCTGTTGTTTCCTGACTTTTTAATGATTGCCATTCTAACTGGTGTGAGATGGTAGATACACAAATATTTACTATGGTGTTACAATTGCCTACAGTATTCAGTATAGTAGCATGCTATACAGAAGTGTAGCTGAGGAAGAGTAGGCTGGACCATATAACCTAGGTGTGTAGTAGGCTACACCATCTAGATTTGTGTAAAGACACATTCTGATATTCACATAATGATGAAATCACCTCATGTCACATTTCTCAGAACTTACCCCATGGCTAAGCAATGCATGACTATAAATGTAGTATGTATGTTTTTTTGACTAGCATCTTTCATTCAACACTATGTGAGATTCATCCATGTTGTTGCATGTGGCACCATTCCATTTTCGTTTTTGTAATTGAAAAGAAACAGTATAAACTTGGAGACAGTTTAGAGAAGAATAAGGAAATCGTTAAGGCCAGGCACGGTGGCTCACCCCTGTAATCCCAGGACTTTGGGAGGCCAAGGCGGGCGGATCATAAGGTCAAGAAATCATGACCATCCTGGCCAACATGGTGAAACCCCGTCTCTACTAAAAATACAAAAATTAGCTGGGCATGGAGGCACGAGCCTGTAGTCCCAGCTACTTGGGAGGCTGAGGCAGTGGCTTGAACCCGGGAGGCGGAAGTTGCAGTGAGCCAAGATCGAGCCACTGCAGTCCAGCCTGGCGATAGAGCAAGAAACTGTCTCAAAAAAAAAAAAAGTTAACATTTGGTTCGTTGAGCATTAAGTCTGCATATACATTCAAGTTCTGGATCCCCGAATGAAAACCACTGGTGTTATCTCCTATCTGTTCCCAAATTTCACATCTCCAGAATGCTTATGTCATGATCTTCCTAGGGACCTCAAGTCAGACAAGACCTGTCAAACTGGACATATAGCAATAAGTAAAAAAGGCTAATGGTTCAGGGACTCGTCTTACAGGATAAGGACAATGGAAGATTTTTCAGACTAGTTCTTGAATGAGTATCTTGACTTTTGTCAAGGGAGCAATTCTCATTTCCACTGAAAATATGGTAACAGCTTAGAGTCTTAGATTGTTTAGGGGATGGTGCCAAGATAAGGATGAGAAGGATTTAATACCTATAGAATTATGGAATCATATAAAAAGGGATTATGCTAGCTACTTCTCTGCAGACTTTGGAAAAAATAGGAAATAGGTATGTCTTAAAAGCACAATGAAAATGTTCAACTTTATATAACAATAAACAGAGGCTGGGCACAGTGGCTCATGCTTGTAAACCCAGCACTTTGGGAGGCCAAGTCAAGCAGATCACTTGAGGTCAGGAGTTCAAGGCCAGCCTGGCCAACTTCGTGAAACCCCGACTCTACTAAAAATACAAAAAATTAACAGGGCGTGGTGGCATGTGCCTGTAAGCCCAGCTACTCAGGAGGCTGAGGCAGGGGAATTGCTTGAACCTGGGAGGCGGATGTTGCAGTGAGCTGAGATCACGCCACTGCACTCCAGCCTGGCTGACAGAGTGAGACTCCATCTTAAAAAAAGAGAGAGAGAGAATAAACAGGTATTAGAATAATAATAAAGAGAAATTTTAACATTAAAATTGGCAAAAGTTAAAAATATACCAATATCAGTGCTGGCCAGAGTGTGGGGAATGAGCCCTCTAAAACACAGTTGGTTGGATATAAATCAGTACTCCATTTCTTAAGAACAATTTGTCAGTATGAATCCAAAACCCTAAACATCTTTATACTCTAGTTAAGTAATTTCATGTCCAGGAATGTATTTTAGGGAAACAAAGATGAAAACAGTTATATGCACACTTATCATAAAATTATTTATAATAGCAAACATTTAAAAATGCAAATATCCAAATAAGCAGAGAATAATAAATATCATAATAATATGATGGAATATTATAGAACCATTTAAAAATACTTTTAAAGGAATATTTAATGACAGGAGAAAATACTTATGAAATAATGTCAGGTGAAAAGAAAGACATACAATTATAAGAAGCAAATGTCAAAAGTTGTTGTTTGACCCATGTAATGCTTTTAAAATGAAGCTTCCAGGGACCTTGATGCTCTGACTTTCTTCAGCGCATCACACTGGTCCCTATATTGATAACACTGTGCTGATTGAACCTGGTAAACAAGAAGTGGCAAGTAATCTGGGTGCCCTAGTGACACACAGGGAGTCAGAGAGTAGCAGATAAACCTTGTAAAGCAGGAGTGGCCTGCTGCATTGTAAAATTTTAAGGGTCTGGACAAGCCAGATTATCCCTCTTATGATAAAGGTCAAGATACCACATCTTGTACCCCTGTGTTAACAAAAGACTGTGAGATCCACGAGGAAGGAAAGGAGAAGACTTTATTTTCAGAAGGAGAAGCAACCCATAGATAAGGAACATAGCTTCTGGAGAAAATCAAAAGCGTATGTTCCACAGAAGAGAGTGAGGAGAGTCAGACTTACATACATATGGAGCAGGATGAGGGAAAATCTATGAATATTGGTGAGGGAAATCAGTCATGGGCACAGTGGGCATTCATATATGTAACATATTTTATGTTCACTTTCGGAGTTTTAGCATTAAAATTAGGTGGAATTCAACTCTTTACAACAAAAGGTGAACTGTAGAACACAAAGACAGTTTGTGTGCAGCCTCCATAAGCTGGCTGAAACTGGCTTGAGATCTGCAGCTATTCATTAATAAAGAATGTCTCTAAGACCAGCCCTTTGTCCAGTCCAAGTTGTGGCAGGAATGGCAAGGTGGGGAAAGGGGGTTGTGTCGGCTTGCTGGCATCTGGTGGTTTATCAGGGTCAGGCGGGAAAATTTCCAGCTGTAGTTGTTTTGGCAATGCTTTTCAGGACCTGGCTTCTGCTTAATTACAGGAAAGAAAACTTATAGCAATTAATGAAGGATATATGACTAATCCTTCATCCTGCTAGCCATGAGATTCGGGTTTATTTTTGGTGTGTCTCATTTTGGGTGCAGGTAGTTCATTTTGTCTGTCTGTTAGGGTATATCTTAATACCTGCCATGTGAATGTGGAGACAAATTGCACCACGCTTGGGACTACTGCTCCAACCCATTCTGCAGATGACTTAGAAATCTGCCTGTTTTGAGTGGGAGACCTCTGCTGTGGTCTATGCCCTGTCACTCAGGCTGAATGGCCCAGGCCACCCAATAGTGCTAGAGGATGCATCGTGTGGCAGTTCCCAATTCAAGAGTTCAGCCCAGAGCCTAGAGTCCCTGCCTCCTACAGCAGAGAACGGTTTGAAGAGCAGCTTTTGTGTGCTCCTGGGCCCTAGGAGAGATTGAGCATTTGGCAATGGGACGTCAAGTGACAGTGGCCCAGTCTGCCCAGCATGGGCTGAGACTTGTCACAAGCCAGAGCAGGCCAAGAGCAATTCCTTGTGCTGTGGAAATGGTGCTGGAGGATCTTGCCAGAGTGGGGCCAGAGAGCAGAAGGAAGGCAAATAAGTGGGTTCCTTCCCTAGCTCTATCTGTGGCCTCAGGGATATGGGGAGGGGAGGAGAAACCTGGGGCTCCTCCTGGATAGTTCAACGTATTTGTGTGAGCTGAAAGTGGACTGTGACCACACTGGAGCCAATTTTGACAAATGGCAACTTCCATGTAACCCACCTCTATCAAGACAGGCCATCCACTTATAGGGAGTGAGTTTGTATATGAACTTACTCAATGACAGGTATACAGACTAATCTCTCAAAAATCGTATGCTTCATAGGAAAATAGCACTCTATAATGCAGTACTAATTTTAAATTACTATGTCTTTGTTATAGCCAGATTATTTAGCTTGAATAAATGAAAAAAACTTGTAACTTAGCTAGTAAACAATCACTAGAATTCTCAGGCCAATTTTTAATGAACTGTTAATATACTATGCATACACATATTGGTATATATGGAGTGTCTGTGTGTGTGTGTGTATGTGTGGGTGTTTTATTCTTGGTACTTTACTATATTTCTCAGGTTAAAAATTTATATGCCTGTTATTGGATGCATAACCCACTATTCATATGCATCTATCATCTATCTATCTATGTACCTATCTAACTATCTATCTACCTATCTATCTATGTACCTATCTATCTATCTACCTATCTATCTATGTATTAAATATCAATCATCTCATTTGTTTTCTGGTATATTTATGCTCTTTTAGGGAATGATTAACTTTCGGGTCATACAAATTTTTGTCCTTTAGGTACTGACTTTAGGTACTCATGAAGTTTTAGTGACAGTTTGTTTGTGTTCAGGAACAGAAGGAATATAATGGATTTGTGACTGGATTCCTTGGTATCTAATTTGAATTTTTCATTTACACAGCTGGTTTTATTTGCTCTGAGGTATTATTGCAAAGAAGGATAGAAGAAGCACATGTGTTACGCTAAGCTCCAAGCTCATTTAAACATTTTATCTTCCAAATCCTGAACTACAATTGACCCCTTCAAAGTTCAGATTTATATTTACTCTTGGAATTATTAAAATTCCTGTTTTTATAAAAGAAGTCATAGAAAAAAAAATCATTGGGAATAAAATCTGTCTCCCAAATCCTACTAAGTAATTATAAGTGGAACTAAAATAATTGACTTAATTTTTCTTAAATAACTGTAGAAAGATGTGAGTTAAATATACAAGTAAAGCAATTCCATATTTGCTAGTAATTCATTTGTTTAAAACATAATTCATGTTTGGTGCAATTTCTTTATTATCCAGGCTCTTGATTCAACAGAAGTCAGGCAGAAAGGGTTTCTTGAATTTTGTTTTATCTTCTAATATTATGAGGCTTATCTTTGAATATTTAACTTTATGTTTTGGTGATGACTTTTTCTTTTATAGTGTCTATTATAAAGCTACTAGAGAAGAAAATATAGTGATGGAACCATATAAAGATACATCAAATACATCATGTGGAGTAGTTTATATTAATCTTAAGACTAAAAGTTACTCCCAAGTGGGATATTCTGAAGCAACAAATCATCTCTTTGGGTATCATTTTTTGTTTTGTTTTGTTTTGTTTTGTTTTTTTGAGACAGAGCTTGCTCTGTCACCCAGGCTGTAGTGCAGTGGTGTGAACACAGCTCACTGCAGCCCCGACCTCCTGGGGTAAAGTGATCCTCTTGCCTCAGCCTCCCAAGTAGCTGGGACTACAGGCATGTGCCACCATGCCCGGCTAGTTTTTTAATTTTCTGTAGAGATTTAGTCTTGCTATGGGTATCATATTTTTAATCTAGTTTTATTTTAGAAAGATGAAGTTTATTATTTGTAAAACTACTGTTTTCCCCCCAGAGGCATAGTTGATCACCTATGGAAACAACAGAAAACATGCTTTCAGCGAACCTTAGGAGTGAACGCTGTGATTTGCACGGGCATTAAATGCTATAAAGGATTTTTTCCTTGCCGCAGTAGTCACTCTCTTTATTTGTTTATCATACCCTTAGAAGATCGGGTGGAAAAAGTTAAGGAGGAAAAAGATGGTTTTTGTCAAGACAATGGCAGGACCAAGAGCGTGAAGGCAAGAAACACTGGACATACATCAGGAAGGATCTGCATTTTGGCATGGCAGGACCTGGTGGTACAGGCACCCAGGTGGGCAGATGTGATGTGATGGATGGAGGTGGGTGCCAGAGCACAGAGGTTCTTGGATGCAGAGTAAGAGGGACTTTGCTTTGGGGGTCTATTGAAAGAACATATTTTTAAATAGGTCTTTAGCATAAAGAGCGACTGCTCTAGGAAGATTACTCTAATACATGTTTATTCTGTTATTCAACAAATATTTGTTGAGCTTGTACAATGTACCAGATGCAGTCTAAATGCTGGTCACACAGTGAGGCCTTTGTATGGTTCTTTCTCTAAGTCTAGTGAGACCATATAGAATGAATTGGAAAAGCAAGATAATCAGGGTAGTTAAGAGATATTTTCTGCATTACAGAAGAGAAAAATCTATGCTGAGTTCGTGGCAGTGGGAATGGGAATGGGAATAGAGCAACTGGGCCTGGCTGGAGATAAAAACCCACAGAAAATGGACAGAAATTGACAAATCATTTTACGTGAAAGAGTAAGGGAAGTTTAAAAAGAAAGACCTCAATAATTTGGTAAATTGGAGATACCATAACACAAACAGCTATCCAGCAAATAGAGGCTTTTGAAGAACAATGTGGATTAAGACTGGTATGAACTGAGTTCGGAGGTCTTATGAGATATCTAAGACGGTCTGGAGTTGAAGCAAGAAGTGCCGGAAAAGGGTGACAATATGATTCATCATCCAAACTAGGACCCCTTGGAGATGAAACAGAGCACTATTAATAACTACACCAGGACAACAACATAAATGGGAGCACTCTCAGGAAACCCAGTATTGATGGTGGAAGGAAGGTTATAATCACCCACATCATGTGGTAACTGACTTTGTTGCCACATTGTTAAGGGAGGATGTGGAAGGAGAGGAACAGAGGATGAATGGCCACAGCCACCCTGTGAAATAACTCATTAGATTGTGACTTGGGACACATTGCATTGGGCTGTATTCTGTGAAGCTTTCCACAGATGGATAAGAGGCTTTGAGAAATCTAGGGTTAAATACCCCATTTACTCTTTAGCAATCTGTTTTGTAGTTATCATTTTGCCACAAAAAAAAAATAGAGGAGAGGAAGAGATATATAGGTAAGTATAGTAACTCTTTAAATTGTTAAATTTTTCTTTTTTATATCAAGTACTAGGCTGGAGGTAGGTGCAGCCCTGGCCTGGGCCCTTGAAGCAACACTGTGGGTGTGAGATGGATGTGACAGGCCAGAGGGAAAAGCACGGTGACTAGGTATGCTTTCCATACGAAGATAAGGCCTGCAGAGGAGGGGATGTAATAATGAGCTATTAAGGGTCAGTAATGATGTGCTTATTGACAGGAGCCACTCATTTCCTTGTAGTGTTCTAGTTGCCAAGGATATGTGTTAGAAAGTATGTTAATAACTGTGAAGGAGGTGCTGAATGAATATATGTCTAGAAAGCCTAATTTAGATACAACCGTGGACACTAACTGAAGGCCCTTTAAATTTTCATCCATTAAAAATGAATTTTTTTCCCTCAGGAATAATGCTAATTAGTCATAAAATCTTACCATAATATGCTTGAGCTGGATCTTAACAGTTTGCAAAAATCGATTGTTAAATTTTCAGAATTTTCAAGCTTGTTGCTAAACATAGCCATTATTAAAAATTACATATTATGGCCAAGCACAGTGGCTCACGCCTGTAATCCCAGTGCTTTGGGAGGCCAAGGGGGGTGAATCACCTGAAGTCAGGATTCGAGACTAGCATGGCCAACATGGTGAAACCCTGTCTCTACTGAAAATGCAAAAAAATTAGCTGGGTGTGGTGGCAGGCGCCTGTAATCCCAGCTACTCCGGAGGCTGAGGCAGGAGAATCACTTGAACCTGGGAGGTGGAGGTTGCAGTGCGCCAAGATCGCACCATTGCACTGCAGCCTGGATGAAAAGAGTGAAGCTCTGTCTCAAAAAAAAAAAATTACATAATATAGTATTATGCAATGTTACATTACATTATTATATTATGTAAAAAGGTATAAACATTTAGAACTCAACATTTTCTAATAGCTTTATTACATTTTATTGTACTCTCTGCTATAGTAGTATTCATATGGTAGAATTATTATAAGATTGTGGGTACTTGCACTTCTTTCCAGTTCTATACTCTGATGCCAGGTTGGCAGTTTGAAATCAGCCATGGTGGGTATATTTATACCAAAGATATAGGCAAACACTACAAATCAGGACAGCCCCTCCCCAAACCCCAAATATGGCTATTAAACATTTACTTAGATAGATAGTATCTATCATTTCATCTGTATATTTTACAATAATATAATAATATTATAACAGACAGATTGTTAAATGCTTCTATAGGACTTCCTTTTAAAAATGAACTCTCAAGAGTGAAAGCACCACATTAGTATTCAGTCCAATAAACGACTGTTGAGGAATTGCCTGATCATTTCCTTAAATAAAAGCATTTTTTAAACCAGTATTTCTCTGGGAAAATTTCACTTTAGTAATTATGTATTCAGACAACAAAACCCAGAATGAATGCTGTTTCGGATTAGAAAATGTATTTTATTCTATATTCCTGGATCGCAGGCAATGAAATTTCAATTTTCTGAGAACTGGCTTTTCCTAAATTAATTGTCTGCTCAGCAGACTTACTTGGCTCTTTAAACATTCTGAGTATTATTTTTGCACTTGTGTTTACCATCTTATCACTTTGGTGATTGTTTTTCTTGATAAAAACATACTAAAAGAGAAAACTTACTTAGGAAATCCAAATTAATTTATTTCAAACCACAGTCGTTTTGCCTGGCTATATTAATATGCCAGAGCTAAATGAACTTATTATTTAATTTTTTTAACCAATGAATGTGGTCCAGATTTGAATAGCAGAAGCCCCAATATCATTGCCCCAGGAGAGCAAAGCCAAGATCTTCTGCATTCCTTCACAAGGAATCCCAAAGAAATGCTAATTAACTAATTTAGGTTGTAAGTTTACAGTAGCTCTTTATGTCTGTCAATTTTATGTGTTAGTATAGATTTCATTTAGACCTTTTATCAGACTGGAAAACCTAGCAACACTTGAAAACAGTTGATTTAATTTTCTCTTCTTTCCACCTGTATTAAGAGGCATGTAGGAGACTTGAATGCATAACAAATGCATTTTAATCAATAAACCCTAAAATTGGTTTCAATATATTCAGAACATCAAAAGGAAAATGATGTATAGGTGATGACTCATCTCTGATCTAGGATAATTTAAGAAAAAGATACAATTTTATATAAGACGTTAAATATAGCCATTACTGGAGTTGGCAGGCTCCATACCTACCCTAGATCAATGGAATCTAATAGGAAGATGTAACTCTAATGGCTCTTCCAAGCCATCTTATTATTATGTGGGCACTTTCAAGAGGCTATCCATGTGAAGAGATCCAAATATAAGATTCTAGATCTTACTGTACCATTTAACTGAAGCTTTTGCTGTGGCTCCTGGCTGCAGCAGTCACAGCAGACAGGGAAAACTTTGAAGCTCCTCCTATCCCTCCACAGATTTTTGACAGGGTTTTGAGTCAGAGGATATAGCAAAGGTGTACAAGAGCACAGGAAAAATAGGATAACAATTTAGACATAGAGAACAATTGAATCTCTACCTGCTCTTCCAAAAAATATTTTCATTATTGAACCTAAAAAGTGTTATACTTTAAGCAACAAAACCATTATCTAACTAACTGCATAGTTACAAATTTAAGAAGTGCAAGCCTCAAGCGGAAATTTTTTTTCTAGATAGTGCATTCTCCAAACTCATTTCAGTAATATATGAATCCTGTGAGTTTATAATCACTTTAATAGATAACTAGAAAGATAGATGATATATTAGATGATAGGTAGGTAGGTAGATAGATAGATAGATAGATGATAGATAGATGATAGATAGATAGATACCACTGATATGGGTTGTCTCTGTGTCCCCACCCAAATCTCATGTTGAATTGTAATCCTGAATGTTGGGGGAGGAACCTGGTGGGAGATCATTGGATCATGGTGGCGGATTTCCCCATTGCTGTTCTCATGATAGTGAGTGAGTTCTCAAGAGATCTGGTTGTTTGAAAATGTGTAGCGCTTCCCCCTTTGCTCTCTTCTTCCTCCTGCTCCCTCCAGGTAAGACATGTTTGCTTCTCCTTCGCCTTCCACCATGATTGTAAGTTTCCTGAGGCCTCCCAGTCATGCTTCCTGTACAGCCTGTTGAACTTCAGTCAATTAAACTTTTTTTCTGTATAAATTACCCAGTCTCTGGTAGTTCTTTATAGTAGTGGGAGAATGGACGAATACAGACACATTTCTTTAAAGATTTATAACTAACACCATTTCTCTTCCTTTACTCTTTGCCCATTCCCTGTGGGATCTGAATGAATGTTCAACGTACAATACAAGTATCTAAGCAAAGCCCCCTCCCCACCATTTTAAAATTTTGGTTCCATGCCCCAAACCCTATGGCCACCTACCCAGGATGAAGACAGTTTTCAGCTGAATACTCCGTGGATGTCCTAATAGGAGTCCAGGCTAGCCTTGGGCACCAATTCACAGTTTCTCCCTTTATCCTGGAACTCTCCCAGGAAGAGACACTGCATTGCACAGTGTTGTGATAAAAGCCTCCTAGGAGGAGCATCTTAAACACAGTACATATGGAGGCACTTGGCAATACCCCTCACTAAGAGAGAGCTGTTGTCAGTAAATCAGGCTCTTTCTATTATGAAGTTCATTTTATGTTGCTAAGGGAAAAATAGCACTGAATCATTAGTCATCTAGAACATTTTTTTTCAACATAGAGAGCAACAAAATGTATCTCTGAGGAAAATTAATCTGAGGCTACATCTGTGGACTAAACTGAATGTTTCTGAGTCTGGAAATTTGATTTAAGAAATTGTTTTTGCATAAATAGATTTATGCTCACATTGTCAGGTAAATAGAAGCAATACATCACCTTCCAGCTAAAAATGGGAGGAAGGTCAGTTGGATGAGGATAATTGGGGAGAAGTTATAATTTTTCAAATGAAATTATAGGATAAAACTTGGGGCTTTTTTTTTCTTTTTGATTTCAACAGAGAAGAAAGAAAATTATAAATACTTTCAATAATGAATTTGAGCTCCATGCAACTGACAGTAGAAGTGAGATTAGCATATATTTTGATTGACATTAGAAGTCTATTCCTGTTTATTTAACTCTGAGTTACCATTATTTTGATATTAAGTTAATGGAGAGGGAAAAGACACACCATCATCTTGTCAAGCTAAGCAGAGAAATAGATCTGATTTCCTACTGGGAAATTATAAACATATCTTCTTTCCTGTTGGGATAAAATCAGAGCTGGAGTTCATTTCCTATTGGGGTTATGCTGGCTGTCTCTGACACCGTAAGTCTAGAAGTAGTGATATTGTTTATATATCAAAACTGTGATCATGAAAAACATATATGTAGGAAAAAAATGCAAAGGGAAGCCTAGAGTATGGGAATATGAGATAGTCAAATGCATATGTGGGAACTTAACTGCATTTTGAGAGTAAATTCTTGAATGTGCATACGTAGCATGTGCTTTTCTTCAGATGGTTAGTTTTTTCCTGTCTGTGTCATTTTTTCTTTATTATAGCTAAATGAGTATTTATTAAAGGCTCATTTTATTGTATTAATACTGAAAATATAGATTTGCCTTTTTTTGGTTAAATGTAGTCACATGTCTATCATAAGTGAAGAATATTTGAAGTTTCTGAGCTTTACAGCACAAGGCATGGGATTATTTTGGCTTTTTAAGAGTGGGATCATTTCTTCACTTATTGTTGTTTAAGTTTGAACAATTTCATTCTCCTTATAATGATTATAAGGACATGAAATTTAATATAAACACTTCTGTTTATTCATTAAAAAGTAGTTACTATAAGCCTGCTATGTGTTAAGTGCTATTCTAGGTTCCAGGACACAGGGGTGAATTAGACAGTTATTAACCTCATAGGGTTTACATTCTAGGGGAGAGTCTAGAGAATTAAAAATAAATGTATAATGCTATGGTCACTGTGATACATGCTGCAAAGAAAAAATAAAACAGAGTAGTAAGATAGAGAATGTCTTGGGAGGAGAAAGAGGTAGTCAGGAGACATTTCTTTGAGGGGATGACATTTGATCATAGGATATTTGCTGACGACAACAAAGTAATAACCACAGGTCTCTGGAGGGGCATCTCAAGCTAAGAAAACAGTGAGTATAAAAGGCCTGAGACAGGGAAGAATCTTGATGTCAAAGGAACAGGAAAAATGCTGATGGGGCTAAGCTGCAGCAAGAGAGTCTGATTTTAAGATGGAGTCAGAAAGACCAAAGCCAGATTATGAAGGGAATTTTTGTTTCATTTTGTTTTGTTTTATTTTTTTTTGAGACAGAGTCTTGTTCTGTCACCCAGGCTGGAGTGCAGTGGCCTCAAACTCCTTGCTTAAGTGGTCCTTTGCCTCTGCCTCCTAAGTAGCTGGGACTATAGATGTGCACCACCATACCCAGCTATTTAAAAAAACATTTTTTTTTTTTTTTTTTGCAGAGGTGAGGACTCACTATGCTGTCCAGACTGGTCTCAAACTCCTGGCCTCAAGCCATCCTCCCTGCTCAGTCTCCCAAAGTGCAGGCCTGAGCCACCAAGGTGAACGGTGTTCTTGATCATGTAAAGGACTTTGGATTCTCTTCTCAGCATGATGGAAAGCCACTGGAAAACATACCACATAGAAATGACATAAGCTGATTTATATTTAAAATAAAATCCTTATGATTGCCATGAGAAGCGTTGAATGTGAGGTGGGGAAGAGAGAGACGGGGGCAAGAGTAGAAGCTAAGACGACCAGGCAAGAGATGATGATGGAGACTTAGGCTGGAGGTGGCAAGATGTCACTCTTGGCCATATTTCAAAGTAAGATTTGCTCATGGACTAGTTGTTACAAGACAGGTGAGTAATGGGGACAAGGCTATTTGTAGGATTATAAGTGAAAGAATAGTTGCTATTTATGAAAACAGGAAAGACTGGGCCTTGTTAGGTTTCAGATGCCTTAGAAAATGAGACTTAGAATTCTGAGAATTGGCTTGGGCTGGAAATATAAACTCAGTAAACATCAGAATATAGATGATAATTAAATCCAGGGGACGGGGCAAGTCCCTCTAGAAGTGAGCATATATAAATAAGAGGTCTGAGGACTGAGCACTGAGCTCTGAGACCTACAATTGCATGATTGAGGAGAGGAGGAGCCAGTAATGAAGACTGCAGTGCCCAAGGAGGTAGAAAGAACAACTGGAGGTTACAGTGTTCTGAAAGCCAAAAGGCGAATGTGTTTCAAGAGAAAAAGAGTGCTTCCTATGTTGTACACTCCCAAGAGGCTGATGACAATGACTTTGTGAGCTTGCCAATTGCATTCTCAGTCTGGAGGCATGGGTAAAGCCGGTTGAGGAGAGAACTCAAGACAAGAACATGTAAAGAATTTGTAGAGACAACTCTTTCTAAACGGATGGTTACAAGGCCACACAGAACAGGCTGTGGCTGAAGGGAATGGGGATTCTTGGAAGAGCATTTTAATTTTTATGGAAATTATTATAGCACATTCATCAATGGTCATGATCTAGGAGAGAAGGATAAAGTAATGAAATAGAAAAGGAAGGGAATAATTACAAGATCGAAATCCTTGAGGAGGTGAAAGTGGACAAGGTCCATGATGGTTAATTTTAGGTGCCAACTTGACTGGATTAAGGGATACCCAGAAAGGTGGTAAAGCATTATTTTTGTGTTCATCTGTGAGGATGTTTACAGAGGAGACTGGCATTTGAATCAGTGGACTGAGTAAGGAAAATTCACCCACACCCAATGTGAGAGCCTAGATAGCAGAGGAAAAATTTTTCTCTCTTTTCTGCTGGAGCTGGAGCACCCTTCTTCTCCTGCCCTTCAACATCAGAACTCCAGGTTCTCTGGCCTTGGGACTCTAGGACTTACACAGGCAGCACCCCAAGTTCTCAGGCCTGTGGCTTTAGACTGAAATTTACACCATTGACTTTCCTGGTTCTGAGACCTTCATACATGGACTGAGACATGCTATCGGCTTCCCTAGCTCTCCAGTGTGCAGGTCACCTATGGTGGGACTTCTCAGCCTCCATAACCACATAAGCCAATTTCCCTGAGACATCTATTCCCCTCTCATACATCTACCTCTATGAATATATCCTATTGTTTCTCTTTCTTTGGAGATCCTGTCAACTAACACAAAATTCAACCCACATGTCAAGTGGTTGGCCTCAGCTAGGAGTAGACCTAGTTAAGCATTGTAAAAAGAGGCAGGCGGATCACGAAGTCAGGAGATCGAGACCATCCTGGCTAACACAGTGAAACCCCGTCTCTACTAAAAATACAAAAAATTAGCCAGGCATGGTGGCGGGTGCCTGTAGTCCCAGCTACTCAGGAGGCTGAGGCAGGAGAGTGGCATGAACCCGGGAGGCGGAGGTTGCAGTGAGCCGAGATGGAGCCACTGCACTCCAGCGACAGAGTGAGACTCCATCTGAAAAAATAAATAAATAAATAAATAAATAAATAAATAAATAAATAAATAAGAGGGAACACAGAGAAGATGGGCAGAGATGTCAACAGGTTGTTAGATGTGGTGGTGGCTGACAGGGTAGTTCTTTTTCTGATAATTATTTTATAAGCTAAGAATGAGAAGAGGAAAGGGGTAATTGGAGTTTTAAGGAAAGAGAAGATGTGCAATAGTAATCTGAGATAATGGGAGAAATAAGGCTTACTTGAAAGTAGTGGTCATGTGTTTAAGTTGAGCATCTTCAGCTTAAGTGTGGGTTTTTGTTTAGCCTACTCTACTGCTCAGGGCCAGTAAAGAATAAATGGAGAGCTGGAGTCCTTCCAAGTGAGTAAGTTGGAGAGCGTCTTGGACACAGGCTCTCAAACTTTTCCTGCAAAGGGTCAGACAGTAAATATTTTAGGCTCACTTTGTAACCATACAGTTTGTCACAACTACTCAATTTGCCATTTTAGTGCAAAAGCAGTCATAGACAATACATAAACAAATGGTGTGGCCAGGTCCCAATAAAACATTACTTATAAAAACAGGCAGTGAACTGATTTGTCCTGAGATCCTTAGTTTGCTGGCCTATGGTCTAAGGAATTGAGGGTGCATGCAAGGAACTATTGTATTAATGGCCCATGGACGCAAAGCTGGATAACATCGGAAGTGGGCACACAAGAATGTGATGGGTTGCAAATGGCTTAGAGGTCTAGATGAGGGCAGTAAATTATTGGAATAGGGGTACTATTTAAAAACAACTGGAAAGAAAGAAGTTGGTGCTTAGAGTGTTTGCAGGTTGACATCTAGTTGTTAGAGGTGAAATCATCATTGGATAGGAGCCAAAGGAGGACATGAATCTAGGAGCCTTGGAGATGGGGAAGCAACTTTTAAATGTTTTGGTCTAAGTCTTGATGAGGGAATGGGAGGTCTTACCAGGAACAAGTGCTGCTCTGGAGACATCTCTCAAATCAGGGGCAACTGGAGCTTTGTGCACCTCCTTTATAGATTCCCACGAACAGCAGGATGGGCTGACTTCTCCTGGGATTCAGATCTCTGGGATTCTCCTCAACACTATGCTGAAATGAAGGCATGGTCAAGTAGAAGTCATTTTGCAGGAGTCTGTGTACCCTAAAGTCTCACTTCAAATCATTTGTTAGTTACTTCCAGTGTATCTGGTACCACATCTCTTTCTAGATTATTATTTGCTAATATTCTGTGAGGGGGGAAAAGAAGACAGGATGATTATTATTCTTGAAAATTCACCTCAGTTGATAATGTCTACCAAGAGACATTCTTGTCATTCCTTTCTCGAGTAGTGCAGTATTTAGATAGAAAGTATTTATGTAATTGTAGAAAGAGTCTTGTTGTTAGGAAATTTGATGGTCATTTCTGATATAAAATATTTTTGAAAGATAACTTCTCGGATTAACTCATCTCTTTGCTTATTCTTTCAGTTTATGTGCTAGGCAGATAAAAACATTTAAGGCAAAGTCTCTTCCCTCAAGATACTCAGGCTAGATGTGGAGATGAGACAGGAATAACACAGGATGGTTGCAGGAGAACAGAAAACTCCAGGCAGCAGTTCCACATGACTAGCAAAAGGAAACTGTCGAAATAACTATAGAAGCTAGGAGCTGATAAGACCCTGAAAAACAGGGTACAGACTAAGCTGGCTAAGACCAACATGGCACTGAATTTTACCTAGGTTTCACCTAGGACCTCATTATATACTAATAAACATACTGAATCACACACCCACCAATACCACGACAGTTCTGGGGAAATCCATATTTGGTATAAAAATGGGTGACACCACAGTTCTGAGAAATCTCCACCTTTTCCCAGGAATCTTCATGACTATTCCACCCTTGGCTAAAGAAACCCATGAAGATAGAAACCCCAGTCCCCATTACATGGCTCTCTTGACTATACCCACACTCCCTTTTCTTGAGAGTACTTTTCCCTTTGCAATAAGTCTCCATATTTTCATATTTTCTGACCTTGAATTCATTCTCATGATGGTGTCAAGAGCCTGGACACCAGCTGGAGTTGAGGTCCCAGAGGTGTCTCAGGACCTCCCTCGGCCCACTGGTGTCAAAGTGGATTACGTAAATAAATAATTGCAAGATACCCAATTAATTGCTATAACAAGGCAAAGAAGAGTAATTCATTTGTTTATTCATCATAAGTTTTATTTTTACTCTTTTCTATATGCCAGGCAGATAAAAATAAATAAGATATTTTTTTTGCTGTCAAGGTGCTCAGAGGCTAGGTATGGAGATGGTTAGATAAGCAAATGACTGCAAGCTACTGCATGCATTGCTACCATAAAGAAGGTACAAATAAACCACAGTGATAGCACAAAGAAGGTTGGAATTGACTCCACATGAGAGGTACAGAAAGGCTTCACCAAGGGGAAAATCTTCAACTGGGTCTTGAAAGATAGTTAGGATAGCACCAAGAGTGGAGGAACATACCAGGAGGAGGGGATTAGCAAATGTGTAGAGTCTGATGATAGCTAGAGCATTGGGACAATAGAGGAGAAAACAGGACATGAGGCTGGAAAGTTGGTGGGACCAGGGAATGGGAGGATGGCAGTAGGGGGAAGTTAGACCTTCTCAGCAAGGCTCTGGAAGACCTGGAAGGGCTTAAATCAGGGAAATAAATATCAGATTTACATCTCAGAGAGAAAATGGAGAAAGGATTAGAGGAAGGTGAGTCTGGAGGCAAAAGTTTTCCAGTTTTAAATTTTTTTTAACTTTTTTTCCTCTCCCCATCCCCCTTTTAAAAAAAATTTGGTTGTGACGGATTCAATTGACATGTAAAACACAAAATCTCAGAATCAAATGGTTGTTTAGGTTATTTATAATTTTAACCTATGCTGGTTTAGGTCATTCCTCTGCACTCGGGTTCCAGTGCTTATATCTGTCACCAGTTCATGTGCTGAATATTAATAATGGATCTTTCTCTGACATCAGCCTGGAAATTCCCTGAGGATGAGGGCCAACTTTATTTACTTTAGTGGACATCTTGCATAAGTTCACATTATATAAATTCAACTACTATTGCTGAACTGAACCAAATGCTGATTCCTTTATATTTAATAACTATAGAATAATTGGAATTGGGGAGAAAGAATGCCTACTATCAATATACCTGGTAACCTGTCAATGCAGATAAGACAACATGTCCAAACTTCCAAAACATAGCTCAGCTAATATTGCAGAATGGAATAACCTAAAGGAATAGAGAATGAGAGATCCACGAGGCTCAATGTGATTCTAACTTCTTCAAAGTAGGTTTTTTTTTCAACCTGCATGCAATTTATTTCCTAAGATACTTTCTCATCATACATTATATAAACATGATGATATAAAAACAATTCTTGAGGCAATATTAGGAAACACTAAAGTTAGGGTCTAACTTAAACGGACTGTCAAAAGCAAAGGTATAAAATGATGGTGTCCATAGGTAACCCCCGTTTATGTCCCTCTTGCTCTGCGATGCTTCAGACATTGTGAACTATGGACTTTCATCACGTGTTTCTGCTTAAATGGAAGCCACATTGCTGCCCTGTACAAAAGAATAACTTTTAGCAGATTTTATTTGTAAAAAAAAAAAAATCCCCTCTACACTGCTTAACACAATGTGATAGTAGTGGCACTATATCAGTAGTGTATTAACCATTGGATAAGACATAGTATCAAAAATGAATTCCACACTGTATTCTCCTTGGTATAATTTAAAATATACAGAAGTCCTCCAGCATTATGGGACAGATAAAACGCATTTCAGGACTTCTAGACAAAAGTGGTATCTGAAAGCTGTGTTTTGTTTTTTTTTTTTAATTTTATTGTTATTATACTTTAAGTTTTAGGGTACATGTGCACAACGTGCAGGTTTGTTACATATGTATACATGTGCCATGTTGGTGTGCTGCACCCATTAACTCATCATTTAGCATTAGGTATATCTCCCAGTGCTATCCCTCCCCCCTCCCCCCACCCCACAACAGTCCCCGGTGTGTGATGTTCCCCTTCCTGTGTCCATGTGTTCTCATTGTTCAATTCCCACCTATGAATGAGAACATGCGGTGTTTGGTTTTTTGTCCTTGCGATAGTTTGCTGAGAATGATGGTTTCCAGTTTCATCCATGTCCCTACAAAGGACATGAACTCATCATTTTTTATGAAAGCTGTGTTCTTTTAAAGAACAGGGACAAATAGATTATTTACATGTCAAAAAAGAAAATAATCCTCAGGCTACCTGCAGGGACGGAAGGGCCAATGTGACCAAATATCACTAAAAAGTATATATGGTAAATACTTGTCTCTGCTTATGATATTAAGAATGGGTACATTCTCTCCAGGCTTACAGTACATGGCATTTACCTCCTAACAGTAGTAGAACTCTTGCCTTTCTGGCTGCTGTATATACAAAGTTGCATTCTCAGTGACAATTTGTTTTCCTTCCTCTAGGCAATGAAGCCCCCAACTATGTAGCTCATAAAATCTTCACAAGGATAATAGTAACACTTAGACTTGTATAATAGAACCAAATACTTTAAGAGATTTATTGATCATGAATCAGTTTGTTTCTACCACATTTCTACGGATTAGATCTTGTGGTATTATTTCATTTTTATAGCTGAGATATCACTGATGATGAACAGGTTGTTCTGGTTTTCCAAAGGGAAGAGGAGAGAGAGCAGGATGAGGCATTTCTCAGTGAGGAATCTTACCATGTGGTCAGATTGGTTGGAAGTCTGTTTATTATTGAACTTCTTTATGTCAAAGTTAGTGAGTAATCAAGGAATTTCCAACCCTGCACAATGTACTGAATCATTCTGAAGCAATCACTTATCCACAGGGCAAAATATGATACTCATTATTTAATTGGCAGAAACCCTAGGGGGCTTTTCATCAAGGAGATCCTATAAAGATTTTTTTCTGAGTTAAGGCAGTACCTTAAATTTCATTTTTGTTTTTAATGTCAGTCGGTGGCTTTTATCTCCATGACAGTACTATAAATGTGACAGTTCATAACATTTAGGTAAGGAAAAGCAAGCATGATTTGGGCTGAATAAGAAGTGGATTCAAATGAGTCACTGAGGAAGACCGTAGAATCCCTTTCATTCTGCAGTACCTGAGCTGCTGTGGATGTGATCTCAGAAAGTAGGTGTGATGGTTAATTGGACGCATCAACCTGGAGGGTGTTTTGGATGACATTAACCTTTAAATTGGTGAGCTCTGAGTAAGCAGATCACCCTCCATGATGTGGGTGGTCCTCATCCAATCAGTAGAAAGCCTGAACAGAACAAAAAGACTAGCTTCCCTGAGTAAGAGGGAACCCTCCAGCAGACTGCCTTCATTTATTTACATCTTATCATAAGGAGAAGAGTCCTATTGATTCTGTTTCTTTTGAGAACCCTGCTAATGCAGTAGGATCAACAGACAGTCCAACTGTACCAGTTGTTCCTCAATAGATTTATATAACTCTGGACCTTACATTTGTTGATCTCTAAGACCACGCCAAAGAATGACTTCTCTGATAGATGTGCTTTGGCATCTCCATTTTGGCTTACTTGCCAGGCTTTGAATATTTTTCACAATCCAGTGAAGGGGCAGGCCTGGGTGGTCATGACTGTACTAGGTAACCCAACCCACATGGCTACAACTTACTGAACCTGAGATTAATAATTGACTAGGAGAGTTGCAGAATGGCTGATCTGTAGGTGAGGCTGAGCCAAAAAACACTTGATCTTAAAGATTTAAACTAAGATACTCTGAAATAGGGAGGGTAGGGAGGCATTGCTGACTAAATCAAGTACTTGCAAGAGGATTTGCTGCCATCTTCTAAACCCACAGGAAGCCAAACACAGAGCACCTGGGAAGTGGGGAGTAAGAGAGAGCAGAGCATGCTCATGGTGAGCTAAGGTGGAAGGGCTTCAGGCCTGCAGGAGGGAGGATAATGCATTCCTGCGCCAAGGACCACCATGACTGAGAAAGGTGCTAGGTGCCCAAGATACTGGCAAAGATCCACCCCTGCCAACACATGGTCGATTTATCTCCTAGCTCCAGCTACACCCTTATTTTACCTTGTATACCTTCTTTCCTGGGCTTTAGTTTCCTCCTCTGAAAAATAAACAGATAACTTTCGTGTGTAAAGTTCTAGAGAACCCAACAAATTTTTTAAATTTAATCTAATTTTTTATAAAGACAGGGCCTTGCTATGTTGCCCAGGCTGTTCTCGAACACCTTGCCTCAAGTGAGCCCTTGCCCCCAACCTCAGCCTCCCAAAGTGCTCAGATTACAGGCATGAGCTACCATGGGCAACCCCAGCAGTTTTTAAATTGGTCATATGAAATAGGGATTGTTTAATGGTGGATTCTGTGTTCATTTTATCGGGCTCTGTATTCTATTATTCTTATCTGTGGCAACAATTGAGTTTTTCTTGAGGGAAGTAATTTTCAACTGTTTTGTTTTTGTTTTTGTTTTTTGTATCAGGGCAAACTTTGTTAAAAGGAAGTCTTACATGGAGGACTTAAACAAAACAGATAAAAGCTGAGTGGATCTGATCAGAGTGGCTGGGGCTTGGAGCTTCACCCTATGGCCTTTCCCAGAACCCTTCGTTCCCACATGCTCCACATCCTCAGCTCTGCAGACTCCAGCTTGAAAGCCTTCACCCTTGAAAAACAACCAAGATGCATGAGGAAGAGACAGTCAAATAAAGTTAAAAACTGCAGGAGCAGCTGAAGACCAGCAGGATTGCAGAGATCCACCATCTGGAAGTACTTCCTGCCTTGGCTTGCTGAAATCCAGCAAAGAGCACAGGCAAGAACCTGGAGGTGCAGAGGCTGAGGAGAGGCAACCGCAAAACTGGAACCAAAGGGGAATGGGCTTTGTGGGGAAAATAGCAGGAGGGAGCAGCTGCACGATGCGGTGTTCCTGTGTCCCTGGCTGCAAACGACATAAGAGAAAATAAAAGAGTTAGGGCCTAGCAAGACAGGCCAACATTCAAATTCAGGAAATACAGAGAACACTACAAAGATACTCCTCGAGAGGAGCAACCCCAAGACACATAATTGTCAGATTCTCGAAGGCTGAAATGAAGGAAAAAATGTTAAGGGCAGCCAGAGAGCAAGGTCGGGTTACCCACAAAGGGAAGCCCATCAGACTAACAGCAGATGCCTGGGCAGAAACCCTACAAGCCAGAAGAGAGTGGGGGCCAATATTCAACATTCTTTTTTTTTAAATTATTATACTTTAAGTTCTAGGGTACATGTGCACAACGTGCAGGTTTGTTACATACATACACATGTGCCATGTTGGTGTCCTGTACCTGTTAACTCATCATTTACATTAGGTATATCTCCTAATGCTATCCCTCCCCTCTCCCCCCACCCCATGACAGGCCCCAGTGTGTGATGTTCCCCACCCTGTGTCCAAGTGTTCTCATTGTTCAATTCCCACCTATGAGTGAGAACATGCAGTATTTGGTTTTCCATCCTTGCCAGAGTTTGCTCAGAATGATGGTCTCCAGCTTCATCTTGTCCCTACAAAGGACATGAACTCATCCTTTTTAATGGCTGCATAGTATTCCATGGTGTATATGTGCCACATTTTCTTAATCCAGTCTATCACTGATGGACCTGTGGGTTGGTTCCAAGTCTTTGCTATTGTGTATAGTGCCGCAATAAACATACATGTGCATGTGTCTTTATAGCAGCATGATTTATAATCCTTTGGGTATATACCCAGTAATGGGATGGCTGGGTCAAATGGTATTTCTAGTTCTAGATCCTTAAGGAATTGTTACACTGTCTTCCACAATGGTTGAAGTAGTTTACAGTCCCACCAACAGTGTAAAAGAGTTCCTATTTCTCCACATCCTCTCCAGCACCTGTTGTTTCCTGACTTTTTAATGATCGCTATTCTAACTGGCGTGAGATGGTATCTCACTGTGGTTTTGATTTGCATTTCTCTGATGGCCAGTGATGATGAGCATTTTTTCATGTGTCTGTTGGCTGTATAAATGTCTTCTTTTGGGAAGTGTCTGTTCATATCCTTTGCCCACTTTTTGATGGGGTCATTTGATTTTTTCTTGTAAATTTGTTTAAGTTCTTTGTAGATTCTGGATATTAGCCCTTTGTCAGATGGGTAGATTGTAAAAATATTCTCCCATTCTGTAGGTTGCCTGTTCACTCTGATGGTAATTTCTTTTGCTGTGCAGAAGCTCTTTAGTTTAATTAGATCCCATTTGCCAATTTTGGCTTTTGTTGCCATTGCTTTTGGTGTTTTAGTCATGGAGTCCTTGCCCATGCCTATGTCCTGAATGGTATCGCCTAGGTTTTCTTCTAGGGTTCTTATGGTTTTAAGTCTAACATTTAAGTCTTTAATCCATCTGGAATTAATTTTTGTATAAGGTGTAAGGAAGGGATTCAGTTTCAGCTTTCCACATATGACTAGCCAGTTTTCCCAGCACCATTTATTAAATAGGGAATCCTTTCCCCATTTCTTGTTTTTCTCAGGCTTGTCAAAGATCAGATGGTTGTAGATGTGTGGTATTATTTCCGAGGGCTCTGTTATGCTCCATTGGTCTATATTTCTGTTTTGGTACCAGTACCATGCCGTTTTGGTTACTGTAGCCTTGTAGTATACTTTGAAGTCAGGTAGCATGATGCCTCCAGCTTTGTTCTTTTGGCTTAGGATTGTCTTGGCAATGTGGGCTGTTTTTTGGTTCCATATGAACTTTAAAGTAGTTTTTTCCAATCCTGTGAAGAAAGTCATTGGTAGCTTGATGGGGATGGCATCTATAAATTACCTTGGGCAGTATGGCAAGGTATGGCCATTTTTATGATATTGATTCTTCCTATCCATGAGCATGGAATGTTCTTCCATTTGTTTGTGCCCTGTCTTATTGCCTTGAGAAGTGGTTTGTAGTTCTCCTTGAAGAGGTCCTTCACATTCCTCGTAAGTTGGATTCCTGGGTATTTTATTCTCTTTGAAGCAGTTGTGAATGGGAATTCACTCGTGATTTGGCTCTCTGTTTATCTGTTACTGGTGTATAAGAATGCTTGTGATTTTTGCACATTGATTTTGTATCCTGAGACTTTGCTGAAGTTGCTTATCAGCTTAAGGAGATTTTGGGCTGAGACGATGGGGTTTTCTAAATATAGACCAAGCAAAAAAGAGAGAAGACTCAAATTATAAAAATTGTAAATGAAAGATGGAATATCACTACCGACCTTACAGAAACCAAAAGGATAGCCTAAGGGAATACTATAAACAATTGTATGCCAACGAATTAGATACCCTACATAAAAACAGAAATACCTAGAAAGATACAAACTAAACATTTGGTAGAGTTCACCAGTGAAGCTATCTAGTCTTTGGCTTTTTTTGTAGGAAGTTTTAAATGATCAGTTCAATCTCTACTTGTTATAAGTCTATTTATATTTTTTATGATTTAAATAAACTTCTGTAAAGAGGAATTAACATCAATTCTTCACAAACTCTTCCTAAAAATAGAAAAGGAGGAAACTTTTTCCATCTTATTTATCCTGATAGCAAAAGGAGACAAATACAGCACCAGAAAAGAAAACTGCAGGCCAATATCCCTAATGAACATAAACACAAAAATCCTCAAAAAACAGCAAAAAGAAAAAAAAAACCTAACAAACTGAACAACTTTGTATAAAAATAATAATACAACATGACCAATTGAGATTTACCCAGGAAGATAAGTAAAGTTGAGTCACTTAATCAGTATAACACATCATATTGTCAGAATAAAGAACGATACCCACACAATCAACCCAATAGATAAGAAAAACACATTTAACAAAATCCAACATCCTTCATGAGAAAAATATTCAGCTAGAATTGCAGGGAACTTCTTCAACTTGATAAGGGGCATCAGTGAAAAACGCACAGCTAACATAATGCTTATTAGTGAAAAGACTGAAAGTGCTGCCGTAAGATCAGGACAACCAAGAATGTCTACTTGTACTACTTCTTTTCAGCATTACTGGAAGTTCTAGCCAGGGTAATTAGGCAGGAAAAAGAAAAATAATGCATCCAGGTGGTAAAAGAGGTGAAACTACCTCTAGTTTTAGATGACTTTATTTTGCATTTAGAAAATCCCACGAACCCACAAAAAAACCATTAGAGCTATTAAAAAAATTTAGCAAGATTGTAGCATAAAAGATAAGTATACAAAAATTAACTGTATTTCTATATACTAATGATGAGCAATCTGAAAATGACATTCAAACAATTTCATTTATACTGGCATCCAAAATAATGAAATACTTAAGGATTAATTTAACAAAAGAAGTCCAATTTTTATCTTGAAAACCACTAGACATCATTAAAATACATTAAGAAATATCTTAATAAGTGAAAATGCATCTGCATATATGGGTTGGAAGAGTTAATATTGTTAAAATGCAGTACTCCCCAAATTTATTTACAGATTCAACTGAATCTATATCAAAATTTCACTGGATTTTTTTTTTTGCAAAAATTAACAAGATGCTCCTAGAATTCACATGGAAATGTGAAGAACCATGAATTGCCAAAATAATCTTGAAAAAGAAGAACAAAATTGAAGGACTCACATTTCCCATTTTCAAAACTAACTACAAAGCCATAGTAGTCAAGACACTGGAACTGGCACAGAATAGATGTATAAATCAATGGTATAAAAATGTAAATCAAAACAGTGATGAAATACTACCTCACACCCACTAGGATGGCTATAATAAAAAAGACAGGCAATAAAAATGTTGGTGAAGATGTGGCAATGTAAATAGTGCACCACTTTGGAAAACCGTCTGGCAGTTGCTCGTGTGGTTAAATATAGAGTTATCATATTGTCTAACAACTTCTTTCCTAGGTGTATACCCAAGAGAATTGAAAATATATGTCCATACAAACACTCGTACGTGAGTCTTCAAGCAGCAGCCTTTTAAATAACATCCAAAAGTGGAAATTACCAAGCAAGGCAAAATGTTTATCAACTGATGAATGGAAAAACAAAACATGGCACATCCATATAATGTAATATAAAGTGTAGCACATCCATATGATGTCATATAAATATAGTTCAGCCATAAAAAATGAATGAGGTACTGATTCATGCTACAACACAAATGAACTTTGAAAACATTATGCTAAGTGAATGAAACCAGAAACAGGAGACCACATATTGTATGATTCTATTTATAGGAATGTCCAGAATAGGCAAATCCATAGAAACAGAAAGAAGACCCCTGGTTGCCAGCGGCTGAGAGAAAAAGGGAATGTGCAGGGGCTACTAGTGGGTGTGTTTATTTTGAGAATAATGAAAATGTTCTGAAATTAGTGGTAATTATTGCACAACTTTATGAATACACTAAAAATCACAGAAGTAGACATGTTGAAGAGGTGAGTTTTATTGTAAGAGTAATTTTTCCTTTTAAAAAGAAAAGTCAAAGAAACTATCTTGGACTATTCACTTAAATGACCTGAGGCAAGAATTTTTAAAAAATGTATTTCTGCTCAGTGAGTGTGACAGTTTTATGTGTCATCTTGGCTGGGTTAAGGGATACACAGATAGTTGGTAAAACACCATTTCTGAGTGTGCCTGTGAGGAAGTTTCTGGAAGAGATTAGCATCTGAATCAGTGGACTTAGTAAAAACCCACCCTCAGCCATGTGGGTGGGCACCACCTAATGGGCTGAGACCCTGGATAGAACAAAGAAGCAGATTAACTTTCGCTTCTGCAGCTGAGACACCCATCTTCTCCTTCCCTCGCACATGAGAGCTCCAGGTTTGAAGGCCTTCAGGCTCTGGGACTTATGCCCAATGGCCCCCCATTTCCTCAGGCCTTTTGCCTCAGACTGAGAGTGACACCATTGGCTCTCCGGCTTCTCAGGCCTTCAGACTCGGACTGAATCACACCTCTGGCTCTCCTGGTGCCCCAGCTCACAGAAGGTATACTGTGGGACTTGGCCTCCATAACCACTTGAGAAAATTCCCATCTTAAATCCCCTCTGATATGTCTAGGAGTCCTAATGGTTCTGTTTCTCTGGAGAACCCTGAGCAATACGGTTACTATTTCTTCTTACTGTTGTCCAGAATGTTTAGAGTCCTCTTTCCTTCTCACCTAGATTTCCTGATGATAGCCTGTATCCCTTCTGTTTTAGAATGACTGACCCTGTTCCTTGAGGCTGTGGAGGATTCTCAGTGATTCCACTGGTCAAATGATGTGAGACACAGGGGAAGACCTATGAAAGCCTGCTGGTGCTAAGACATTGAGCTAAATGTCTTAAGTGGTGAATAGTTCGAACAGAGAAGACAGGAACAGACTGCACAGGACAAGCCCATCCAAATCAGAGGTGATGTAGAAGTGGTGACGGTTCCCCTCCTAGTCATGAAGGCTCTCACCCTGGAAGTGGACTGTGAAGTGCTCAATGAGGAGAAGGAGTTTCGCATACCCACCTAGATCTCCATCTCCCCATGTTCATAAGCAGTTGCCATCACCTGATTGTTGTAGTACTGGGGATGCCATAACATAGATAAAACCTGCTAAGATTCTGTGAGTCAGTCCTGGGTTATCCCAGTACACTGGAACCACAGCTACTGGAGATGTGGCCCTAGCATTACAGATAAACAAACTACAACAACAAAAAATGGCCTTATAGAGATTTTAGTTCCTATAACCAACTAATTATATTTCAGATTTTTATATATGGATATCTGTAATATTCTGGGGAAGAAATATAAAGACAGAATTCACCATGTCTCCTCGGGACTCTGTGATGATCTCTGCAAGAAACAGTGCAAAGACAATTTTTATTTGCTTTAAAAACTAAATGCCTTTTTTATGAAGTATAGTTTTAAAATACTACATATTTTGTACTAATAGTACTAAAAATCATGGCAAATTTTTTTTCTCTGTTTTTAAAAAATGTTTTGTATGTATGTATTTATTTATTTTAACTTTTATTTTAGGTTCGGGGGTATATGTGAAGGTTTATTACATAGTTTAACTCATGTCACGGGGGTCTGTTGTACAGATTATTTTCATAATCCAGGTATTAAGGCCAGAACCCAATATATATCTTTTCCACTTCTCTCTCTCCTCCCACCATCCACCCTCCGCCCTTAAGTAGATACCAGTGTATGTCATTTCTTTCTTTGTGTTCACAAGTTCTTATTATTTAGCTCCCACTTATAAGTGAGGACACGTGGTATTTGACTTTCTATTCCTGTATTAGTTTGCTAAGAATAATAGCCTCCAATTTCATCCATGTTTCCACAAGATATGATCTTATTGTTTTTAATGGCTGCATAGTATTCCATGGTGTATATATACCACATTTTCTTTATCCAATCTGTCATTGATGGACATCTAGGTTGATTCCATGTCTTTGCTATTGTAAATAGTGCTGCAATGAACATTCACATGCATGTGTTTTATGGTAAAATGATTTATATTCCTCTGAGTATATACCTAGTAATAAGATTGCTGGGTCAAATGGTAGTTCTGCTTTTAGTTCTATTGAGGAATCACCATACTGCTTTCCACAATAGTTGAATTAATTTACACTCCCACCGACAGTGTAAAAGTGCTCCTTTTTCTCTGCAACCTTGCCAGCATTTGTTATTTTTTGACTTTTTAATAATAACCATTCTGACTGGTGTGAGATGCTATCTCATTATAGTTTTTATTTGCATTTCTCTAATAATCAGTGATGTTGAGCATTTTTCCATATGATTGTTGGTCTGTCTTTGTTTGTTTGTTTGTTTTTTGAGACAGAGTTTCCCTCTTCTTGCCCAGGCTGGAGTGCAATGGCGCAATTTTGGCTCAGTGCAAACTCTGCCTCCCAGATTCAAGCGATTCTCTTGCCTCAGTCTCCTGAGTAGCTGGGATTACAGGCAAGAGCCACCACACCCAGCTAATTTTGTATTTCTAGTAGAGATAGGGTTTCACCATGTTGGTCAAGCTGGTCTCAAACTCCTGACCTCAGGTTATCCACCCACCTCAGCCTCCCAAAGTGCTGGGATTACAGGTGTGAGCCACCACGCCCAGCTATGTCTTCTTTTGAGAAGTGTCTGTTTATGTCCTTTGCCCACTTTTTAATGGGGTTGATTGGTTTTTTTCTTGTAAATTTGTTTAAATTCCATATAGATGCTGAATATTAGACCTTTGTCAGATGCATAGCTTGCAAATCTTTTCTCCCATTCTGTAGGTTGTCTGTTTACTCTGTTGATAGTTTCTTTTGCTGTGCAGAAGCTCCTTAGGTTAATTAGATTCTACTTGTCAATTTTTGCTTTTGTTGCGATTGCTTTTGGTGTCTTTGTCATGAAATCTTTGCCTGTTCAACATCCAGGATGGCATTGCCTAGGTTGTCGTCCAGGGTTTTTATAGTTTTGGGTTTTAACATTTAAGTTTTTAATGTATCTTGACTTGATTGTTGTATATGGTGTAAGGAAAGGGTCCAGCTTCAATCTTCTCCATATTGCTAGCCAGTTATTGGAGCACCATTTATTGAATAGAGAGTCTTTTCCTTATCACTTGTTCTGTCAGGTTTGTCAAAGATCATACATGTGTGGCCTTATTTCTGGCCTCTGTACTCTGTTTCATTGGTCTATGTGCCTGTTTTTGTATCAGTACCATGCTGTTTTGTTTACTGTAACCCCAGAGTATAGTTTGAGGTTGGGTAATGTGATGCCTCCAGCTTTGTTCTTTTTGCTTAGGATTGCCTTGGCTATTCAGGCTCTTTTTGGGTTCCATATGAATTTTAAAATAGATTTTTCTAGTTCTGTGAAGAACTAGTTTGACAGGAATAGCAGTGAATCTGTAAATTGCTTTGGGCGGTGTGGCCATTTAATCATATTGATTTTTTTCTATCTATTAGCATGGGATGTTTTTTCATTTGTTTGTGTCTTCTCTGATTTCTTTGAGCAGTGTTTTGTAATTCTCATTGTAGAGATCTTTCACCTCTCTGGTTAGCTGTATTTCTAGGTATTTTATTCTTTTCTTGTGGCAATTGTGAATGAGGTTGCCTTTTTTATTTGGCTCTTGGCTTGGCTGTTGTTAATGTATAGGAATGTTAGTGATTTTTGTACATTGATTTTGTAACCTGAAACCTTGCTGAAGTTCTTTATCAACTGAAGGAGATTTTGGGCTGAGATTATGGGACTTTCTAGATGTAGAATCATGTTATCTGCAGAGATAGTTTGATTTCCTGTCTTCCTATTTGAATGCCCTTTATTTCATTCTCTTGCCTGATTGCTCTGACTAGGTCTTACAATACTATGTTGAATAGGAGTGCTGAGAAAGGGTATCCTTGTCTTATGTTTTGTATGTATATATTTATTTATTTTGGTTTTCAAGAGGAATTCTTCTAGCTTTTGCCAATTCAGTATAATATTGCCTGTGGGTTTGTCATAGATAGCTGTTATTATTTTGAGGTATGTTTCTTCAATACCCAGTTTATTGAGAGTTTTTAACATAAAGTAGTGTTGAATTTTATTGAAAGGCTTTTTCTGTGTCTATTAAGATAATCATGTGGTTTTTGTCTTTAGTTCTGTTTAGGTGATGAATCACATTTGTATGTTGAACCAACCTTGCTTCCCAGGGATGACACCTACCTGAACATAATGAATTAACTTTTTAATGTGCTACTGGATTCGGTTTGCAAGTATTTTGTTGAAGATTTTTGCATTGATATTCATTGAAGATATTGGCCTGAGGTTTTCTTTTTTTGTGTCTCTGCCAGGTTTTGGTATCAGGATGAGGCTGGCCTCATAGAATGAGTTGGGGAGTAGTCCCTCCTCCTCAATTTTTTGGAATGGTTTCAGTAGGAATGGCACCAGGTCTTCTTTGTACATCTGGTAGAATTCAGCTGCAAATCCATCAGATCCTGGGGTTTTCTTGGTTGGTAGGCTATTTATTATTTTATTTTATTTTTTTGGTTTGGGGGGGGTAGGCTATTTATTACTGATTCAATTTCAGAGCTCATTACTGGTCTGTTCAGGGAATCAGTTTCTTTCTGGTTCAGTCTTGGGAAATTGTATGTGTCCAGGAATTCATTCACCTCCTCTAGGTTTTCTAGTTTGTGTGCATAGATGTGTTCCTAGCAGTTTCTGATACTTATTTTTATTTCTGTGGGATCCATGGTAACATTTCCTTTGTCATTTCTAATTGTGTTTATTTGGATCTTTTCTCTTTTCTTTCTTATTAGTCTAGCCAGTGGCCTCTCTTAATTTTTTCAAAAAACCAACTCCAGGATTTGTTGATCTTTTAAATGGCTTTTTGTGTCTTGGTTTCCTTCAATTCAGCTTAGATTTTGGTTACTTCTTGTCTTCTGCTAGCATTGGGGTTGATTTGTTCTTGCTTCTCTAATTCTTTCAGTTGTGATGTTAGGTTGTTAATTTGAGATCTTTCTAAATTTTTGATGTGAGCATTTAGTGCTATGAATTTCCCTTTTAACACTGCCTTAGCTGTGTCCTGGAGATTCTGGTATGTTGTGTCTTTGTTCTCATTCGTTGCAAAAAATGTTTTGATTTCTGCCTTAATTTCATTATTTATCCAAAAGTCATTTAGGAGCATGTTTTTAATTTCCATGTAATTGCATGGTTTTGAGCAATTTTCTTAGTCTCGACTTCTATTTTTTATTGCACTGTAGTCTGAGAGTGTGTTTGGTATGATTTCAGTTATTTGGCATTTGCTGAGGATTGTTTTATGTTCAATTACGTAGTTGATTTTAGAATATATGGCAAAATTTTTGAAATACGAATTGAGAAATTAATCCATGAAAGGGGGAAGAGAGGGACAAACTTTTTTTAAAGCAAAATAAAATTATTTGTGCAGCCCATGCATTATTTAACATTGCTATGTCTTTACTTATATTAGAATAGTTGTTACCCACATTGGGAGTGTTGGGATTTCCTAGGCCAGAAAATATAATAATACTGCTATTTAGCTTCACATTCTAACTATCAACTATTTTACATAATTTGTCCAAGGAACAAAGAGAGGAGGTACAAATGGGATTTCATCAGGTCAGAAGCCTGGAAGGAATGGATAGAAAGGGTGTTTTTGTCTAAACCTGAGCTTTACATATTGTATGAAATAGCTGACTTGGTGTTGCAGGCCTGGCCAGGTAAGATGCAAATCTATCACAAACAGTTTCCAGGACGAAGAAGATGAAATTAGTGTATTACAACAAGAGAGAAGGGATAGAAAAGAAAGGAAAAAAATTTTTGAAAAGAGGAGAATCTATAAATAAGAAAGAAAATGGGAACATGAGACAGACTGCAGGATCCGGGAGGACCAGGTGACATATGTTAAAATATTTAAAAGATTTAAATCAAAATAATAAATTGTAAATAAAATTTGTTCTAGCCTCCTGTTTTGACAAGTATTCCTTCATAACAACCTGGAAGGCCAGACCAAATTAGAAGTTTTGTGCCTCTTGGAGTCTGCAATGAGATTTGCCCCTGTGGGAGAGCCTGGGAGCCTGCATCCCTCCACCTCTCTCTTCTCACTCTGTCTTCATCCCAAGTGCAAGGGGCCTCCTGCATGTGCCTGTGGATATCTCAGACCAAATAGTCCATATCCCTGCAAACAGTCACCACTCAGCCATCCTGAGGGTATAGGTTACATTTATCCTTGGGAGCATGGTTTCAATGAAGAGACCTGTGCACGCCATGGAACTCGGGTTGAGCAGAGAAAGCCAGGGTCCCAGGTACCTGAATGTGGTTTAGAAAGTTCTAGAAGGGTGCACAGGATCTGAGTTGACATGTCTACTCTCCCCATTAATTCTTTCCCCCAAAAGAAGGCCAAAGCAAGACCCTGTAAAGCACAAAGCCCAGAGCAGGTAATGCTGTGGTCTGCATCAGAGGATGATGCTGACAAGAGAGTTCTGTCAGAGACAAAAGTCTTTTACTGATGGTTTATGGAGCAGATAAGGAAGCAAGAAATCTAATTGAGATAAACAGAATAGTGAAGACAGTAAGACTTGGTTTGCTGCAAGGCAACTTGGAATTCAATTAAAACATTCTACAAAAGAAAAAGTAGTAAAAAGCTAGAAGGAAGTGGAAGGAATATAAACCCAGGAGAGGAGACAATTGTAGAGAACATTCCAGAAAACGTAATTCATCATACTCAAAAGCATTCACAAGATAGAGCCCAAGTTAAAACTGGATTAAGAAGACATAAAATATAGGATAAAGATATTTAGCAGATGGAATTCTGATAAATGGTTTTTTGTTTGTTTTTAGTGTAGTCTAGAAACATTTAACACTCAAAACATTTAGATTTTGTCAGTACAATGATGAGGTGATATGGAAAGTAGGCTACAGGGTGTCCATAGCTGGGACTATAAGAGGAAAGCTGGGAAAGGGAAAACTTTCCAGCCTTCATATTTGTGAAGCTGGGTGGGGCTAGGGGGTGAAATAAGCCCGGTTACAATTTGTCTTAGAACAGTTATGACTATTACTTAATTTATTTTTCTTTCCAACTTTTATTTTAGGTTTAGGAGGTACATGTGCAAGTTTGTTACATGGGTAAATTGGGTGTAGTGGAGGTTTGCTGTACAGATGATTTCATCACCCAGGTAATAAGCATAGAGCCTGAGAGGTAGGTTTACAATCCTCACCCTCCTCTCACCTTCCACCCTCAAGTAAGCCCTGGTGTCTATTGTTCCTGCCTTTGTGTTACGTATACTCAATGTTTAGCTCCCACTTATAAGTGGGAATATGTGGCATTTGATTTTCTGTTCCTACTTTAATTTGCTTAGGATAATGGCACCCAGCTCTATCCTCGTTACTGCAAAGGACATGATCTCATTCATTTTTATGGCTGTGCAGTATTCTACGGAGTATATGTACCATATTTTCTTTATCCAGTCCACCATTGGTGGATATTTAGGTTGGTTTCATGTCTTTGCTATTGTGAATGACTATTACTTTAAGAAGCACTAGGAATAAACCTGTATTTTTGCTCTTGGGTTTATTCCTCTTCTTCCAATATGGATATAAAGGACAATTCTATTTAAATATTTTTCAATTATACTGAACCCTGAAGAATTAAAAGTGATGTTTATAAAAAATACTTAGCTATAAAATGCCTAACCATTTATGATTAAAATTTTTCTCATTAAACAGAGCATGGGGTCTATCTTACTTAGAAAATCGTTTTTGCTGTTAATGGAAAATTTCTTTTGTAAAAAGTCATTTTCTAGCCAACTTTGTTAATAAAATACAATAAATTACTCTTTTATATTTAATTGTTACTATGTGGTTTATTATTTTAAACCTTAAATTCTGTTAAATTTGAGACAAATATATGCTTGCTTTGAGGATAGAGATTTAATTGGCTAGTGATTTAATTGATGACATTTAAAGTACAGGAAAGAGAGTATAAAATTTGTATGCAAAAACAGAGACTAGAAAATTTCCTCTTTTTATTGCAACTGGATATTCTACATGAGAAAAAAATTAAACTGGGATTTAGAGACTCTTATATTGTAGAAGAGAGAGCTTTCCCAATTTTACTTTAATTACCTTCAAATTTTCATTTGTTTTCTAAATTAATCAATAAGCCTTTTTGTCTTTCATTTATTGTTGTCATATCTTTTGAACACAATATCTTCCTTCATGTCAGATCAAACATAAACCAAGAAAATGAGTTTCTGTAACAAATTACAATTATATTTTCTAAATTTTCTAGAACATTAATATTCATAAGGTACTCAATTCAACAACCTATGTGAGTTCATGTTTAAATGATAGAAGTACTGTATTACCTGGTAATCAGGCCTCTGATTTTTTCAGACTTTCCCAAATATTGAATCCATCCTCTACTTTGTGTGTCTATGAATACTAACCATGTACTGTGCTGCTAGATTTTGTCGGTACCTTTCAGTAGAAACAAAGAAGCCTGTGAAACTACAGATGTTTTAATATCCAATTTTAATAGATATGTTGCCATCAAGTTTTAGGAAGTTTTCAACTCTTTTCAGTTCACCACCAATTTACAAATTACCATAGCTAGTATTTTCTGATCACTTTTCCATCTGCTGCATACTATTCTCAGCTCATTACATATATTAACACATGCAATCTTCACAAGAACCATATGAGGTAGGCATTATTATGATCCCTACTTAAGAAATGGGAGGGGATTCAAAATGGCTGATTAGATGCATCTCTTATTCACCTCCTCCACTAAGAAGAACCAAAATAGTGAGTATATAGTTGTACTTTGAATAGATCATCCAAGACAGAACACTGAAATTTAATAGAAAAGTGACAGTAAACACCTAAAGCAAGAAAAGGGAAGGAAGTGAGGCAGCCTGCTCAGCTGGTATCAGCTCCAAATCCTAATTCAGGAAATGGGTATGTGAGAGATACCCAGTGGTCCACATTCCCACCAAATACCGAATTTTGCATACAATTCTCACCGTGGGAGAGCCCCTCCACTCTCATAGGCCCCAAGACTAACACAGGGAGCTTTCTGAAAATTATGAAAGCATTGCTCCAGAGAAAGAGCTCATGCTGGGTCCCACAAGCCCCTGAGTCCTGGGCAGCAACAGCATATACCAGACTGCATCCTACCCTGCAATCAGGCAGAGGCAGCAACAACATATACCAGACTGCATCCTACCCTGCAATCAGGCAGAGGCAGCAGCCATGAGCAGCAATCCCACCCCACCGCCCCCTGCAGAGAGGCAGCTATACATTCTCATGTGCTCTGAGGACAAATTCCACTGCCCATAACCACTGCAGCTGGGAACTTCTTTGAGACAAAGTATAAGCAAAGCTCACACAACTCAGTTGGCTATGGCTGCTCCTAGGGAAAGTAATGTTGCCTTCCCCAGTAGAAGGGCTGCAATGCAGCTGCTGCCACCTTTACCTGAGTGTTTCACTGGCAACAAGGGGCTCATTCCACACCTGCACACCAAAGCCAGCATTTTTATGCACCACCAGGGAGCTTGAGGTCACAGCCCAAACTGGCTACATGCCCCCGGTTCCTGAGCACACTGTCCAGACACCTGGGGATGGCCCAGCCCAGTCCCTTTCTGGTGGTACCTGAACACTCCTCCTGAAGTTGGGGGTTGGGCCCACTCAATTTACTGCTAGCAACATAGATGACACCCACCCCCCAACACACAACCTGTGGGTCTGGGAACTGGCACATCCAACCCATTGCAACCACTGCCAACACCAGTACAAACCACTTGGGTCCCAAATAAATTGTTCCTCCACTGCTATTGTCATTTCCCACACCAAACCCACTGCCCAGGAACCCGAGAACATGCCTATCCACCTGCCCCACCACTGCCATTTCTAGCACCCAAGAAAGCCATCTGGAGGCCCAAAAGTCAGTCTGCCTGGGCCTGCTAACATCTGCACTAACGTATGTCACTCTGAGGGCCCAACGACAGACATACTCTGCCTAGTACTGCTACCTCTGGGGCTCAAAAATTGACCTAATTGGCATCCCAGACCACAGCAAAACTTCACCACAGCCTGAACTAACATCTGCAACCCAAGCCACACAGGAAATCATGGATACCACTGGTGGTGTTTACAGCTAAAAAAATCCTACAAAGACTACACTAAGTTACACACTCAGATTCAAAGCTGAAATACCCTATCCAACCAACATCATAGATACATCTTCAGGAAAAAGGCCCTCCCCTTCAAAAGGAAATTCAAAAAGTTGAAAAAACAATTGTTATACCAGATACACAGATATCAATGTAAAGACACAGGAAACATGAAAAAGCAAGGAAATATGACACCTTCAAAGGAACACGATAATTTTCTAGCAATAGATTCCAATCAAAAAGAATTCATAAACTCACAGAAAAAGAATTCAATATTTTGATACTGTAGAAACTCAGTGATATACAAGAGAATACCAAAAAATAAAAATACAGAGAATTAAGAAAAGCAATTCAGGATATGAATGAGAAATAATTTTTCAAAGACATACCATAAAAAAAAACACCAAACAGAAATTCTGAAACTGAAAAATGTATTAAATGAAATATAAAAAACAAAAAACTAGATCAAGCGGAAGTAATCTTAGAACTTGAAGATAGGTCTTTTGAAATAATCTAGTCAGACAAACATAAAGAAGAAATTTAAAAGAATGAGTAAAGCCTACTTGATATATTAATATCATAAAGCAATCAAATATTCAAACTATCAGTATCCCTGAAAGTGGAGAGAAAACAAAACTGTTTGAAAACCTACTTAATGAAATCATAGATGAAAACTTTCCAAGTCTAGCAAGAGACTTAGACATCTAGATACAGGATGCTTAGCAATCCCCAAATAGATATAATTCAAAAAGTCTTCTCCACAGTACACTATAATCAATCTGGCTGACGTCAAAGACAAGAGAGAATTCTAAAAACAGCAAAAGTGTCTAGTCACCTATAAGAGGACTCCCCATCAGAATAAAAAGAGCAGACTTCTCAGCAGAAACCTTGTTGGCTAGGAGAGAATGAAATAATAGATGTAAAGTTCTGAAAAAAAATACTGCTAGCCAAGGATGCTATATCCAGCAAAATTATTCTTTGAAAATGAAGGGGAAAAAATGTCTTACCCAGACAATCAAATGTTGAAGGAATTCATTACCACTAGACCAGCCCTATAAAAAATGCTCAAAAGAGTCTTACACCTGGAAGCAAAAAGACAACAATTACTAACCTGAAAACACACAATAGTATAAAACTCACTGGTAAAGCAAGCACACAAATAAGAGAAAGGACCTGAATCATACCAGTACAGAAAACCACCAAACACCAATGACAAACAATAAGAGAAAAAGGAACAAAGAATATACAAAAAAAAAAAAAACAACAATTAACAGTATGACAGGAAAGAAAAATCTTACATATCAGTAATAACCTTGAATGTAAACAGATTAGATTCACTTCTAAGATACAGACCAGGTGAATGGATTAAAAGACATGATCCAACTATATGCTACCTACAAGAAATGCTCTTTATCTGTACAGTTACATATAGACTTAAAGCAGAAAGATGAAAAAAGGTATTCCATGCAAATGGAAACCAAAAGCAAGCAGGAATTGTTATACTTATTCAGATAAAACAAACTTTAAGTCAAAAATAGTAGAAAAAAATAAAGGTTATTATATAATGAAAAAGGGACTGATCCAGGAAAATGACATAAAAATTCTGAATATACATGCACCCAACACTGAAACACCCAGTTTCATAAAGCAAATATTACTAGATCTAAAGAGAGGTATGTACTCTAATACAATAATAGTGGAGGACTTTTGGTAGAAATGTACAAATCATTTTACCCAATAATTGTAGAATACATATTCTTCTCATCAGCATATGGAGCATTCTGCAAGATAGATCATTTGTTAGGCCACAAAACAAGTCTCAACAAATTTGAAAAATCAAAATCATACTGATTATCTTCTCAGTCCATAATAGAATAAAACTAGAAATCCATACCAAGAGGAACTTTGGAAACTATACAAAAACATGGAAGTTAAACATGCTCTTGAATAACTATTGGGTCAATGAAGAAATTAAGATGGAAATTTAAAAATTTCTTAAAACAATAGAAATGGAAACACAACATACCAAAACATGTGGGATACAGCAAGAGCTATGGCAAGAGGGAATCTTACAGTAATAAATGCCTACATCAAAAAAGTGGTAGAAATATTTTAAATAAAAAATTTATCAATGCACCTCAAGGAACTAGAAAAGCAAAAACAAACCAATCCCCAAAGTAGCAGACAGAAAGAAATAATGAAGAGCAGAGCAGACCAAAATGAAACAGACAAAAAACAATACAAAGGGTCAATGAAATGAAAAGTTGTTTCTTCAAAAAGATAAACAAAATTGATAACCCACTAGCATAATTAACCAAGAAAATAAGAAAGAAAATACAAATAAACACAATCAGAAATGAAAACAGAGACGTCACAACTGATGCCACAGAAATACAAAAGATCATTAGAAACTCTTATAAACAACCTATTCACTAATAAACTGGTAAACATAGAGGAAATGGATAAAGTCTTGGAAACATACAACCCACCAAAACTAAATCAAGCAGAAATAGGAAACCCAAACATACCAATAACAAGGAGCAAGATTAAATCAGTAATAAAAAATCTCCTAAGAAAGAAAAATTCAAGACTCTTACGGATTCACTGTCAAGTTCTACCAAACAAATAAAGAAGAACTAATACTAATCCTCCTCAAACTCTCAAAAAATTAAGAAGAATGGAATTCTCCCTAACGCATTCTATAAGGCCAGCATTAGCCTGATACCAAAACCAGAAAAGGAGGCAAGAACAATGAAAAAAACTACAAGCCAATATCCCTGATGAACACAGATGCAAAAATTCTCAACAAATGGAATCCAACAGCACATCAGTAGACTGATTAATCATGATTAAGTGGAATTTATAACACGGATGCAAGGAGGGTTCTACATACACAAATAAATAAATGTGGTACTGATATGGTTTGGCTGTGTCCCCACCCAAATCTCATTTTCCACTATAGTTCCCATAATCCCCATCTGTCATGGGAGGGACCTGGTGGGAGGTAATTGAATCATGGGGGTGGTTACCACCATGCTGTTCTCATGATAGTGAGTTCTCATGAGTTCTTATGGTTTCATAAGGGGCTTTTTCCCCTTTGCTCAGTGCTTTTCCTTCCTGCTGCCATGTGAAGAAGGATGTATTTGCTTCCCCTTCCACCATGATTATAAGTTTCCTGAGGCCTTCCCAGCCATGCAGAACTGTGAGTCAATTAAAACTCTTTTCTTTATAAATTACTCAGTCTCAGGCTGTTCCTTCTAGCGGCATGAGAACGGACTAATACAGTCAATCTAGGTGCCTATCAACGGTGAATTGGATAAAGAAAACGTGGTGCATGTACACCATGGAATACTATGCAGCCATAAAAAAGAATGAAATAATGTCCTTTACAGCAACATGGATGCAGCTGAAGGCCATTATCCTAAGCAAATTAACACAGGAGCAGAAAAATAAATACCTCATGCTCTCATTTACAAGTGGGAGCTAAACATTGGGTACTCATGGACATAACGATTTCAACAATAGACACTGGGGACTTCTAGAAGGGGAAGAGAAGGAGTGGAGCAAGGGTTGAAAAATTAACTATTAGGTACTACATTCAGTACTTGGATGATAGGATCATTTGTACTCCAAACCTCAGCATCATGCAATATACCCAGTAACAAATCCCCTGAATCTTAAATAAAAGTTGAAAAAGAAAAAAAGAAATCTACTTTTTCGACAACCTAACAGTCATTACCTTTATGGGGAGAGAAAATCCAGACTTTAAATAGTTAGTAAGATGTATAACTATGAACAGATAGCTCTAATAGTCTCAAAAATAATTTTATTTTGCTTTCAAATTAAAAATATATATTTATTAACTTTAATATTTGGGAAAGAATTAAGCAAGTGTTGTAACTAGTACACTTGCATGGAATTATTTTAGTATGTAGCCACTTTGAAGTAAGGTCATGTAAGTTAATTGTTCTAATTTATTTACTATAGTCTGTTGTGTTTCTGCAAAAGTTATAAAAAGGCTTTATACCATAAAGCTAAGAGCATAGATCTGGAAAAACTCACTTTCTCTAACTCCCTCAGCACAAATTGTTTAAGTACCAGATGAAGGGAGAAGATAAAGAAACAAACAGAAGGAGAAGTGTCTACCACCTTGTTTCCAAGAGGGCTCTCTTATCCCTAGGTTGAGTGTATAGTTAAAGCCATTCTGTTTAATATTTAAAATGATATTTTCTAGTGAGTTTTCATAGAGTGGAATGATCAAAGAGAGCTGATCTACATGAGTCTCAACATCTTGGAGCTTACATCTACAAGGTGAGGCACTTAACCTTCATGCTTACCTGCTGTCTCTGGGTCACATAAATGATACAAGCTTAAGGTTGCTCCTCATCTTCATAAATCACGGTGTCTTAAACTCTATGTCTCTCCAGGTGGGTGCTTCATCACACTTATACTGTAAATATTATTCATTTTGACACCGTATTTCTTGGATGACAGCATTCTTCTTATGAAAGTGTTGTAAATTCTTCCACGGGATGTGTGGCTTAGTAAATTGCATTTTGCTTCACTGCTTGACTAAATAACCATACACACGCAAATACACACACACACCCACACACACACATATGATCAGCTAAAAAGAAAAATACCACTTTAAAGGGTCCAGATACTTGGAAATAGCTCTGTTTGTGAGAGGCACCTTTTCTTAAGTGGGACTGAGAGGCATCCTGTCAGATTCAGACAAGAAAGCTACTCTAATGGTATATTGTCTCCTCCAGAGTATTTGAGAAGGAAAACCAATAGCGGTGCTCCTTGGATACAAATGGATAGCCAAGTGCAATTACAGTGTGTTGCATATATAATAGACAAATAGAGTGCTTTATCTTTTGCTTGGAAACTAAAAAAAGAACCAAAGGATCAATGCAAATGTCAAGTTGTTTATAAACATCTTTTCTGCACCAGCGGAACCGTTATTTCAACCTTCCCTGTGATAAAATGGTTAGATAGGAGAGTGAAATTATAACCAGTATAGTGTCTTAAATGAAGAGATTTAATTGAATGGCTTTTATATATGCCTTTTTGTATTTATCAGTTAGATGATTATTAGCAATTGACTTAGAAAGTCACCTAGCACTTTCGTCCTTGGTTGCAACCCTTGGTAGTGAGTCAGTGTTTTGGTTTGGTTTGTACTGGAGCAGGTTTGGTTGCCTCATCCACATGACTTGTTAAAGAGCAAGTCATACATTGTGAAACTTTGGAAACCCATTGTCATAGAGGTCTTAGGCTTGGATTCTGTAGCTGAATTTGGAATGAGATTACATCATTTGATCAACAATAATAAACAATCCGTTGTACAAAAAAATGCATCATAAAAATAAGGAAACTCAAACTTCCTTTACATTAAAACCAATGAAGGAAGAGAGGTCCATGACTGACCTGGCATGAGGGAGCAATGCTCGATTGGTGTGCCTCATCCTGGACATGTCTTCTCCAAGAAATAGGTTAAAACTATTGCTGAAGACAAAATGTCCAACTTAGAAACAAGTGTAATGTGTTCATTGATCTTTATTGCCTATCTTCCCAGTGGCATCAGCAAGGGTTTAAGATTACGTTTCTTTGAACTGAATGGGAGGTCTGATCTGAAAAATTTGCCATGGTTTTTGACTATGCTAATATCTGACGCTTTGAGATGGTAGTTGAGATTCAGTTTTGAGGTGCTGTGCTTCCTTTGACTGCAATGAAAGGCCAACAGGGATAGGACCTAAAAATGTGAACCTCCTGGGATTATCATGCAATCTAATATCAAAACTCCATTTCAACTATCACACATACATACAACAATATTTAATTCTATTGTGAGATGTGTAAAGAGAAGTGTAATATTCTAAATTTTATACTCCTAAATGTTGAGAAATGCAGATTTAAGTACTTGATGCAGTGCCATAGCTACCTGCTATATTTTTCTGTCTTTTTTTTGGTACAGGTTTCAGAGAGGCTCCATCTGATTGTGGATATTTTGCAAATGAATGGATTACAAAAAAGAACTTTAAAGAGGAAAACATTGTACTAGAAGACCTCTTCCCTGCACTCCTGTAGGTCAATTACCAAAACAGACAAACAAACTGTGGACTCTTGAAGAAAACGGAGAAAACAAAAAATAATTACACTGCAGTCTTAAAAGAGAGAAGTTAAAAGGCAAAACTGTATTTCATCCTTGTCTTATAAACAGTGAATTGTAAAACTTGTCTATCACTTTTTTTTAAATTTTCAACCACTGGCTTTTTTTTTAAGAAAAGGAAAAGAAATTTCTGTAGTCCAAAACAATGTTTACTTGTAAAAATTGATGATGTCTTAAAATGGGATAGAGATTAGCACAGCTCTGTCTACTGGAAGTGTAATATAAGGCACATAGGTACTTTTAAAGTTTCTAATAACTGCATTTTAAAAAGAAAAAAGTGGAAATAGGTTTAATAATATGTTTTATTTAACCCAATATGTACAAATGATTATTTCAACATCTAACCAAAATATAATAATTGAGATACTATATATTCTTTCTTTTGTACACTGTCTTTGAAACTTGGTGTGTATTTTACATTCACCGTATATTTCAACTTGGGCTAGCTATATTTCTCATTCTAAGTACTCAGAAGCCACATGTGATTATTGCTTATTGGCTCTCAAATCAGTAAGCACAGGTTTAGCATAGAGTCCTGTCTTTGTAATCAGACGAATAGTTGTTCAAAACATGACTGTATGGCCTTAGCTATGTGGCCTTAGACAAGTGGCTTAACTTCTATCCTTTAAAAAAAATAAAATGGAGATAATAATATCTAACTTCTAGAATTTTGTGAGAATTAAATACTCTATGTCAATCTTTCTTCATATGGTCAATCCCAATAAATGGCTGCTAGTATTGGAAGTACAGTAGAGTAGATTATGATAGTGCAGCTATTATTTTTAAACAAGTTAAAAATTACCCTAATTTTGGAGTATCTGCTATATTTCCAATAAAGTGAAGGTATGCACAAGACGTCTGCCAGCCTGTGCTGTCCGGCCCTATGGCAAAGTTTGAATATTGAAGCCCATTATTTCTTTATGTTTTGAAATGCATATATATATATATATATATATATATATATATCTCCACACAAATATGTATAATTGAGATTGGATTTTGGACTTTTCTGAACCTTGTGTTGGGAACTATGAGTGGGAAACCTTTGGGCATTTAAGCATGCCATCGCCATAATAAACAACAAATGAGGTTGGGTGCAGTGGCTCACATCTGTAGTCCCAGTGCTTTGGGAGGCTGAAGTGGAAACATAGCTTGAGCCCAGGAGTTCGAGGCTGCAGTGAGCTGTGATCGTGCCGCTGCACCCCCAGCCAGGGCAACAGAGTGAGACCCTGTCTCTAAAAAAATTTTTTATAATGAAAGAAATAGCAAATGAGCCTCTCCAACATTCTAAAGGGACTATTCACGTTGTTGGTAAGTCATTGAAGTTCTAAGGCCAGTCAAATGTTCAGCCAAGCAGAGTGAATGTACTCCTGGAGCCCCGGGATATCATCTAGTCATCTACGCTGTCCAGGGCTGCAATACTCCCATTTAACGTTTTGGAAAAATGTATTGCCCTGGTTTGATTCTCCAAGAATGTTGATGGTTACAGGCTCCTCAGAGGAGACCATCAGTCTCAGGACTAGGACTTAACAGCTTGATCATGATGTCAGTAATAGATGTTTACTGAGCCCACTGGTACACACCGTGCTATTACTGAGTCTCTTTAACTATAGCCATTTCTGACAAGGAATTTACCATCTGCCTCCTCAAAGTGGATAGTTTGGGTTTGTTCGTGTGTTTACATTGTGAAATTATGTTTATCAAGATCTCTGTACCCTAACTAATCACCAATTTTTTGAGTGATCAAAAAGACACAGCCAAAACAAGTCACAGCAGTTTCTCTACCCGGCTGAGCTGACTACCTACAAGAGAGAATTGTGGTAAATTATGTGGTCAGTGACTCAGAGAAAGGTTTGTAGACACCACTCGTGAAAGCTTGCATTAAAATAACACATGCAAGAGTCTGTTCTCATGTTTTTGTATGGGGGGAGCATGAAGCAGGTCCCCTATGATGATGATGAAAGCCATCATTTTTCTTTTTATTCTCGCAGCTCTGCAACATGGAATTAAAACCCCAACAGTAATCCGAACAGACTTGCAGTGACTAAAGGATCCTCTTTGATTTTCACTACTCAGCAGCAAAAGCAACACATTCTAAGCATGTAAAGTAGTTCAGCTGAGTTGAACAGCTGAGTCAATGCTTTTCATGAAAAGCCACTCACAGCCAAACTAGGGGAATCAATATCTTGACCCATATTAGCAACACAGCTGAGGATTTTAAGGCTCATTTAAATAACACTGGACACCAAAGTGCAATGCCTCTCTTGATGCAGGGGAGAGGAGATTGACATTTATTTGGGACTTGGAATAAATGCTGTTCATCATCCCTGTACTGAGAGAACATTGGCTGGGAAACATACAAGACTGAAGTCTGATCTGACATAAAGTAGTTAAACTGCAAACCAGAAAGCAGAAAGAAATCATTTGTCTGTCTGGGGTGGATAGAAGAATTCTATTTCACTGCTTTGCACATTCTGTAGTGATATGCTGAGCACAGACAGCATATTTCATAAATCCACAATCTTGCCTAGAGTAAGAGCATTTCATCACCTTTCAAACTGCAGGGCTAGGTGTTTTCTGGTCCTAAAAGACACTGCCTCCTTATATATCAGTGTGGCAAGGCTGCCTGACATATTGGGTTCTTGTTTATCAAGAGACTAGAGCAAAGCATTGTGCAACTTCATGACTGCTTACAATACACTCAAAACAGCCAGAAACCCCATGGAGATCTGTGTTGATGTTTAGTTTACAGACTTTTGTGAAGATAATATTTAACATAAACGTGCAATATTGAAATGTTCTCTCATGGCTGCCCTCCTGATGGATCTGTAGGGGAATTCAGTTTGAGACATGAAGAAATATTCTTGAAGGAACTTTCTGATGAGCTGTAGGAAAATGTGATGTGCTGGGAATTCCCTGCAGAGCAGAATAAATCTCAAGGAAAAAAGCTCAAAGGCACAACTTTTATTCTGGTTCTACATGCAGTTTACTCGAGCTCAAAAAAACCTGACAAATTATTCAGAGAAATTACTGAGATGATTGTAAAATATTTCATGATTATGAAATTACCTATAGAAAGTTCTAGAAGTTGGATAATAAAGCAAAGCCAATGCCCCTACTATGAAATAGAGTAGATCTGTCTAAAATATGCACTTTAATGTTCCATGTAATTTGTTTTGTATTCATTCTAAAGACTGTAGCCATCATCTAGAACTAAAATTTGGGAGTGAGCTCAAAGTACGTGGCTTTTAAAAATACACAAAATGTGAATCGAATAGGCTGCTGCCTACAGGATACACCACAGGCTTTAATGGAAGGTGAAAACATCTCTTCCTTTATTCAGCGCCACTCGCTTGTAAGGGGTATGAAACACAGGGTAGCAGCCAAATTCCCTGTGGCTAGCAGATGTCTTGGTCTCTGGAATTAACTAAGCATCCCATACTGAAAAGGTCCTTAGATAACCTGACAGGCAGTCACATCTCTTCAGAACACATCTGGGGGCCTTGGAAGGTAGAGATGTGGTACCTTCCAGCTGTAATACTACACTGGCCCTTGGTACTCAAGCTCCTGGTACCGAAACATTTTCAAAGGACCTCCACTGCCTCCGATGCTTCATGTCCCAGGGTTTCCATTGGGAACATGTGAGGAGAGTGGTTGTACTATTGATGCCAAGAAAAAAAAAATGTTTTAGGGTAAAATAATGCTCACTATTTGGATAAGTAGAATTTATTTTTGGATATGTTCAGAGATGAGTCAATAACAAGCACGTAGGGAATTTAAAACCAAATATTCTATGCCTTTGCAATTCATTTGGTGTATGGCCAAAGGAAGATCTTTAGGTTTTCAGGTGAGATGCAGTTCCTAGGTTATGATTAACGACCCAGGCACATTTATGCAAAAACAAGGGATATTCTTGATATGTCTGCAGAAAATCCAATTATAGCAATTTTTCTTTTCCATTTACCTCAAGATGTAAAATGAGGTATGGTATTCTCTGCCACTTTATTTCTGTGCTCCTGGATAATCTTAAAGCCCTTGGAACCCCTAGTTTTATTTCCAAATTTTCCGTTATAGATCATATGTAGTAAACCTTTATTTTCAGAACAAAATAAAATATTTAAAATCGAAGGCTATATTATTAATAATATAACTAATCTTCCCTTCTTGATCCTGATTTTCTTCAATCAAAAGATCATCTGTATCTTAATGGTGTTGTTTCACATTATCCCAAGGATAAATTTGAGGTTTCTTAGGGCTTGTATTAAATAGAGAACCCACCCCCTAAATCCCATCTTATAAAGCTTCATGTAATCTTTGAGGGCTCAGAAAATGGCTCACTCCTACTGTCAATTTGATTTCAGAATCCTTGCAAGTTCCCTCTGCAAAAGTATTTAACTTGAATTATGGAAAGTGAAGTCCAATCCATCTGGACTCTCTGGTATTGCATCAAGGAAGTTTACAGCCTTGCAGGAGCACACTCACAGAACCTGCCTCCACAGTTTGCCATGGGATAACAAAGTCCTATTTACTACATCGTCTCAGTAGTGTGTATTATCTCATATCTGTACACTGTCCCAAATAATGGAACATTCTAGTGAGGTATGGAATTTAAAATGGCCTTTTCTCTACAAATTATCCAAATGTACTTAATTTTAAAAAGTACATTTTAATCTTCATTGTGACAAAACAGGAGTAACAGAGGGTTACCCAACCACACCATCAACCACAACAATGGCTAACATCCAATGAACCCACATTGTTTTAAGCTCTGTGAAATGCTTAGTTATTCTTCTATTATCCCCCCTAGTTTATAGCTGAGGAAACTGAAGCACTGAGAAGTTCAATGACTTGCCTAAGGTCACGGTATAAGTTAATGGCAGAGCCAGGATTTGAATCCAGGAACAATAGCTGGAAAATACCAAATGGAAAATAGCATCTAATAGACAATTGCTTAATTCAGTATTCATTTTTTAAAAATATCTGTTAAGGGGAAATTACACTAAAAATGATTGAATTCCTATTGCAACCATTCTTTAAGCAGGAATTCATGGGTCCCTACTAGGGACACAGGTGAACTACATAGTTTTATGTAAACATACGTGAAAGTGTGCATTTGTCTGTTGATGAGTTCAACAGCATTTACTAAATCTCCAAAGGGATCCAAGACAGACCCCTGCCCCCAGTCCCCAATAATAAACTTCTACGAGGAACAAGTGACTCACTGTGTACCTTTCTCTAAACCCAGAAGCAGGACTAGCAATTGGTGCTTAGCAAGGTGAGGCTTAGTAATGTACCTATTTTAGAAATTTCATAATTTCACTCATCTAGTAAACATGAAATATTAGCTGAGACATCGGTGAGCAAGCAATTGTGCTATGACAACGCTAGCTCCATCAGCTGAATCAGCATTATGGCATAATTATACCAAGGAAACTGTGCTAGGTTTTCTATTGTACCACTCCAATATTTTAATCGATTTTCACTGGCCTTGCAGTTAGCAAAACTTCCTAACACAGCAAGAGTTTGATCAGCAATGTTGTGCATTCTTTCTTTTCTACATCTACATGGTTATATTAAGGGAAGTCCAGAGAGTCTATATTAAGGGCATGATAATCAGGTGCCATTTGAAGTCAAAATTTTCACTAGGGATTAAAAAAAAAACATTTTTGAGACGCTAAATGCCACTGGTGAAGGCAGTTGTACTTGTTGCAGGTTATCCTGCAGTAGACATGACCTAGCTAGGTTATCCAGAAGTAGACATTGAAACAGAGTTTGGCATTTGGATATTTCCTGGGGATCAACATCTGTGAACAAGAAACAGGGAAAGGAAGTGAATTGAGCAGGAGGAGAGGCCAAATCGCCATGCAGACGTAGCACAGCCTCAGCTCAGCCAGTAAGAAGCTCTGCAGCATACATGGCCCAGCAGAGTCAACTGGCTTTGGGATGAAATGGCTGGAATTTATGCTCTTGCCTCAATCAGTTCTTAGATGGGCCTTTGAAAGAAGCAACCCTGCAGGTGAGGCAAACCCTTTAGTAGCTGACAGTTGGCGGCTGTGCTGACAACTGGGACACAAATCCTTCTTTCAACAGTAATCTGGGCAGTTCCTTTCCATGCCCACCACAATCCACGCTGTGCACCACAGGAATCCATTGCTTTAGAGCAGCCTGGGAAACAGCTCCTTCCGGGTTTCAGAGGGCTTCTCTTCTTTGGGTGTGCTTAGAATAGGAAAGTCAGCGGCATAAGCTACAGCCTTGCCACTGCCAAGGTCTCAGGGCTGCGGCTGATACTGTCACTCTGCCCTCTGCATTCTAGACTTCCCTCAACTTTAGGCAGCACTGCTGCTGCTCCCGGTGACTTACCTGGTGGCATGATGAAGTCTCTTATCCCTGAGAAGCCTCAGGCCTGGTGCCCCATGCACTTCTCAGGCCATGCCTGCTGCACTGTCTCTTCACCTCAAAGCTGAGCAAGGCCATACAAAAGAGCACCCAACTGGGTCACCTGTATGCCAAATGTCTTCCTCTCTTCCTATTGTGTGACAGCAGTCCTCCCTCCTCCTGATGATAATGATCAATGCCCCTTCTTGCTTGGAATTCCTTGGCACAAAGGGTCTGAAATGTCCAGGAGGCTGTAGCAGCCCCTAATTCATTAGAACACTTGCTACGTCCTTGGGTGGAAATAATCTATCTTTAAGAACCAGGACTTCTAAACTTCCATAACCTAGAGTTGTGGGAATGGGAAGCACAAGCTCCCTAAGTGGTCACTGAAAGTGATGGTAAGCAGAGCCTCATCAATTCACGTCCCCATTTCTGAGACCCATGTGTTCTTCCTATCATGGACACAGAACCATATTCAGGGATTTGATGCAATTGTATTCTGTGCCCTGAGTTGGCCCAGCACCCTCAGCGGGCTATCCCAAGGCACTGTCAGGCGGCTGCTCTGGGTGTCAGCACATGAGAGAACCAGTGATTCCTGTGGGCCCGCTCCCACATGCCTTTGGTTCCTTTGTTATAATGGGTCCTTCTGTGGAAACCTGTGCGGATGGACAAGCACTTGGGAACCATTGTCCTTATGATTCCTACTTCTTCCTACTTTTCAAATGGCTGAAAACTGTACCACACAGTACATCTAGTATACTCCAGCATACCATCCCAATTCACCTAAAAATGTCTAATCTCAAAAGTCTTAATTCTTCTGAAACCAAAAACTGAGAGCTACCTTCCCAGTCTAATCTTGCCCCAGTGAGAGGGGCAAGAAACAACAAAAAGCCCTGTCCCCTATTCCTTCTGCCTTTTCTGTTAGATGTTACTTTAAAAATATGTGTGTGTGTGTGTGTGTGTGTGTGTGTGTGTGTGTGTACATCAATACTTTGAACTGCTCTGAGGAAAAATGCTGAATTTAGAAAAGCACTCTTGCCAAGAAATATTATTGAAGAAGGGTGTTTGTTTTCTAACAAGAAATACAGGCTTCCCCTCCGGAATGATTTGGAAGAAGACAGTTTTACTGTCCCCTAAATTCTTCAGATTTCTTCTGATACATAATCTCGGGTTTTCTAGTTCCTTGTATTGGACCCAGAGCTTCTTGTTTTTAAATGTATATTTGCAAATACCTACCAGACCGTAACTGGAAGCCAAGTAGACATCAGAGAGCTGTGAAGTGATGGCAATGGAAGGCCTGTGCATGAGACCTTCATACACAAATGTGAGGACACAGCCATTAATATTAATGTGAGTTTTCGATTGTAAGCTTATTCTGTTTCTTCCATGACACCTCATAAGTTTAATCATCTCTTTCCCAAAGATAAAAATTGCTGATATTTATGCTTTTTTAACAAAAGCATAAACATAGAGTGCTACTCTTTTCCTTCAACAACACAATTCTTACTGATTTTAAAGTATAGGAAAGTAATTTGAATCTCTCATGCCAGGAAATGAATGAACACAGCAATTTAGCAGCTCATTTTTGAGGCACTATTATAGTCAAAATGTTTTTTATCTGAGTTTTTTATGGGGGTGTGATTGTGATCATTGAAAATAGCAGAAACAGCTCTTTGGCTGGCTCCCTTTCCAGGTAAGGAAGTGACTGAATCAAAGGAATATATTACCTGGAAAAAAATCTGGATGAGAACAATAGATGGTAGTTGTAGCACTTGTCTGAACTCTACATTCTAATGATACTAATTAGACTCTGAAAATTATATTTTCACTAAAGACATGACAATTTCAATTTAAACTTTTTTTACTTGGCCCAGTTTCAAGAACTATATATCCTATGGTGCTGCTGATTATAAAGCTCCATAGACAATGTTACATAAGAATGCTGATTAAATCTGCAAACTTTGATAGTTTTAGCAAATGAGCTTCACATGCAACATACACATCAACTATACATCTTCTTATAAGTAATATTTATGCTTTAAGTAAAGCTACGGAAAAGTATCATAAAAAATGGGCAATTCATTATTTATAGAGTCATTTACTTGGAATGTTTCTAAAGGAAAGAAAATGAACATTTCTTCTGCATATCAATAAATAAGCCAAAGCAATTCTTCATACAGAAAATTAGCTATAAATTTACCTCTTAAATGTGCTAAAATATGAGCAAGTATCTTTTTTAGACAGAATTAATATACTGGCTGTTGTTTCTCAACCAGTATTCAAAATACCAATACATTAATATCCAAGCATGCAAATAAAAGCTATTTAGTTGATTATGTAAACTCCACCAGACTTCTCAAAAAGGCATCTAACATTTCCACATGATTGAAAATATTCAACTATAGTTTCAGTTTTCTTATAGAACAATTTTAACAACTATAGGGAATATCCCCAAGGAATCATGAATATAAAGACCAAAGCTTCAGTTTTCTTTAGGATCATTATTCATCTGGAAATTGTTTTGGAGTCCAGATTAAATAAACTAGTACTAAAAAGAATAGTTTTGTTAGGAAAAGCAAGGCAATGACATCTACATTCTCATTTCAGGAATGTTTGTCTCCTAAAGTTTTAAGATAATCAGTTTCAATTTCAATTAGACAATCAATTCTATTTTATTAAAGGTAAAGGTTCTTATATTTATATTTAGAGTAATGATTTAAATAAGATTATTACTTGCTCTCTAAAATTTATTGAATATTATATGAACAAGGGTGAGAAAGTTGGGTAAATAACTATACACAATAGCATTGAGGATAGCAAGAGTTGTAGATTTTTAAAATACTAGTGAGAAATACAAATAATAGATACATACATGATAAAATGTAAGACCCAGAAATAGAAAGGCTAATTTGAACTTTTAATAACAGTGCTCATTGTTAAAACTCTTTCCGGGTCAAAGAAAATGTTTCGTAAACCTAGCTACGTGGCATGCTAAGTCAGGCCACCCAATCTCCTCACCTCAATTCCCTCATCTTGAGGATGGGAATAACAGCACTTCCCTCCAATGGTTATTGTGAGGATACATTAAGTAAAGAACTTGGTCTAGAGTTAGGGCTCCATAAATTGTAGGTATTATTATCAGAGACTAATGTGAATAATCTAAACAGAAAAGGCAATGTCATTTTAAGCCTTGAATGAATGGAATTTAAAGGTACAAATGACAGGAAGTAAGCATAGGGAACTGAACTGGTCACTGTTATTTGTAACTGTGGAATATATGTCTGCAAATTTCTCCAAAAAGGCAAAAATATCACAATCTAAAAACATGACAAGAATGCTTTTAGCAGACAAGCAGTCAAGAGTTGTGATCTTAGAGTACATATGTCTATTTCTGTTCCAAGTAAAGATACAGCTAAAGACATTGAGGCCTATGGAAGTGAAATTATTTGCTCAGAGTACATCATGGTGCCAGTCAAGATGAGAAGCTTATATGAAGAGTCTCAGCTCAACACTAAGGCCATCTATTCTTCCTTTGCTTTAATATCTGCCAACCCAGCTGGCCAACACAAAACTCTCCTTTGTCTTCAACCACAAGCAATTTACATTCCATGTCAGGGTTTCATCACCGATTACCTCGATAACTTTACATACTTTTCTCACAACGACTCTACTCTCTTCATGGTTGAAAATGCTAGTGTTACTCAATATCCATGTTGTACTCTTTTGCTTTTTCCTGGGCACCAAGCTAGATCACATTTCTAGCTATTGCAGTTAGGTTAGCCATGAGACAATGGATTCTTCTCAATGGAATGTGATGTTCCATCTTCCAGGTCTGGGCCATAAGGTTCTCCCACTCCAAATCCTTGTTTGGATATGGCATAATTAAAAAATAAAATTTATTTGTTTAGACTTCCCCCAAGACCAAGATGACATAGTCTTATAAAATAAGAACTTCTTTAATCTACTATCTAAAATAGACAAAAGTGTTGCTCAAAGACTAAAATAAATACTATTTCAAGCAAACCATCAGGGTATGAGGAGCAGCTCCAGAATTTCCACTTATGACGGCCTTGAGAAGGGGCAATCCCATTGAAGCAAGGCTGGTGGGCTTGACCACAAGTTGTGGACACACCTTTCTTCTTTTAAGATTGTTTATTTGGGGTAGCTGGGTTGGAAATGTCTTTGCTATCAACTATGAGATGCACCTGGGGAGTAAGACTTCTGGTTAACTCAAAAAAGAAATGGCACTGGTTGTAATTAAAATATTCTGGCAAGAGAAATTCATCTGCTAACAGAAAATATTGGTTGTCTTGAAAATGTAGAGAAAGAGACATTTTTGTATATTGCTGACAGAGACCAAATGACCATAAATATATCAATATCCATTAACATTTTACCATAATAATTTCATACCACTTGGCCTAATAATTCCAATTTGTGGGCTCTACATATAGAAACAAATATCCTAGTTCTCATGAACAGATGGGCAAAGAATTTGTCTTTCAGTATTGTTCCAGTGACAAAAAAGAAACTTAAAAAAACACAGCCTAGGCCGGGCATGGTGGCTCACGCCTGTAATCCCAGCACTTTGGTAGGCTGAGGCAGGTGGATCACCTGAGGTCCGGAGTTTGAGGCCCAGCCTGGACAACATGGTGAAACCCTATCTCTACTAAAAATACAAAAAATTAGCCAGCTGTTGTGGCAGGTACCTGTAATCACAGCTACTCAGGAGGCTGGAGCAGGAGCATTGTTTGAACCCAGGAGTCAGAGGTTGCAGTGAGCTGAGATCGCACCATTGCACTCCAGCCTGGGTGACAAGAGTGAAACTCCATCTGAAAAAAAGAAAGCTGCAATATCGTGCATATTGTATTATCCTATTCTGCGAAACCAAAACAGAAATAAAATTCCTACAATTGTTCATCTTCATAGAAAATGGAGTAAAAATGGTATAGAAAGAGACTGTTCTACCTATTGTTATAGCTTAACTTAGAATGGTGGATGGTTAAGGGAGTGGAGGATAATACTGGCATTTTCTTTACATATTCCAATGTTGTTTTACTTTCTAAAAAATTCATGCTTTCTAATTTTTTTAAAAGCTGCTAGATGGAGAAGCCCTTGAACAGGGTGGCTAAGGGCATGACTTCTGGCCCCAGGCCCTGTGGCTCAGTCCTGCTCTTCCAGGTACCTGTTCTAGAGCCACGGACAAGACAGTTACTTCAACTGTGAAATGGAGGTAATAAAAGAACCCATCTCCTAAGGTGGTTGTGAGCTCTTCATCATTTACCTTAGGCCCAATGCTTGGCACATGGTAAAAGCTTTGCAAGTAGTCACTGAGAAGGTGGGAAATTCTTTAGGGCCCATGTGTATTTTTACCCTAAAGCACTGTGATAATCAGAAAACTTTAGCTTTTTGCCCAAACCGGATGGTTGACCTGCTCTTTTCTACCAAGTGTTGAAAGAAAAATGGATATGTGAAGGGAAGAAGAAATCAGCTCACTAGCTGATGGCAGTATTGGCAGGTTTAGTAGCTAGTGTCATCATTTCCCAGTCTTCCCTCCTTAGAAATATACCATGGCCACGATGGTTGGTACAGCACTGAGCTGAGAAATTGAACACATCAGTTCTGTGTGGATGGAAGCCGGAGTGCTATGGGGACAGCTGGACTTTAGAGTCTTGCTTCTAGTCTCAGTACTGAATTGCAGGACTCTGAAACACTCGAGTTTATCAAATCATAAATCTTAGCGCTGCAAGTCTCTCTGCTTTATCTCTGCCTATCTGTCCCTGACTCTTTCACTCAAACACGCACGCATTCATTCCTGCTTATTAGGTGTCTGCCTTGTTGATCATATTCTACTGCTTTCTTTCCTCTCCCCTAATTGTCCACAGAGGAAGGTGGAAGTATGGGTGCCATTACCTCACACTTCAGATCCCTCTGAGCTGGCCGAGAACCACTCCTACCTCATGTGGACAAGAGATGCCTTTGATAACTTTGGCAATACAAAGTCACTGCTCCTGGAACAAAACTTATCCTGGAGCTCAGAGAGGGCCATGGTTCAGTTCCCTGCAATGCTGAAAATAACACCAATAATGAGTGAAACTGACCTGAGCGTCCAGCTTCCTCCACTGTCTGCATAGAAACACAGATAGGCACTGGATGGTACCTGCCTCATGGTAAGTGGAACAGTCAGTTCCTCAGGTGTCCTCTTCACTCAGAAATGGCAATGAAATTTCATCAGGTTGAAACTTGCCAGTGCCTATTTGGCTTTTTTTTTTTTTTTTGAGAGAGAGAGATGGTTTCATTTTGTCACCAAGCCTGGAGTGCAGTGGCGCGAACTTGGTTCACTGCAGCCTTGACCTCCTGGGCTCAAGCGATCCTCCCACCATGCCTGGATAATTTTTGTACTTTGTATAGAGAGGAGGTTTTGCCGTGTTGCGCAGGCTGGTCTCGAACTGCTGAACTCAAGCGATCCACCCACCTTGGCTTCCCAAAGGCCTAGGATTACAGGCGTGAGCCACCACACCCGGCCATGTTTGGATTTTCATAATTCAGACTAGCTGGTGTGCCTGCACAGAAACATCTTTTCTCAATGTGCTTCCTCCACATTCTTCTTCCTTCCGAGTCCTACTGTTCTCCCCTTCAGGAGGCCACAGCTCACTCTTCACTGAAATTACAACATTCATATTTGCTTTTTGCTCACAGGCTGGTGAGGGAGACAAACAGGATTTAGATACATTTCTTGGCCTTAAGAGCTTACAATCTACCTCTTACTAACCTCTTCCTTTATATCATGCTGCAATTGTCCCAGAATATTAAATCATTAACATTCAATCCAGGCATATTTATTCTAACACATAGTAAGCAAAGGTGCATCAGAAAACAAAAGAATTGCTAGCAAGCCCTCAGAATGTGAGCAAATGTGCCCAAATGTACATAGGTGGCTCAGTCTACATTTATTTTGGACCCTTAGTGTGGCATAAACCCATTAGTCCCCAAGACCCAGATATAAAGAAACAACAAACACAAAAGAAAATGTGTGCCCAATTGGCTCATAGCTTGCATCATAAAACATAATTCCTGAAAATTATATCTTCTGATGAGACATAGTGATATAAAATCATTTATATTTTACTTTAGTCTCTATGTGCTCATTTAGATGTTTTAGAATGTAGCATAGAGAAAAGATGCTCAGAAAAGCAAAGCTGTTTAACAATATTAAACCTGAACTGGTTTTCTCTCAGCTGGACTTTGAAGATGTCTCGTCATGGGCCCAATGTTCTCCCACCCTGTCAGTCTGTCTGACTACAGGCACTTAGCACAAGGAACAAATGGATGTATCCTTAATGGCTTCAACTACGCTTTGTTTTTTGTTTATTTTTAATTTTTCTATATTCATAAGAATCGGGCAATATTGTGTTTCTCCAATATTTGTTCCGATCCTATTGATTTTTACTGTTTCACTCTTATTTGACCTTTGTTAATTGGAAACTGCAGTTAGTTTCTGTTGACTAAACAGCTACTAATGCTATGCCTGGTGCAGAGTAGCAGCCTGATTTTGGCAGGATGCAGTGTTGTGTGGCTGAATCTCTCAGCTGTGGAAAACCACTTTGAACTCTGAGACAGGAATTGGCGTTTCTGCTCAAAAGATTATAAGGGTCACCTGGATCCCTGATGAGGATAGTTTTTAGTTTACTAAGAACCAAGTGGCCTTGACTCTACAACAAAAACCGAGGCACAATCAAGGCCACAATCTGAATGATTCAAATAGCACTTTAAGGAGTTCCAAGAATTAAATAAAGGAAATAAAAATAAAGCCCCTGGCCCACCTCCCAGAGAAACCCTGAAGACACATTAAATAATAACTGTGAATGCTTTACATCACATAGGAGGCAAAAAATTTTTTATCTGAAGTGTGAGTCCAATTTTTCTTATTTGTAATCATCATGCAGATTACATGATAATTATACTTTAGCTCTGTTGGACTTTGTGATGATTGTTCTTAATTTATCTATTTACAATGCATTTATTTTGCCCACACTTTCATACTATTTAAAATACTCAATGCAACATGTTCATATACTTATTTATTTAACAGATATTCAGTGAGTGCTAATATGTGCCAGCCACTGCTGCAATGAAAGCCAATTCCTTACCCTCAAGAAGTCTCCAGTCTAGTGGGAATGTGAGAAAATAAATCAGTAAAATAAAAACGTATCAGGCAGTGGTAAGTGCCAAGGAGAACAAAAGAGAGGGGAGCAATGTTAGACCAAGTAGCCAGGAAAGGACTCATCAAGAATGCAACTTTTGAGGTGACATCTGAAGGAAAGAGGGAGCAAGGCATGAAGTTACAGAGTTGGGGGCTTCCAGGAAGATGGAACAGCAAGTGAAGGAGGAGTTTGTGTGGAAAGGCAGGGAGGGGCTGTGAGGAGGCCATTGCAGGGGTAAAGGAAGCAGAGCAGAGGAACAGGAGTAAAGTCAAAGAGGTCACCCAGGTTGTAGAACACTGATGTATGATGGGAAGCCATTGAGTGCTCAGCCCCATAATACGACCTGACTCAGAGTATCATGGGATTACTGTGGCTGTCATGTTGTAGATGGTGTAGAAAGGGCTAGGGTGGCAGCAAAGAAACCTTGAAGAAATGACCACAGTGATCCAGGTAAAAAATGAAGGTGGTGCATGGCCCACAGTGTGAGCAACAACGTTGATGGGAAATTACTAGATTCCAAGTGTATTTTGCAGGGAAAAACTGACAAGATGGGCTGTTGGATTGGATGTGAGATATAAGAGAAGGGGATGAGGCAAAGCAAACCCCAGAGATTTTTACAGGAGCAATTGCAAGGCTGGTAATGGAGTTAAAGAAGAAGTAGGCTTGGTGAAATTCAGGAGTTCAGTTCTGGACAGGATATATTTGAGATGCTGAACAGCCGTCCGAGTAGACAGGTTGAGTAAGCAATTGAATATAGAAGTTTGGAATGCAAGGAAAAGATCTGAGCCATAGATATGAACTTAGGAGTCATTAGAAACAGATGTTATTTAGAGCCATGAGAATAGGTGAGATCTCAAAGGAAGAAGTGGAAATAGGGGGAAGCCCTGGAGTGCCCTGTCCTGAAGGGAGGAAGTGGAACCAGCACAGAAGACTAAGAAAGAGAGACTAGGAAAACCAGGCCTGTGTCCCCTCCTGGAGGCTGAATGAACAGCAAATTTCAAATAAGAGCAATCCACTGTGTCAACTTGCCAAGAGGCCCAGATGCCCACATTTAGCAGCTCAGAAATCATGACGATATTGAGGAGGAATTTCAGTAGCAACAGAGAGGCAAAATAGGTTCAAGGGAGAATGAGAGGTGGCAAATTGAAGCCTTTAACTGGAGACAATTGTTTTAAGGGATTTTTCAAAAAATAAAAGGGTGGTTGCTAGAGGAGGAAGTAAAGACAATTTTTTTTCTTATGAGATGAGAAATAACAAGTTTGTCAACTGCGTTAGTGTCCTGTGACTTCCATAGCAAATTACCACAAACTGGGTGGCTTACGAGAGAAATTTATTGTCTCCCTGTGAAGAAGGAATCAATGAAATCAACTATAACCTAACAGTAGTAGTAACAAAAATTTTAAAATCCTCTTAAAGTTGCTGCAAAGTGTGACCCCCCCACCACCTTACACTCAAGTTAAAAGGGAATATTAACAGCCTGTCTTCTCTCTGCGGACAGCGGACCTTATCTATACTCCCCAACTCCACATTCCTCAGAGTTTATTACAGACCTAGCGAGTTCCTGCACGGCTGCAGGGTCACAAGACCGGTAAGTTTAGGTTGCAAGACATGTTTCTCTCAAGATGTAAGAAATGTTGTAATGCTGCCTTTGTTTCTTGCTTCTGTAACTCGATTCCCGCTTCACATAATTCCTGCCTTAAGATGTTTAAAAGTAGGAAAAGCCCTTTATTCGGGGCTCAGACTTTCTGAACGTATGTCCGGCTGAGCTGGTGATCACCTTAATTTAATAAACTCTCCTGAAGCTTTTTCAGTCTCTGCAGTCTTTGATTGTCCCACACCATTTCGTCTGGATGCTGAAAGTCTAAAATCAGTTTCAGCAGGGCCCTGTTCCCCCAGAGGGAATAGTTGAAAATCTGTTCCTTGCCTCTTTCAACTTCTGGTGGTTGCCAATATTTATTGGCTTGTGGCCACATCACTCCAATCTCGGCCTCTGTGGTTACATTTCCTCTTTCCTTTGTGTCTATCTCAAATGTCCCTTTGTCTCTGTCTTATAAAGATGCATGTGATTACATTTAGGGCACATCTGGATAATCCAGGATTATCTCCACATCGAAAGATCCTTAACTTAATAATATCTACACAAACTCTTTTTCCAAATAAGGTAACACTCACAGGTCTGGGGGATTAGGGCGTGGACATATCTTTGGGAGCCATTATCAGTCCACCACATTAGCAGATGACAAGGATCTAACAGAGAGAATAAAATGATAATGCAGGAGAGGGGAGAATTACTGAAGCAATGCCCTTGAGAAGGGCAGAAGGGACTGGATCTAGTCAACAAAGTAGAGAGGTGAGCCATACCTTGGAGCATGGACAATTCATTTATAGTATTATTGGTAACATAATTTTATTCTTTAGTTTCAGAAGAATTTATCTAAAGTAAGTGTACACTCAGGTCTTTATTTGTATTAGTTCCCTATAGCTGCTTAACAAACTATTACAAATTTGGCAGTTTAAGGCCACAAAAAAAAATAAATTAAATATAAATAAATAAATATGAGAGGCATATATATGTTGTAACTCCCTTTACTGTTGCCATGAAGTATAATCTAATCACAGGGGGATATCCATAACTTTTGCCATATACTGTTGCTCAGGAGCAAATCACACGCCTGTCCATGTTCACGAGAGGAATTCCACAAGTTGTGAGCACCAGGAGGTGGAGTTCACTGGGGTTCTGTCCACCACATTAATGATAAAGGTCAAAAGTGGGTAAAATATATCAGATTCATAGATTTAGGTAATTCTTGCATTTTTTATCATTAAAAAAGAAAACAGACAAGGATACCTGTGTACGGCACTTGGGATTAAAGTAGGACTCTGCTTTTACACAATTTGAGTGTAACCTTAGAACAGAAAATGAATGAAGCAAGAAATCAGGAAGAGGTAGTTTAGAATTTTTAAAAATCAACAAGTTTCTCCCTCAAAAAGGTATATTTGGTTCACTTTTCTTATTCTAATCACATGCACAAGGATTGGTGTGCTCTAAATATTCTAATTGCATTGACATGAGAAAATAGCACTGGATTTTGTTGACAGGGTGTTAGGCACTTATTTTATTCACTGGCATCATGGTCAAATTACTCTGTCAAAGCCTCCATTTCTCTATCTGCAAATAGAGACAATAAAGTTTTCTATCCCAAGGCATTGTTGTGTGAATGAAATCAGACAATCCATTCGCAATGATCATCACAGCACCTGACAGGTAGTAAGAGCTCCATAAACATTATTACATTTATTATTATTATCCTAACTCAGTCTATGGCCAGAATTTGACAGACCCATAAAAATAAGAAAACATATGCAATAGGTTATGTGCCCAATTGATTGTTTTAACTGAACTTGTTGTTTGTTTATATTATCTTCCAAATAGCTCCCACATAAAAAGATCAAAGGGCACAACCATATAGTGGTTATCATGGAAAGTTCTGAATTTTGCTTGCTTTTGAATTCTGTTTTCTCCACTTCAAGCTGTGCAGCCTTGGAAAGGTTAACCTCCATGTGGCTCAGTTAACTTCCATGTAGCTGCCTGGTTATAAATTGAGGATAACTGTGGTATTCCACTCGGGGGTGTTTAAGATTACACGGGATAATTCACTGGGTCAAGCAATTAACCCAGTGCCTGGCCAAGGGCAAGTATTCAGTATACAGTAGCCAGAACAACAAATTAGTCCAACAAATAATAACCAAGCCCTTAGAAACATCAATAAGACAAGTGTTACCTATTTAATACATGTGGGTATTTTTCTGCGTGTTTCATTACTTGCTTCTGATTGTGAGGCAAGTCAGTATTGATATTCCAATTTGGGGATTAAGGACCAGTAATATAGTTTTTGGGATTTCAAGACCCATGAATTAAAAAAAAAAAAAAAGTTTAGAGCCAGAAAAAAAAGTATTTTATTTTGTTAAGCAAGAAAAAAAATCAGTTTTATAGAATCAAAAAAGCAGAAAGAACATAGTCACAATGTAGAGATCAGCATTTCAAATTCAATGAATTTGGCTTCATGAAAACTAGTTTTTTTTTTTTTAAGGATGTGTGAAAACTGTATCTTGGACCAGTGCTGCTTGCAAAGCAGTGATTAGGAAATATGGGGCTATGATAAATGTAATTGCAAGAGCCAAAATATGGGTTGATAAGCAAACCTGTAGGGAGAATTTCACTTCTGCAGCTGCAAGCATGAGAGACAACCTGCCCCAGCTCTGCTCATGGAAACACTGGGAAGATGCCTGTGGTTGTGATTCGGAGCCTAAGTCACCAGAAGAAAGGTCCTGTGTAAATCGTGAGCCCAGTTACTCATAATTGTCATCACCATATTCATCTGTTACATTCTTTGTCATAGAGAGACATAGTCATCTTTGAAATTTTCTGGATGAATAACAACATATTGTTACTCATTTTTTCTTATCCCTCTCCTTTTTCATCACCTTTTTAACCTATTCAACCTTATCGTAACAAGTTCCTCAGGCCTGACTATACTCTAAAGTCTCCAAGACAGGCATTAGCATTTGAAAATCTGAAGTTGAGGTACACTCCAGGAACTTTCATATTTTAATGTACTTTTAGCAGCTTTGGAAAGTTAATGGGAACTGAATTATATTTAATGCTATTTAAAAGGAAAGTCCCTTTACTCACAAATATGTGCTTTATAATGAATTTCTAATCATAAGCACTTCAGCATCAAGTTTCTTCGCAATATGTATATAAGATTAATTTTTTGACAGCCCTTTGTAATTCACACTTTTACCAGAAGCAAAGGAGGCTCTGCAATAAGCCGTTTTCTTTCACTTCATTTTGTGCATAATGAGCCAGAGTCTCTAACATGATATCAGAGAGCCAGTCCAGGCTGAACAAAGAGAAAGAAAATGGAAAGACTGGATATTGTTTGTCTGAGAGGTGAAATGGGTGGAAGCATTAAGTGATGCTCTATCACTCTATCACATGAGGGGGGAGCCACGGCACATTTAGGCTTTCTCCTGAGCTAGGGCATTTCTTTGGACTCTTATTTCTTCATGGGAAATTTGAACTTTTGTGAAAAGGTGGAAACTTCATCTCACAAAGAAAATCTCATTATGAGAGTGAGGATTAAAGAGGCCTTTGCTCTCAAGGAGGAACACACTGTCTTTAGTTCACTGTTCAAAAATTTCCATCCAAATTTAAGATAAAAATGTACATCAGCAACACAAAGGTAGAGATGCTGTGAAGGGGAAGTGACAGAGGACCATTTAGAATTGCATTATCTGGCCAGGCGCGGTGGCTCACGCCTGTAATCCCAACACTTTGGGAGGCCCAGGCGGGCAGATCACCTGAGGTCAGGAGTTCGAGACCAGCCTGGCCAACATGGGGAAACCCCGTCTCTACTAAAAATACAAAACTTAGCCTGGTGTGGTGGCGGGTGCCTGTAATCCCAGCTACTCAAGAGTCTGAGGCAGGAGAATCGCTTGTTTCCAGGAGGCGGAGGTTACAGTGAGCTGAGATTGTGCCATTGCTCTCCAGCCTGGGTGACAGAGCGAGACTCCGCCCCCCATGCCCCCCCCCCCCACAAAAAAAATTGCATTACCTGAACTCAGGCACGTCTGCAACTGGGCCATCTACAGCAACAAATGGCAGTTCTTGAGAGGAAATCATGGAGACTGAAGGAATCAATGGTGATGAGAAAAGGGCTTTTTCCTCTCCTCAGCCTCCTGTAGCAATCTATGAATACCAGAAACAAATCTAGTAACTGTCAATTTTCTGAATTTAAACCCCAGTGAACCAGAGACCAAAGACACAAACTGTAGTGGAAATGAGGGAAAGAAAAAAGGGGACATGTTCAAGAGCTCTTTAAACTTCACCTTGTAGGTTTCTGTAAAGAAGATAAGAAAATATGACTGTGACTTAGTCATATTTCAGTGACTCAAAATGTCACTGAAAATAGTTGTTTATAATTACTTAGTAGTATTTTCTTTTCTTTTTAGCTTCAATTGCATAGGTACAGACTTCGACCAAAGATTAGGTTTAATAAAAGAGATAGAAAAACCACTTCCAGTTTTAGCTCTGACATGAAATGAGGTTAGAAGTCACCACTCTCATCCTTAACATAAGTAAAAATGGAACAAATGGAAAAGGAATGACCTTTCTTGGACTCATCAGAGAACTGAGGTTGCAAAGCAAACCCCTACTCTGAAATCTGAAAAGACAGGAGAATCTAGAGAGTCACACCTGAGATCTGCTTACCTACAGCAGAAGCCACAAGAGCCAGAAACTAGAAAGAACATTTAAATGAAAGCTTTGATAAATTGCTGGAGGCTGGTTGAGTATGGTCTAATGTGAGAGTGAGAAATTCCTGGGGGCAACAGTCTTGTGCGGGGTTGGGCCGGGGAGGACACTTCGATTCTTTAAGTCCAGGAACCTCACTAAGTTTTCACGGTAAAAACCCAAGAAAGCCCTTTGATGTGTCTAGCAGGGTGAAGGGAAGAGTAACAATGATGAAGTAAGTCAAGAGGTTTCTCTCTAACAAAGTCTACTCTCTAACAAAAAAAGACTTTCCCAGAGCTGAATACTTAACAAACATAAGAAAAGTTATTAGATTTCATTAATGATCAAGAAATATAATGTAAAAATGAGACACAATTTTTATCAAAATATATTGACAAAAATTTTAAAGCCTAACGAAATCAAGTGTTTATTGGGATGTTTGGTGAAGTTGGAACTCTCATCCTTTGAACAAATTTGTTAGTATTCAACTAAATATGTTCATGCCCTATAATTTTACTTCTGGGCATAAACTCTAGAGAAAAGTCTTACACATGTATATAGGAAGACCTATACAAGCATGTTGTGACTTTATTATTATTATTATTATTATTATTATTTTATTTAGTTACTTTTGAGACAGAGCCTCACCCAGGCTGGAGTGCAGCGGTGCCATCTCGGCTCACTGCAACCTCCGCCTCTGGTGTTCAAGTGATTCTTGTGCCTCAGCCTCCCAAGTAGCTGGGATTACAGGCACGTGCCACCATGCCCAGCTAATTTTTGTATTTTTAGCAGAGACAGGGTTTCACGATGCTGGCCAGGCTCGTCTCAAACACCTGACCTCAAAGGATCCACCTGCCTCGGCCTCCCAAAGTGTTGGGATTACAGGCATGAGCCACTGTGCCCAGCCAAAATTATTTTTAATAATAAAAACTCAGAAATAAATGAAGCCGTTTAAAATGAAAAAAATATAAAGACTCTGATAGGTTGAAAGTAAAGGGATAGAAATAGATACAACACTCTAATACTAATTTTTTTAAAAAAGACTGGAGTAGATATATTAATTTCAGATAAAGCAGACTTCAGAACACCAACAATTATCACAAATAAAGATAAGCATAATAAAGAGCTTACTTAGTGGCCGGGCGCGGTGGCTCACGCCTGTAATGCCAGCACTTTGGGAGGCCGAGGCGGGCGGATCACAAGGTCAGGAGAACGAGACCATTCTGGCTAACACGGTGAAACCCCGTCTCTACTAAAAATACAAAAAAAAAAAAAATTAGCCGGGCGTGGTGGCAGGCGCCTGTAGTCCCAGCTGTTCAGGAGGCTGAGGCAGGAGAATGGCGTGAACTCGGGAGGTGGAGCTTGCAGTGAGCCGAGATCGCGCCACTGCACTCCAGCCTGGGCGACAGAGCCAGACTCCGTCTCAAAAAAAAAAAAAAAAAAATTGTTCAATGCATGCCCTTCAACAGATTGAATGGTGCCTACCCACACTGGGGAGGACAATTGCTTTACTCAGTCCATCAACTCAAATGCTAGTGTCTTCTGGAAGTACCCTCACAGAATAACTTCATAGTGGAGAACACTGAAAAACACTGCTTGAACCAGGTGATGAAGGTAAAAACCAGCAGTGATGAGTTGTCTTGATACTATGTATCTGTGGTATGATATGAAGAAAATGGTATTTCAGCGCTGTAGTCTTCCTCTCCAAAACATATAACCCGAGTCTAATAAAAATAAAAATATCAGAAATATCTTAATTGAAGGACATTCTACAAAAATACCTGATTGGGACTCCTCAAAGCTGTCAAAGTCATCAAAAGCAAGGAAAGTCTGAGAAACTGTCACAGCCAAGAAAAAACTAAGAGGAGATGACACCTAAGTGTAACGTATGTCCTGGATGGAATCCGGGGATATAAAAGAGACATTAGGTAAAAACTGAGGAAATCTGAATGAAGTATGGACTTTAGTTAATAACATGTCCATACTGGTTGTTTTACTGTGACAAATGTACCATACTAAACTAGGATGTGAATAATAGGGTAAACTGAACACTATATATAGAGGAGCTCTCTGTACTATCTCCACAATTTTTTGTAATCTAAAACTGTTCTAAAAATAAATTTTATTTAAAAATAATAAGATACAATAATTTGATTTTCCGTTCTTCTTTCAAGCTTTGGAAGCAGTCTCAAAGGAGATATTAAGACTCACTAGAGAGCTAAGTTTGAGAGGTAAGTTTGTGGGCTTTTTTTGTAAGAACAGAGCCCCAGAGAAGCCACTCTCCAACCAACAAATCCTTCTCTGAAAGAGTTCATCAGTGAATACTACTCATAAGAACTTACTGTCCCAGAAGACAGGTAAGGAAATATCCACTACAGCAAATGAGTATGGTGTTTGAGTAAAGATAAAATGGATGGAATTTAGGATTATGTAGTCAAAGGGAATTGAAGTTAAAGCCACTTCCCAACTGTGGATTTATATAGCTCTTATAGAAGCAGCAACATGCCTAAAGTGATAGACACATGTGAATATTCAAAGAATGCAATCACTAGAGCCATATCTTCAAGTCATTATGGGTCCAAACAACAGCTTTTGTCTTCTGTGAGAACCAGAAATATTATCTGGAAACATCTGATTTTTAATTCAGAAGCTGTAGCTGCCAGAAAAAACTAGGGGACGCCCATGTGGGAACTATATAACTGTGTATCTTTTAAGTGATATCTTTAAAGCAATTTTTATTCTCTTTAAACGGTCCTGAAATCTTATTGCTAGTGTTTCTCCACTTAAATATTTTGACATTATTTTTTCATCATTTACTATGTACATTTATGTACAAATCTAAATTTAGTCTTTTACATTTATTAGCTGTTGTCTTTTGAAAGATAAATTAGATCAATATATTCTTCCCTGCACTTCATCTTTCATAACACAGTTCAAGAATTTCATTGAGCTAAAAAAAAACCTAACGTAAAAGTAAAATTATTGTTGAATTGAACAAACATAGATAATATAACATGTGTTTATCTACTTGTAATTCTCCACTTAGAGGGATTTTCACTTTTTTTTATGTTTGCTCTTTATTTCATCACTTTGTGTCATTTTGTTGCCTGCCTACCTCCCTTACCAAGATAATTTCAAATTTAATCATTCTCACAATAATATATCTCAAAATTATTTAAATGCAAAAAGTAAAAGCAGCTGCACTGATGTGCAAGTGTTAAATCCCTCAGGTTCTGAGACTTGAACTGAGCATATATGATCTTAAAACAAAAATGTGCCTCAAGAACCAGCCCTTGATAAGTTGGGAAGTGTTACCACAGTGAGCGTCATCATGTCACTCTGTCCCACTTCTGCTCTTTTCATATTACCATCTGCTAACCTGAGATAGGCAAGCTATAGCCGAGTAGTCAAGAGTCAACTTTACCTTCTTTAAGAAAAAGTCCTCTAACGGCCTCAAAACATGACATGCAACACAGCCCCCTGGTGCTCCAAGTCCCTCCCGCAGCACTTCTTCCATTTCCCGAAGTTCCAAGCAGTAGTAAGTTATTTGCTCCCTGTAGGGTTTCATTTCCTCAGTTGTGTAAAGAAATCTGTGATTCTATGTGACAGTGAATAGAATTTAATCCTCTGTATTGAGCTGGATCCTTAAAAACTATAAGACTGTTTCATTTTTTCATTTATTATAATTGAAAGACAATTCTGAGGGAAAACATTCTGGAAAAAGAGATTTTTAAAGAATACCTTGGCTTCTTGTTAGGAGAGCTGTCCTTTTGCTTTCACGGCATTGCAAGAGAATCCCAGGGACCTTACTTAGCCATGCCAACTTGCTATTAAAAATTGAATCCCATTCTATTCAATTGGCACAAAAATCAAGCAGTCATTTGTTTTCTTAAATTGTTTCAGATTCATAAGAATAAGTTATCCAGATTTTCCTTCATTGAAGCTAATATTTCAAGGTTTTCTTTTTTTCCTACCCAGTGTTTTCCATGGATCCACTCTGCAATGGTATCAGTAGGAATTAAGCACACAGCAACAGAGACATACTGAACATATTGATTACCAAGTCAAATGGTTTCCCTGGCAACCGTAACCCAATGAAATCCCTCAGAGCTTCCTTCCTTCCACACACGATTTTTTTTTTCTAATGATTTCAGGCATCACAGATGGCAGAAACAGATACAAAAGTACCTGTTCCAAATATGTTGCTACAAAAATAAAGCTGATTCAGCAAGAGATGTTCTGCTGTGTTCTGTGGCTAGCTAACTTGTGTATTTTTTTGAATAATTTTGAAATGAGTCCATTCTCATGTGCATTGTAGTATGTGAATGTATTAGTTTTCTATTGCTGCTATAATAAATCACTACAAACTTCACGGCTTAAAATAACATAAATGTCTTATCTCACAGTTCTGCAGATCATAAGTCTGGCACAGGTCTCACTGGAATAAAATCAAGGTGTCAATAGAGCTATGTTCCATTGTGGTGACTTTAAGGGAGAATCCTTTGCCTTTTTCAGCTTCTAGGAGCTATTGGCATTCCTTGGCTCAGAGCGCCTTCTATTTTTAAGTTAGAAACATCACATCTCTCTCACCCTTCTTCTGTTGTCACATGCCAGCTGGGAAAGGTTCTTAAAAACTTGATCCTTCTGATGGCATTGGACCCATCTGAATAATCCAGAATAATCTCTACATCTCAAGGTCAGCACCATTAATCACAACTGTAAAGTCCGTTTGGCATGTAAGGTAACATATCCACATGTTCCAGGGATTAGGCCATGGATGTCTTTGCGAGGCCATTATTCTGCATACCACAATGAATGCATTGTCTAGCATATTTCCAAGAAAGGAAGATGTCTTTCAAAGTATTCATACACAATAGAGCATGCACTTTGAACTGATTCTTTTAAGTATTGGTGATTGTTTCACACTCATCTAAAGCAGAGACTGATAAACCTTATTTGTAGAGGGCTAGACCCTATGTATATTTGACATTGCTAACTATACAGTTTCTGTTACAAATATTCAACTCTGCCATTGTAGTATGAAAGCAGCCATTGACAGTACATAAATGAATGAGCTTGGCTGTGTTCCATAAAAATTTATACACAGAAACAGGCAGTGGGTCAGAGTCAGCCTGTTAGCTATAATTTGCCAATTTGTAAACTAGAGCTATGAAAGTGGGTTTCTTATCGAATATAAGCTTTCTTCAATATTATCAAATCTGTCTTGAGTATCAATGATAGGGCATAAGACCACAAAGAGCTAGAGGACAGAAGATCTACCCTCAAGGGGCTAAATATAATTGGAAAGGTGAAACATTTTTATTAAAACATAATAACGTAATATTTGATTCGTATGTTTAGTTGAATACATTATTTAACTCTCAAACGTATCATCTTTAAAAATTATATTATGAGAGTTCCACTTCTCATAATGAAAGACTATTTGGTATTGAACTACTTCCTACAGATGACAACAAATATACACTAAAAATAAAAATTTTTTAAAATATTTTTAAAATAAACAGCTATCTGTAGGTAGTGTAGAATGATCAACAGCACACAGAAAGTAGAGAGGAGTCCAGCTTTGAAAGACAAGAACTATTCTGATAGAAATTAGTGCTTATATGACTTTTTGCCTAAGGGCACATCCCCTCTGTGTGGCATAAAGCTGAAGAACTAAAGAACACATCTGGTCTTATTGGCTTAAATAGTCAGCGTACGGAGTTGGGAGATGTTACAGCGCATAGAGAATAAGTGAGAAATCCCAGAAATTAGTGATTCACAGGAGGAAAACTCTCAAAACTGCATATAACCTCTGTCCCCTTTTGGTTGAAGCCTGAATTTTGCATGCATGGAAGATGCACCCAGTTTCCCAGTGAAAAGCAACAGCTGAAAGATTAAAAGAACTGAGTATTTTCAGCTGCTGTTTATTCCAGGGGAGATAGAGATTGAAGTTTAATGCTAATAAAGTTGGCATCCTGCTAAAACAAAAATCTACGGTTATAAGGAAAAAAGATTCCAGAGTCTCAGTCTTTAGCAGTAAATGAATCATTAAGAATAACTAGTACACAATAAAAAAATTAATAGACACGAAAATAAACAGAAAAATGGGAGCACTAGTTAAGAGAAAGGTAGTATGTATGTAGTAACAGATTTCTAGATGACACAGATGTTAGAATTAGAAGGCAAGAATGTTAAAGTAAGTAAAATAACTATATTGGTGACTTAAAGGAGAACATGGTCATTATAAATGAACAGAAGGAGAAATCTGCAAACTAATGGAAACCATGAAAAGAGAACCAAGTGGATTATAGAAGATAAAAAGTAAAGTTTATGCAATTAAAAATATTACTGGATGGGCTTATCAGCTTATTAGAGATGGTACAAGAAAATGCCAGTGAACTTGAAGAAAAAGATGAAAGGAAGAAAAAAATTATTGAAAAAGATGTGAAGAGAGCTTTATGGCACAATAACAACTTGATTAACATATGTGCAACTGGAGTCCCAGAAGGATAAAAGGATGAAAATGGAATAAAACAAAATTTGGAGAAGTAATGACTATTAGGTTTTCAAATGGAGTGAAACAACACTATGCTAGATCCCAAGAAGCTCTGCAAACCCCAAGCATAAAAAAGAGAAAGGAAGGAAGGATGGAAGGAGGAAAGGAAGGAAAGGAAGGAAGGGAGAGAGGAAAGAAGGAAAGAAGGGAGGGAGGGAAGAGGGAAGGGAAGGGAAGGGAAGGCAGTCAAAACATCAGGGTTAAACTGTTGAAGACTGAAGAGTGAATTTTTTAAAAATCTAGAAAGCAGACAGAGAAAGATGACATATATATAAGGGAGCAATGATATGAATGATGGCTGACTTCCCAACAGAAACAGTGATGGCTGGAATACTATTTCTGGTAAAAATATAAAAGATAACATCAGAATAAAATAATTTTCAAATAAAGGAAAAGAAAGAAAAATTTTAACCCACAAACCTGCACTTAAGAAATACTAATAAAAATCCTTCACTTGGAAGGAAAATGACACCAGATAAAAACTAGGATCTAAAAGAAGAAATAAGAAGTCTTTGAAGGCTAATTATATGGGTACATCTATAAGATTCTTTCTTGCCTTTTTGTGTATGTATGTTTGTACGTATGTATGTGTAATATGTGTGTATATCTCTATTTGTTCCTTTTCCTAATTTATTTAAAAGCCATGTGAGTGTTTAAAGCAAAAATAAAAGAATAAATACATATTGTAAAATTTGTCCTGCACTACATGTAAAACATAGGACAACAATAGCACAAAGAGTAGGTCAATAAATTGCATTAAACCATTTCATGGTTCTTACATCTTACATGAAGGGTTGTAATATAAACACTAAGGAAATTGTGATAAGGTAAGGGTCTATATCATAATCCCTAGGGCAAATGCACACCACCACACCCCCACCCCGCCCCCCCTGACACACACACACTGCAAAGAGGCATAGCTACAAAGCCAATAGAGGAATTGCAATAAAATACTAAAAATTATTCAATAAGGCAAGAGAAGGCAGAAAAGGAAGAATATATAATCAGAAAGATGATGAGATAAAGAGAAAATGCATGGCAAAATTAAAGACTTAGATCTAAACATGTAAATAATTGTATCAAATATAAATGAATTAAGCACTCCTAACAATATGTTAAAATAACCAAGACTGAATATTTTAAAAGGCTATTTATGGGAGATGCACCTTAAATATAAAGGCACAAACAGTATGGAAGTAAAAAAAAAAATGGAAAGTGACATATTTTGCACAGTAACAGTAAACACAAGAAACCTGAGTAGATATATTAATACCAGAAGACAAAAATAGATAAATACAAAAAAACAAGGACTATTGCCAGCAATTAAGAAGGCCAGCTTACAATGATAAAAGCTTAATTAATCAGAAAGACACAGTGATCATAACGTTTGTGCAATAAATAACTTATATAAAAAGCAAACTTTGACAGAATTAAATGGAGAAATAAACAAACTCATACAGTAGTAGATTTTTATACGTTTCTAAACAATTGATGGTCAGAATAATAAGTAAAGATTTAGGAGACCTGAAGAACACTATTAAACAATTTAACCTGCCTGATATTTATAGAGCATCAACACCCAACAAGTGCAAAATACATATTATTTCCAAGTACACATGAAATATTTCTCAAGGTAGACTATAACTGGGCCATAAAATGAGAAGATGAAATTTATGAAATTTAAAAGGAAGAATGAAATTTTACCAACTATTTTTCCTGACCACAATAAAATTAATGTAGAAGCCAATAATAATAAAATATCTTAAAATCCACAAATATGGGAGCAGCCAAGATGGCCGGATGGAAATAGCTGCACTCTGTGGCTCTAACCGAGAAGGATGAAAATGGTGAGTGAATTCTGCATCTTCAATTGAGGTACCAAGGTTCTCTCATTGGGACTGACTAGGCATTTGGTGCGACCCACAGAGAGTGAGGAAACTCCGGGCCGATCTAGGGCCTACCTGGGAGCTGCAAGGGGCAAAGGGAGCTCCCTTCCCCAGCCAAGGGAGGCGGTGAGGGATTGTGCTACCGCTCCCTGAAAATCACCCTTTTCCCATGGATCCTTGCAACCCACGGATCAGGAGGTCCACTCATGAGCTCACACCACCAGGGCCTTGGGTCTCAAGCACAGAGCTGTGAAGGCTCACGGTGGCTGCTTCAGTGGGCAGCCGCCCAAGCAGGCACTGGGTCACAGGAGTTTGTGCATACTCCCGCTCTGTGAATTCTGGTGAGGCAGGAGATCCTCCCACTTCCGTGGGAAGGGGGTTGAAGCCAGGGAGCCAAGCGGCCTCACTCAGCAGGTCCCACTCAAACAGAACCCCACAAGCTAAAACCCACTGACTTGGAACCCCTGCCAGCCAGCATAGCTGACTGGAGACTGCCTAGGAAGACCGAGTTCCATTGGAGGAGGGGTGGCCGCCATCACTGTGGCTCCAGTCAGGCGTTTTCTCCTACCGCTGGTGCCAGCAAGACTGGGTGGTTTGGACACAGAGCAATTTCCCACAGTGCAGCATGTGGCTGGGACAGTTCGTGGCCGGGATGCTTCTTTAAGCAGGACCTCAATCCACCCCTCCTCACTGGGCGGGGCCTCCCTGTGGGAATTTCAGCATGATCAGCCGGGGGCTTATGGACAGAACTCTGAAATCCCTGAGAGGAGACCCTAGGAGGAGGGGCTGCTGTGGTATCATGGATCAGTGGTCTTAGTCTTTTCTGCATGTTTGCTCTGGAGAGTCAGGGCAGCCCTGGCAAGGGAAGCTCCCCCTAGTGCCCACACCTACTCTGCCAAGGGGCAGTCAGACTGCTTATTTAAGCAGGTCCCTGAACCCACTCCTTCTGACTGGGTGAAACCTCCCGACAGGAGTATCCAGACACTTCATATAGGAGCATTCCAGCAGCATCAGGTCAGTTCCCCTCTTGGACAGAGCTCCCTGCTCCGGAGAAGGAACAGGCTGCCATCTTTGCTGTTCTGCAGCCTCTACTGATGATACCTCCAGGGAAGGGAGGGACCCAGGAGAATAGGGTCTGGAGTGGACCCAGGAGAATAGGGTCTGGAGTGGATCCCCAGCAAAACTGCAGCAGCAGCTCTATGGAAGATGGGCCTGACTGCTAAACGAAAAACAAACAGAAAACAACAACAACAACATCACCAAAAAAGAGACCAAAAAACCCCATCCAAAGTTCAGCAGCCGCAAAGATCAAAGGTAGATGAACCTAGGATGATGAGAAAGAATCAATCAAAAATGCTGAAAACTAAAAAATACAGAGTGCCTATTCTCCAAATGATCACAACATGTCTCCAACAAGGGCACAGACCTGGGCTGAGGCTGAGATGAATGAATTGACAGAAGTAGGCTTCAGAAGATGGGTAATAATGAACTTTGCTGAGCTAAAGGAGTATGCTCTAACTCACTGCAAGGAAGCTAAGAACCATGATAAAACATTACAAAAGCTGTTAACCAGAATAATCAGTTTAGAGAGGAACGTAAATGACCTGATGGAGCTGAAAAACACAACATAAGAACTTCACAATGCACACAAGTAGTTCAATAGCTGAATAAACCAAGCAGAAGAAAGAATATCAGAGCTTAAAGACTGTCTTGCTGAAATAAGGCAGACAGACAAGATTAGAAAAAAAAGAATAAAAATGAACAAAACCTCCAAGAACTATGGAATTATGTTAAAAGACAAAACCTGTGACTGACAGGGGTACCTGAAAGAGACAGGGAGAATGGAATCAAGTTGGAAAACACACTTTAGGATATCATCCAGGAGAACTTCCCCAACATAGCAAGACAGGCAAACATTCAAATTCAGGAAATCCAGAGAACCCTAGTAAGACACTCCATGAGAAGATCACCCCCAAGGCACATAATCATCATATTATCTAAGCACGAAATGATGAAAAAAATGTTAAGGGCAGACAGAGAGAAAGCCAGGTCACCTACAAAGGGAAGCCCATCAGACTAACAGTGGACCTCTTAGTGGAAACCCTACAAGCCAGAAGAGATTGTGGGCCAGTATGCAACATTCTTAAAGAAAAAAATTTCCAACCTAGAATTTCATATTCTGCTAAACTAAGCTTCATAAGATAAACGTAATAACAACAAAATCTAAACTCAGCTTACCTATTGACTAGATGGACAGAACTGTTTGCACTAACAGAAGACTGAAACTGGTAAAATTGTGATTAAATGAATTAGATACATTTTTCTTATTTTTGGTTACTTTAAAAGATAGTTTATGTCTCAAACAAAAATAAAAACAATGTATTGGAGGTCTATAACAAATAGAATTAAAATATCTAATAACAATGGCACAAAGGATAGGGTAGAAGGAAATAAAAGTATACTATTGTAAAGTTTTTATATTATACAGGAAGTGATATATCATTATTTGAAAGTAGATAGTGATAAGTTAAAGTTGTATATTGTAATCTTCAGAGGAACCACTAAAAATATAAAATGAAATATAGCAAATAACATGTGATGTAGATAAAGTGAGATCATAACATTATTTCAATCCAAAATTAAACAGAAAAGAGGATAAGAGGAAAAAAATCAAATGTTATAAAAACAGCAGTATAGTAGCTTTAAACTAAATCATATCAATAATTTTCTTATATATAAATGGTCTAAACACTCCAATTAAAAGGCAGAGACTGAGATTAGCTTTTAAAAGCAAGAATGAATAATACACTATCCACAAGAAACTGTCTTTAAATATAAAAACATAATCTAAAGGATGAAAAGGTATATGCCACACAAACATTAATGAAAAGAAAGTTGTAATGGTTATATTACTATCAAACACAGTAATTTCAGAACAAGAAATAGTGTCTTGCATAAAGAGGGACTTTTCATAATGATAAAGGGGTTAAAAATACATAACAATTCTAAATATCTATACATTGATAATAGAACTTCAAAATAAGTAGAGTGAAAGCTGATCAAACTAAAAGAAGAAATAGATAAGTCCAAAATGACACAAAATTTCAACACTTCTTTTTCAGTAAATTAGAATAAGAGAGAAAATTAAATGCAAAGTAAGCAGAAATAAGGAAATAGTAAAAATAAGAGTAGAAAATAGAACAATAGAGAAAAATCAATGACATCAAAAGGTGGTTCTCTGCAGAAAAAAAATGACTAACCTTTAGTTTGAATTATCAGAAAACAAAGAGTAGAGAGAATCATCAATATCAGAAATGAAAGAGGAGAAATAACTACTGATCCTACAGACATTAACAAGACAGTAGAAAATATAAAGAACAGCTTGGTGCCAATTTTAATACAGAGTCTGACACTGTTTTTTGATACTTGACTGCTATCAACTTTTAAAGCTCAGTTCCTCCCCTTCCACTCCACATCTGGGCAAGCTGGCCAAAAAAAAAAAAAAAAAAAAAAAAAAGGCCAGAGTGTTTTCTACTTTGGCATCAGCAGGAGATTCAACACATAAGCACCACCCACACGTGGAAACCTTCACACAGGCCTCACCCCTACCTACCACAAGTGCCCCAAGCCAGTCACCTCTCCTTGTTCTCTCAAGTTATTTCGAACCTGCTTAGGAGACTTGCTCTCCACAGAAAGTCTCATTATGTGAATAATAACCTTTTCATACCCATTCGGGGTGTTTGTGTGTCTGTGTGTGTGTGTGTATGCAAACATTAGCCTCTGAAGGGTGTCTACAACACCAGTAATTCTGAGATCTGATAAAAGGAAAAATTTGTTAGAGGACATAAATTTTTAATGCCCAATTAAGAGAAAATAATCTAGAGATCTTTGTATCCATTAAAGAAACTGAGTTTGTTGTTAAAAAGTTTGCACACACATACACAATTCCCAAATCCAGGTGGCTTCAATGGTGAACCTATCAACCACTTAAGAACTGATACTGCTACTATCACTAATACAATTTCTATACAAATGTTTCCAGAAAATAAAAGAGAAGGGAACACTTATTAACTTATTTTATTAGTACAGTATTACTATGATTAAAAAACACACAGAAGAGACAACATAAGAACTTATAGACTGATATCCCTTAGGAAGATAGAAATAAATATTCTTAACATATTTTGACAAATAAAATCCAGCAATATTTAACAAGGCAACTAAGAGTTAACTTGGGAATAAAAGGTTACTTCAAGATTTGAAAACCAATATATACCTCATAATAAAATTCTAAAGAGGAAAAGTATGATAATCTCACTAAAGAGAAGGCATTTGACAAAATTCAACATCTATTCATGATAAAAACTTAGCAAACTAGGAATAGAACATCCTCAACCTAATAAAGGTAGTTATAGAAACCCTACAACTAACATCATTCTTAATAGTGAAACTTAGAAAACATTATTTGTAATGGCACCAAAAGTAAAATAGTTAAAAATAAATGTGACAAATGCTTTATAATACGTTTTATAAAATATGTTTAATAAAACACATTTAATTACTTTTATTTTTAACTTTCTGGGGTGAAGTTTTCTATTTATGGATAAAATATTATACATGTATATGCATTTATCAAACTCATCAAATTGTGCACTTAAGATGTGTATATCATCATAGGTAAATTTTATGTTAAAAAAAACCCTCCCATAAACAAAAATTAAACTCTAGTGATTAAGTTTGCTTTATATGCTGGTACTGTTAGCAATTTGCAAACTACTTTCTGTTTATTATAGGAATGAGTAAATGGATGACTATATTGAGAATGATGAAAGTTAAGTTTCTCACTGCTGAATAAAGGAGTTACAAATATAGAAAGACAAAGACTAGAATTTATCCTCTGGTGTTTTATCGTAATGGAATTGGATTTATCAGTATGAACCTGTATTTCTTTTGTTGTTGTTGTTGTTGTTGTTGTTGTTGTTGTTGAGATGGAGTCTCGCTCTGTCGCCCAGGCTGGAGTGCAGTGGCGCGATCTCGGTTCACTGCAAGCTCCGTCTCCCGGGTTCATGCCATTCTCCTGCCTCAGCCTCCCAAGTAGCTGGGACTACAGGTGCCCGCTACCATGCCCAGCTAATTTTTTTTTTTTTTGTATTTTTTAGTAGAGACGGGGTTTCACCATGTTAGCCAGGATGATCTCGATCTCCTGACCTCGTGATCCACCACCTCGGCCTCCCAAAGTGCTGGGATTACAGGCGTGAGCCACCACGCCCGGGCGAACCTGTATTTCTAACTCTGTGTAAAACTTTGTTATTGTCTCTTCCTTCTTGTCCTTTTTCTCCTTGTCTTCGTTTCTCCTTATCCTTCTTCCTGTCTGTGCAGATGCATGTATGGGTGCACACACACACACCCACACACACAACCCAACACATATGCATATTTCCTACCTCTGTCGGCTCAGAAGGCGTATAAACCATTGGAACACCAAAGCAATGAGTACATCTGGCACCTATATCTTGGTTTGTAAATACCATTGCCCAGTTAAAGAAGCTAACTTAAGTTAAAGAAGCTCAACCTTCTTGGAGGAAAGTCTGAATCCAGAACTGGCAGAGAAACTACAAGATAAGACTGGAAAACTTTGAGTCAGAAAATAAGCACAATGGTCAGTTTTATGTGACAAATGGACTAGGCTCTCTATCCCAGATTACTCAGTCAAACACTTTCCTAGGTGTTGCAGTAAAGGTACTGTGTAATACACAATTAGTTGACTTTAATAAAGGAGGCATCCTGGAAAATCCTATTAGTTAAAATGCCTTATGAGCAAAACTAAATTCTAAGATTCCCTGAAAAGGAAGAAATTCGCCTATGGACTACAGCTTCAGATTCTGCAAGGAGTTCCCAGCCTGCCAGAGTGCCCGCAGTTTCCAATTTACTTAGGCAGCTCCAAATAGTGTAAGTCAATTCTTTGCAATACATTTCTTTCTCTCTCTCTCTCTCTCTCTCTCTGTCTCTCTCTCTCTCTCTCTCTCTCTCTCTCTCTCTCTCCCCCTCTCTCTCTCTCGCCTACTGTTCTTTTTCCTCTGGTGGAACCCCAACTGATGCAGTAAGGGAGAACAAAATAACAACAACTAATCAAAAAGATATAGCAGCTAGCTTGAAGAGGCATCTACATATCCAATATGAGAATTTGGGGCATCAAAATATGCAATGAATGATAACTTATTGAATAAAGTAAGGATCTATGTGTCTGTACTAACATAAATAAATGAGTAAAGAAATGAGCAAATAAGTGGAAGATAGATAGAAAAATTCTTCCTTAAAGTAGAATATGAACTAACAAATGTAGAGGGAATGGTGTAGTTTAAAAAATCATCAGTGGATGCTAAAACTCAATAAAGGTCATGAGAAACAAGATATTTACAGAGGCACCAAGTACCCCCTCACAGAATATTAATAACAGAGAAAAATGGTAGCTTTACAGTGGAGGATCATGGACTACATCATCTCAATTAAGGAATCAAAGTTAACATCATCGATATTGGTACAAACCAGATCCATATGCCTCCTGATACTGTGTGTTGAAAGAGACTCAGTGTCACGTCAGTGTGCCTGACACACCGCATACCTGACAATACACATAACAAGAATCTAATCATGAGGAAATAGCCATGCCCAAAATGAGGAACATTCTGTAAAATAAATACCCAATTCTCCTTCAAACTGGCAATGTTCATAAAGATTCTTTTAAGTTTGGGGAGTGTTTTGGGTTAAAGGTTGCTAAATCAGCCTGGCAGCAAAGTATAATTGTAATACTGGATTCAATTCAGCATGAAAAAATAAAATTAGCTATAAAGCACCACTCTGGGATAACTGGCAAAATTTCTCTGTGACTTGACTAATGGTAATGTGTCTATGTTAAATTTCCCAATTTTGAAAACTGTACTGTGGTTATGTAAGATAATGTCCTTGTTCTTAAGAAATACACTGAAGTATTTAGCAATAAAAGGGCCCAATGTCTCTACATTACTCTCAAGAGGTTCAGAAAATATGTATACATAAATATTTAGTAAGAGAATAATAAATCAATGGGACAAAATATAAACAACTGGTGAATATGAGTAAAGGGATAAGTGATTTCCTAACACGATTTTTGCAACATGTCTGAAAGTTTAAAACTATTGCTAAATTAAAAGTTACAAAAAAAAGTGTAAAAAAAAATCTATGGTGCCAAGATTACATTTTGTGGTAATAACCATATGGATATAAAGAAAATAGGAGGACTTAGGTTTTATTTCCATTGAAAAACAATGAGTAGATAAAATTAGAGGTCAACAACTAAGACAGATCCGATTTTTGCATTCTGCTTCATTGCCATAGAAAGTAAACAAGAACAAAAGATCAGAATTTTGTTTCCTGACTGTAAAACTTCGTCACTTGTCTTTTTTCTGATTTGCTTTCCAGTCTCTCACGTCTGGAATTCTCGAAATCACTGGTTCCAACTGGATCACTCTCCGCAAATGGCCTCAGCATTAAAGAATGATCTCTTTTTATAAACTTCAACAGAAGGTAATCAAATACAGTATTTATCATAGCAAAATAGTGGGAACATGGGAAAATGCCTTTCCAGCTGGTTCTCATGTTTTCCTGAGAGGCTTTAGATATTGCAGCCTAAATAATTTTAGAAAAAATTCTCAGCTCAAATTAGTAAGTAGATGGCTGAAAGCTTATTTTATTTGCAAGGAGACACTATAATTGGACTTTGAGAAAGGGAAAAAAAAGGCATGATTATATTGCTGTGGTGTTGAATTGCAGAGAAGAGGGATGGACTTAAATTTATAATGTGGGTTGAACTTTTCCCATTTGTAGAGACCTCTATTGTGGAAATAAAAACGTTGTATGTAGTTTTTGTTTACTTCTCTCACCAATTCTGGGTTCTCCAATCCCAAATAATTTTTTTCCCAAAGCTGTAATTACTGAGATTACAAATAATTCGAAGCATTGCAGCTGGTCCTGTTCTGGCATAATTCCAACACATAATCACCTGTCGTGTGCACTAATTCCTGCCATGATTAAGCCCCTTTATTCGAAGTAGGGTTTGACAGCTCTATTGTTTAAAATGTCACCCATTAATAGAACAGGCATGGGCTTGTCTGTACTTGAACTAGTTTCCTTGCATATTTCCTATGTCAGCCTCAGTTAAGCTGTTGTACTGTGTATGTGATGAGTGATCACTTTTCCTGAAGCCTGATATTGTCAATAAAAGACTAATGATATGTGAGACCACAGCTTAGTTAGATATAAACATAGATTCAAACAAAGCCTTCTAGAAAACATTGGAAAGAGAATTTAATGGGCTCCACACTAGAGCAGTAGACACAGAATTGTTTTGGTGTCTTTTAAGACAAAAGGGCCACACTTACACATGACGATAATACCGTTTTTCCTTGTTGTGGGAAAACAAGCTTCTGACTGAACCTGAAAATTTACCATTTGAAAATGTCTCTACAATATATTTTTAATATATTACTTTTAATGAAGGTAATCTTTTCAAAATCTTTTTGTTATTTTTCTAAAACTCAACTCTAAATGCTAATTAAATGTGACAAATCTTATGAAACTGCTTACAGGGATACAGAGCCTACTTCAAGTAAAAGAAGAAAGTAAATACCTTCTATAGGTGACCTTGAAAATGGTAAATTACAACCACTGATTTTGTTGTTCGAACTGAAAATTTTGTGCGATCCTAAAAAGCTCCATTGAGAAAAATTGGCACAGTCCTAAACTGACCCAAATGGAGATGCCAGAAGGAATAAGGAAGGCTTTGTGTTAATGCTTAAGTTCCATCTCCCGACCATATCTTATTCAAATTCATGCATGCTTTGCTAATATCTTTCACCTGCTACTGTTAGCATTTGTGGTTGCAGCTAGATTTCTACAGTTCTTAATCAAATAGCAGCCTCCTTCTGTTTCTGTAACCCACAAAGACCATGTGATCACGTCTGCAGTCATTTCCATTGTCTACTGTTTGCCTAAAGTTTGATCACAGACCACAGCAAGTTACAGTGATTGTGCAGAGAGTTGTCTGAGAAGAATGTCTTTCCCAGATCTATTTGGTCCACCAGCTGCAAAGGTCAATCATAGATAGATAGTATCAGAACTCCCAACTCCTACATTTTCAGCCTGTACCCAGAAGGAGGGCCCTTCTGATTGCTGACTCAAGACCTTCACTCACTTGCATTATTTTATCACCAAGTCCTAGCACTTCCCTTATACATATTGAAGATTTTATTCCTAATGGATCAAGAAGCTTGAAAGGCCAATCAAAAAGCTATCCTCTCAGCCAATAAGAGGTAAAGGATACATGTTTTTTTTGAAAAAAGAAAAAAAAAACTTTTGTCCTTGGGTCAGCCTCTCAGTGACCTATAGGAAAAAACAGACAGAGAGTCTTTAGGAGGTATAAACAGAAAAGAATTGATACTTGGGAAAAAGATTTTAAGAGTGGAGGATTCTAAATATAGTTTCAGAATTCTGCCTTTCTATCAGCACAATATAAAGTCATTTGACATGTTGTTTGTGCTTTCATTCCAAGAAGCACATAGATGAATGGGCGTGGAGAGAGCCAGGCATCAAGCCAATGCATTGTGTAGGGGCTCTGTCCTGGGCAAATTTTCCCTTTCCCTCCTCCTCCTTCCCTAAATCCCAACATGCTGCCAACAAACAACTCTAGCCAGGACAGATAAATTTCACCACTTGTAAAATTAGGCAAATATGTAGATAGCAGAGCAAATTGTTACTTAGACTGTGCCATGTTTCTAAAAATAAAAACAGTAACAATTACCCTTGAAACTGCTTGTTAAAATGTCTAAAACTCTTTCAAAAATAATAGTTAGAAATGCTATTGAATCATCAATTATTTTCTTAATGCCACCTGTTAATTGCCATAAATCCTCCCCTGTGGACATAGTTATTCAGCCTGTTACAGACGTAATTCACCTTTACATAATTTCTGAAAAAATACATGCAAATCGAATTTTGTAAATTGTATAACATTTTAAACATGTGTGGAAAGTTTTCTATCTGAAAAAAAAGCCCAGAGTCCATTTGAAAGGGAGTGCAAGAATTTAATATTATAAATGAAAATTGACTACAATAAAAAAATTATCCTACTTTATTGGCTCAGTATTTTTAATATCCCTACTCTTTAGAATTTCTTCAAGCTAGTAACATCCATACAGAATGGCATAAGCTTAAGAGGTTGCATGTATATATTATATACATGTATAATGGTTGCTTATTAGAATCTCATAATAAAGTACACCAATATTTTCCATGTCAGGTCATTATTTCCCCATGGAGAGCAACTAAATATGCCATGTATGACTATTAGAAAAGTCTGTTACAGCTTTAGGCAGTATAAATATCTTCAAAAGCATGGGATCTGGAGTTAGGCAAAGATATATTTGATTCCCATCACTTTCAGTAGCCTTGGGAAAGTTGTTTATACATTCTAAGACTCAGTTTCCTCAGCTGCTGCATGGGGAATAACAGTAGTTCTATCTTCAGAAATTCATGGCATATAAAAACACTTTGCATAGGGCAAATTGATCAAGACTGCAATGATACCATGTCAGTCACTTCTGGCTGAGAGAATGCTGTGTAACAACTTCCAAATCTCAGGGACTTGCAAAAACAAAGGGCATTTGTTGCTCAAGTTCCATGTCAGGAGCTGGTTGGCTGCAACTGTGTGGTTCTGAGGCTGTACTGCAGGGAGCAGGTGGAGAATGAGGCTGCGCTGTCTGCTGATTCCTGGAGTCAGGCTGGAGCAATGGCCCCTGCTTGATATATGTTGTCCTTATGAGGGAGGGGAGAAATGCAAGAATAGTGGTAGAAATGCATACTGCTTCTTGAAGATTCTGCTCAAACTGCCACCCCATCATTTCTGACATGACATTTGACCTACATGAATCATATGGCTAAGCTCAAAGTCAATGGAGCAGGGATGTGCATTCCGTATCAGAAAGAAGGCAAGTCATATGGTGAAGTGTATAAATAAATATTTTGTTCAAAGGAAGGAGTGAAAAATAGTGACAATAATACAATTGAATACATACACCAAGGAACTAAAACAGCTCTATGTAGTTGGCAATAAAAGAGGGGAATTTGCTAAAAAGACCACATTGGGGCATCCCATATGATCAAAGAAAAGGGCAGGGCATACAATCAAACTGAATCATAGACAGGGCAAACACATATATGGACTTCAAGAACAAGGGGAAACAGAGTTTTGACACAGCTACAACTCTGTATCTCTCTTATACCTACTGGTGTTGGCTTCATTTATTTTCCCCGCCAAAGAAGATTGGATTCCATCATGAGACAGAAAACATGGCGGCCTTTGGTTTCCAAGTCTCACATTCTGCAGCTCTCCCCACTGGGGAGCACTTCCCTCCCTTTACCAGTGCTGGTTACAAAATTCCTGGAGAAGAATATTGTTTGAATCAGATGTCTGGGCTGGGTCCAACCTGAATCAGATGTCCCATCAACTACTGAGCTGAGCTGGGGTCATTTTCCACAGGAGCCCATGATGGAAAGGACTGGTCTGGGAACAAAACAACAAGTGGCCAGCACATTAGGACATAGTACATGTATGTGTTCAAGGGTTAGAAATTATTTCTAGAGCTGGTAGTATTTTACTTTATACATTTTACATATGTTTTTTATGTAGCACAACAGCTCTATAGGGAACATTTCAGTGATACAAGTTTAAATTTCCATATATAATTTTGATTGGCCTTTGGAGCCTGAAAAGACTAATTAAGAAGCAGCCTGCCTTCATGGAAAGAATACCCAATGGGCAGACAGGGAGGAGATTTTAGTAAACAGTGCTGGCTCTGCACTAACTTGCTGGGTTACTATAAGTACGTTGCTTGAACTTGCTAGTCTCTTACTTCCTCTAGCATGAAGTCCAAATTAGCTAGCCCTGCCATATTCTTGCATCCACTGTCTTTACAGACTTACTGTCTTCTCTCTTCACCTACCTCCCCCATCTCAAATCTTACATTCCAGCCTCAACTGTACCTCTTTTTTTTTTATATATACCTGGCTTCATTCTAAAAGGAGGCAGTAGAAGGCTAAACAGGGACTTGCTTCTGCAGAAAATCAGGTCAGGATCCAAGTCTGTGCTTGCAGCTGTTTCTCTGTCCAGCTACTTGACCTTGGGCTTGGCTTTGGACCCTTAGTGTCCAGGTTGCTGTCTGAACCTTCAGCTCCTTTCAACCACTCTGGTGCTTCTTGTGTTTCTCAGTCTCCTCTCTGTCCTATAGTCATGCTTGAAGGTAGGTGGGAAAGAGAGAGGGGGAGGTTTCTAAACTGAAACGCATATTGAACCTAAGCAGAGTGGCAGTTAAAAGTGAAGGCTTGGCTGGCATGGTGGCTCACACCTGCAACCCCAGCACTTTCAGAGGCAGAAGTGGGAGAATCATTTGAACCTAGGAGTTCAAGACCAGCCTGGACAACATGGTGAAACTCCATCTCATATATATATATAAATGGCCAGGCATGGTGGCATGCACCTGTGGTCCCAGCAAGTCAGGAGACTGAGGCAGGAGGATCGCTTGAGCCCAGGAGGTAGAGGCTGCGCCAACCCCTGATTGCACCACTGCACTCCAGCCTGGGCAAGAGAGCACAGCCTGTCTCAAAAAAAAAAAAAAAAATAGAGTGAAGGCTTGGAAGAAGACTGCCTGGTTTCAAGTCTTGGCATAACCAATTATCATCTATGTGGACTGGTTCAAGTTATTTACCAGACTGTCAATGTCTTCATCTATAAATGGGAATAATGGTTTGTGTGAAGGTTAAATGAGTTAATACAAAGTGCTAGACCAGTGCTTAGTAATAGCAAATGCTCAGTAAATGTTAAAACTATTTTTAATTGGTCTAGGTTGATGTATAGTGGAAGTGTGTCTATATAAACTATGTATAGTATATATACTTTATGTATGTACATACAAAAAACAATCATACACAGACACACATACAAGAAAGAATTGTCCTTCTTTCACAAAGGAGAAGGATCACAGTAAGATTACTCTGTGCTTGTATTACTACAGAATTTCCTGGGCCACATTTCATCTTTCCAGCAGCAAACAGGACCTGGAAGGCAATGTATAGATGGTTGTTCTGCCGTTGTTAGAGATGGCTTCTCTACAGTCCTCCAGTGGGGACCTTCTGGGTTCATCTTGAAGTGTGTATAGCAATGCCATTCTTTTGTTTGTGCAGTGACCTGAGGAGAATTTGTGAGTCTACAAAACCGCTCTCTAATTTACCCAGGTGCATCATGGTGAGGAGACCAGAAGAAGAGCATTGGAGTTTCACCCTCTCCCTCACAACTTTCATGCTCACCTTCAGACGAACTAGCTTACAGCTGACGCAGAATTTTCAAATGACTATTTGACTCCACTGAAGTAATTTTGAAATGATTATTTTTAACTAAGTACATAAGCAGTAGGTAAACATGGGGAAATTTCTGAGGTTGTTATAGGAAGTGAGTGTTTTAAATTCCTGACTTTTCATTATTTAGACAAAGCTCTATTTCGATGGCATTCTCTAAGAAAAAAATAGTTTTTCAGTGGCAAAGACCACATATTAAATCAATTTCTGAAGCCATGAATCTTCATATTACTTGATGACAATGTCAGTGGTCATTCTAGATTATTCACATACTTTATATCTCAGATACTGAAATACAGAAATTGCCATAAATAAGACAGAATACAGAGGACAGCAGTGTACCATTATACTATGTATACAGACTTCAGAATAATTCCAAAATAGGTATAAAATCTGGAGCCAAGACTTAAAATTATCTTTACTTACTTTTGGCACATGACATGTTCTTCCTATTTTGACTATTTCTTAACATTTTTGGAAATTTTTAGGATACTTCAGATAGAATGGTACAATGAATGTCTGTAAGCCATACCATGGTAAGCTTAACATATGGACATTTTTTTACTCAATCATAATGCAGATACTCTCTCATCTCCTATTGAATTTTCTATAATAAAATTCACCCTTTTTGGTGTACAGTTCTGTGAGTTTTCACAAATGCATAAATTTTTGTAACCACCACCATAAGACAGTTACACCATTATATAAAAAATTCATCTTACCACCCCATTGCGGTGAAACCTTCTCTCTAATTGCCACTGAGCTATTCTGCATCTCTATAATTTTGCCTTTGCAAACGTGTTGCATATTCTTGAGTGTGTTACATTGCTTGGGTCTACTGCAACTTATTTATCCACAGACCAGCTGAAGGACATTTAGACTGTTTCCAATTTGAGGGGATTATAAGTAAATCCTCACCTACAGATATTTATGTGAATATTTTCATTTATTTTGGGTTGATGCCTGAGAGTAGGATTGCTGAATCATAGTAAGTACATATTCCATTTCTTAAGAAATGCCCAAACTATTTTCCAAAGCAGCTATACCATTTTGCATTCCCCCCAGAAATGTACTAGTTTTCCGGTTACTCTGCACACTCACCAGCATTTATATTGTCACTATTTATTATTGTAGGTATTTTTGTATGTGTGTAGTGCTACATCATTGTGGTTTTAATTTGCAAGTTACTGAGGATTAAATAATATCTTGAGGATATTTTATGTGCTTATTTGCCTACCCTATATTTTCTTTGGTGAACTGTCTTTTTAAATCATTTGTTCATTATTTAATGGACTAGACTTTTTCATATTGAGGAGGTTTGAAAGTCCTTTATATATTCTGGATATACATGCTTTGTCAGATATGTGATTTAGATACATTTTCTCAGTCTGTAACCTGTCCCTTTCATTCTCTTAAGAGTGTCTTTCACAGAGCCAAGGACTTTAATTTGGATGATGTCCAGTTTACTAAGTTTTTCTTGTATGCATCCTGCTTTTGGTGTCATATCTAAGAACACTTTGTCTAATCCAAGGTCACAAAGATTTCTCCCTCTATTGTCTTCTGAAAGTTTTATAGTTTCACATTTTGCATTTAGGTCTATGATTCATTTTGAGTTAATTTTTGTGTAAGCTCCAGGATATAATTCTAGGTTACTTTTATGCCTATGGATGTTCAATTGTTTTGGCACAATTTGTTGGAAAATCTATTCTTTTTCCAGTGAAATGTCTTGGCACCCTTGTAAAAATCAATTAACCACATTTGTCTGGATATATCTTTGGACTCTTTATTGTGTTCTATTGCTCTATCTGTCTATCCTTTCACCAAACCATATTATTTTGATTACTATAGCTTTAGAGTAAGTCTTGAAATAGGGCAGCATGTGTCCTTCAACTTGATTGCTCTGTCAAAATTGTTTTGGTTATTCTAATACCTTTGGTTTTCTATATAAATTTTAGACTCAGCTGGTAAATATGTACAGGGAATCCTTCTGGGATTCTGAATGGAGTTACATTGAATCAATAGATTATTTGGGGAAAAATTGGCACGCTATCATTGTTTCAATACACAAACAGGTTATATCTCTTCATTTATTTAGATTTTCATCTATCTCTTTCATCAGTACTTTGCTGTTTTCAGCATATAAATACAGTATATATTTTGTTAGATTTATACCTAAATGTTTCATTTTTTGATATAATTGTAAATAATACTACTTTTTCAAATTTGATTTCCAGTTATTCCAGCTAATAGGTAGAAACATGATTGTTATTGTATAATAACCTTATATTCTGTGACCCACTAAACTCAATTATTTGTCCCGAGAGCTTTTTATAGATTCCATGGGATTTTCTTTGCAGACAATCATGTCTACATGATTGGACATTTAGATGTCCAATCTAATGGATACAGTTTTATTTCTTCCTTCCCAATTTATATGCCTTTTAATTGTTTTCCTTGCTTTGTTTCAGTTGCTGAGACTTCCAGGATGATGTGAACAAGAGCCGTGGGAGAAAGCATCCTGGCCTTGCACCTGGTCTGATGAAGACAGCACTTGGTCATTCACCACCCTACTCTGGAGAATGTTACTCTGGATAACAGGAAGTCATCCAAAAAATTCTAGCTTGGCTTCTATCTGTGATGGTTCCAATTCAAAGTCTTTGCTACGCTGTTTGGGTCTTCCCAGCATATGCACCATATAAAAGGTTAGTCTGGGACTTGGCAGTGGTTTCTATGGAGTTCAGTTCTTGAACTTGTTGCTATGTGTCTTTGGTCCAATCCACACATACATTGCTCAGGGGTAACTCTGGAACTTATGCCAGTTTATACACAGAATTAGGCGATGCTTTTCTCCAGCTCTCTGCAATCTGGGATTTCTCCTACTATCTCTGACCCCCCCACTCTCTTTCTCATTCCTCCTGCTGGAAGGATGGAGTTCTCAGAGTTTAGCCTCTAGCACTGACATGCAGTTCTACACAACCGAAGCCATCCTTGTGTCATTATTCAAGTTTTGGCCTTTGTCCCTAACAAACGTCTACTCAACGTTTGTGATCTACACATATCCACAGTCAATATGCTCTGTTACCCCTGCTGGATGCCGAAAACCATGGATATGCCTACAACCTATGTCTACTGTGTTTTTCCTATACATACGTAACTATGATAAAGTTTAATTTGTCATAGGCTCAGTAAAAGATTAACAATAGCTAATAATTAATAGAACAATTATAACAATTATGCTGTAATAAAAGTTTTGTTAATGTGATCTCTTTCTCCGCTTTCAACGGAGTCATCTTGTTCTTTTAAGATTTGAGGCTGGGCATTGACTTCTCTGTGTGTAAAAAAGTCCTACATAGCATCTTCTTCCAATAAAAGGCTGTTTCATCTACATAGAAAATATGCTTTTTAGTGTAGCCACCTTCATCACTTCTCTTAGCTAGATCTTCTGTAGCTTCTCCATCAACACTTGCCACTTCACCTTACACTTCATGTTATGAAGACAGCTTCCATCCTTAAACCTCATGAACCAACCTCTGCTAGTTTTAAATTTTTTTCGGAGCCTTTTAAACTTCTCTCAGTCTTCATATAATTGAAGAGAGATAGGGCCTTGTTCTGGGTTAGGCTTTGACTTAAGGGAAGGTTGTGGTCAGTTTGATCTTCTATTCAGACCACAAAAACTTCCTTCATGTCAGCAATAAAGGTGTTTCACTTTCTTATCATTTGTGTTTTCACTGAGGTAGGAATTTTAATTTCCATCAAAAACTTTTCCAGGGCTGAGTGTGATGGCTCACACCTGTAATCCCAGCAATTTGGGAGGTTGAGGTGGGAGGATCACTTGAGGTCAGGAGTTTGAAACCAGCCTGGGCAACACAGCAAGACCTTGGACTCTACAAAAAAGTTTTTAAAAAATCATCTGGGTGTGCTGGCATGTGCCTGTAGTCCCAGCTACTTGAGAGGCTGAGGCAGGAGGATTGTTTGAGTCCAGAAGTTCGAGGCTGCAGTGAGCTATGATCATACCACTGTACTTCAGCGTGGGCAACAAAGTGAAACTGCCTCAAGCAACAAAACAAAACAAAGGAACTTTTCCTTTGCATTCCCAACTTGGCTAACTAACATATCACATACAGAGAAAGAAGGATTATTAACAGCCACCTTCTTATCAGAAACTGTAAGGACAGAAAAAGGGAGAACAATCTTTTGGAAATGCTGAAAGAAAAAACTGTGGACACAGAATTTTATATTCAATGTCAATATCTTTTAAGAATGAAGCCCCAGCTGGGCATGGTGGCTCACGCCCGTAATCCCAGCACTTAGAGAGGCCGAGACGGGTGGATCACCTGAGGTCAAGAGTTCAAGACCAGCCTGGCCAGCATGGTGAAACCCTGTCTCTACTAAAAATACAAGAAAAATTAGCCAGGCTTGGTGGCACACACCTGCATTCCCAGCTCCTCAGGAGGCGGAAGCATGTGAATAACTTGAACCCGGGAGGTGGAGGTTGCGGTGAGCTGAAATGGTGCCCCTGCACTCCAGCCTGGGTGACAGAGTGAGACCCTGTCTCAAAAAAAAAAAAAAAAAAAAAAAAGTGAAGCCCCAGAACATCAGTACATTCATACTCTCTCAGACATTATTGAGTAGCTTCATTTGGCACAAAAGGCTTAGCTTTTGGTCTATGTCAGCTTTCGACATGCCTTCCTCACTGAGCTTAATCATTTCTAGTTTTTGACATAAAGTGAGAGAAATGCAGCTCTTTCTTTTACTTAAACACTCAGAGGTCAATGTCGAATAATTAATTAGCCTAGTTTAATATTCTTGCGTCTTTTGGAATGGAGAGGCCCGGGGAGAGGAAGAGAGATGGAGAAGTAGGAACACACACATCATTGACAGATAAGTTCACTGCCTTATATGGGGATGGTTCATAGTGCCCCAAAACAATTACAATGGTAACATCAAAGATCACTGATTATATATCACCATAACAGAAATAATAATAGTGAAAATGTTTGAAAAATTTTTAGAATTACCAAAATCTGACACAGAGACATGAAGTAAGCACACACTGTGAAAAATGGTACCAACAGACTTGCTCGAAGAAGGGTTGCCACAAACCTCTGATTTGCAAAAAATACAGTATGTGAGAATTTCAGTAAAGCAAAGTGCAACAAAATGAGATATGCCTGTGTTTTCTTAGTCTGTATGTTTATATAGTATTTATTAAATCTTATTTCTAACAGCTTTAAGAATGTTCCATTTTATTACAAATGATGAAATACAATTTTCTAAATATTAACTGTTTTGTTATCAGAAATAAAAATTGTAGCATTTTATATACACATGTTTCAGTTAGTACCAAGTTTTTTATTTTCTTAATTTTAATTTTTTAAACTTTTTTCTTTCCAACTTTTATTTTAGGTTAAGGGGGTACATATGCACGTTTGTTACATAGGAAAATTGTGTATCATGACGGTTTGGTGTACAGATTACTTCATTACCCAGGTAATAAGCATAGTACCCAATAGGTAGTTGTTTGATACTCACCCTCCTCCCACTTCTGATTTTTAAGAGATCAATTTGGAAACCCCATGTAATGTCTTTTTGTTGTTGTTTTTATAAATCTTTTGGCATTTTTAGGATTTTTTAAACTTTTATTTTAGACTCAGGGGGTACATATGCAGGTTCGTTATCTAGGTAATATTGTGTAATACTGAGGTTTGGTGTATGAATGATCCCATCACCCAGACACTGAGCATAGTACCCAACAGTTTTTCAACATTTCCTTTCCTCTCCCCTCCCCAGTAGTCCCAGTGTCTATTGTTGCCATCTTTTTGTCCAGGAATACCCAATGTCTAGCTCCCGCTTGTAAGTGCGAACATGTGGTATCTGGTTTTCTGTTCCTGTATTAATTTGCTTAGGATAATGGCCTCCAGCTATATCCATGGTGCTGCAAAGCACAATATTTTATTCTCTTTTATGGCTGTGTAGTATTTCATGGTGTACATGCACCACATTTTCTTTATCTAATCAACTGTTGATGAGCCGCTAGATTGATTGCATGTCTTTGCTGTTGTGAATAGTGCTGTAATGAACATGTGAGTGTATGTGTCTTTTTGGTAAAATGACTTGTTTTCTTTTGGCTATATACCCAGTAATGGGATTGCTGGGTTGAATGGCAGTTCTGTTTTAAGTCCTTTGAGAAACCTCCAAACTGCTTTCCATAGTGGCTGAACTAATTTACATTCTTACCAACAGTGTTTAAGTGTTTTCTTTCTCCACAGCCTTGCCAACATCTGTTGCTTTTTGACTTCAGAAGAAGTCAAACTATCTCTCTTCACAGACAATATGATTCTATACCTTGAAACCACTAAACACTTTGCCAAAAGGCTACTGCAACTGATAAACAACTTCAGTAAACTTTCAGGATACAAAAAATCAGTAGCATTTCTATACATCAACAGCATTCAAGCTGACAACCAAATCAAGAATACAACCCATTTATAATAGCCACAAAAAAATTTGTAGGAATGCATCTAACCAAGGAGGTGAAAGATCTCTAAAAGGAGAACTACAGCTAAAAGAAATCATAGATGACACAAACAAATGGAAAAACATTCGATGCTCATGGACTGGAATAATCAATATTATTAAAATGACCATATTGCCCAAAACAATCTACAGATTTAATGCTATTCCTATCAAACTATCATCACTTTTCACAGAATTGGAAAAAAAACATTATAAAATTCATTTGGAAACAAAAAAGAGCCTGAATAGCCAAGCAATGACGTCACTCTACTTCTAACTCTAAGGCTACAATAACCAAAACATCATGGTACTGGTCCAAAAACAGACATGTGGACCAATAGAACAGAAAAGAGAACCAAGAAATAAAGCCTCACACTTATAGCCTCTAATCTTTGGGAAAAATTGACAAAAACAAGCAGTGGGAAAAGGGCTCCCTATTCAATACATAGTGCTGAGATAGCTGGCTAGCCATATGCAGGAGAATGAAACTGGACCCCTACTTTTCACCATATACAAAAATTAACTCAGAATGGATGACAGATATAAATGTAAGACCTTAAACCAGGAGTGTCCAATCTTTTGTCTTCCATGGGCCACATTGGAAGAAGAATTGTCTTGGACTACATATAAAATACACTAACACTAATGATAGCTGATGAACTTAAAAAAAATGCAAAAAAACTCATAATGTTTTAAGAACATTTACAAATTTGTGTTGGGCCACATTCAAAGCCATCCTAGGCCACAGGCTGGACAAGCTTGACTTAAACTATGACAATCCTAGAAGAAAATGTAGGAAACAGCATTCTGGACATTGGCCTTGGGAAAGAATTTATGACTAAGTCCTCAAAAAAGCAATTTTAATAAAAACAAAAATTGACAAGTGGGACCTAATTAGAGAGCTTCTGCACAGCAAAACAAACAAACAAACAACAACAACAACAAAAACTATCACCAGAGTAAACAGACACCCTACAGAATGGGAGGAAATATTCACAAACTATGCCTCCAACAGAGATCTAATATCCAGAGTCTTTCAGGAACTTAAACACTTGAACAAGCAAAAAACAAATAACCTCATTAGAAATAAGCAAAAGACATGAACAGACACTTCTCAAAAGAATACATACAAGCAGCCAACAATCATGTATTAAATTTTAAGTAGGAAGAGAATACACCATAAACACAAATGTTCCTAAGTGAGAGTAAATCTTAACTGGACATTTCTTTTTACTTTCAAGCTGATTTACCCTCTACTTAGAATTCCAGCCTGCAACTGATTTTTGCAGTTGTTTGATTCAATTATGTGATTCTCCCCATTAATACATTTTTCATGTGATTTTTCAGTGCTGTCACTTTGATGTCCTCAATTCCAGGTCTGTGCATTCCTTCATCTTTCCTTTACTTACATATACAGTCCTATCTCTTCTCTTATTTTAGGTTGGTCGTCCTGAATAGTGCATTTAGCCCTTCACCCATGACAATCCCAATAACAGAATGCCCCGTGGAATTGGAACATCATCATAAGGAGAGTTCCAAGACACCTCTCTATTATCTCTGAAACAATGTCTGGCCATGTGCTAGGCTACCCAGTGAAGTCTGAGAGAGTATAAGTGTGTATAAGTGTGCTGCTGCTCTGGAGCCTTCATTCTTAAAAAATATTGTTACTGGATATAGAATTATACATTGGCAGTTGTTTTCTTTCAGCGTTTTCAAAATATTATTCTCGTCTTTTCTGTCTTTCATGATTTCTGATAAGAAAGTGGCTGTTAATTACCATTGTTTCTTTGTATTTAATATGTTAGTTTTCAGTATTTACTCTTTATATTTGGCTGTCAACACTTTAATATGATGTGCCTTAGCTTTAGCTTGTTTGCGTTCATTGTGAGTATTGTTTGTGCAGCATCTAGTATTTAAACATTTTTATCTTTCACCAAATTTGGGAAATGTTCAGCTATTATTTCTTTAAAAAATATTGTTCTACATCATTCTCTCATCTCCTTCTGGCATTCCTATTATATGTATGTTTTCTTGTTTTATCCAGTCTAACAGGACACTGTTAATTTCCCATAATCAGGTTTTTCACCTTGGACAATCTTTATTGCTCTATATTTGAGTTCACTTACTCTTTCTCTGTTCTATTTGACCATTAAGTTTTTCCACCGACTTTTTATCATAATTATAAATTTTAGTTCTATAACTTCCAGTTGTTTCCTATTTTATTGTTTTTAATTTTCTGCTGACATTTCCAACTTCTCTGCCAAGATTTCTATTCACTGAAATCATGTTCTGTTTTATTTCATTGACTATTGTTATAACAGCTGTCTTAATTTCTTTATCTGTCAGTTCCAGCATCTGGTTCATCTCTAGCTTGAACACAATTAATGTTTTTTTCTCCTTAGAATATTTTCCATTTTCTTGGATCTTTACATGTTGGATAATTTTGGACAGAACGTTAGTATCATGGATGTTAACAGATCCTAGATACTGTTATTTTTATCTGATAGAGCATTTTTTTTTCTTTTTGCAGGTAATATTCTTAGTTGGTCTTCAACTGAATATTGATTTTTGACAGCAGTTCAGTTTCAGTTCAGATCTTTACCAGAGCTGCTTTGTGTCTTTTCCATGCCATATGCTTCTGGATTCAGTCAGTGATATGATGGACAGGACCAGGGATCCCCTCTCTGATGATGGACAGGACCAGGGATCCCCTCTCTGCCTCTTTCCCTTCTAATATTACCCCACTCTCTCTCCAACATTTACAATTTTCTGGCTTCATTTTGATTTCTCAGACCAGAAAAATTAAGTTTTCCTAATGGACCACTGCCACTGCTGTCTGAGCCATGAAGACAACACTTAGCCCAGGCTAAAAGCAGTGGAGTTGAAAACTTACTTGTCCAGATCCATATCTCTCCTCCTTCAAGCAAGCATGGACTCCCCCATTAGATCCTGTCATCTTCTCTTCAGTCTCCAGTACTATCATATGATTACGTGCAGTCTCACAGTTGTTGTATGCAGGGTGAAGAAATCATCCAACAGGGTCTTAGTCTATTATACCCATAAGTGGAAGTCTCTGTTTAAGTCTATTTTTTAAATAATTTTGTACCAAGATAAAATACCTCTATTAATAGTGTCTTTAAAAATCACTTCTGTAATCCAACTACAACAGAAGAAAGGAAGTTTTTTAAAAGTGCTATCTTTTTCACTTGCTGAAAGAAATCAGTAAAGATAACAAATCAATTAATAAGGACTTGGGTGGTGAAGCTTCTGTAGGTAATCCTTGCTTACACTTAAAAGTGGAGGCAGTAGAATAATTATAATAATAAAAGAGCAAATATTTATTGAGTGCTGGCAATTAATCTGCAGAATGGCACAATGATTTCAGTACCGCTTTCATTCCTATTTTACAGCTGAGGAAATTCAGGAAGAGAAAGTTAAGTAACCTGACCAAGATCAGAGAGTGAAGAAGCCTGGGCACTTACAGGGAATCTAAGAACTGCCAGGGATGGAATCACATCCTCCGCGCTTAGCTTTGAAAGACTGTTAACATTGCAGCATGATGCCATGTCCAACAAGCAGAACAGCGGGGAAAATTAAGAGTAGCTTGTAAGGGTACCTCAGAGTAGTCTCACAGAGTGCCACCAACTGTCCCAGGGAGCACAGAAAGCAATCTAGGACCCACTGAAACCATCCCAGAGATGAGGTGCAGAAGTCACATGTGGAGGCCTGAGGTTGGGACAAGAAGGCCACAGAGAGCAGAAACCTCACAAAGGGCATTGTGTGGGCACAGTCAGCACTGAGCCCCAGCACAAGGCTCAAACCATGCAGAAGGCACCAGCCACACCTCAAGGGACAACAAAGGATGCCCAGAAGAGGCAGGATTCAGAACAGAGACCCCTTTTGCTACAACCACAAAGTGCTCCTAGGCTCAGATGCCTTGTGGGAGACAAGGAGATCCTGAAGAGAAGAACCCTGAGAGACCAGAGGCAGCTCTGAAGGGAGATGGAGCTTTGAATTGACTAAATATTTTCAAGATTTTTTAAATTAAAAGTGATACACGGGATAGCAATTTCAAGGGTTTTCTTCCACCCATTTGTAGGTGACATGAGAATTTTAAAATAACATGAGGTCCTTTACAGAAAAAGTTTCACTTGATGATTTTTTTGCCCCTGAGTCTGAGCACGCACATTTTGACCTTCCTCTCTCACACCAGTGAACGGGCAGTTGCAACACAATGTGTTAGGGTGCCCTTGGGGAATTGCCAAGTCTTCTGAGAAGATCTAAGCTGATAGTGGGAGGGTAGGCATCGACCTGGGAAGGGTGCTGGGAGAGGGGAGGGTTCCGTGAGCCTATCTCCAAGCCTCTCAGCTGATTGAAAGATAAAGATGGAACATGATGTGTCTGTAGAACTTCAAGGATACTGTTAGAGCTGGAATTTTCAGTAAAAGGGGGAAAACAGAAATGAGGGTAGAAGTCAGCGGGAGGTGGGCCATGATGGAATGTGTGCTCAGTTCTAATTAAGTGAATTCAACATAATCCCCCATAAAAATACAATAGGATTGTTCTGGAACTAGAAAAGCTGGTTCTAAAATTAATAATGAAAACTATAAAGCATAAAAACCAGAACATTTCTAAAAAGCAAGAGTAATAAGGGATAATTTATTATAACATATTACAAATTTCTATCATTGTTCTCTAATATAATAAAAAATAGTATGGAACTGGTATATATAGTAATTTAGTATATGATGAAAGTAGCATTTCAAATCAATGAGAGGATTAATAATTCAGTTTATGGTGTTTGAGCATCTAGAAAAAATAATAAAGTTGGATCCATACCACACAACTGATGCCAAAATAAATGTCACAGTTTTCGATGAGTAAAAGTTTAAATGTCAAAAATGAAACCTTTAAAATTCTAGAAGAAGTCATAAAATTAAAAAAATACTAATAATCTCAGACTAAGGAGGATCTTTCTCAGTCTGATGCACAACTCAGAAGCCAGGACTTTTTGATAAACTTGATAACATAAAACTATTTCTCATAGAGAAAAATGTCACAAAAAAAGTTAAGACAATGACAAATGAAACAAAAATGAACAAACAAAACTTCCTTCCACAAGGAGCTAATTTCTTTAATTTATAAAGAGAAAGAACAACAGTATAATGACCCAAATAAGAAATAGCTCACAAAAAAAGCAAGTGTGAATGGTCTTAGACATATAATATTTTCAACTGCATTTGTCATAAGAGAAATGCAATTTAGAATTACCATGACACAGCCGGGCACAGTGGCTCACGTCTGTAATCCCAACACTTCAGGAGGCTGAGGTGGCTAGATCACCAGAGGTCAGGAGTTTGAGACCAGCCTGGCCAACATGGCAAAACCCCGTCTCTACTAAAATAAAAATAGAAAAATTAGCCAGGCATGGTGGCACGTGCCTGTAGTCCCAGCTACTCAAGAGGCTAAGGCAGGACAATCGCTTGAACCCAGGAGGCGGAGGTTGCAGTGAGACGAGATCATACCACTGCACTCCAGCCTGGGTGACAGAGTGAGACTCTGCCTCAAAAAAAAAAATTACCACGACACACGGGTTCTTACTTGTCAGGTGGACAACAGTTCAGTGAGGGAGCTCCCTGGCTTTTGCAGGGCAGAGATACACAGATCCTTCTTGGCAGAGCCAGGACCTGGGCAGCTGATGGCTCTTGAAGGCAAAGGTTTTCAACCCTTAGCATCACCTGAAGACCTTTAAAGTTCCCAATGCCCAGGCGACAATCTGAATCTTTGAGGTGGAACCCAGCCATTAGTATTTCTCAGATGCCTGCGTGATTTCCATGTGAGAGAAGGGTGTGAATCGCTGCTGGAGGGCTGTTAAGAAGTTAGCCTGCAGATATACTCATTCATGTATAAAATAATATGGAAAAGAATAGTCTTTGAAGCGTGGTTTGCCATAGCAAGAACAGGCAACATAATAAACATCCCTCAGTAAGAAATTGGTTAGATGTATCAGTGGTTTCTCCAAATAATGGAATACTGTGCAGACAGCAATTCTATATACACTGACTTGGAGCAATTGCCATAATGTACAGTGTTTTTAAGTGAAAAAAAGTAAAGTGTAAAAAGTGTGACTGGAGTATCAGCATTTGTGTACACATTTTGAAAGGAATCAAAAATTTCCACATTGATTATATATTCTAGTTTACTGGAATGGAATAATTTTTTTTCTTTTTTTTCTTTGAAACGGAGTCTCGCTCTGTCACCTGTGCTGGAGTGCTGTGGTGTGATATTGGCTCACTGCAACTTCTGCCTCCTGGGTTCAAATGATTCTCGTGCCTCAGCCTCTCGAGTAGCTGAGATTACAGGCACGCACCACCATGGCTGGCTAATTTTCTTGTATTTTTAGTAGAGACGGAGTTTCACCATGTTGGCCATGCTGGTCTCAAACTTCTGGCCTCAAGTGATCCACCCACTGCGGCCTCCCGAAGTGCTGGGATTATACCGCACTTGGCCATGCAATGGAATAATTAATTTACCTGAAATGACTACTGTTACCATGCAAGGCATGTGTATTACATTGAGAGAAGGTATAATTCTTCATGATATTGCAGGGGCTAAGACATACACAAAAAATATAAGTAGATATGTGAAGAGTGGACACTAATGTTTCCAAGTAAACATTTCTGGACAAATAGACTTCTTTTTTGGAAAGACTGCTTATTTACTGATAAATTCCAGAGGAATTAATTTGTAATCTGGTCAGGATGTGTTTATGAGCTAATACATTCATTTTCCTCTCACCAAAAAAAAAAGAAGAAAGAAAAAAAAATGCCTATCATCTAGCATGCAATTCAGATAATGGAAATTGGCACAGGGACTAATTACAGCTCACAAAGAAAAAAATCTGCTATTTTGATGAAAATGTGTTTCCTAGTGTTTTTGTTATTTCCGTTGGTAATTGCAGAAAATAGTTTGAGTGCAGTGACAATTGTTATGGTTCTCTATGTATTCCTATTCTAAGTCATAAATAAAGCAGTATTCCTGGCAAATATTTTGGGATCCATCTGGAAAGAAGGAATGATGACAACTCCAGAAGATAAGCTTTTGTTGTTTCAGTGTCTCTCCTGTCTTAAATTGTTTGTTAAATAAAAGCTATGTCTTGGTGGGCATTCTGAGACTCAAAAATTCCGCTTATTCTTTCAACTTTGAAAGAACAAAAATGTATAGAGTTCCTAAGTATCTATTTGCAAGACAGAAACACAAAAAAAGCTAGAAAATTCTGTACACTAGGTTTGTTGGATACAGGTTCGAATTAATTCAGAAAGTCTAGCCCACAGCCAGCTGTTGCTTTTTGGAGGGCATTAGGGACATTCTTTGGCAGACTGCATTTTGAAATTTCAAAAAAAAATAAAACCGTATTCTAGAATGTTATGTTCTCCCACAGCTTACTGTTGCCCCAGCTGTTAGGATGGGGAGCCTGAGGAAGTCCACGGAATGTGAAAACAGAAGAACTAATACATGAAAGAAAGATATTTTAAAATACCATGAAAGTGCCAGTATTTTGTAGATTTATAACCATGACTTTCCAAATAAATTTCGACATTTATTCTGTAATGAGTTAAAAATCCTGCTAGCTACTGGCATGCGTTTCAAATTTAAAACATATTTTTCCATTCAACAAATGTAATAAATGACACTTGGTGAGCCCTAAAACCCTTGACCAGTCACAGAGTCACCAAAATACTGTGTATTTTAAATGGAACAAAAATAGGACAAAATAGAAAAAAAATAAATTTGTATTTGAGATTATTACTATTTATCTTGAAGGCTGGTTCTTGAACTAGGAAGAAATTAATCAGAGCTAGTAAAACAGTATTAATAAAATATAATCTGTTTATTAAATTACAGGGACTTTGAAGTATTGTTCCCCTTTATTTTATATGGATTTCTTGCCCCTTGACAAGAGTGCATCACCATTGATCTCCTTATGTGTATCAGCTCTCGGTAAAAGTGTTGGAAAGAGATTTTTCCTCAGGTATCTGAGCACAAATTGGAAAGGAAGGGGGAGAATTAAAGAGTGTGTATATGAATATATAAAAGAGGTAAAACCTTCAGTAAAATAACCAAAAATAAGAGCATAAATAAGCGAGAGTCCCTGAAGAGAAGAGATAGGAGATGGCCAACCAAAGTGCAGGGCGCTGTCCAGGCCTAGGACACAGAGAAGACAGGGTATCTGTTGGTGCTTGGTGAAACTGGGACCCAGCTGCTCTTCAAACTGTTTCATCAAGGCTTACCATAGAGTCTGGCACATAGAAGGAGTTCATCAATATTTGTGGAATAAGTGAGTGAACAAATGAATGGGAAAATAAATCCTGAACCCTCGGGGAGTCTCCCCTTCTCAGAGGCAACATCAGGTGGCCAAAACCAGGCAACCTAGCTCTGCCTCCTGGCTGTGTCAGGCTGATGGGATCTCAAGAATGTTAGTTGGGTCTCCCTCTTCCTCTATCAAATGGAGGGGACCCTCCTCTACAAAATGGGGTGATGACAGCATCTCCCACCGAGGACTTTGGTGAGGGTTTCGTGAACTACTATGGCAAAGTGATTTCAATACTGCCTGGTACTTAGCAAATTCTCAATACATGTTGCATCATTCATTCATTCAAACATTACCTCCTGGAGGCCTACTGGGGCCCAGGCTCTTCTCTGGTGATAGGACAACAGCCATGGACTTGAGAAAGTCCTCTGAGCAAGTCCTGCCCTCACAAAGTTCACATTTCTGGCAGGCATGTGTTTTACCCCACAGCTCTGGTTGTGAGAAATATCTAATCCTTTCTTTTTCTAAAACAAACAAACAACAAAAAAAAAAAAAGAAAGAAAAGAAATCAAATCCAAGCTTCCATTTATCAAAGTACCAAGACATTAATCTCATTTTCATCTGTCCCCTTGAATCTACAGGGCTAAAATAGCAAAGATGGGGTCCTTGCTGGTATTGTGTGAAACTGGGACCCAGCTGCTGTTCTTCAAACAATATGACTAAGATTTACCATAGAGCCTGGCATGTAGCAAGGTTTCATCAATATTTGTGGAACTTGGGAAAGAGGGAAAGTGTCTCTGAGCACTGACGTGCCCAGTGGCCAGAACTGCAGGGTCCACTGAAAGATGGGCAGAGTTCCATGGGCCAGGATCACCAACCACCAACAGCAATGCCGGCCAAGCATCCCAAGACTCAGATCACCACCCACCACCTTTCTTTTTCTAGGGAGATGACAGCTGAGCTGAGGAAGGCTAAGGGGTCTGCTACACAACAAAACAGGAGAGTATTCCAGGCTGGGGCTTAGATACATCGTTCTAGCCCATTGAAAAAAAACTGGGGGCTCCCAGGAGGTGCAGAGTGGCTAAAAAGTGTTACGTGACTTTTGTGCTGACATGAAGCATCATTGATTTAGGACCCTCTTCCCAAACACGTTCTCATCCAACTCACAGCAGCATTGTTCCTGGCGCAGGAATGAGAAGCAGAATGTCCCAAAGGGAGAGCGAGGTTGGCAAGCAAAAAGCTGCAAGCCCCTGGACGCTGAAGGGGAGCCCACACGGGGCAAGGATTGAGATGGGTTCAGAGAAGTCGCTGTGGAAGGAGGCACCCAGGAGCACAGGAATAGGCTCCATGCCCCTCTGTCTTTGCCTGCAATGGGCCTTTTCTCCTCAGCTCCTCTCTGGCTGAATGGCAGAGGTCAACGGTACACAGAAGAGCAAGGCCAGAAGGTGCTCTGTCCTGCCAGGGCCTGATCTCCCCTGCACAGGTCCTTGGGAATATGGCTCAACCTTTGGGCTGTGCATGCTTTCACAGTCTTGCTTCTTTACCCCTGAGGTTCTCAGGATGCATTCCAAGGTTTAACTTTGCACTTGAAGATGGGAGATAGAGATAAAGAAGGCAACTTTCCCAAGGTGACCCTGCAAGAACTGACCTCAGACCCATTTGGGGCTTCAAAAGAATGCTTGAGTCAAGCATGGTTAATGGTTTATTTTCCCATATGTAATTTTTCTTTTCACGTTGTACATGGTCTTGATAATAGACAATAAGCTATTGTTTTATTTGGCTAGAAAGGCTTTACTGTAAACATTTTTCCATGGAGCAATTTGAAACTGGAGTGGCTAACTGACCCATTTGTTATCATAAGGGATGGGGACATGACTCATAGCAGAGGAAACAGATCACTGTTGCTATCAGTTGATAATTAGTGTGGCAACACTAATTTTTTCATTATAGGTAAGTTTTCTCATTATAGGCAGAGCATCAACTTAAGCTCGGATCCCAGCTTCCATGTTCCTTATTCCCTCATAGCCAGACCTCCTTAAACTCCACTTGTAAACTTGGCCTTGCCTTGGACCATCACATTGACACAGCCTGGAGGCAGCCCCTGCCTGCATCTGGAGCTCCAGACATCCCCAGGGCAAGGACTTCTGGCTGTGCTTTGGGTAGCTTCCTCCCAGAGGCCCCAGGTGGCTGCTACCACCACATGGCCTGTCTGAGGGCAGGCAACTTGCTTCTCCTCTGTCCTTCTGCTCTCCTCCCCTACTGATTGCCACTAGTCTCTCCAAACTGATATTAATGTCATTTATTCAGCATGGATTGAGCACCTACAATGTGGGGGCAGATGTTAGTTGTGAGTATTCAGCAACAGGCAAATCAGAGCCCTGCCTTCATGAGGACTACAATCTGCCAGGGATGACTGATATTGGGCAGGTAATGACAAACACAACGACTGTCATAAAATGAGGGCCACAGGGTACAAAGAGAGCTCATCTAGACCTGGGAGCAGGGCTCAGCCGAAACCTTCTGACAAACTTTTAGCTGATACTATTCTCTGCAAACCCAGATTAGAATTTGCACACATGTAGCTGGATCCTTGTTTCCAACTTCTGTCTGTTCCTGTGTTCTCCTGTGAGGTCTGGCCTGTCCCTTCCCACTCCATGTAGCAAAAAATCACATACATTCTCATATCAGGATATGACAAAAATAATATCCCTTAAAAACACATTCCCCATTTGTAATATATTATCCATCTAAATTGAGAAACTTCTTTTCAGCTTTTTTTCTTTTAACTCACACCTTTCTAAGAACACGTATCTTTTATAATTTATTATGTTTTAGAAATGAGCAATGCATGAATATGTCATCCTAACAGCAAACTAGCACACAGGCTTATCCAAGCATAAAATAAGTTGTGAAAGAATATGTTTGGGAATATATTACTGGATGACTCTGTTAACTCCATTTTTAATATGTGGTTTGCCCATCTAAACTATGTTTCAGCACAAGTCCATTTGTGGGCTTCTGAGAGGCACTTGAGAATCACTGAGCCACTCTTTTCCCCCACTGAGCTCCCCATAGGCTGAGCTAACTGAAGAGAGTGTAAATTTCCAGAGGGTAGCAGTTTCCTGTGTGGCTTGGAAACATCTGTAGCTGTGTGCTAGTCATGTTAAGCCATGGGGAGGGGGTGTCCCTGCAAAGCCCAACATGCTTCTGCCAGGGAGAGAGGGGATCACCACGGGGTGGGTTTGGACAGGGGCAGGATGGGAGCAGAGGATGAGAGGAGAGTCTCATGCGACAATGTAAAACTATAGTTTTGGCTTCCAGCCAAAGACAAGAAGGAGCCTGATTATATTGCATATTTTAGGATCCTTTTCCTATTTCATTGAAATGAGGAGGCAAAAAGCTTCTCTTTGTCATAAGAAATCAATTTCCTAGCTTCCATTTCTGCTTAGTGCAATGTTTTTCTGTTATATCCTTTAAAATGCCATTTGTTCATGTGATTACAGAATGAATTCCAATCCATGCTTAATTCTTTAAAAATCATCTTTTGCATTTAAAGGCTATAAAAAAAGCATATGGATGAGCATATTAATCACAGCTACTATTTCCAGGGCCTGAGTGTAAAGAAGCATTTATGTTAATGGTGTATGTGTCTAAGCATACAAGTTTAGAAATATTCCCAATTACCAAATTCATTTCTTCTGCTGAAACAAGAATATAACTGAAAGAATAAATTATCCTAACAGCACACCCCCTTCAGGTTACCTCTCTGAGGTTAAATTTTTGCTGTTTGAATCAAAGGTTACAGATTATATATTGCCAATCACGACACTTAGGCTGTGATTGAATCAGCCAAAATGTTTAGCCACATTTTCTGGCTCTGCCTCTGAATTGATGTGGAAAGTTCCAAATGCATCAAATGAATCAAACCTTATAAAAGTGTTCCTCATTCACTTGCAGTAAAAGTTTTTGCAATCGGTTCCTTAGTTGAAAATTGGCACCAGTTATTCATGGCATACCATACATCACACACACAGGCCACCAAAGCACTGCATGCCGAATATTGTGCAGTGGTGGTAAATACAACAAATCATGTCAGCATTGGGCAGGGAGAGCTATTGCACATCCTTTAGTGGCCTAGGTCCTTGAAGAGTATTTTAGAGCCAAAGGAGGAGAAGTCTTGGGAATGATAAACTAGTCAGTGTCATGTATCAAACTCACATTAAACAGGATGAAACCACCTGTCTCAGATTTCTTATCTGCTATTTTTCCTCCCCTGTGGTAGGACAAACTCTTTCCATCACATGCAAAAGGGATTCTCAGATCAGTATACAGTTTCCAAAGATGAGGAAAGATTCCATTAACTGAATTACAATCATTGAAATAGGTGATTTTTAAAGCCAATTTTAAAAATGTTATGAACAACTAACATTTTTTTCTCGCCAGTTATAGTAATAGAAAAACACTAATTCCTTAGCATCTAGGGATGCCAGATCAAGATTATAGGAGCCTAAGAGTGGATCAGAACCTGTATATCTTTTTATGCTACCTCTGCTAGGTTTGAATTACAGGTGCAAAAATTAGAAAAGGCTTATGAGATGAAAAGAGTGGCCTGTGGCATACAAAGCTGATATCTTGCCACGTTACTACATATTTCTTCAATTTATTAGAATAAAATGTTAATGAGTACAGACACCCAAACACAGAATTCCAAATTGCTAATTGGGGATTTTTGCTGGCACTGTGCTTATTGTCAGATTCAGAGAAGGAAGATGAATTTAAAGTTTTAGAAATGTCACCCCTTAGGGAGTGATCAAACAGCACATCTGTGTCCCTGATGGATAGTAATCAGAAGAACAATACATGAAGCAGGTTCACTGTGCATCAATATCAGTCCCAGAAGAAGATGCTAAACACCTTGCCAATATCATATATCAGTATCAATCCACTTGCATGGGTCCAGTGAGACAGAAAACTCACACGTGTTAAGCAGAGCAACTTTATTACTTACAGAAAGTCAGCAAGGGACAATAGAAGCCTAGGATTTATGGCAAGCCAGTCCCCCAAGGCTCAGGAAGACTGCCCTGGGTGGATTGAGTCTCACTTTGTGTGTCTTTTTTTGGGGGCGGGGAGAGGGAATGGAGTTTTCGCTCTTGTTCTGGAGTGCAATGGCATGATCTTGGCTCACTGCAACCTCTGCCTCCTGGGTTCAAGTGATTCTCCTGCCTCAGCCTCCCAAGTAGCTGAGATTACAGGTGCCCGTCACCACTATGCTCAGCTAATTTTTTGTATTTTTAGTAGAGACAGGGTTTCACCATGTTGGCCAGGCTGGTCTTGAACTCCTGACCTCAGTGATCCACCCACCTTGGCCTCCCAAAGTGCTGGGATTACAGGCGTGAGCCACCACATCCGGCCACTGTGTGTGTCTTATGCTGCACTGCAGCTGAGGGACCCCAAAAGCATGATCTGATCTGGGTTTCATGTGCAGGAGCAACTGGACTTGCTGGACAAATAAGCACCGCAGGACAACATCCAGTTCTAAGGAATTGGAACGGAGCCTGTGTTGTTCTTCTTTATCTCAGGATGTGGCTGTCCCAGCACATTCTTGAGAGGTAAAAGTGACAAGAGGAGAAAGAGCTTAGTTGTCAAGGCCATTGAGGGGCTTATCCAGCACAGGAGTTATTACTTCCTCACCAAAAAACAAAACCAAGATTTGTCACTCAGCATTGACACCCTGGTAGGCAGGGATTCTGAACCTTGGCTAATGATCATCATCCTCAGCAACTTCATAGCCAACATTTACAAGCACCTACTGTTTGCTTTATCTGAATAAATTCCTGTAGCAACTGTATTTGCTTGGGTCCTCCGGAAAGCTGACTCACTATGGGGTGAAATCTGTGTGAGATTTATGGGAGAAAAGATTTGAGGGAAAATGGCGGGGGTAGCTGGGAGAGGTGGTAATGCAGGTCCAACTGCTGTGGACAAGATTGGGAAAAAAGGAAGGTTGGGTGGGAAAAGTCTTAGAATACACTGCAAATTTTTAAGAAAGCCTATCAGGAGTCCTCGAGTCAAGGTTGCCTATCATAGACACCCACATCACCCAAAAACAAGCTGCCTTATTATCCCTGCCATGCCCCATTACTGGCTGGGAGGAGCCTCGGGAAGCAGGGCCTTGGCATGGACACTGGGATGTGTCAGCACCACAGCTGGGCTGACCTTCAGTCCATGGCACCTCCTGCAGTCAGAGACTCAAGGGGGTGCTTTTCTATTTTATCAGTCTGGGTCCAATCAGGAGAGATAATCCATATGGGGAATTAAACAGGAGAAGTTCAATTTAAAAAACCATTAAACTCTAATAAAAAAGAGTGACTACAAGTTACAAAGACACTCTGCATGGTACCCCAGAGCTTAGGTAAAATACAAAAGGAAGGACAGACTCAAAAGGGCTGTGGGGTTCACACCTTGCTGCAGAAAGCACAGTTCAGTCCTTGAATAGTGGGAACAATTTGCTGGTTTGTCCTGACTAGGGCTGATATGCTGTGACCCAGCAAGCAGAAAGCAGCCCTCTGGAGCACAGGCAATTACGAGCAGTGTGGGTGTTCAGAGGGAAGGCTGTCTGTGATGGAGCCATGCACAGGCCTGCAGAAGGAATCAGGTGCAGTGTGGCAGGCGGCCTTCAGGGCACTGGTCTCCATATTGGTAGGGCATGGAAAGGCCACCAGGCCAGGCTGAGATTCTGGCCATGAGACTGAGGTGGAGCTGCATAGATTCCTCACCCTTACCCAACTGATGCACTGTGCAGCAGGGAACGTTTCCTCCTGCAGGATCCCTCCACATGCTCTCCTGAGGAAAGTGACCCTGGGCTCACTGTGAAGGAGAGATGTGGAAGAATGTCATTCATTGCAGCAGAGCGTGCCTGGAGCTTGGGGCTAATGAGCAATGCGTGGATAAATGGAACACGTGGTCACCTTGGGAACCCCATATGAGGTTAGTACTTGTGTTGTCCCTTTGTATAGAGGAGAAAACTGAGGCTTGGGGGAAGTAAATATTTAGCAAGCTGAGGAGCTGGAGTTCCAACCCTAAGTCTGTGATTCCAGAATTCATGTCTTACTCACCATGCTACATTAGTAAGATTCATCACAGAAGATGCCAGGATCCTTTCTAAATCTCCTGCTTATAATGATGAGCCTGGGATTTGTTAGCATACCATCAAAATAATTTTAATATTTTGTAGGCTTGAGAATGCATTTTTCCCTTATATTCTGTAATAGTTTGGCTCTGCCAAGTGTAGGACAGATTTTTAACCACATGCCAAGCAATAAACTTGCCTCAAATAAAAGGATCAAAGATGGCAAAGCAGTGGCAACTGTATCCATGAGGAACTATTACAGGCCCTGTGGTCATTTAGCCTCAGGGAGAAACTGAAAAGGAGTGATGATTCTGGTATTCAGCACGTAAAGATTTTCTCAACTGAGAGACTCAACAGCTTTTCTCCTTTTCCCCTAAGGGCTGAATGTGAGGAAATGAGCTCGCATTAAAACCAGATAGATTTCTGCTGCTTATAAGGAAGAACTTCTTAACCATTATGATGATGAAACACTAGAATAGGTTCCTTACAAAGTGTTAAAGTCTCCATTTCCAGAGATATTAAAACAGAATCAAAACTATCCATCATGATTGATTTGGACACTAATCTAGATGAAAATAGCAGCCTCCTAAGGTCCTTTACTGTCCCAGAATTCCAATATGCCTTAGTCATCTTTAATTCTTCCTTGCCAACAGAGGTAAATGGCTTCCAAGGACGATGAACACACAGGGAAGTTGTTAATGATAGTTCACATTTATTGAGTGCTCACATTCACCAAGTGCTTTATGCATATTGTCTCTCATCTTTGCAACACTACAAGGTAAGCACCATTATTTTTCATTTTTACAGGCAGTCAGGCATAGAGAAGTCAAGCACCTTATCAAAGATCACACAGCAAGTAAATAGTAGTCAGAATTCTAACCCAGAACTTTCTATATCCAATTCCATGTATTCTGATGAATAAACTATGGCTTTTAACTCTTCCAGTAGGCTACTGAGCAGTCCCCCTCAGATGCTTACCCTCCACCCCAAAAACTCTCCACGACACCCTCAAAATCTGCCAGGTCTAATTTGTACAATCAACTTAACACCACCTACCTGGAAAATTAGCCACAAATGGAGAGGAAAAGACAGATAAAGAGCATATACTATATTATATTCTGCTACCTGGGCTCCTGTGAAATAGCAAAGAATTGACTTAGTTCAGAAAACTAATCTGAGAGAAGAAATGAATGATACAGCCCTGGTGAAACATGTGAAAACTGGCCCCTGCTACTTTTGCAATGGGAAAGTGTGAAACCTGAACCACTGTAGTAGTGCTTGTAGAAACCAAGCCATCTGAAATACACAATCCCTGGTGTTTCTTTGAGGGATTGGTTTAAGTGTTTTGACAACTAGAGATTCCTTCTTATTCGCTTGCCATTAATCTTTTGCATCTGTGGTCACAGGACAAGAGAGCAAATCTGTTTTTCATGAATGCCTCATTTTGATAACACCCCCACCACCCCACCACATTCACCTCCGTGAGAGCATTAACCATTAACTAAGTGTGGTGGCTGGTACCTTTCCCATGAAACAGGGCTCACTGTGGTCTCCCCAGCCACACCAGCTGCCTGGAGCAGGATTCCTGTTGCTCCTTCTGTCCAGATGGCTTCAAGCTGGAAATTACTTACGAGAACCCAGGAAAACACTTGTTCTCCCCAACACTATTTATTTGCTTTGGAAGAGCTTTACAAAACACTCCTATATGCTCAACCAACAAAATATCACCTCTACCCTGCACCTCTTGCAATATTAAACAAACTGAGTGCTGAAGGGTTAAAACAAAGATGAATACAAGGCTTTCTGTGCCCTCAAAGAGTTCACAGAGTTGTACAGAAGATAAACATAAGAGCAACAACAATACGGTGTGGACCCTGATTAAAGTATCAGGGATTCTGTGTAAGCAGAAAAAAGGCACCCAGCCTCAGACATTGGAGCACACTCTCCAGGGACTGAGTTTTGAGCAGAGCTTTCAGCATTAGTCAACACAGACTGCCATAACCAAATACTGTAGACTGGGAAGCTTAAATGACAGACATTTGTTTTCTCATGGTCCTGGAGGCTGGAAGTCTGAGATCAGGGGGCCAGTATGGTTGGGTTCTAGTGAGGCCTCTCATCCTAGCTTGCATGTGGTCACCTTCTTGCTGTGTCCTCACATAGCTAGAAAGAGGTGGGGAGCAAACTCTCTGGTGTCTCTGCACATAAGGACACTAACCTATCAGATTAGGGCCCCTCCCTTATGACCTTATTTAACCTAATTACCTTCTAAAGGCCCCATCTCTGAATAGAGTCCCACTGGGAGTTAGGACTTTATCATATGCTTTTGTAGGGGACACAATCAGTCCATAACGCCTCCAGAATGATAGGATTGACCAGGTGGAAGGTAGTTAGAAAAGGGAGGGCATCCCTGGCAAACATACCAGTGTTCAAAGGCTTAGGCCACAGGTTCAGTGGTTTAGGCAGACACAGCACATCAGGGGAGCACAGAATGATCCAACGTGTTTACACAGAGGAGAATGTGGTGTAAGGTGGCCAGAAGGAAAAGCCTTGAATGCTTTCTAAGCACTATGCTCTTTATCATGTGGGCAGTCTGGATTTTTGCAGAACTTTTAAAAGAGTTGAACAGACTGCCATTTAGGAAAAAAACAACCAGTTGGTTCATATTTGAAGAATGAGTAGTAGGAGTCAAAGTAAATTGGATTAGGGATCCAAGCCATGGGCACTGCAACAGGAAAGGTCATAAGGGGGTTTGCCAAGGCAGTAGCCATGGATGTGAGGAAGAAGAAACAGGTGTGAGAGTTATTTAGGAGCCAGAATAGAAGGCATGTTGACTATGGAGGGTAGGAAGGCGAAGAGTAGAAGAGAACTCTAGCTCTCTAGATGGGTGCCTGGGTGATAGTTATGTTTCTATATTATCTACAGTTGAACTAGAGCTACATGCTTCACTTTTTGGTTGTTGCTTTTGTCCTATTCACTGACTACCCTTCAGCCCTTCCCATAAATCTCACTTAACACAGTGGTGGTTCTGGCATGTGAATGAAAGAATAAAGATACAAACTGTGATCATTATAAAAATTTGAGTTAATACTTAAGACGGGCAGGAGATGTGGTGAAAAAACAGTATCACAATTTGTTTTTTTTAATTATTATTATACTTTAAGCTTTAGGGTGCATGTGAACAACGTGCAGGTTTGTTACATATGTATACATGTGCCATGTTGGTGTGCTGCACCCATTAACTCGTCATTTAACATTAGGTAAATCTCCTAATGCTATCCCTTCACCCTGCCCCAACCCCACAACAGTCCCCAGAGTGTGATGTTCCCCTTCCTGTGTCCATGTGTTCTCATTGTTCAATTCCCACCTATGAGTGAGAACATGCGGTGTTTGGTTTTTTGTCCTTGCGATAGTTTGCTGAGAATGATGGTTTCCAGCTTCATCCATGTCCCTACAAAGGACATGAACTCATCATTTTTTATGGCTGCATAGTATTCCATGGTATATATGTGCCGCATTTTCTTAATCCAGTCTATCATTGTTGGACATTTGAGTTGGTTCCAAGTCTTTGCTATTGTGAATAGTGCCGCAATAAACATCTGTATGCATGTGTCTTTACAGCAGCATGATTTATAATCCGTTGGGTATATACCCAGTAATGGGATGGCTGGGTCAAATGGTATTTCTGGTTCTAGGTCCCTGAGGAATCACCACACTTATTTCCACACTGGTTGAACTAGTTTACAGTCCCACCAACAGTATAAAAGTGTTCCTATTTCTCCACATCCTCTCCAGCACCTGTTGTTTCCTGACTTTTTAATGATCGCCATTCTAACTGGTGTGAGATGGTATCTCATTGTGGTTTTGATTTGCATATCTCTGATGGCCAGTGATGACGAGCATTTTTTCATGTGTCTTTTGGGTGCATAAATGTCTTCTTTTGAGAAGTGTCTGTTCATATCCTTCTCCCACTTTTTGATGGGGTTGTTTGTTTTTTTCCTGTACATTTGTTTGTGTTCATTGTAGATTCTGGATATTAGCCCTTTGTCAGATGAGTAGATTGCAAGAATTTTTTTCCCATTCTGTAGGTTGCCTGTTCACTCTGATGGTAGTTTCTTTTGCTGTGCAGAAGCTCTTTAGTTTAATTAGCTCCCATTTGTCAATTTTGGCTTATGTTGCTATTGCTTTCGGTGTTTTAGACATGAAGTCCTTGCCCATGCCTATGTCCTGAATGGTAATGCCTAGGTTTTCATCTAGGGTTTTAATGGTTTTAGGTCTAACATTTAAGTCTTTAATCTATCTTGAATTAATTTTTGTATAAGGTGTAAGGAAGGATCCAGTTTCAGCTTTCTACATATGGCTAGCCAGTTTTCCCAGCACCATTTAGTAAATAGGGAATCCTTTCCCCATTTCTTGTTTTTCTCAGGTTTGTCAAAGATCAGATAGTTGTAGATTCACGGCATTATTTCTGAGGGCTCTGTTCTGTTCCATTGGTCTATATCTCTGTTTTGGTACCAGTGCCATGCTGTTTTGGTTACTGTAGCCTTGTGGTATAGTTAGAAGTCAGGTAGCGTGATGCCTCCAGCTTTGTTCTTTTGGCTTAGGATTGACTTGGCAATGTGGGCTCTTTTTTGGTTCCACATGAACTTTAAAGTAGTTTTTTCCAATTCTGTGAAGCAAGTCATTGGTAGCTTGATGGGGATGGCATTGAATCTATAAATTACCTTGGGCAGTATGGCCATTTTCATGATATTGATTCTTCCTACCCATGAGCATGGAAGGTTCTTCCATTTGTTTGTATCCTCTTTTATTTCCTTGAACAGTGGTTTGTAGTTCTCCTTGAAGAGGTCCTTCACATCCCTTGTAAGTTGGATTCCTAGGTGTTTTATTCTCTTTGAAGCAATTGTGAATGGCAGTTCACTCATGATTTGGCTCTCTGTTTGTCTGTTATTGGTGTATAAGAATGCTTGTGATTTTTGCACATTGATTTTGTATCCTGAGACTTTGCTGAAGTTGCCTGTCAGCTTAAGGAGATTTTGGGCTGAGACAATGGGGTTTTCTAGATATACAATCATGTCATCTGCAAACAGGGACAATTTGACTTTCTCTTTTCCTAATTGAATACCCTTTATTTCCTTCTCCTGCCTGATTGCCCTGGCCAGAACTTCCAACACTATGTTGAATAGGAGTAGTGAGAGAGGGCATCCCTGTCTTGTGCCAGTTTTCAAAGGGAATGCTTCCAGTTTTTGCCCATTCAGTATGATATTGGCTGTGGATTTGTCATAGATAGCTCTTATTATTTTGAGATATGTCCCATCAATACCTAATTTATTGAGAGTTTTTAAGCATGAAGGTTGTTGAATTTTGTCAAAGGCCTTTTCTGCATCTATTGAGATAATCATGTGGTTTTTGTCTTTGGTTCTGTTTATGTGCTGGATTACGTTTATTGATTTGCATATGTTGAAACAGCCTTGCATCCCAGGGATGAAGCGCACTTGATCATGGTGGATAAGCTTTTTGATGTGCTGCTGGATTCGGTTTGCCAGTATTGTATTGATTTTGCATCAATGTTCATCAAGGATATTGGTCTAAAATTCTCTTTCTTTGTTGTGTCTCTGCCAGGCTTTGGTATCAGGAAGATGCTGGCCTCATAAAATGAGTTAGGGAGGATTCCCTCTTTTTCTATTGATTGGAACAGTTTCAGAAGGAATGGTACCAGCTCCTCCTTGTACCTCTGGTAGAATTCAGCTGTGAATCCATCTGGTCCTGAACTTTTTTTGGTTGGTAAGCTATTAATTATTGTCTCAATTTCAGAGCCTGTTATTGGTCTATTCAGAGATTCAACTTCTTCCTGGTTTAGTCTTGGGAGGGTGTATGTGTCGAGGAATTTATCCATTTCTTCTAGATTTTCTAGTTTATTTGCATAGAGGTGTTACAGTATTCTCTGATGGTAGTTTGTATTTCTGTGGGATCGGTGGTGATATCCTCTTTATCATTTTTTATTGCGTCTACTTGATTCTTCTCTCTTTTCTTCTTTATTAGTCTTGCTAGCGGTCTATCAATTTTGTTGATCTTTTAAAAAAACCAGCTCCTGGATTCACTGATTTTTTTGAAGGGTTTTTTGTGTCTCTATTTCCTTCAGTTCTGCTCTATCTTAGTTATTTCTTGCCTTCTGCTAGCTTTTGAATGTGTTGGCTCTTGCTTCTCTAGTTCTTTTAATTGTGATGTTAGGGTGTTAATTTTAGATCTTTCCTGCTTTCTCTTGTGGGCATTTAGTGCTATGAATTTCCCTCTACACACTGCTTTGAATGTGTCCCAGAGATTCTGGTATGTTGTGTCTTTATTCTCGCTGATTTCAAAGAACATCTTTATTTCTGCCTTCATTTTGTTATGTACCCAGCAGTCAGTCATTCAGGAGCAGGTTGTTCAGTTTCCATGTAGTTCAGCGGTTTTGAGTGAGTTTCTTAATCCTGAGTTCTAGTTTGATTGCACTGTGGTCTGAGAGACAGTTTGTTATAATTTCTATTCTTTTACATTTGCTGAGGAGTGCTTTACTTCCAACTATGTGGTCAATTTTGGAATAGGTGTGTGGTCCTGAAAAGAATGTATACTCTGTTGATTAACAGTATCATAATTGGAACTCCATGTGTGCAGGAGTATACATTATGCTTTTGTTTACTCTACTGACAATACAATTAATGTCAATTATAGGCACTTATTCAATAACACAGATCTTATGCAGCTCCAAACAAATACTGGACACCCTTTAGAGTTTCCAGAACCTAGGATTCTAATGCAAACTCCTACCATTATCTGTAATTAAGAGACTATTCATGGAACCCATGTGTTCAGATATCCTGACAATTTTTCTAACCATATTACTTTAAACCAGCACTGTTCAATAGAACTATAATGCAGGCCACAGGTGGGAGGTACATATGCCATTTTAAATTTTCTAGTAGCCACATTTAAAAAGTAAAAAGAAACACATCAAATTACATTGCATAATATATGTTATTTAACCCAATATATCTAAAATATTATTCCAAAGTAATGGATACAAAAAGTATTAATATAATATTTTACATTTTTGTTTATACTTTGTCATTGAAATCCAGTTTGTATTTTACACTTACAGCACAACCCAATTCAGACAAGTTACGTTTCAAGTGCAGAGTAGCCACAGGCAGCTAGTGGGTGCCAGACAGTGCAGGTCTAGGCCAAGAAATGTTCCTGATACAAAAACTCCAAATATCAGAAACTATTAGTTATTAACATACAGATCAAGGTGATAATTTATTGTAAAAATATGAAACACTGAGTGTTGTTTTAACAACATATCATTATTTCCTTTCCTTCATTTTACATTTTATATTCTAGCTTCCAAAAGCTATGTAATAAACCAAAATTTAATGTTCCTGCTTTATAAGTAAATTTTTCTGATGCATTGCTTATAAAGCCACCAGAGAACAAATACTCATGACTGCTCAGAGGAGTATTTGATTAGAGCATTTACCTTGTCACAGAGATAAATAGCAAGATATCCTCTGCTTCTGGAGACTAGCCAGAGGACATCAGAGGACAAGAAAAAGTCTATTCTTCTCACATGCATAATCTTGTTATTGAAAATAACACAGGAGATTCATAGAGCATTATGAGTATCTGATGTGATGAAGCAGTAAATGTAAATTGGCTTTCTTTAATAATATTTATTTGACAATTATAATAATCTGGCTAAAAACAATCTGGGGATTGTTATTACAAAGTCAACTCTTAAGTCTTTTTTTCCACTGAAGTTATTTTAAGTAGAAGAGGGCTTTGAGTTGTGTTGACCTGATGGTGAAACAAATAAAAGTATAAAATTCTCTATTGGAATAAGAAAAGCAAAATGAGTTGCAACCTTCTAATCTTTTTTCTCTCAGTCCCTGACCAGCTGGCTAGGCCATTTGCCATGGCTCCTGAGTCCATATGTGTTTTACAAGTTCAGACAGTTTTTCACTCCACAAAAAGCAGACGAGCATGAGCCCAGGGGTTCAAGACCAGCCTGAGCAACATAGTGAGATCCAGTCTCCACAAAAAAATTAAAAGAGAAATAAGCTGGTCATGGTAGCACATGCCTATAATTCCAGCTAATTGTGGGGCTAAGGTGTGAGGGTCACTTGAGCCCAGGAGGTTGAGGCTGCAAAGAGCCATGATAGTGCCACTGCACTCCAGTCTGGGAGACAGAGTGAGATCTTGTCTCAGAAAAAATAAAATAAAATAAAATAGAATAGCAGATGACAGGTGCCTGCCTGGATGTTCTGCCTGTGGTGGGAGGTTCTCCCATGGCCACCTTTCTGGGCTATCCCTGAGTGCTGGCCAATATAGCACCATCCATTTTCTTCTTACGCACACATTCCAAGCCAATGCACCCATGAACAAACCTTGGGATTCTTCCTTCTCCATCAGCTGCTCTTAGGGATCTCACTGGGTGGCAGGTGAGCACTAGGGAGAGGCGATGGTATGGCAGGGGCATATGACATGGGGCCAGGGCTTCCTACTTATGCAGCCTCGGGGAACACAGCCAGTTACTGCCAGCAGTCAGGTACTCTATCTTAACCTGAGCCCAGTATCAAGCCTGGAGCTGTTTATCAAAAGGCCTATAATTCTCTGCTGCATATGACACAGCCTTGACCTAGACTCCTAGGCATCTGTGTAGTGATTTTCTCTGTGAGTATTACCATAAATGCCACACAGCATTTATGGTAACGACTCCAATGACTTCACTATGGTTCATTTATGGTAATGACTCCAATGACTTCACTATGATAGGCCAAGTCAGCTAGGTCATATGACCCAAGTGGCAAGGCTATGTGTCCTTTAGCATGGATGTCTGCTTCTGAGGCCTCTGCTCTTTTGGCTCTTCAGAGATGACCCCCTCTGTGTCCCCTTGTGTGCAGGATGGAACGGTTTTATTAGATGTGAAATATGCTGTCTTTAGAACCTGCCAAGGCCTACCAGACACTGTGCTTACTTCTTAGAGGCGGGAGCAGCATGGTATATTGTAGTTCCACTTAGTCATGAATCCCATGTGCATATCATACATGGGGGACCTCTGAGCTCTGTGTTCTCTTCCATTGATCTGTGAGGCTATCTGTGATCCACACAGTTAGAACTTCACCCTGTTCTAACTGCCGCGGCTTTGTAAAAATTCTTGATTTCCAGTAACATAGGTCCTCCTACCTTGTTCTTTTTCAGTCATAATTGGACTATTCTTGGCCCTTTACACTTCCATATAAAGTTTAGAACCAGCTCATCAAATTACACATGCACACAAATACACATGCACAATGGTTTTGATTAAAATTGCTTTGACTGTATAGATCAGTTTAGTAATAAATGACTTATTTAAATATTGAATCTTTCACACAAATAGAATTCCTAAAAAAAAAATAAGTACTTTTTCCTTTTTCCCCAATAATCAGTTTCTGCATAAAGGTGTTACACATATTTTGTTAGTTTTACTCCAAAGTATTTAGTATGTTATGCTACTGCAAGTGGCATCTTTTGATGTTTTTTTCTTATTGTTTGTTACCATTAAACAGAAATTAATTCTGTATATTGACTTTATATAATTATAATCTTGTTTAAATTATCTATTAATTCTAATGATTTATCTGCAGATTCTTTTTAATTTCCTTTGATTCTCTTTAATTTTTAAGGTTCTTTTTATATGTAATCTGTGAATAAATAATAGTTAATTTTTCCCTTCCAGTCATTATACTTTTATTTCATTAATTAAGTTGTTTATTTGCCTTACCACACAGGTTAGAATCACCAATATACAATGTTTTTAAAAGTGATCATACTGAGTCATACTTGTGTTTCATCATGGTTCAAAGAGAAAGCTTTTAACATGCCACAATGAAGTTCTTTTATTCAAAGATTTGAGTTAGTGGTGCTCCCTGCTTTACCTAGTTTGCTAATAGGCTTTATTATGACTGGATGTTGAATTTTAACAAATGTATTTTCTGCATCTACTGAAATAATCATATAATTTTTTCTCATTATATTTTTTATGAGGTGAATTTTATTTTTAAATATGAAATTAACCTTGCATTTTTAGAAACAAATCCAATTTTATTTTAATGTATTTTTCTTTTTATGTATTTATTTTATTTTTTGTGTGTGTGTGACAGAGTCTTGCTCTGTCGCCCAGGCTGGAGTGCAGTGGCTTGGTCTCAGCTCCCTGCAACCTCTGCCGCCTGGGTTCAAGTGGATTCTCCTGTCTCAGCCTCCCGAGTATCTGGGATTACAGGTGCACACCACCATGCCTGGCTAATTTGTTTTTGTATTTTTAGTAGAGATAGGTTTCACCACGTTGGCCAAGCTGGTCTCAAACTCCTGACCTCAAGTGATTTACCCACCTTGGCCTCCCAAAGTGCTGGGATTACAGGCATGAGCCACCACACCTGGCCACATTTTTATTTTTTATAGATTGTTAGATTCCATTTTGTTTTTGCTTTGTTTTTGTTTTGAGACAGGGTCTTGCTCTGTCACCCAGGCTGGAGTACAATGGTGCGATCTTGGCTCACTTCCTCCTCAACCTCCTGGGCTCAAGCAATCCTCTTACTTCAGCCCCCCAAGTAGTTGGGACCACAGGTATGCACCACCACTCCCAGCTAATTTTTTATTTTTAATTTTTTTGTAGAGACAGAGTCTCCTTATTTTGCCCAGGCTGGTCTCAAACTCCTGGGCTCAAGCAACCCTCTTGCCTCAGCCTTCTAGAGTGCTGAGATTACAGCATGAGCCACCATGCCTGGACTAGATTATATTTTGACTAGCATTTTGCATCACTACTCATCAGTGGTATTGACTTGTAACTTTTTTTATGATAAAGTGTTGTCCATTTTTAGTGTCTGCATTATGCTGACCTCGCATAATATGTTGGGAAGTTCTCTTTCTTCTGTTTTCTGGAAGAATTTATTTTTTAAATTGGCATTATTCTTTTAATAAGTGACAGAATTCACCAATACAGCCTCTGGCCTAGAGTTTGCCTTGTAAAACTGAAACCACCTTTGCAAAATCATAACTGAGAAAATTATGACAGTGAAAGATATCAGACCTAATTGACCCCATCTTGCTTTAAACCTCTAAACTGTCCTTGTTCATTCCTGGGTGTAGGCTGAACTAGCCTTGGGACGGAAATTAGTTTACAGTTTGAAGTTAAACTGTTCTTGTAAGACAAATGAAAGGCCACCAGCCACCAAGTTAGAATGAGAGAGGCTGGAATTCTAAATATTACCAGCCATTATTCCAGAGGTCATAAGATTCGCACCTTCCTAGGCCAGGTCCGGTGGCTCATGCCTGTAATCCCAGCATTTTGGGAGCCCGAGATGGGCGGATCACCTGAGGTCAGGAGTTTGTGACCAGCCTAGCCACATGGTGAAATCCTGTCTGTACTAAAAAGGCAAAAATTGGCCAGGTGTGGTGGCACCCGCCTGTAGTCCCAGCTACCCGGGAGGCTGAGGCAGGAGAATTGCTCGAACCCGGGAGGCAGAGGTTGCAGTGAGCTGAGATCACACCATTGCATTCCAGCCTGGGTGACAGAGACTCTTGAAGGTAACATCACTATTGTGAAACTAAGATCAGCCTTTTGAAATGTCCATTTAAGTTTTGCGTTTCTAACCACTGAACGGCCCCACTTGGACCTGCCAACCAGTTCTTTGGCCCCTACCCAGGAACTAACTCTGCATAAGAGAGTAGCTTAGACTCCCTATGATTTTATCCCCAAACCAAACAAACAGCACCCCTGATAAACTGGTCCCCTACCCACCAAATTAGACTTAAAAACTCTGATCCCAGAGTTTTCAGGGAGACTGATTTGAGTAATAATAAAACTCCAGTCTCCTGCACAGCTGGCTCTGGGTGAATTACTCTTTCTCTATTGCAATTCCCCTGTCTTGATAAATTGGCTCTGTTTAGGCAGCCAGCAAGATGAACCCACTGGGCTGTTACAAAACTATTTTTAATTACAGACTCAATTGCTTTAATAGACATACAAATATTTGTATTTTTAATTTTCTTTTGTATTTTTGTAAGTTGTATGTTTCTAAGAATGTATTTATATTTGCTTATCAAAATTTTTTAACTACTTAATAAATCGAGAGTCTGATAATGATGTCTTTTTACTATTCTGACATTGGTTGTTACTTTTTTGTATTGATTGGTATAGCCATTTGGAATACATTCAACAACAGACTGATAGTGACAGGAGGCAGCCAAATGCCTTGGCAGATAGGGCCGGGTCCCCGTGAAACCCCACCTTCAAGCCAATAACAGCCTGAAGGCTGAAAGACCTCACTGCCGGTCCTGGAGGAAACCCACAACCAAGAGTGAGAACTTCTGTTCCATGCCCTTTAACCAATCAAATGCTGCCTCTTCCAATACTATCTACAGCCTGCCCCTCCCCTACTCTGAAGCCCTAAAAAGCCCTGGACCCAACCACACCAGGAGGAGAGAGCCACCTAACTGCAGGGCTGGGGAAACACCCCCTCATCCCTTCTCCACTGAGAGCTGTTCCTTCACTCAATAACATTCTTCTCCACCTTTCTTACCCTTCAATGTCCAGCATATCCTCATTCTTCTTGGGTGCAATAAAAGAGCTCAGGACCGCTAAATGTGGGTACAAGCTATAACACAGGTGATCTGGGGCACACTAGCATGGCCGAGGAAGGCCTGGGCAGGGCATTGCCAGCTCGGGTCCCTGGCTTGCAAAGTGACTGAGAAGGCAAATCCTACATCAAGATGAGCAAGAACTATGCACTGAATATTACAAACATTGCAGGGGAAAACATGAAAAGAATTCTAAAAATGGAGAACAAATGGAGAGTTATATCATGTCTATAGGCTGGAAGAATAAATCATGTAAAGATATAAGTTCCTCCCAAAGTGAACCATATATTCAATGCAATTCCAATGAAAACTCCAGTAAATGTTTTTGTAGCAATTGACAAGCTGATACTGAAATTTACATGGAAATTGGAAAGATACAGAATAACCAAAACAATCTTGATGATGAAGAGCAAAGTTTAAGGGCTCACAGAAGTTGATGTTGAGACTTAATTAGAAAGGTAGAGTAATTATAATAGTAATCTACTGGCATAAGCATTTAAAAAAAGATGAACAGAACAATATTGAATCAGAAATAATCCTACACGAATGTAGTCAATTGCTTTTCAACAAAAGCACCCATGAAATTCAATGGGGAAACAAAAGTATTTTCCATAAATGGCATAAAAAGCTGGGAGGGTCACATCCATATGTGTCATGACCCATTCCTCACGCCATACACAAAAATTAACTCGGTTGGTGATACAAATGTAAAACTAAAATTATAAAAATCTTAGATGAAAGCAGAGGGGAATATCTTTGAAAATTAAAAATAGGCAAAGATTTGATTTCTTAGATAAATTGCAAAGAGTAATACTGATTTTAAAATAATCAATGGTACTTCTTATAATGAAAAATCTTTTGCTCCTCAAAAGTTACCAGTAAGCTAATGAAAAGGCAGGCCACAGACTGGTAGAAAATTTAGATAGATAAAAGATAGGTAGACAAAGATATATATAGTTAATTGTCATTATTCAGAGTAGTTCTGTTCTATAAAGTCACCATAAACACTGGATTAATGAACACTGAACTGTTAAGGGGAATACAGTAAGTCTTCCACAGTTTCCGTGAAAGGAAAATAAATCTGGAGACCCCCAAATCACAAAGCCAAGGAAAAGTCAAGCTGGGAACCATGTCAGGCAAACCGGCCTCCCATTTTATTCCTAAATAAGATCGCTACAAAGACAAAAAAAAGCTACTTACCTCCCTCACAATTTGCCCACAAGGAAATTCCTTGCAGACAAAGGACAGACAGAACTCAGTCACTCCTCTGAGGCTCCTGTGAGACAAGTATGTATCACTAAGCCAGACTAAGGCATAAGTGACTATTTACCCTCTTCTCGCATGTAAATTGTCTATTCAGTAAAAGGCTTCTCAGAAACTCAAAAGAATGTAACCATCTGTCTCTTATCTACCTATGACCTGGAAGCTCCCTCCCCCACTTCCAGTTTTCCTGCCTTTCCCAACCGAACCAATGTATATTGACTGATGTCTCATGTCTCCTTAAAATGTATAAAACCAAGCTGTGCCTTGACCAGCTTGGGAACATATCGTCAGGACTCCCTGAGGCTGTGTCATGAGCGCATCCTTAAACTTGGCAAAATAAACTTTCTAAATTGGTTGAGACCTGTCTCGGATATTTTGGGTTCACAGTTCTTGGAAACTGGGACTGTAAACAAAATCATACACCGAAACCAATTCTACTGTAGGCTAATGGATACAAACAAGAGTTTCACTCCTATGACATATTTCTAGTCACAAAAACATCACCAAACTTCTAAATAAAGACCCAAAATATTTCTAATATTAACCTTTGAAATAAATGTGAGCAATTCATACATTTAAGAAATATTAATAAAAACAAGTAAGATAATGACTTACCCAATTTTTAGTGAAGCAGTAAGCAACAATAGTCACAGCGGTGGTGAGTTAAATCGAGAAATAAATGTTTGCAAAGTGAAAATTAGCAGGAGCAACGCCTCCCATCATGCAGTTCAAAAACCATTGCAAACATGGTGGCTCACAGCACTGTTGGCTTGCGTTGTTTATTGTTCTGCATTTGGATGATCATCATCTACTTACGAAAATTTATTTCACAATCATTTGTAGTCATTAATTCATTTTCTAACTCACTTGTTCCAGTTTAGGGTTGCAGATGGGCAGAGTCTATCCTGGTGTCTCCAACACGAATAGGGGCTGGGTACAATGAGGCTGAGACCTACTTGGCTATACTCCCAGGAGGTTAGGTATTCTTAGTCTATGCGATGAGATAGGAGGTCAGCACAAGATACAGGTCACAAGAACCCTGCTGATAAAACAGGATTTGGTAAAGAAGCTGGCTAAAATCCACCTGTTATAAATAAAGTTAAGGTGCCGCAAAAGAAATAGCACTCGAATATAAAATTTTCTTTTTAATTTTCAGCAAGGCAAGGTACTTCTATAGAAGGGTGCACTCTCACCGATGGAGCAATGGTGGTCACACATTTGGACAAGAGAGGGGAAAGGATTCTTATCCCTGACACACAGGGCCCCTGCTGCTGTGTCGTTCCCCTGTTGGCTAGGATTAGACCGCACAGGCTAAACTAATTCCCATTGGCTAATTTAAAGAGAATGACGGGGTGAGCGCTTTGGCGGGAGTCAGGGCAGAGCAGGTAGCAGGTAATCCAAATGAGCTAGGGTGGAGCAGGTGATCAGAATGAGTTAGGGTGGAGCAGGTGATCGGGATGGGTCAGGGTGGGGTAGGCAATTGAAAAAGGTTGCTTCATGAGGAAGTTAAAAGTAGAAGGCAAAGAATTGAACATACTGACATACTAATTCTTTGAAGAGAAATTTAGAATTCATATTCAACGCATCAAAACCAAGATGGCAATGAAAGTGGACTTTGGTCGTCCTCGCTGTTCATTTTACGCTAATTATAATGTATTAGCATGCTAAAAGACACTCCCACCAGCACCATGACAGTTTACAAATGGCATGGCAATGTCCAGAAGTTACCCTATATGGTCAAAAAGGGGAGGACCCCTCAGTTTCGAGAATTGCCCACCCCTTACCCAGAAAACTCTTTAAAAATTCACCTCTTGTTTAGTATTTAACCAAAAAATAACTGTAAATATACCCAGTTGAGCACCCCATGCCACTGCTCTACCTATGGAGTAGCCATTCTTCTATTCCTTTACTGTATGGACTTATTCTGAATTCTTTCTTACAGAAGGTCCAAGAACCCTCTCTTGGGGTCTGAATTGGGACCCTTTCCAGTAACACTGGCAGCTCAGGGTGCAAGGTGGGAACCAGCCTGGACATGATGCCATCCCATCATCCCATTTCAGGGCGGACTCACACACACACACATACTCACACTCACACACACAAGCGCATTCACACTGGGACTGTGTGGACATGCCAGTTCACCTAAGCGCACAGCTTTGAGATGTAGAGGAAACTGAATGCCCAGAGAAAACCCACACAGATGTGAGGGGAACATGCAAACTCCACACAGACAGTGGTCCCAGGGAGGAAGCAATTTTTTTTATCAACATTATAATGAAACTGAGATAGAACAGGAGAGGGATGTAGCTCCTCCTTCACGTATTTTTTCTTTTTTCCTTCTTTTCCTCACAAAACCCACACCACTACCTCGCCTATACTATACCTGCTAGCCCTGAAGCTTTAACCACACAAAGAAAATAGCTAGTCTTCTGTGCTGTCATAATATTTAACCATGCCTTCCACTTAAAGAATTCCAGAAACTGGCCTTAGGAGATCCAAATACTGAACAAAGGTTGCAGAGTGTGCTCACTTTGGAAGGAATGCTGAACAACTGATTTACAGCCTTGTTGCTCTGGCCAGACCACCAGGTGACCCATTACTCAAGAGAAACATCGGAACCAGACTTGCTAACCTGCATACCCTAACTCTCACGTGCTTCCCCCAGCCCAGCCTGCATACCTTACCCCTGATATCAATTCTCATGCTTTGCCTAATGAAAAATCCCTACTGGCTGCTTTCAGGGAACCAGTTGGAATATCCTTGTGCCTCTGCTGACTCTGCTGATTCCCTTGCACTCCAGCACAAGCCAGGAGATAAAAGCCTTGTCCGGGAAATCTGTTGGACCCTATGTTAATTTCCATTACAAGGGTAGCCTGAGAGCCTGTGGTCTGTAACAAAATGATGTTGAAGGAGACAGCATTAGTTGAGGACTTGTACAGGGTTAGGTTCCCAAGCCTCTGGTCACAATATTTCCACCAACTGATCAATATATGTCATTGTTTTATATGTTTTTCCTTAAGAACAGCTTACTTAATATATATCATTGAGTAACACTGAAGTCACAGCCAAGAGCACTGTAACTCCTGCCTGAATGAGACTCATCTAACACATGTATTTTCTCTATGGGGAACATCACAGCCTCTTGTGCTTAGGAACACTAGAGAGCACTATGCTGTGTGTCATGATAAACAGTGAAATCATCAACGAAAAGGGCAAAAATACAAAATTTGGCACTACATAGGCACAAAACAGGACACTTGTTGACAGTATGAGAGCTGAAACAAGAAAGCAGAGCATCACTTTTTTGACTTAAGTTGGAAAAGTGCACATCAGATAACTCAAGATTTTCAAATCTGAGCATGCTTGCAAGAGACCACAAAAGTGCCCTAAGTATTCATTTGAGGGTAGCAAATAAATTTTAGCAAGTAGAAAAACTTGCAAATGTTGAATCCAGAAATAATGAGAAAACACTGTAATGATAAATGTGTGTGTATATATGAGATAAATGTGTGTGTATATACATGAGAAGCCACTGTATTTATAAATGTGTTTGTGTGTGTGTGTATATATATATACACAACTATATATAAACACACATTTATATACATGTGTGTATATTTATATTTGTATATGTATGTACTTATACGTGTGTGTGTATATATATACACACACATTTATACACATGGGTGTATATGCGTGTATACATTTATATACATGTGTGTATATTTATATATGTATTTGTATATGTATGAATTTATACATGTGTGTATATAAATGTGTGTATATTTATATATGCATTTATATATGTATATATAAGTATTCATATATGTATATTTATATGTAAATATTAAATATATAAATATTTACATATAAATATACATATATACATAAATATATAGTAAATATATAAATATACACACACATATATAAATATACACACTTTTATCATGTATGTGTATCTATCAAATAATTTGTCTTCAGAATATATAAATAACTTCTAAAAATAAAATTCAAAAAGATCAATAAAAATGGGCAAAAGACTGGAATAGAAAATTCAGTAAATAATATAAATGCAAAATAAGCATATAAAATATCACTCAATTTTGTTAGTCATAAAAGAAATGAAAGTTTAAACCAAAAGGAAATAACACGACATACCTACTAGACTGGCTAAAATTAAAAGATTTGTAATACCAAATGTTGAAGAGGAAGCAGAGTCACAGGAAATATAATACATTTTTGGTGGGAGTATTGATAGTATTTGAAAAACATTTTAGGCAGTTTCTTTTAGAATTAAATATACCTATCTTATGATTCAGCAATTCAATTCCTAGGTATTTACTTGCCCAAAATAAAAATATATATTCACACAAAAAATATTTACACAAGAAGTCAAATGCAGCTTAATTAATATTAGCTATGAAAATACTGGAAACAACTCAAATTCTCAGAAGAATGGTTAAACATATTGTGTTTTATTAATACAATGAAATACTATCCAGCAATAAAAAGAAATGACTTTCTGATATTTATAACAATATAAATGAATCTCAGAAATATTGTGTTAAGCTAAAGAAGCCAGACAAAAAAGAGTTCGTATGCTATTATTCCATTTATCTGAAGTTTGAGAAAACAAAAACAGAATCTCTAAGGGCGGAAATGAATATAGTGGTTGCCTCTGGAGACGTGCGAAATTGATTCTATTTTCTAAAATGATGAACATTGCATCTCTATACTGATTTGGTGATCTTATTGTTTATATTCGTCAACTCATCAAATTATACAGTTTTAAGATCTGTGCATTTTACTATGTATAACCATATATTAATTATACAAAGGAGAAAAAGAAAAGTGAGAAGGAGGAGGAGGTGGAGGGGAAAGAAAGGAGGAGAGCAGGAGGAGGGAGAGGGAAATGGGAAAAAGGAAGAGGGAAGGAAAAGAAGAGAAGCAGAAGCCGGGAGGGGAAGAAGCAAAGAAGCAACAGCAGCAGCAGAATCCACATTCCCTGCAAGAAGCATGAGAACAAAATGTTGGTGGATATAAGAGCAATTTCTCTCCATCTTTTCTAAGTACCATGATCTTGAAATGGTAGATAAACAAAAAGCAAGAATTTAGGTGGGGCATTAAGAAAATTTCAGCTGGAGTTCATGGCCCTCCTCCTCCCAAGAGGTGTTTTCACACATGGACTCAGAGGTTTTGTGGACCTTTTAAATTCACATGAAGTCCTGAGTGTGTCATTTCCCACACAGACATTTTTCAGGAGAATCAGAATTTTCAATGAGCCATAGATCTGAAATATGAAGCTTCACTGTCTTAAAAGAAGTTGCTAGCCACCAGGATAGATTACAGAGTAGGCATCTGAAATGTCTTTCCTGACAGATCTTTACAAATAGTCTGTTTATTAGAAAATATTTTGTCATTAATGTTAAATTTCTTGAACATTATATTAGTCTTGTGGTTATGCACAATATCCTTATTTTTAGTAGGTGTATATTGAAGTACTTACGGGTATAGTTTTCTATCTTTGATTTTCTTTCAAATGATTCAACCAAAAAAAGTGCATGTGTGGACACTATATATAGACAGCAAAAACATTACAGCAAATGTGACAAAAATATTAAAAATTGGTGAGTCTAGGTGAGGGATATATGGATATTCATTGTGCTATTCTTACAAATCGTCTGTAGTTTTGGAATGTTTCAAAATAAAATGCTGGGGATAAAGAATAAGACACATACTCAAAAATCTTTTGATCATCTAGGCAGAAAGACCGTTTCACACCTATAATTGCAAAAATCCAGGCTACCCTCAGATTTCTCCAGAATAATATCCACTGTTAAAATTTAAAACTATGATAAACTAACTTTATCTTAAGGGAAAAAACTTTAAACCAAGAATTTTACACCCAGCTAAACACTGATTTAAAGAAAAAAGGAAGCGGTAACATACTTGCAAAGGGCCCTTCTTGAAAAAGTACTAGAGGATATATTTCAGCCAGCTAAAAGGTGAAAGTAGAAACGATGGAAAGGGAATGGATATGATTATTTAACTGTAATATAATGTAAGTATTACCTGAATACTGAAATAAATCAAAAGATTATAGTTACAAAATGAAATGTGACTGTTAAAAGACTGATGATGAATAAATACAAATAAAAATATTTGGTAAAAGAATAAAGAGAACACGGAAGGTAGTTTAAGTATACAGACTTTCTCATCTTTAATATAACAAGTTCAAAAGAGATAAAAAGACTAAGTTAAAAGTAGGATAAGTATATTTTAAAACACAAAGGCAAACATTAAATAATATCAACTAAAAATCAGTGGCAGAGAAGTTCGAGAAAGATAGATTTAGTTGAAATATACTAATTTCATCATTGTCTATAAAGTGAATTTTTAAAAATCAGTTAAAGCCGACAAAAAGAAAGCATTTGAAGGATTTGACAACGATACATAACTAAAATGTTTAATTAATTGAGAGCCTGTTAACCTGATAAAGTACACTATTTTAAAAAGTGTTATTTAAATGAGAAAATATCATAAGCAAACTCTTAAAATCAGGAATACAACAAGGATGTCTACTAACATAACTCCTAGTCAGCTTGAAGTAGAGGTTCTAGCCAGCACAAAGCCAAGAAAAAGGGGGAAAAGGCATATGGTCTAGAAGAGGGAATAAAAATGTAATTATTTGTAGATAGTATGGTACTTTAGAAATATGAGGAGAGCTCAGCAAAGTGGAAAAATTAAAAGCCAGTATAAGAGTCAATCATGTTTCTACATATCAGCAACAACAAATTAGAAAACATGAGTTTGAAAGATACTATTTATTATAGCAAGAATATTAACAAAATACCTAGGAATATACCTAAAAAAAGATGCTCTAGACCCACACATAGCAAGTTAGAAAATGCTACTGAAAGGCATTAAGGAAGACTTAACAAATTGAAGAGATGATCTGTATTCATAGACAGGAATACCTAATATTGTAAAGCTATCAATTGATCCCAAAGCGATTCATAGATATAATGTAATTCTAAATAAAATTCCAATATACACATCTTGAAACATGACAATTTGCTCCCAAAAGTTACACTGAAGAGCATATGACCAAAAAGAGAGAAGAAATTTTCAAAGAAAAATTATTGACATGGGTAGGGTAGGGTGGAAACTGTTCTACCAGATATGAAGAGTTATTTTCAAGCTATAATAATTAAGAAGTCATAATATTGGCAGTAGTATTAAAATTACAGAGAACAAAACAGAAAGACAATGAAACTTACTCACACAACAACAAAATTAAAATACTATTTAACTTGATGAAACATAGAGCCCACAACAAAGAGCTGATGTTTATGAGTACCTATTTGCCAGACAACACAGCAATAAGATGAATGAAACAGATAAAATGCATGAAAAATAGATGAAAAAATTAATAGTGGGAGTCTTTAATCAGTTCCCTTGATTTTAATTTTTATCAGATAGATAAAACCAAAGACATTAAAAAACTTAAATGACATGATCAGATAGCTTTAGTTACTAAAACACATACTGTAAAGAGAATTCCCTTTCATTTTAAGTATACGTGCCAATAATACAATAAAACCAAACGTCAATTACAAACTCAGAAAACCAAACTCTAAGATTCAGAATGTATATTTTTCTGGAAGAAGATAATTTACTATCACTGATCTCAGGATATATAGCAAAAATATAAATACATCATTTTTCATAGAAGAAATAAGGGAAATAATCTAGAGGCTTCTTTCTATTAAAAAGCACCAGGCACAGGTGTTTTCATAGGGGAATTCTGCAAACTCTCCAGGTAATTCTAATGTGATTTTAAACTGTTCCTGCATATAACATAAAGAAGACCTTCCCAATTGTTCTAAGCAAAATGTTTTCTTAAATCTTGATACCCATAAAAACCACACTAGAAAATAAATCTAGAGATCAATCTCACTTATAAATGTTCATGAAAAAGACCTTATAAAATATATTTAACAAACAGAATCCATGCTTACAAGTAAAAGAATATTGCATCTGATTAAGTGGGGTTTATGCTACTAATACAAGGATTATTTTCATTAAGAATAAACTTGGGCCAGGCACGGTGGCTCACTCTTATAATCCCAGCACTTTGGGAGGCTGAGGCAGGAGGATCACTTGAGGCCAAGAGTTTGAGACCAACCTGGCCAACATGGTGAAATCCTGTCTCTACTAAAAACACAAAAATTAGCCAGGCATGGTGGCACACACTTGTAACCTCAGCTACTTGGGAGGCTGAGATGGGAGTATTGTGGGAGAATCAGGAGGTGAAAGTTGCAGTGAGCAGAAATCATGACACTGCGCTCCAGCCTGGGCAACAGGGTGAGACCATGTCTCAAAAAAAAGAATAAACTCAATAGATGCAGGCTGTAAAAACATTTTATTAAATTTAACATCCAAAAAATATTTGATATCCTTTTTTAAAAAAAATTGGAACAAGGGTTTTTTTAATATCTAATATAAATAGGTATTTACTTAAAATAGATATATGTATGTGTATACACACCCACACATGCACATCTATGAATAGTGAATACATTTTCCTTAAATTCAGAAACATGACTAGGATGTCTACTCCTGCCACTATTATTTAACAAGCTGGTAAGTACCAGCCAAAGCAATCAAAAAAGAAAGCAATTAATATGTATAACAACTGGAAAAGAGTAAATAAAATAATCATTATTCATAGGTGATATAACTGTATAGCTAGAAAATACTTGAGAATAACTTAAAAATTATTGCAAATAATAAAAAAGTTTAGTAAGATGACAGCGTACAAAATTAGTACATGGAAATAAACAGCTATCATATATAAAAACAACAACAAGAGAATCTAACAGAAGAAGGGATCCAACACAACAGGGATAGGGATATGCTTAACAAGAATTGTTCAAAATCTATATGACAGTATTCTGAAACACAACTAAAAGAAGAAAGAAAAGAACTGAATGAATGAAAAACTTACCATGAGTTTGAATAGGAGAAACTCAACTAAAATTACTAATGGGCTACAGGCCCCATGCAAGTCTGAAATCCAGTGGGGCAGTCAAATCTTAAAGCTCCAAAATGATCTCCTTTGACTCCATGCCTCACATCCAGGTTACGCTGATGCAAGAGGTGGGTTCCCATGGTCTTGGGCAGCTACACCTCTGTGGCTTTGCAGAGTATAGCCTCCTTCCTGGCAGCCTTTGCAAGCTGGCATCAAGTGCCTGTGACTTTTCTAGGTACACGGCATAAGCTGTCAGTGGATCTACCATCCTGGAGTCTGGAGATGGTGGCCCTCTTCTCACAGCTCCACTAGGCAGTGCTCCAGTAGGGATTCTGTGTGGGGGCTCCCAACACACATTTTCCTTCTACACTGCCCTAGCAGAGGTTCTCCATGAGGGCCCTACCCCTGTGGCAAACTTCTGCCTGGACATCCAGGTGTTTCCATACAACTTCTGAAATCTAGGCAGTGGTTCCTACACCCCAATTCTTGAGTTCTGTGCACTTGCAGGCTTAACACCATGTGAAAGCTGCCAAGGCTTGGGGTTTGCACCCTCTGAAGCCATGGTCCAAGCTCTATGCCGGCCCCTTTCAGCCATGACTGAAGGGGCTGGGATGCTGGGCATCAAGTCCCTAGGCTGCACACAGCACAGGGACTCTGGGCCTGGCCTACCAAACCACTTTTTCCTCCTAGGACTCCAGGCCTGTGATGAGAAGGGCTGCTGTGAAGACCTCTGACATGCCCTGGAAACACTTTTCCCATTGTCTCAGGGATTAACATTTGGCTCCTCATTACTTTTGCAAATTTCTGCAGCCAGCTTGAATTTCTCCTCAGAAAATGGGATTTTTTTTCTATCACATTGTCCGGCTGCAAATTTTTCTAACTTTTATGCTCTGCTTCCCTTATAAAACTGAATGCCTTTTACAGCACCCAAGTCAACTCTTGAATGCTTTGCTGCTTAGAAATTTCTTCCACTAGATACCCTAAATCATCTCTCTCAAGTTCAAAGTTCCACAAATCTCTAGGGCAGGGGCAAAATGCCACCAGTCTCTTTGCTAAAACATAACAAGTGTTACCTTTGCTCCAGTTCCCAACAAGTTCCTCTTCTCCATCTGAGACCACCTCAGCCTGAACCTTATTGTTCATATCACTATCAGCATTTTTGTCAAAGCGATTCAACAAGTCTCTAGGGAGTTCCAAACTTTTCCACATTTTCCTGTATTCTTGTGAGTCCTCCAAACTGTTCCAACCTCTTCCTGTTACCCAGTTCCAAAGTCACTTCCACATTTTCAGGTATCTTTTCAGCAATGCCCCACTCCTGGTACCAATTTACTGTATTGGTCCATTTTCATGCTGCTCATAAAGACATGCCCAAGACTGGGCAATTTACAAAAGAAAGAGGTTTATTGGACTTACAGTTCAATGGCTGGGGAGGTCTCACAATCATGGCAGAAGGCAAGAAGGAGCAAGTCACATCTTACGTGGATGTCAGCAGGCAAAAAGAGAGCTTGTGGAGAGAAACTCCCATTTTTAAAACCATCAGATCTCATGAGACCTATTCGCTATCATGAGAACAGCACAGGAAAGAGCCACCCCCATGATTCAATTATCTCCCACCCCCCACAACGTGTGGGAATTATGGGAGCTACAAGATGAGATTTGGGTGGAGACACAGAGCCAAACCATATCAATATCTAACATAACAATTCAGTTTTATAGCAAGAAGAAAAAGCCTAGAAATCCAAAAGAAAAATAAAATTAGATTAATGTTTTTCTTTCAACAGATTGGTAATAACCAAAAGGTTTGTTCATATAGCACTTAGGTAGTAGTATGGGAAACAGGTATTCTCGTAGTCTGCTAGTAGGAGTGGCAATTGATAAAATTTCTATACATACAAATTTGATAATAGCTACTAATTTTTAAAATGTCAATGACCTTTAACTCAGAAATTTTACCTCTGGAAATTTGTCCCTTGGATACATAGTGTATGTATAAGATTATTCAATGAAGAATCATTTGTGATAGGAAAAGACTGAAAATTACCTAACTTTCCAGTAACAGGGGATTATTAAAATAACCTTTATATATTTGTAAAATTGATCACTGCTAACGGCCTAAAAGAATGAGTTGGCTCTATGTATGTTGTAATGGAAAAATCCCCCAAGAAATATTGTTAAGTGAAAGTACAAACACAGATTATTTGTGTAAAGGAAAAGGGATACATTTGTAAATTCTTGTAGCAGCATTGAATATCTCCGAATGCTATAAAAGAAGCTGATAACCACAGATATATCTAGAAATGGGTCCTAGATGGCTGGAAGAAGAGCCTTTCAAGTATGAAATATGCGGGCGGAACTCTCAAGAGTCCTGGAAGAAGATAACTTAAACAACTGGGCTCAGAAGGATTCCCTGATCTCAAGGGCTCTGACAAGTCCTAGGGTCACTAGGGCACCTGGCAACTAGATTTGTTTGTACTTTAAACAAAGTATGAAGGATACTTTGTTTTCACATTGTGAATTTTTCATTTTTGTAAAATTTCATTGTACCTTTATACTGGTACCACCATTATATCGGTGGTAATAACCACAGTTGTTATGGTAGCTTCTTTTGGTTCAACTAACCAGAAAACTGCTGGAAAAAAAAATCACTTAAACTGTGAGAGACAAAATTAAGCCTTCCATGGAATTAATTTTATGCAAATTTATACTTTCTTACTTTTTGAATATAGTTTTTACATTCTCTCACCAAACGCACAAAAATATATTAAGAAAATAAAAACTTTTCTATTTCCAGAATTACTATTAATGTGATGGTATCACCAGTTAATTTAATAAAAACCATTTTAAGAAACTATTCAATATTCAATAACATTTAGTACAGCTAATAGAAACTAACCCACAGCCTAAGTGCCTTTACTTACCACTCACACAGGAAATGTAGCACATCTCTCACAAGCAAGAATTGCAATAAGGAAGAAAGTGGAGAACACGGTTTTAGAAGAGCACACAACCAAAGATTTTGGACCTTGATATATTTAAGTAAATATTCTCAGATGTTTTATTGATCAATTTGAAGCAAATATCTTTTCTTCTATGACCAAAGAAAGCTAATGAGCCTGTTGCACAACATGTAGACTCAATTTATGAAACTTGCAAAGCCATGTCCTCAGTAAATGTTAATCCCCCAAACATGAAACCTGACAGTTGAAAAGATGACACAGAAAGCAAAACAAAACCAAGCATGTGCATTTTTTTAGCAAGAAAAGGATCACAATAACATTCAGTTATTTTCAGCCCTTCCTGCTGAGTCCCGCTGAGCCCTTGCTCAGTGATGGTCCACTAACCATCACTCACAGCTAGACCTTGCTGTTCCCCCTTTGAACATAAACAATGTCACAGAACATCACATCAGACAAGGTCACTCTGTGACCATGACGAAGTGAATCAAAAAACAAGACCACTTCACAATTTTGTCTAAGCATAGATAAAAACAACAAGGTCACTGTGCAAACCACAAAACTGCCAAACACCCTCTTTCCTAATATGAGTGACCACTACTTCTTTACTAATTATGGCTTTGACTCACTCTAGTCTTCCTGCTCTGTTGTTAACATTTAAGATAGTCAGTCATAGAGTTATCCCTGCTTCTGGACAGCTTCCAATCCAGAACAAAGATTCTCTTCTACAAACCTTCCCCAAGTCCCCATCTCTTTCTGAGATGCCACTGTTCTGCCTGATGTGTCATCTTCCCCTTTCACTGAGCAATGAACCCAACTTGCTCAGCTATAGTGTTTCTTAGTGGTCTTTGGCTAGAGAGCCAAAATAATTGTCTACTCCCAAAGACTTCCATTTCTCTCCTTCAACTCTGTCTTAAACCCACCCGCATCAGACTTTCATCCATACTGTGTCACCGAAACTGCTCTTGTCATCATCAGTGACTTCCCAGCTAAATCCAGTGGTCATTTTCCAGTTCTCACGTTACCGGACCCATCAGTAGCATTTGAGACAGATCACAGCTTCCTACTGATAACAGTTCTTCCCTTGCTTCCACAATGCCTGATATTCCTCCTCCCTCACCCGCCACTGTGCATTAATCACCTTTTCTGGATTCTGCCTTGAGGGCTTAGGTCTCCAACTTCTACCTACACTTACTCTTTTTGTGATCTTTAGTCTCATGCTCATAAATATCATTTATGCTGATTCCTTGAAATATATGTGTGTGTATATACACACATATCAATCAGAGTAGAAGTCTGACTGACCTGGAATGAATATACATTCATTCCATATTTATTCCACTGGAATACATTCATTCCAGGTCAGTCAGAGTTCTATCCTGCAACTTGAACTCATATATCCAATTATTTTCTCAACATCTCCAATGTTTAGATGTCCAGTAGGCATCTTACACTTGACATTTCCAAAACAGAGGTTCTGATATTTCTTTCCTTTAAACATGGAGGATACCTGAAATTCTATCCATCTCAGTAAATGGCAGCCCCATGGAAGAAGTTGCTCAGGCCCAAAGCCTTGGAGTCATCTTTGACTCTCCTCTGCACTTACACCCCCATATCACTCTGCACCTATCAAATTAACCTCCCAAAAATACCTGGAATGTACCTGCTTTTATAATCTCAGCTGCCACCTCCCTCATCCAATTTGATATCATTTCTGACCTGGCTTCTTGAATAACTTTCTCCCTTACCTGCTTCTGATCTTGATTCCATTCATTCTGGTTGCCACATACTGGCTGTGTTTAGCATTTTAAAACATAAGTCAGATGTGTTACTTCTCCATATGAACCCATGCAGTGGCTCCCCATCTCACTCAGAGTAAAGCCAAAGCCTATACAAGGATCTACATGATCTGCTACCGACGCACATACAAACCTACCTCCGTGACACTGAGTTATTCAAGGCTCAGACTTGGAAAAATAATCCCATTATTTAAGTGCATTCAGAAGATTAGAACTCAAACACAAAGTTTTAGAACAAAGAAAAGGTTTTTGAATTTAAATCAATGAGCACGGCATATAGGATCTTTTTTATTCTTGTTTTTTTTCATTTAATTTAATTTAAAATTCTGGGATACATGTGCAGGACATGCAGGTTTGTTACATAGGTAAACATATGCCATGGTGGTTTGCTGCATCTATCAACCCATCACCTAGGAATTAAGCCCGACATGCATTAGTTATTTATCCTGATGTTTTCCCTACCCCTGACCCCCTGACAGGCCCTGCTGTGTGTTGTTCCTTTCCTTGTGTCCATGTGTTTTCATGACATATAGGATTTTTTAATCTACATGGCCTGATAAGAGACTAAGTTTGATGAATGACTGCCAGGTACCCTAGTGGCCCTAGGACTTACTTGTGAGTCATTACAACAGAGACTGCTTGGCCCCCAAAAGCCAAAATATGTACTATCTGGCTCTTTACAGGAACAATTTTGCCTGTCCCTCTATTAAATAGTATCTAAGAGCCTATGCAGCTCTAACATTTTATGAGAGAGACATACTTATCAGAGCCCTTGAGATCATGGGATCCTTCTGAGCCCAGTTGTTTAGGTTATCTTCTTCCAGGACTCTGAGAGTTCTACCCTCAACTCTCAGATCCACATCTACCTTTCATCCCACGCACTGTGCCTCACCACAGCTTCCCAGAAAAAAATCAGCAAATCCACACCAGGTTAACTTCTGGGCTTACATATCTCACAGCTGCTTTGCACCAAGGCTTATCCTAGCAATCTTGAAGTAAAATCTGCTAAATGTGGCTATTTCTTTATTCGACAAACAATATATGAGTTAAAGTAACAAGAATGATAATCACAAAATGTTAGAGGTGCATGGGCTCTTAGATATTATCTAATCCAGGGACAGGAAAAATTGTTCCTGTGAAGAGCCAGATAGTACATATTTTGGCTTTTGGGGGCCAAGCAGTCTGTGTTGTAATAACTCACCTCCGCCAGTATAGGGCAAAAGCAGCCACAGAAAATATGCAAACAAATGGATGTGGCTGTGTTCCAATAAAACTTTATTTACAAAAATGTGCATCAAGCTGGATTTGGCCTGTGGGCTATAGTTTACAGACCCCTGGTCTAACCCAAGTCAGTCATCTCATACATGCAGACAAAGTAATTTGACACAAAGAGTAAAGGGTGACTCCTGTTCCAGATGGAACAGGACAGTCTCAGTGTATGTCTATTGTCTCAGTATAATTATTACTCTGTCCCCTTTTACTCTCAAAAGTATCCCAGACTGAATAGTAAACTACATGGTCACCAATTGTAATGTTATGTAATTCAACTTATGTAAATCCCATATTTCTCATGTGTTAACAGCGCCCTAGAAATAATTCAAAATTGAGTACATATATGGCACAGATAACACTATTATTTGAAAAGTGACCAAAGTTTGTTAAGGAGGGCTGCAATATTGCTCAAATTTTTAATAGTCCAATACTAATTCATTTTCTAAAATTCAGTAAGTAATTTTGGATAATGGAACAAAAGATTCAATATATTGTTACATGCTACATAAGTATAATGTAATTTAATTACTCAAGAAAAATATCAAATAGTTTTCTTGTGTACAAACAAGACATCTTTTGAAACACTAATTGCATTAAATATTTGGAAAACTGTGGGCCAAATATGTTCCATGTCATCCTAAGTTATACCATTAGTCTATCCTTTGACACACTCCAAAAGTTTCCTTCTTCCCACTGAACACGCTTTCTTAAAATATTCTGACATGGCTTCAAAGTCAAGTACGACCATAGATAGAGGCATTTTCTAGTCCTGAGTGTCAGAACAAAGCACTCTGGGTCTTAACGGGAAGCAGAGGCTTCATGGGATTGCATTTTTTTCACTGTGCCCCTGACTCTTGCTCCACCCTGGTTTGTGCCTTTAGATTGGCTCTGGAGTCTGAAGACACACAGTAGAGCTGCCCACACACAACACAAGTCACAGTTAACCCAGTGTTTCATCAGCAGCATCTGTGAATGAGTTCACCACAACCTGTTCTCTGGCAGAAGTAAGATAGATTTGGTCCTTACTGATGAAGCATAAGGTTGTAATTGGGACAGTCAATGACAACATGCCTGTGAGCATTGTTTGATGTTTGAGAGGATTTACCATTTTAAATAGCTTTGAAAAGTGTGCTGAGTATGAGATTTATGTTTTTAGAAGAAATTACATTTAGGAAGTAACTTTACTCATAGATGAAATATTTAATTTTCATGATGGAGATATTTGGAATAAGCTTGGGGGATGATTCCAAATTAAAATCATAAAAGTTTATTTCACAGTTTAAAATATATCTAGCACTTTTAGCTTATCCTACTGAACATGGGCCTGAGGCTTACAAATCATTCAGTCATCCTCTGCCCAAAATAAAATCTTATCTTTGGAGACATCTGTGTGAGTGGTTGAAATGCTCAAGGGCATACAATTTTTCATGGCTATTGTTCCCAGTTAAAATAGAAAAGTACAAACAAATTAGCCTTATTTGAGACCTTCAGGTAGGGGCAGATTATGTGCTTTATAATTTATAAAACAGGCTATTTTTCCACACTTTCCATATACCATTCATTTGACTTAGATTCTAAGCTACTTGAGAGCAAAGGCCATATTCTGTTTACAAGTTTCTCAGGAATTCCCTAGTCATGCCAAGAATTCTGGTTGGAATTGACTGCCCAGCTTTTAATAAATTCTTAATTACCACAGGTTTCATCTAAATCATTATCAATGCATACATTAGAATGTGCTAGTAAGTAAATGACCACTTCTCAGTTCTTCCAGGAATTTTCATGGCTGACAAATAGGCCACAGATGAATCGTGAGGCAACTGACTTATGGCACTGAGCATTTCCAGACCACACACCTGTAAGTTAAAGAGATAGAAAAACAGGAAAGGACTAACAGGCCTGCCAAACACAGTCCACACCTTCCAATCTAGTAGATACACCAGGGACTCAACACGCCGCAGCATCCTCCGGTTTACACCATCCCCAATCTTGAAGCGATACTGAAGCTACTCTAAGATTCAAGAGCAATGCTGTCTTTCTTCTCACTACAGTGCCAATCTTGAGTGGGCAGAATTTGCTGAAGGGAAACTCTGAAGGGTAAATCAATGAGATAGGAGTAAGGATGGTATTGAGGTTAAGGAGATGGATGAAGCAGATGAGCATCCACCAAAATCTGTTCTCACCTTTGAGCATGTGGCCAAGATAGTATAGAGAAGACACTCAGCCCTGGCAAAGAAGAGACACAGGCACCGAGATCCCATGGCCTCATACATCTGGTATACTCCCTCCTCCCTTCCCAAGATGACCCAAGTCACATAGCAGAAAGCTGTCCCTTCCTAACATTGCTGATTATGCTAAATTTCTAACCATCAGAGGAAGAGTCTAACCATTTATCTCCTTGACTAATGCCCCTCAAGGTTGCTAAAGCAAGAGTCAAACATCCCTGAACCTGACCATCTTCCAAGGTTACCGAAGCGAGACTCTGGCATTCCCGATAAGAACCGGACCGGATCCAGCCGACTCAAGACAGGATGGACTCCAGCACTGACCTTTCACTGAGTTTTTCTGCATTATAATCCCATTATAATACTAAAAATCACACACAGGGGTGGAGATTAACATGCTATGAGACATGTGACCCATGAAAAGACATGTTATCAAACTGCACAGGTGCTAAAGGTTATCTGCCTCTACAGGCCTGCATGTCGCTCCTTTTCCCACCTCAACTTCCTTAAAATGACCAGAGCCAAGCCCTTCAGGGAGTCAGGACCTCTTTCCCTGACTCGAGCCACAAGCCTATTAAAACTTCCCTGAGAAAAATTTACGTTTAGACTGGTGTTAATTTCTATTTATACAAGAGCCAAGAACTCGGTGGTCCTCCCTGCAGTAATAGCTAAGGTATATTACGCAGCCTCTCTCTCTCAGCTATGTGCGGCCATATGACTAAGTTCTCAACAATTCAATGTGGGAAACTGAGATCTGCTATTTTCTTAGAGCCTGAGCCTTGAGACAGTGCCCTTTCTTTTTCCAGAGGGATTAGTGTGAGCAGAACAGGGAGCCTACCTCCATCTTGGCTAATAGAATTGGGACTTCTACATGTTCACAAGGTATTAGAGAGGAAGCATCCACGCCTTTAAAAAAAATCTAGACAAACTACATTTAACAGTTTATTTGAACACATAATGATTTATGAATTGGGCAACATGCAGAACCAGAAGAGGTTCAGAGACCTCCACTGCAGCGGCAAGGCAGCAAGTTTTAATAGGCTGCATGTCGAAGAAACACACAAAAAACATATTGGATTGGTTAGGATGGAAAGCACCTACTAGAAATTAGTTAGCAGTTTGTGATTGGTAAAGTCTCTAGTTTTGTTTTATGGTCTACATTGGGCTTCAGCTTGCTCACATAGGAACTGAAAGTGCCAGAGCTGCGCCAGCCTAATGGTCTCCCAATTCAAAAATTTTTAATAACCCTCTAAGATCTCATTCTTCCAAATGGAAGGGTAATGATTTATATGATTGGTAAAATTGGGCACAAGATTCCTTCTTCATGCCTGGCCTAGTCCAGTGGCTCTCATTATGGATACTGTCCTACCCTCAAGGTGTACATCACCTTTTTATTAAGTTACCCCTCCTCCTAGCCAATGAATATACCTGGGTCAGGAGTCAGACCCACCTTCTTTGGATAGACCTGGAAGCCATTTCTTTTGGCTTCTGCTTTCCTGGACTTAATGAATACAACTTAGGCTGCCATTTTCAGGGCAGCCCTTTGGGTAAGTGCCCTCACAAATGGCACTCTTCAGACATAACTCTTTTCAGGAACAAGCCTCCAAGTCTAGATTGGAAGGAGAGGAAGTAGTTGAAAGCACTCTTTTGACTTTGGGCCCAAACATAGTCTCTCTTCAACTCACCGGATTTACCATGTTACAATCCTCACCTTACTTTTGGGTGTATTTCTCAATTTGGTTCAGAACGTTAAGGGAAACAGGGATTTAATTGTTTGACACTTGTATATTTCATATAAGAGGGCAATACCATAAAGAAATATTACAAATTTTAACAAATATTTATTTGACTACATCATCTCTGCTTTGAGAAATATGAATTTTGACTCGTTAGGGTACCACGTGGATATAATAATTTTTTGTTGATTGATGATTATTTGACATGATTTATCAACAGTATTAAAAATGTGCTGTGGGTGAGACAGCTATGAGTCCACCAACAATTCATGCTTCCCTTTACCATAGGGTAGAGTGGCTAAGCCAGCCAGAGTCATTTCCTAGCTCCCCTGACATCTCTGCAAGGCCATGTGCATCGTTCTCACTGTGGAATGAGAGTGGATATGAGGAGCATCTTTTCTGTGCCAAGGAGCATAACGAATGTGCCTTCCTCACTCAACCTCTGTTCCTCCTTCCACTGGCCTGAAGCAGATTAGTGTGATAACCCCGGAGGCCATGTCCTGAAGATGGTAGAGCTCAGTACAGCTTAGAGGAGGGCAATTAGCAATACCCACATTGAAATCTGAGTAAGAAACTTTCGCTGTATTTTACCATTATCCATTTTTAGTGTACTTGTTACAGCAGATAGCACACCCTGACTAACAGAAGTGTGTAGTGTTGTAGCCACAATTCTACTTGTAGGCACTGATCCAAGGAAATACAGATACGAAAAAAATTCATGTACATAAATAATACATTACAGTATTATTTATGATCATGAAGCAACTTGGAAACAACCTAAGAGTCATACAAAAGTACTTCATTAAGTAAATATATTTATGATAGAATACTTTTAAGTATTTAAATTTTAATTTTAAATTGAATAATATAGTAATTGTTTGAAAAATAACTCTATCACTTAACAAAGTAGTTGCCACACTTTAGGCACTATTCTAGGCACTTTCATTGGCAATAACCCTGTAATCTACATTTTATGGATAAGAAAACTGACACACAGAAGTAAAGTAACTTAGCTTAGGTCACACAGCCAATAGATAGCAGAGCTAAGAAAAGCACATAAAATAAATAATATGTGAAAATGCCTGTTAGAAATGAAGACTGAAAAGCAGAGAGCAAAATAGATATGCATTCTTATCCCTATTGTTTTGTGTGAGAGAATTGGGTCAACTGGTGGACATTCATGCATTCACTTCCATTCAGAACTATTTACTGAGTGCTTACCACATGCCAGGCATTGCTCCCTGATCAGGAAAATGACTGAAGTCATAGGCTTTACATTCACATAAAGAAAACATAAGAAACAAATAAATATATAATAAAATGTTAGCTTGATAAATTCTTTGAAGAAGTCAAACTGGGTTAAAGGACAGAAGCTGACAGAAGGGGGTGCACTTTAGAAAGGACACCAGGTACTCACGCCGAGGACTCCGCTTCTCCTGTGTAAATTTGCCAACCTGGGGTTTCAGGCCTACCAGGACCTAAGTCTATAAACCACACCATTCAGCCACAGGAGAGGGGTAGCCCTAAAAAAAATGGACTGGATGTCAGAGGTCAGCAGGCACAGGGATGCTGGCAGGGAGACTGTCCCTGCCTTCTCCTCTGGGACTCCTGGCTGCATGGCGTGGCCAGCAAGGAATCCCTACCGCTGTGTGTCCACGGGTGCAGAAGGGAGGTTGGGGTTGGTGGGGAAGAAGGGGAAGAGGGTTAGGGGCCGCCACGTGGTGCGCATGTGATAAGGCCCCTAAGCGCGGCCTGCCCTTCCCCGGAGGAGCCCTGCACTGCGTGTTCCCATTTCCAGAGCAGCAGCGCCATCCTCCGGATGCCTGAGGAAGTGCGATTACCTGCCCGCAGTTTTGTGTGCGAGTGACGGGTGGAGGCCAGTTTGAGTGGAGTCTTCATGACTCAAAGGTGAGGCTGCGAGGAGCCGCCAAGGTCCATGTGGGTCCTGAAGCTGGGTTTGCACAGCATTGTTTTGATGAACACTGGATGTCCACGCACCAGGTGGGGCCCAGGGGCTGTCTCTGCTCCAGAGCCCCATGACTTGCCTCCTCAACTGGATTGTAAGTTTGTTAAAGGTAGGGACTAGTGTGCCCACGTCAGTGGCTTTATAAAATGTTCAATGCACATTCAATAAATAAATGAACAAAGGGTAAAAACAACAATTTATTTAAATATAATAGTTTTAATTATAATTGAATTACTAAAAGATAAAACAAACTTTTGTACATATCAAAAGTGTTTTACGTTTTTTATTGTATCACCTACTCTTAGAGATTGTACTTATGAGATTCTACACGAAAAATGCTATTTATTAGGCATTTCCCAAGCACACAGTCGATGGTAGTTCTTATTATCGTTGTTGTTGTTTTAAAAAAAATTATACTGTGTTGACTCTAAAAAGATTTAAGGAGGTTTACAGAGATTAAAAAACAAGAAAACATAATGTTCCCTGGCTTTTTCTGCCATTTTATTGAAAGATTCAGAATTGTATTGTCACTGCTGGTTGCTCTGTAAAATTAGCAATCCTCAGGAGTTTATCCACTCCAGCAGCATCTTTTAAAGATCTACTATGTGCCAGAGACTTCTCCAGGCTCTGAGGTGCCTGGGTCACATCTAGGTAAGAGGAAAATTGAAAAGTGACTAAATTATAAAGGAAAGCCAGGAACCACTTACCCTAAAGGTCAGGCTGATGGTCCATGTTAAGCGGCTGGCTGGGGAGGAGTACATATACATATACATATACATATACATATACGTATACGTATACGTATACATGTACTCATCATCAATTTTACTGATATGAAGCATTGCAGGACCTCATCTATAATTAGTAATAAAATGAGCAATATTCTTTTTCGTTAATTCCATAGAGCCAATTGATTCTCAGAGAATACTTTAGTTTTGCAGAACTCTTGTATCCATAGCCAACTTGCGGTTGAAACTGAAGCATAATCTGTAAAAGTGAGTTGCTTCCCAACTCACTATTTTCCCAGTGAATTTAATGCCATTAAAAGCAACATGTGATATGAAAAAAAACGAAAGAATCATAAGAGAAGGCCTTTCTTCAGGGGTTGTGTTGGAATGGAGATAAGGAGGCAAGTCCTGCAGAGTTCTGGGCAAGGATTCTGTTCCAGGCAGAGGGAAGTGCAAAACCTTGAGGCAGGATCAAACTTGGAATATTTGAGGAACAGCAGAAAAACCCGAGTTGCTGTAATGAAGTTCATGGAGAGAAGAGAGGGAGGAGGAAGCAGGCCCAGGCCACTCAAGGAAGGAGTCTGGATCTCTTCTGGGTGAGATGAAGTGTTGCCGGCTAGGTTCCCTGGGACAGACAATGAGGTGAAAATGTATGGGCAGGGAGTTTTTGAGACGGGATCTCAGGCATCTATACCTACAGAAGTGTGAAGGAAGCAAGATTTAGCAGAGGAAGAAGTTGAACTGTGACACAGCCTCTCCCTCTGGGAGCTCTGAAGTTAGAACATCCAATTCACTGCAGGCCATATATACTTGCATCGACCATCAATAGGTGTGAGCTGCCATGAAGGAAACCATGGGTGAGACAACTCTCTTCAAGAGAGGCAGGTCCTAAAGAAAGACTTAGCAGAAGACTGTCAACAGTCCTATCATCTGGAAGAATTAGTGCTTCAGCCCCAAAAATGGGTATCTGGAAAAACTGGTGCTTCAGCCCTAAAGACATCTGGTCAGTGCAACAGAGCATCTGCTATGGGAAGTTATTAGGGGGTATTGAGCAAGGAAATGGCATGATTGGAATCATACTTTTAAGGAACACTCTTGTTGCTACACTGAAAATGATTGTTGGGAGTAAGAGCACCAGTAAGGAGACCAACTAGAAAGTGAGTGGCCAATTTAGGCTTCTGACCCTGCACTGTCTAGAAAGTAAGCCAGGAAGCAGTGTGGAGCCTGCTAAATGTCCAAAGCAATTCCTTTGTCATATCAGGGAATCAGAACATCCATTGGAAGATCCTATTTATTATTTCAATATAAGCAAGAATATCTGCAGAAAGTTACAAGAAGCCCAGGAGACATCATCAGTCTCAGATCCAAGAGAGACAATGCCATGACCACTTGCAACAAATACAATAATAATTTGGTCCAGAAAACGGATGATCCTAAAAGGAAGGACCTGCACCATAAAGGTGGCTTTGCTACATCCATTTTAAAAGTAGGGAAATGGTGTGGCTGCTAATTCAAATTGAAATCTTTGGCCCAGGCTGCAAAAAACTTTACTGCAACAAAGTAAAATAGGTATATATGCAAAGTTCTAGTGAAATTTAATGCTAAATCATCTAATATATGAATTCATCAGATCATAGATTTAATTACTAAATATTTTGCCAATTTGGATCTTAAAATATCTCCCCTCGGCCGGGCGTGGTGGCGCACACCTGTAATCCCAGCACTTTGGGAGGCTGAGGTGGGCAGATCACGAGGTCAGGAGATTGAGACCATCCTGGCTAACACGGTGACCCTGTCTCTACTAAAAAATACAAAAACTTAGCTGGGTATGGTGTCAGATGCCTGTAGTCCCAGCTACTCGGGAGGCTGAGGCAGGAGAATGGCATGAACCCAGGAGACGGAGCTTGCAGTGAGCCAAGATTGGGCCACTGTACTCCAACCTGGGCAACAGAGCGAGACTCCGTCTCAAAAAAAAAAAAATCTCCCCTCAAGGAACTGGTTCTGAAACTTTTGTATGCATGGGAACCACTTTGGATGCTTGTTTAAAATGCAAATTCCAAGCTTCAACCCCAAAGACCTGGTGCAGGGTGTGGACCAAACACCCAGGATGACTCTGAGGAAGTTGGGTGATGGACAGTCGTGAGAAGCACCATCTAGGGAACATTCACCAGAAAGCAGAAGGCAGCATGAGCAATCGTATGCAAGTGGAAATAGATCTGTAATTGTTGTTACCATAAACAGCCTCTGTCCAAAAAAGTTGTCACCCTTCAATATGCCTGAGTTTAAAATTTTCCTCAGTCTCAAGGTTCTGTAAACCCAAGTTCATCATGCTAGCTGCAGAAAATAACAGCTGAAAGTGGTTAGCCAAAGGAAGTACCACAGACTAAATCACAGGAAGATGGGTAATCATGTGTACTTACTGCCGCATCTGCTGCAGTGCACAAGAAAGTTTTGGTTTCACACCGAAGAAAGAATAACTTAAAATCCCATAAATAATACATTGAAGAGAGAAAAGTCATTCTAGTGCTGTATCTGGAGAGGCCCTGCAAAGATAAAAGGCTCTGTTCAGTGTTTATCTTGCTGCCAGAGAACAAGGCAAGCAGTGAGGCAGGGTTGTAATTGACCCAAAAGCACATATGAGAAATGAACCAAGGAGAGTGTGCAGTTAAAAGCCTCATATAAAAAGAGAGCTGTAAAGTAAAAGTCCGGCAAATCTGCATTTCAAACGATATGAAAATATGTTTGATCTAGTATACCGATGCACTAAATTTGCATAAAATTCAACCTTTTGTCCTGGTGTGATTGGAAAGGTGCAAAAATTAATTTGAGGTTAAAGCTTTAGCATCCTATCTCTCTTAGACATAAAAAGGACATAATTAACCAGAACAGCTGGTTACAACCTTCATTGGAAACTCTGGGAAGCCAATGTATTCCATTACTGATCCTAGAAGGTAAAATCTACAACAGATATTGATTTGGTAATCCAAGATTCTTATCAATTCTGACCTACATAAAATCTAGTTGTCTTATAGTACCATGTAACTTGTGTCACAGCATCCATTTAATTGAATACTTATGTGAGTAGATGTTTAAAGCTGCCTCTGACTGAAGTTCTATTATCAAACCTGGAAGGAAGGAAGAAAAAGACTGTCATTTCATAATGGCTTGATACAGGAAATTATATTTAGTATAAAAGTTAATTATTAATCATATATAGGAGCCAAGAAATAAAACAGAACAAAAGTTATTACTTTGATATTTATAATGTTTTATAGATTTATCTTGTCAACTGTTTTTTTCTTGGAAAAATACTGTATTTAAGTTTTGTTTTATGCTCACCATCACTGGCCATCAGAGAAATGCAAATCAAAACCACAATGAGATATCATCTCACACCAGTTAGAATGGCAATCATTAAAAAGTCAGGAAACAACAGGTGCTGGAGAGGATGTGGAGAAATAGGAACACTTTTACACTGTTGGTGGGACTGTAAACTAGTTCAACCATTGTGGAAGTCAGTGTGGCGATTCCTCAGGGATCTAGAACTAGAAATACCATTTGACCCAGCCATCCCATTACTGGGTATATACCCAAAGGACTATAAATCATGCTGCTATAAAGACACATGCACACGTATGTTTATTGCGGCATTATTCACAATAGCAAAGACTTGGAACCAAGCCAAATGTCCAACAATGATAGACTGGATTAAGAAAATGTGGCACATATACACCATGGAATACTATGCAGCCATAAAAAATGATGAGTTCATGTCCCTTGTAGGGACATGGATGAAATTGGAAATCATCATTCTCAGTAAACTATCGCAAGAACAAAAAACCAAACACCGCATATTCTCACTCATAGGTGGGAATTGAACAATGAGAACACATGGACACAGGAAGGGGAACATCACAGTCTGGGGACTGTTGGGGGGTGGGGGAGGGGGGAGGGATAGCATTGGGAGATATACCTAATGCTAGATGACGAGTTAGTGGGTGCAGCACACCAGCATGGCACATGTATACATATGTAACTAACCTGCACATTGTGCACATGTACCCTAAAACTTAAAGTGTAATTTTAAAAAAGTGAAAAAAATAAAAAAATAAAAAAATTTTTAAAAAAAAAAGATTTTTTTTTACTCTTTTATTCTGAGCACACTCACAATGAATGGGAGGCAGCCCAAATAAAAAGGTGTCAGGATAAATCATGTTGCAATTTAAAGCTTACTGTATATAATCTGGAATCAGAATGTTAAAGTTAAATATGTAACTTCCACTTCCATCCTCGATAGAGTAACTGGGAGATACACCCTCCCACCAAAATCAACAATAAAACTGGACAAAATATTTAAAGCAATTTTTTTCAGGCATTGAAAAATAGGTATCACAGAACTATGATCCTTGAGAGAAGCAAAACATACAAAATAAACTGCATAACAACCTCAATTTTCTGCCTGCAGGCATATTCCTTCTGCAGCACATGGAGGTGGAGCCCAAGCAAAACACCAGTCTCAATGAACCAACATGAGAACAGAGTTACAGACTGCTGAAGTAGCTGGAATTTGTAGGGCAGGATATTAAATAAGTGACAGCAGCACAGAAGTTTGCTCCATAAATCATCATAAACCTTAAGTCTTTGGCCAAGGGCTGTGCTATGCATCTGCAGGACAAGATTCTAAAACATCTAGCAGAGATTACTGGCTCTGGGGCTGAGACTTGTATGGTGATACCAGAGGCTATAGAGTACTGAGAGATATTGGAGTTCCAGTCCAGTCATAATGGAGAGAGCTGACTAAGCAACAATATCCTTGAGTAAGGGCCATGGGTTAGGACAAAGTTCAAAACAAAAGACTTTCAGGACACAAAGGACTCATCATTAATTTAACTGACTACCAAAACAAAATTCAACACTTTTTAAGAAAAGGTGATGTAATCCAGACCACATGCAACATGTCCACATTGTTCAATATGCAACACAAAGTTACTAGACATACATAAGTAATAATGCATGGCATATAATCGGGGGGAAATTAATAGAAACATTTTATCCTGACCTAGATATGATTATAATTATATTCCAGGACTTAGAGGAAAAGATAGTCATAATAAATGCACAAGTGGTAAAAATTAGCAGAGAAATGGAAAACTATGGGGAAAAAATCAACAGTAAATTGTTAAATTTAAAAATATACCTGAAATTAAAAATTCACGTTAGGTTTAACAGCAGATTTTAAACAACACAAATAACTACTTAAATTTAAATCTAGATCAATGAAACTTATATGATAAGATCGGAAATAAAAAAGATTAGAAAAAGCAAACATAGCTTCAGTGACCTATGGTACAGCAATAAGTAACCTAACTGTAATTGAAATTCTACAAAAAGAGAAGGAAATGGGGTGAAAATTTGAAGAAATTAGAGTCAAAATTACCTATATTTAGTGAAAAACAAACTTACAGATCAATGAAGTTAGGAAACTCTAAGCTGAAGAAAAATAAAGAGCAACACAACTAACAAGTGTAGACACGTCATGGTCAAAGTATTAAACACAAAAGCCAAAGAGGAAAATCTAAAAATTATTTAGAGGGGTAAAAGAAAAAAAAAGACAGCTTACATAAGATAAAAATCAAGACATATACACAGATTTGTCATCAGAAACAATACACCAAGAAGACAATAAAATGATATACTTAAGGTGCTTAGAGAAATAAAAACCCTGCTAATCTATAACTCAATGTTCAATGAAAATATCCCTCAAACATGAAGACAAAATGAAAACTCACAGAAAGAAAATAGCTGAAAGCATTAATCATTAGCAGATCTGCATTGCAAGGATGAAAATGCTACCAGAATGAAAATTATGATCTAGACCAAGAAAGAAGAGTGCTGGAAATGGTAAATATTTGGGTAATATAAACCAATTGCTTTGTCTTTCCATTACTCCAAAAGAAAATTGGTTAAGGTAACATAAAAATAATAGTCATCATGAAATCACTAAAAAAAAAAAAAAAGCAATGAAACAGATAAAAATAGCTAATATTCCAGTAAAGGAAATAAAATATGTTGCTACAAACACTTAATTTATCTGAAAGATGACAATATAGGAAAAATACGAACAAAAAAGATAAATAAAAAACAAAATAGCAAGATGGCAGACATAAATCTATCCACATAAATAATCGTATTAAAAGAGTTTAATATTCCAATAACAATGCAAAGGAGCGTCACCTAACTATGAACTGTCTACAAGAAACCTACTGTGACTATAAAGTCACAAATCAAAAGTAAAAGGATGGAAAAAGATATATCTTGCAAAAACATATCATAAGGAAGCTGAAGTGGCTATATTAGTACCACACAAAGAACACTTAAGGTGAAAAACAGAGATATGGAAGCATAATACATTGTGATAAAAAAATTCAACAAAAAAGCATAACAATTCTAAGTATTTATGTATCTAATAACAGAGGTTTACAATATGTTAATTAAAAATTGACAGAAACGAAAGGAGTACACAAATCTACAATTATAGCTGAAGATATTAGCACACCTTTTTGGGTAATTGATTACTGATTTTAAAAATAGTACAAATAGAGAAGACTTAAAGAAATTATCAACAAACATGACCTATTAATATTTGTAGGACAGTATTTTAAAATTAGCAGGCTATACACTTTCCAATGTAAATGGAACATTTAATAAGATGGATCATATCTTAGCCATAAAACAAGCCTCTACAATTTAAAAAGTATTTAAATCGTATAGAGTATGTTCTCTGACTACAACAGAATTAGAGATCAATAAGAAGATATCTTGAAAATGTGAAAATATTTTGAAATTTTAAAACATACCTCAGTAATCTAGGGCTCAAAGAAGAAATCATGAGGAAAATTGGAAAATATTTGTGAGTGAATGATAATAAAAACACAACATATTAAAATGTATGGAATGAAGTTAAAGCAATATTTAGAGTTTGGTTCATATCCTTAAATGCTATACTGGAACAGAAGAGTCTAAAATCAATTACCTAAGCATCCACCCTAACAATCTGCAAAGGAAGTGTAAATTAAATCCAAACTAAATAGATTAAAGGAAATAATACAAGATAATACAGGATACAATAAATCATATTAAATGAAAATTGGTAAACAATAGCGAAAATGAATAAAAATAAAAGCTGATTATTTCAAAAGATCAATAAAATTTTAAAACTCTAACTAAACTGATCAAGGAAAAAGTCACAAATAACAATATCAGGAAAGTAAAAGGAGACTTCCATACAGATCTTACAGACATTGAAGATAATAAAAAATTGTCAAAAATTTGACTAAATGAAACATAAAAATTCTTTGAGACACAAATCATCAAAACTGACACAAGAAGAAATATAATATCTTAATAATACTATATCTAGTAAAGAATTGAATTTATCATAAACACACTTCACAAAAGAAAACTCCAGCCTTCAATGACTTCACCGGTGAACCAAATATTATAAAAATATTATTAATCTTCTACAAAATATTTCAGAAAATATAGATAGATGTTACATCATGAGCCTGGCACTGTCTTGATACCAAAACCAGACAAAGATTTACAGTGGAGGAATCTACAAGCAATATTCCTACAAACACAGATGCAAAAATCTTTTAAATGTATTAAAATATTAAATATAGTAATATATAAAAAGCATATTGTGGCTAAGCAAGATTTATCCCTGGATTATATGATTGATTTAATATTTAAAAATCAATGTAATCACAATATTAATAGAATAAAGAGAAAAACTCTGTAATCATTTTAATTTATGATTTAGAAAAAATGACATTTGACAAAAGTCCACATCAATTCATAATAAATACTCTCAGCGGTATAAAATATTAAAACAGAATTTCCTGACCCTGATAAGGTCACCTGCAAAAAGCCTACAGCTGACATCATATCATTAGTGAAAGACTGAGTGTTTGCTTCTGTGTTGGGTAATATGACAAGTAGTCCATCTCGCCACTTTTACTCAGCATTTTGCTGGAGAGCACAGCCAGAGTAAGGAGATAAGAAAGATCATTAAAAACAAAAAGGTTGGTAAGAAAAAGTAAAACTTATTCTATTTGAAGATGGCAAAATTGTGTGTAGAAAATACTTAAAAATCTACCCCCTAAAATTGCTATTTGAGCTAAGAGTGCCTGTAGCAAGTTAGTAGGACAACAAAGTCAATACACAAAATAATTGCATTTCTATACACCAGAAAAAAGCTAAAAAAGGTTTTTGAAAAATGCCCCATGTAATAGCATTAAACAACACGAAATACTGTGGGATAAAGTAACAAGACAGGGCCGGCCGTGGTGGCTCATGCCTGTAATCCCAGCACTTTGGGAGGCCAAGGCGGGTGGATCACAAGGTCAGGAGATCTATACCATCCTGGCTAACACGGTGAAACCCCGTCTCTACTAAAAACCCAAAAAATTCGGCGGGCATGTTGGCAGGAGCCAGTAATCCCAGCTACTCAGGAGGCTGAGGCAGGAGAATGGTGTGAACCCGGGAGGCGAAGATTGCAGTCAGCCGAGATCACGCCACTGCACTCCAGCCTGGGCGACAGAGCAAGACTCTGTCTCAAAAAAAAAGTAACAAGACATATAAGATCTGTACACCGAAAACTTCAAATTTTGCTGAGAGAAAATAAAACCTTAACAGAGAGATATTATTGGTTTATATTAGAAGATTCAGAAATGTCAGATTATCAATTATCTCCAATTTTATCTATAGATTCACTGTAATCCCAATGAAAATACCAGGAGGATTTTTGTAAAATTTGATTAAGTGATTCTACAATGTATTTCCAATATAAGGGTTCTACAATAGCCAAAATAACTTAAGGGGAAAAGAAAAACAAAATTGAACTACCCTAACTCATTTCAAAACTTACAGTGGAGCTATAGTAATCAAGGCAGTGTTGGCTTGGCATAAGGACAGACATTTTGATCAATGGAACTAGAGTCCAAAAATACACATCTGCCTGTGTGTGTGTATATGTGTGTGCGTGCATGTTGAAACTGATTTCCAACAGACCAACAGACACCAATGTAAGTCCATGGAGAAAAGAACAAATGTCTTTATCAGAAAATGATGCTGGAACAACAGGATAAACATATGGGGAAAAGAAATAAACTGTACACAAAAATTAATTTGAAGTGGATCATGGACCTAAACATAAAAGCTAAACCTGTTTATCTTCTGGAAAAAAATATAGGATATCTCTACAACTTTGCTGCAAACCAAGATTTTTTAGAGAGGATTGAAACATCAGTAACCAAAGGGAAAAATAAAGATAAGCTGAACCTCATCAAAATTAAAAGGTTGCTCTTCAAAAGTCACCATTAGGAAAATAAAAAAGCAGATCCAAAATTCGGAGAAAAATTTGCAAATCATATATATGACAAACGGAATTCAATAATTAGAAGACAAGTTAACAAAAAGAAAGACTTAAAGAGACACTTCATCATGAATTATATTTAATGGCCAATAAGCACAGAAAAAAAGTGTTCATCACTGTCAGTCATCAGGGAAATGCAAATTTAATCACAATGGGATGTCATGACATATTCACTAAAAAGGCTAACATTAAAATACTGACAACCACAAATCTTGGTGAGGATGTGGGGCAACTGTAAGTCTCTTACACGCCAATGGGAGTAAATCATGGTACAATTTACTTTGCAAAACAATTTGATAGTTTCTTATAAGTTTAAGTATACATCCATCCTATGACTTAACAATTCTTCTTCTAGATATTTACTTAAGATAAATGAAAACATGTACATACCAAAAGTAGTTATCAGTACATTTATAGTATTTTTATTCAAATGGATCACAACAAGAAACAACATAAATGCTTATTAAAGTAGCATAAAATAATAATTTGTTGTATAATCACACAGTAGAAAACTACTCAGTAATAAAAAGAACTATTTTTACACACAACAGAAAAGTGAGATGCCAGCAACAAAAGCATACATACAGGTTGAGCATCCCTAATCTGAAAATCCAAAAATCAAAATGCTTCAAAATCAGAAACATTTTGAACATCAACATGACACTGGAAGTGGAAATTTTCATACATAACCAACGTGACAGGTTATAGCCAAAACTTTGCTTCATGAACAAAACTATGTAAATTATTCTATAAAATTACCTTTAGTCTATGTGTATAAGGTGTACATGAAACATAAATGTATTTCATTTTAGACTTCGGTCCCATCCCCAAGGTATTTCATTATGTATATACAAATATTCCAAAATCTGAAATTGAAACAGATTGATACAAAATGCTGGTGCCAAGTATTTTGGATAAGGGATACTCAACCTGTACTGTAGTTTTATTTATATGACATTCAGAGCAGGCAAAACTAATTGGTGATAGAAATTGGAACACTGGTTACCTAAGTGAGTTGGAGATTGACTACAATGGAGTATGAGGGCACTTACTTTGGTGATAATGCAGTACTCTATATCTTTATCATGGTGGTGGTAAACAAAGTTCATCACATTTTACATTGAAGACCTAACCATTTCATCGTCTGTAAGTTTTACCTAAATTTTAAAAAAATACATTTTAAAAACTAAGATCCTATGATAATTGTCTGTTTTTATTATGGGTTTAATAATTTTAAAACCATTTTATCTTTCCCTAAATTAATTTTTTCCCATGTGTAAATTCCTCTGGGAAGGTATTGGTAAATTAACTTTTTTATACTGTTGGGATGCTAATTCACTGGGCTTACTCAAATTAAAAAAAGCAATTCGACTTTTGGATGTTATCAATTATCTCTTACTGACTTGAGTATTTCAGTCCTTTAAGGGAATGTTTAAATCAGTCCTTACAATCCCACAAGGACCTTTCTCTTTGTCACATATTTCTCAGACATCTCCTTACTATTTTCAGTTGTTGTTCCTATTTTTTCAATTAAAATTCTGAGACGGGTAGTCAGAAAACCTTTGGTAGAATGATCCATGAAATGGCATCATGAACTAAATGTAATCTTTATATCCCATAGTAATTTCATGGGAAGTGTTTTATGTCTCTATCAGGTTCTTGTTTTCCATAAAGAAAAAGCCTAAAAATAATTATTCTAAGGATGTCCTATAGCACTTAATGTTGGAGAATTGGATTTATAGTTCCAGAAACATATGCTATGCTCAAAACTGTTCAACTAAAATAAGTAGAATTAAATGGAAACCACCTGCTATCTAGTAGAAAAGAGTATTAGCCCTTCAGCATCAGGTGTTTAACGAATACTTCCAGCAATATTGCAAGACGAACATCAAAGGCCATTGCCTTTGTACCTCAAAGAAGGAAATTTATCCAGGAAAAAAAGTTGCTTTTTTAGTTGTTGGTGGTGGTTTTTTTTTTTGTTTTTTTTTGTTTTTTTGTTTTTTTTCCTATGGGATGTATTGCTACTTGTGCTTAAATTTGGTCTTAAACGGGCTAGAACCATGGCATTTTCTTTTGGCTGTTATACTTACTGATCATCTCCAAAATTATGCTAAAAAGCAGGTTAGGTTTAGTCTTCTGACACTATCATAAGTGCACTCGTTGATGTAGTATGTGACAGACACTACTAATCCAACATTACTGATGAGGAAACTAAAACTTAAGAAAAATTTGCTTTACATTTTCACGATGCCAGTTAAATCAGGTAATTCAAGTCTTCTAAAGTAGCTAAATCAATTTTTAAATACATTCAGGCAATGCATTAATCAAATTTCCAAAATTTGTGGTTTAGCAGCATGTAGGCACATCGTAAATAACGTATCAAGTTAAGTAGAAGTTCCTGCTTAATGCTCTGGTAAGTCAAAAGGCAAAGCACATTCTTTATTACTATTCTTATGGTTTTAAAGTTTAGTGAAGAAAATAATTTGGCCTGAAAACACCTTGTCATCATGGATGTAAAAATACAAAAAAGTTAATAGTAATATTTATTACTAGTACTAAATAATTGTATTATATTAATTATAACTAACATTTATGGAGCATTTATTATATGCTAGGGCCTATGTATACAATAGGTCCTATTATATCTTATTATAATAAGATAGTATAATATCTTATTTGTGCTAAAAGAAAAAAAAGGTGGGCACAGCCCACGGATAGTGAGCAGAAGTAGGGTGGGTGTTGCTTCACCTGGGAAGTGCACGGAGTAGGGGGGACCTCCCTCCTCCAGCCAAGGCAAGTGGAGAGGGACTGTCTTACCCACCAGGGGTACCACGCTTTTCCCACGGATTTTTGCAATCCGCAGATCAGGAGATTCCCTCATGAACCTACACCACCAGGGCCCTGGGTCTCAAGCACAAAACTGGGCAGCTGTTCAGGTAGGCACTGGGCCGCAGGAATTTTTATATGCTCCAGGGGTGCCTGGAACGCCAAGGAAACAGGAGAACCATCCACTCCCATGGAAATGGGGCTGGAGCCAGGGGACCAAGCGGTCTCACTCTGCGGTTCCCACTCCCAGGGACCCCAGCAAGCTAAGAACCACTTGCTTGCAATTCCCATTGCCAGCGCAGCAGTCTGGAGTCAGCCCAGGACGATGGAGTTGGTGGAGGGAGGGGTGACCGCCATTACTGTGGCTTTAGTAGGCGGTTTTCCCCTGACAGCGCTAAGAAGACCGGAAGGTTTGGACTGGGTGGAATTCCCCACAGTGCAGCAAAGTGACTGTGGCCAGACTGCTTCTCCAGATCCCTTCTCACTGGGCAGGGCCTCCCTGCAGAAAGTGCAGCAGCTCCAGTCAGGGGCTTACAGACAGAACTCTCATCTCCCTGGGACAGAGCATCTCGGGGGAGGGGCAGCCACCATCTCAAGTTCAGCGGACTTAATCTGCTGATCTCAACGAGGGGGATTCCCCCAGCACAGCACACCAGCTCTGCTAAGGGACAGACTGTCTCCTCAAGAGGATCCCTGACCCTGTGCCTCCTGACTGGGTGAGACCTCCCAACAGTGGTTGGGAGACATCTCATAGAGGAGAGTTCCAGCTGGCATCAGGTCAGTGCCCCTCTGGGACAAAGCTTTCAGAGGAAGGAGGAGGCAGCAATTTTTGCTGTTCTGCAGCCTTCACTGGTGATACCCAGGCAAACAGGGTCTGGAGTGGACTCCCAGAAAACTGCAGCAGACGTGCAGAAGAGGGGCCCGACTGTTACAAGAAAAACGAACAAACAGAAAGCAACAACAACGACATCAACAAAAAAGAATCCACAAAAACCCTATCCAAGGATTAGCAGCCTCAAAGAAAAAAGGTGGATAAACCCATGAAGTTGAGGAAAAACCAATGCAAAAATGCTGAAAATCCCAAAACCCAGAATGCCTCTTCTCCTCTAAATGATTGCAACACATCTCCAGCAAGGGCACAGAACTGAGCTGAAGCTGAGATGGATGAACTGACATAAGTAGGCTTTAGAAAGTGGGTAGTAACAAATTTTGCTGAGCTAAAGGATTATGTTCTAGCCTAATGCTAAGAAGCTAAGAACCATGATAAAATATTATGGGAGCTGTTAACTGGAATAACCAGTTTAGAGAGGAACATAAATGACCTGATGGAGCTGAAAAACACAGCACAAGAACTTTGTGATGCAAACACAAGTACCAATAGCTGAATTGACCAAGTGGAAGAGAGAGTATCAGAGCCTGAAGACTATCTTGCTGAAATAGGCCATGAAGACAAGATTGGAGAAAAAAGAATGAAAGGGAACAAACAAAACCTCCGAGAGCTATGGGACTATGTCAAAAGACTGAACCTATGACTGATTGGAGTACCTGAAAGAGATGGGGAGAATGAAACCAAGTTGGAAAACACACTTCAGGATATCATCCAGGAGAACTTCCCCAGTCTAGCAAGACAGGCCAATATTCAAATTCAGGAAATCGAGATAACTGCAGTAGCATACTCCACAAAAGTTCTACCCCAAGACACATAATCATCAGATTCTCCAAGGTTGAAATGAAAGAAAAAATGTTAAGGGCAGCAAGAGAGAAAGGACAGGTCACCTACAAAGGGAAGCCCATCAGACTAACAGTGGACCTCTCAGTGGAAACCCTACAAGCCAGAAGAGATTGGGGGCCAATATTCGACATTCTTAAGAAAAAGAAATTCCAACCCAGAATTTCATATCTGGCCAAACTAAGCTTCATAAGTGGAGGAGAAATAAAATCCTTTTCAGACAAGCAAATGCTGAGGGATTTTGTCACCATCAGCCCTGTCTTGCAAGAACTCCTGAAGGAAGCACTAAAACCTGGATAGGAAAAACCTATTCTATCTATGAAACTACAAAAACACACTGAAGTACAGAGACCAGTGACACTATGAAGCAAATACGTTAACAAGTCTGCAAAATTAAACAGCCAGCATCATGATGACAGGATCAAATTCATACATAACAATATTAAACTTAAAGGTAAATGGGCTAAATGTCCTAATTAAAAGACACAGAATGGCAAGCTGGATACAAAGACAAGACCCATCAGTGTGCTGTATTCAAGAGACACATCTCAACAAAGGTCAAAAAAGACAAAGGGCATTACATAATATTAAAGTGTTCAATTCCCCAAGAAGAGCTAACTATACTAAATACATATGCACCCAATACAGGAACACCCAGATTCATAAAATAAGTTCTTAGAGAACTACAAAGAGACTTAGACCCCCACACAATAATAGTGAGAGACTTTAATACCCTCACAGTCAGCATTAGACAGATCATTGAGACAGAAAATTAACAAAGATATTCAGGACTTGAGCTCAGACCAAGTGGACCTGATAGATATCTACAGAACTCTCCACCTAAAACAACAGATTTTTTTGGTGCCACATGGCACTTACCCTAAAATTGATCACATAATTGGAAGTAAAACACTCTTCAGCAGATGCAAAAATTAAAAAACTGGAATCATAAGATTCCAGTTGTGGTCTCTCAGACCACAACACAATCAAATTAGAACTCAAGATTTAAAAGCCCACTCAAAACCACACAGCTACATGAAATTGAACAAACTGCTCCTGAATGACCCCTGGGTAAATAATGAAATTAAGGCAGAAATCGAGAAGTTCTTTGAAACCAATGAGAACAAAGAGACAATGTATCAGAATCTCTAGGATGCAGCTGAAACTGTGTTAAGAGGGAAATTTATTACACTAAATGCCCACATCAAAAAGCTAGAAAAATCTCAAATAGACACCCTAATATCACAACTAAAAGAACTAGAGAACCAAGAGCAAACAAACCCCAGAGCTAGGAGAAGACAGGAAATAATTTCAGAGAGGAAATGAAGGACATAGAAACAAAAAAAACTTCAAAAAATCAACAAATCCACAAACTTTTTTTAAATCAATAGGGAAAATAGACTGCTAGCAAGACTAATAAAGAAGGCAAGAGAGAAGATTCAAATAAACACAATCAGAAATGGTAAGGGGGATAACACCACTGACCCAAAGAAATACAAACAACCCTCAGAGAATACTATATACAACTCTATGCAAATAAACTGGAAAATCTAGAAGAAATAGATAAATTCCTGGACACATACACCCTTCCAAGACTGAACCAGAAAGAAGCTGAATCCCTGAATAGAACAATAACAAATTCTGAAATTGAGGCAGTAATTTCAGGTCCAGAGGGATTTATAGCTGAATTCTAACAGAGATACAAAGCAAAGTTGGTACCATTTCTTCTGAAACTATTCCAAACAATTAAAAAGGAGAGACTCCTCCCTAACTCATTATATGAGGTCAGCGTCATCCTGATACCAAAACCTGCCAGAGTTACAACCAAAAAAGAAAACTTTGGGCCAATATTCATAATGAACATAGATGGAAAAATCCTCAATAAAATACTAGCAAATGGAGTCCAGCAGCACATCAAAAAGCTTATTCACCATGATCAGGTCGGCTTCATCCCTGGGATGCAAGGCAGGTTCAACAGATGCAAATCAATAAACATAATTCATCAAATAAACAGAACTAGAGACAAAAACCACATAATTATCTCAATAGATGCAGAAAAGACCTTTGATAAAATGCAACATCCCTGCATGTTAAAAACTCTTAATAAACTAGGCATTGAAGGAACATACCTCAAAATAATAAGAGCCATTTATGACAGATCCACAGCCAATATCATACTGAATGGGCAAAAGCTGCAGGCATTCCCTTGAAAACTGGCACAAGACCAGGATGCTCTCTCTCACCACTCTTATTCAACATAGTGTTGAAAGTTCTGGCCAGGGCAATTAGGCAAGAGAAAGAAATATAGGATATTCGAATGGGAAGAGAGGAAGTCAAATTGTCTTTGTTTGCAGATGACATGATTCTGTATCTAGAAAACCACATTGTCTCAGCCCAAAAGCTTCTAAAGCTGATAAGCAAATTTAGCAAAGTCTCAGGATACAAAGTCAATGTGCGAAAGTCACAAGCATTCCTATACACCAACAACAGGCAAGCAGAAATCCAAATCATGAATGAACTCCCATTCACAATTGCCACAAAGAGAATAAAATACCTAGGAATAGAGCTAACAAGGAAAGTGAAGGACCTCTTCAAAGAGAACTACAAACCACTGCTCAAGGAAATCAGAGAGAACACAAACAAATGGAAAAACATTCCATCTGCTCATGGATAGAAAGAATCAGTATAGTGAAAATAACTATACTGCCCAAAGCAATTTATAGATTCAATGCTCTTCCCATTAAACTACCACTGACATTCTTCACAGAATTAGAAAAAAATATTTTAAAATTCATATGGAACCAAAAAAGAGCTCACATAGCCAAGACAATCCTAAGCAAAAAGAACAAAACTAGGCGATGGGTTGATATGTGCAGCAAACCACCATGGCACACGTTTACCTATGTGACAAACCTGCACATCCTGCACATATACCCCAAAACTTTAAATAATTAATTAATTTAAAAAGAGAAAGTCTTAAAAGAAAAAAAAGAAAAGAAACCCATCCCCAACTTACAGATGAGCCTCGGAGAGATTAATTGACTTGACTGTGATCACCTGACTCATCAGAGCCTGAGCAGTTTTGACAGCACAATTACTGACATCAGAGCCTTTGCAGTTTATAGATTTGTCTTCATTCCTAACTTTCTTCATATTCCCCTTCCTTCTTTGGAAAGGGTTCCTATGAATATGACCTGCCAAATAAACAGATTGTAAATATAATCAGTTAGGTTTCAGCAAAAAGGGAAAAGACTGTCACTTGGACATTGAAATCAGGCTAAAAATTCAACTATGGAATTACCTTATGTCATTCTAATAAGACTCCTTCTGCTAAACTTAGCCACAAGTGGCCACCCAAAACCCCTTGGGAAGAAATGAGCCAGAGACACAGAATTATAATTTGCTGTATTACAGAATATCAGTTTTGCCAACTGGCTCTCTAATGTGAGCTCTGTTTGTCAAAAAAAAATGAATTCAGTATGACAGAAGTGTTTTCTGTCGCTTGCACGCTGGCCAAGAGTCGATCAACTCTGCTTGCCAAACAGAATGCCTCTGACAAGGTCATCAGCAAAGTCACTCTTAAGTGATTGGGCACAGACAATTATTATATAAGCACTCGTGGCTCTGTGTGGAAATGTACACTGATCAATCTTAGAGACAGAAATTTCATGGATATAAAAAGAAAATAATCTACTGCATTCACGCTGTTGAGCAATTAATTTATTGCCAACAGGATACAGTTTATTACCAACAGAATATAGACTATGCTTGAAGAAGACAAGAATTGCATGTTAATTTCTTGCTACTGACTAAACTTTGATTATTCTGTCTTAGGGACTCAAACTAATGATCACACAACTGTGCTCTGAATTAATACAGGTAAAAAATGGTCACACATTTTCTTGAGTCAAATGATAGCTCTTCAAGCAAGAGAATAGATATGTAATTAATTTGTAAATAGTTGTGATTCAAGTCTAAGAATATCATTTGCTCATCATGAGAGTTAAAGCTCTCAAGGCAAAAATAATCACTTGCATTATATTATTACACACATCACAAGTTGGGGAGGTACAGTGACATGGCAATTACTCAATAGTTCAGCACAGTTGACTGAGAGCACTTTTAGGAAATGCTTGGCTGCAGAAAAAATGCCAGCTTTTAAAGTTCACTTTAGGGAAAAATAATGATCTTTTGGTATCTGTCTGGCTCCATTCTTCCAGTTCACTAACTTCTATTACTCAAGAGAATTCTTAAAATAGTCAGTGTCTACTTATTCTTGGAGACATGTAAGAAGAGTCTAGGACTAAATAACTTCGGTGTTTCTTCTTCCTCTTATTCTCAAAATATGGCTTTCCTAAAAGCAAGGTGGAAAGTTGGTGATTACTTGTTAAACTGGTGCTGTAAAAACAAAAATTTAGAAAAAAAAAGGATTAGTATGACATTTTACACACAATTTATTCTTTCAATAGCTTCATTGGGAAAAATTTACATACTACAAAACTCATCTATTGTAAGTGTAGAAGTCAGTAATTTTTAGTAAATTTGGAAGTTTGTGCAATTATCACCACAATCTAGCTTTCAAGCACTTCTATCACCCCCCAAAACTTCCCTCCCTTCCATTTGCAGTCAGTTCCATTCCTATCCTCTCTCCCATGTAACTATGGATCTACTTTCTCTACATAGACTTACTTTTTTATGGGAAATTCATAAATATGTAATCTAAGATATATAGTCTTTTGTGTCTAGATTCCTTTACTTGGTATAATATTTTTGAAGTTCACCCATATTGCAGCATGTGAAAGTAGTTCTTTCCTTTTTATTTGCTGAATAGTATTCCACTATATGAATATACCACATTGTCTATCCAGTCACCAGTTAATAGACATTTTGATTGTTTCCAGTTTGAGGCCTTTATGAATAATGCTACTGTGAACATCAGCACAAGTCTTTATGTGGATATTAATTTTTAGTTCTTTTGGGTAGTTACCAAGAAGAATAGCTGGATTGTAGGGTAAATGTATGTTTGATTTTTGAGGAATAAGCCAAACTATTTTCAAATGTAGTTGTACAATTTTACATGTCCATCAGCAATGTATATGGGTTCCAGATTTTCCACATCCTCACCAATTCTTGGTATTGTTGGTCTTTTTTATTACAGCCATTTGCATGTGTGTGGTGGTATCACATTGTGGTTTAAAACATATTTCTCTAATGACAATGATGTAGCTCATGAAAGATCTGATCAAAAGAATGAAAAGACAAGCTACAGAGTTAGAGAAAATATTGCAAGCAACATATATGACAAGAGAATAGTATTTAGAATATGTAGAGAATTCCCAGCACTCAATAGTTAAAAAAAAAATCCAGTTAGAAGCTGGGCAAAATACATGAACAGGCATTTTACTAGAGGATATACAAACAGTAAACTAACAAATGAAAAGATTCTCCACATCTCTAGCCACTAGAGAAATGCAAATTAATACCACAATGAGGTAATGCTACCCACCTCTCACAGTGGCTGAAATAAAAATTAGTGACAACACCAAATACTGGCAAGGTTGCAAAGAAATTGGATGACTCATACACTACTGATGGGAATGTAAAATGGTATTTCCATTCTCGAAAATATTTTGGCACTCCTTAAAAAAACTAAACATTTGACTAACATACAACCCCACATTTTCACTTTTGGGCATTTATCCTAGAGAAATAAAAACTTAAGTTCATGCAAAAATGTATACACAAATGTTCTTGGCAGGGTTTTTTTTGTAATAAGCAAAAAATTGGAAACAATCAAAATGTCTTTTAGCAGGTGATTGACTAAACAAGTTGTTGCTGCATCCAAACCATTGAATACTATTCGGCAGTAAAAAGGGAAAGTTATTCATGTACTCAACAGTTTAATCTCCAGAGAATTGTGCTGAGTGAAAAAAAAAGTCCAATTTCAAATGGCCATTTGTAGGATTTTATTTATATAACATTCTTAAAATAACAAAATTATAGAAACAGAAAACAGATTGGGTTTGCAAGAGGTAAAGAATGATGAGAGGTAAAGGAAGTGGTGTAGCCATAAAAAGGAACAGGTTGGACCTTTGCAGTGATGGAAATGTTCTATATCTTGGCTATATGAATACCAACATCTTGGCTGTGATATTGAGCTATAGTTTTATGAGATGTTATCATTGGGGAAAATGAGTAAAGAATACATGGAATCTTTTCATATTATTTATTATGACTGCATGTAAATCTACAATTATCTTTAAAAAAAGGTTTCCTTATAAAAAATCTACTTACTAGAAATATAATTTTTTTCTCAATTCTAAATTCTACTCCACTTATTTACATAATTATCTTTGTGCTAATTCCATACTTTCTTGATTACTGTGGCTTTATTGTATAAGTTTTGAAAGTTGGCAGTGTAAATGCTCCAACTTGGTTCTTATTTACCAAAATTGGTTTGGCAATTCTAGTTCCATTGCATTTTCATAAAAATTTTAGAATCATCAGATAGATCAATAGCTACAAAAAATATGCTGGATTTTGATGGGGATTATGTTAAATCTATAGATCAATTTGAGAAGAATCGATGTCCTATTTTTTCCAATCCATATATGTGGACTATTGCTCTATTTTATTTTTAAATTACTATCAGCAATATTTTATAGTTTTCAATATACAAGTTTTACTCTTATTTCTTAAAATATATTCCTATTTATTGTTTTTGATGCCATTGTGGATGAAATTGTTTTCCTAATTTTATTTTTGGATTGTTCACTTACAGCATTTTAAAAGTTGGGTTTAGCATACTGATCTTGTATCTTGTAACCTTACTAAATTAATTTATTAGTTCTAGTAATTTTTTCAGATTCTTTAGAATTTTCTACATACAATATAATGTCATCTGAAAACAAAACCATAAAAATAGTTTTACTTCCTTTCAAATATAGATGCCCCTCCTCCCTCCCTCCTTCCTTCCTTCCTTTCTTCTTTCCTTCCTTCCTTCGTCATTCCTTCCTTCCTTCCTCCCTCCCTCCATCCCTCTCTCCCTTTCTTCCTTCCTTTCTTTCTGTCTTTTTTGTTCTTATAATTCTTTTAATTTCTAGGGTCTAGAGTGACGCTCCCTGTGTCATTCCTAGTTTAATAAATTGTGTTTTCTCACTTTTTTCTTGATCAATTCAGCTGATGATTTATTAATTCTTTTTCAAAGATCAACTTCCGATCAACTTATCAATTTTCTCTGTTATTGATTTTTTTCTATTTCATTGGTTTCTATTTTGTTGTTATTTCTTTCTTCTGCCTACTTTGAGCTTATTGTTTTTTCTGAATTCTTCAGATAGAAGCTTAAATGATTGATTTGAGATATTCCTTTCTAATATATGTGTTTAAAGCTATAAGTGTTTCTCAATGCATTCCTTATTTTTTATTTTTATGGATACATAGTAAGTGTATATATTTATGAGGTGTGTGAGATGTTTTGATACAGGCATGCAAGGCATAATAATCCCATCATGTAAAATGGGGTATTTATCCCCTCAAGTATTCATGTTTTGTGTTACAAACAGTCCAATTATACTTTATTAGTTATTTTTAGATGTACAATTAAATTCTTATTGACATTTTTAAATGTACAATTAAATTCTATAGTCACCCTATTGTCCTATCAAATACTAGAACTGATTCATTCTTTCTAACTACATTTTTATACCCATGTAACCATCATTCTATTCTCTGTCTCCATTAGTTCAATTGTCTTAATGTTTAGCTCCCCAAAATGAGTGAGAATGTGCAAAGTTTGTCTCTCTGTGCCTGACGTATTTCACTTAATGTAATATCCTCAATTTCCATCCATGTTGTTGCAAATGACAGGATCTTATTCTTTTTTATGGCTGAATAGTACTCCATTGTGTATATGTGCCACACTTTCTTTACCCATTCATCTGCTGATGGACACTTGGGTTGCTTCCAAATATTGGCTATTTTGTCCTTTAATTCTTTAAGCATGGTTTTCTTTAGTTCTTTAAACATGTTTATAATAGTTGCTTTGACATCTTGGCCTGCTAAATACACCTGGGCCTATTCAGAGAAAATTTATGATGTCACCTTTTCCCCCAAGTATGGGTTACACTTTCTGTTGCTCTGCATGTCTTTGCATAATATTTTGTTGAAAACTGGGCATTTTAGATAATATGTTGTAGTAGCTTTTGATTCTAATTTTTATGCATGAGAATTGTTGTTGCTGGGTTTTTCTGTTTGTTTTGTTTTGATTTGTTATTTAGTAACTTCTCTAGACTTAATCTGCTATATTTGTATCCTCCATGATGTACAGTCGCTAAGATCTCTGATTATTTTTGCATTCTTAGTTTTACTTTCTAGTCTTATTTTCTAGGGTTTACTCATGTGACTGCATGGCTTAGTAGTCAGCCAATGATTGATTAAAGATTGTGCTCAAACACCTCAGGCCAGTAAGGTTTTCACCCTGTGTTGCTGGATCCTCGTGTGGTTTGGAGAATACTCAGGCATTTCCAATCCTGCTCACTTCTGCTTTCTCCCAGGCCCCTCTCCCATCTTCCCTCAGCATGCGTGCAGTCTTCCAGTCAGCCAGATGTATGTGGAGAGCTTCAAATGTCTTGGGTCACCCCCGCACATGTACTCAGCCTCCCAGTCAGCCAGGTAGAAAGGAAAAGAGCTTATCTACCCCTCTATGACCTCTGAGCTTTAGGATCTCCCTGTTAAGTTTCTGGTTAGTCTACCAATCTGCCACTCCCAGTACTGCAACCTGAAGTCTGCCCTGTTCGTTTCTTACCAAGTTGGCTATTTTTACTGACAACGCCATTGAGTACAGATTTTTCTCCTTTCACCCTAAATCAAATTAGCTCTCCCTCATGGAGAAGCTCCTGGTTTTCATGACCAGCCCTGTTAGGGGTGGCAAATATCTGGTTTACTATCGGCAAATCTGTACAGGTCTGTGGCAACCTCAGTTCTTGCCTCTTCAAAAGAAAGAATTTGACTGAGGGGCATAAGGCAGAAAAAAAGACTGAGGAAAATTTCAGAGCAGGAGTGGAAGTTTATTAAAAAGCTTTAGAGCAGGAAAGAAAGGGAAGTACACTTGGGAGAGATCCAAGCAGGCACTGTGAAGGTCAAATATGGTGTTTAACTTATTGACTTGTTGGCATGCTTCTGGTGTCTTGTGTCCCTTTTCCCTGGATTCTTCCCTTGCAGTGGGTCACCCGCATATGCGGTGGTCTGCTAACACTTGAGAGGTGAGCATGCACAGTGTGTTTAGGAAGTTGCATGCATGCCCCCCTGAGGCTTCCTTCCCTTTTCTGGTGGAATACCCCCCGAAGGTCATACTCTGCCAGTTTGTCTCTTAATGCATGTGCTCAAGCTCACTCACCCAATTCCTGAGATCTTATTGGAAGTTGACTACCAATTTCAAATGTTTTTATCTATTTGGGAAATTGCCTCTCCCTGGCGCCTGCAACCAGCTATCATTTTTAGAGAGGCAGTGTCATAACTGCTGAACCGTCACCTGATGGTCCCCTGACATCCTGGTGGGGAGGGGAGCCCTCTCCTGCCCTGTTCATGCCCATCTAACTACCTGCTGTCAAGCCCCATCCTGGTAGAATTGCTGTACCTCCTGAGCTGGTGGTGTGTAGTATACTAAAAGAGACATATTGTGGCTAAGATCAATGATAACCATAAGGTCCACCTAAGCATCTCACAGGGCTAATATGTGCCACTTAGCAATATGATACAACCTGGCCAGGAGATTTCCAGGAGACAAGGCCACCTCAGCACAGATGTAATTTTCATAACCCTTAAAACAAAGCTTACCCTCACATGAGTAACTTAAACTCCCTTTATGAAAGAAACATCTGGTAACTGACCCAGACTGAATCCAGGTATATGAAAGGGAGAAGGATCTTCCAAACCCTTAGAATGATCTCTGGAGGAGGAGCCTCCCAGTCAGCTGGTCTGACCCCAACTGTAAATGGCCCATGCTCCTACTAACCATCTTGCAAGAGCACTGCCGGAACACTGCTTGAGCATCATGTGGTTTCTAAGACTTATCTTTGACATGAATCAAACCAAAGATGAAAAGTAACCCTTGGGGAAGTTAGCCAACTAGGACCATCCAAAACCTCCAAACACAAAAGGGTTTGGGTTGGAAAGGGAACATCCCTAGACAAGAATGCCACACTTTTACTGTTCATTCTTGAAATTCAGAAGTTTTTTTTAAGCAATAAATGTTTCTCAATTTATTGGGGTTTATTTGGTCAATTTCCAGAGCCTGGAAATGTTTGTGACAATTTTATCCAGTTTTGTCATTGTTTTTATGAAAAGAATTTGCCAATCACTGCAGTCACACCTCTCATGCAAACTCTTGTGGACAGTTTGTTTTTAATTCTTTACCTCATTATTTCCTCATTATGTTTGCCCATATTAATCCTTCTATTCTCAGCTTTTGTTTTCTAGCCTCTCAGTTTCTATTTTCAGCATTTTACTGTATTTATCTGGAAAAGTTGAAATGAAAAACATAGCATCAGCTATGGATATTATACTATAATTACAATGGCATAAAATGCATATTAAGATGGATAATGAACAAAAATGTTAATAATCATATTAGAGTATGGAATTGTGGCTGATTTATTCCTATTTTTATGCAATATGATTGTATTCCTATTGTTGGTAAATGGTGACTATTGGGATTCTATCTTCTGCCAAGAACTTATAAGTAAGGAAAATTAGGCCACCACTCAGGAATGAAATTTATAATTAATATGTCCAAGGTCAGAGTAAGAACACTTAAAGGCAGCACAAATGAGAGAATGGCTCCCAGGCCACCTACTTTTACGGCAACTCAGTAGATATGCAGATACTTCTGAGGGACGGCTCATGAAGGGTCAGTCATGGAGGCACAGAACAATGAGACTTGCAGAAGCCTTGTCAGCAGGTTCATGCAAGCTCTGCCCAGGAAGAGGATGGCATGAGGACATGATGTGGCTAGTCTGAGTGGTATGCCATCTTCATTGTGGACACAGGTATATTCAGCTAACTCTCTTCATACCATTAGACAGTCCAATTTTAAGCTTAACTCCCCTGCTCTGATGCTATACACACCAATCATCCTTCTGATTACAATTTAGCTTCCCATGTAGTTTGCCCTTTGAGAAACAGCCCACCTGGCCACAGCATGCAAATGTCCCATTGGCAGAGGGCTTTCTCCTTTTAAAAGTAGTACATTGGCATCTGGGTGAAAATGCAGATAGTTATGAAGAAAACAGAAAGCCAAGAAGAGAAGCCTGTCTGGGGTGAGGGAACTGACAAGTTCATTTGGACCTGCTGAATTTGAGTGATGGTGAAACGAACGTTGGAAATACCCACTAGACATGAAAAAATAGAAGCAAATTCTGGGAAATAAAATGATTACAAAGATTCAGGTCCTGGATATAGACCAGAAGTCAGATCATGATGCTGGGGCCTTTGTAGCTGGGTGGGCCTCTGGCAGAGAGCAGGTAAGGAAAGAACAACGAGGGCTGGAGGGTGTAACATAGAGGTGGCACATCAGGCAAAGGAGCCAGATGGGAAGATAATCTGGTTGTACAGGTTGTAGCTCAGTGTTATGGAAACTTGAGTGATGTTAAGAGTCATCTACTCAGCAGTCCCCAACGTTTTTAGCACCAGGGACCAGTTTCATGGAAGACAAATTTTCCACAGATGGGGTGGGGGATGGTTTCAGGATTAAACTGTTCCACCTCAGATCATCAGACATTACTTAGATTTTCATAATGGGCAAACAACCTAGATCCCTCACATGTGCAGTTCACAATAGGGTTTGCAGTTCTATGAGAATCTAATCCTGCCACTGATCTGACAGGAGGTGGATCCCAGGTGGTAATGCTTGCTGGCCGCTCACCTCCGCTATGCGCCCAGCTCCTAGCAGGCCAAGGACCAGTACCCAGTCCACCGCCCAGGGGTTGGGGACCCCTGGTCTACCTGGCATATTAAAATTACATATTCCTTGGCTCCAACCCATACATATTGTGTCAGATGTGGCACAGTCTTCCAAGGACAGTCTAAGGAACCAACATTGTAACAAGTTCCTCTTTTGATTTTTGTGATGAGGCAAGCATCATTTTAAAATATCTAGTGCTGGTTCAGGCAAGTTTCTGAAAGCCACAGAAGGAGCAGTGAATGAGCAAGCAGGAAGGAAACGAAGAACAGAGAGGAGTGAAATGGGGCATCAGGAATAAGCGGTATTGTTTATCGAAATAGGAAAATATTTAAGGGAGAGGAGAAGGGGTCAAAAATAAGCAGAAAATTTAAACGCTAGGTAGCTTTTGGGGGCGTGGTTGTGGTTGAGAGAGTAACTTGTAGAGCAAGGCAGATCTTAGAGAGGTAATCGCTCCGTGAAGGGAGGGGCCAGCCTGACTTGTTCACATTTGCCCGCAGCTCCTTAGCAAAAACCCAGCACATGGTAGGCTTCTCGTAAGTAATTGTTGCATACATGATTCAGGCGTGGGGTCCAGCTAACATTTAGAGGGGCTAACCTTAGAAAAGAGAGTGGTGTTTTCTTACTCTCATGCTACAAGGAAGGATGAAAGAACGCATAGAAACTGTTTAAGTAACAGAAGGAAAATGAAGCTGATATCTAATGGACAGGATTTTTTTTCTGCTAACTAACTAAGAGGGCCATGCTTTAAGCGAGACGGAGGAGAAACTTGACAGTACAATGGTGGAGAAATGTCTAAACTTGAATTCCTTCTAAATGCAGCTGCTCTGTCTTATGTACTGTTTATATTTTTAAATGGTCCGAGGTGGAAACTCTTACAAACAAACAAAAATGTTGTTCGATCAGTAAATCAGTAAAAGATTTCAAAGTCACAAATCAAAAGATGAAGAACTTGTAAACTGTAATTTCCCTTAAAAGGCGGGAAGGAAATAGTGACTTGACCGAAAGCAACGGCAGCAGCTGATTACTGTGGAAACAGAAATAAATTCTGGCAGTAATTCGGAGGAAAATATTACGGGATAAGATCAATTTCTCTATGTTTGCTTTCCTGACTAAACAAGAAAACCTAAGGGACATTCTCTGGGGTCTTTGCCCGGTGTGGGGCCAACAGACGGCACTACCGATAAGGCAGCCGCCAAATGGTTGGTTAGAGCTGGGACTTCATTCAAGATGCATGCCTGTCGGGAGCAGGCTGGAACACCGCAGCACCGCAGGAGAGATCGGCAAACCCAAAAGGACAGCGCTGCTGCGTTCAAATGGCTTTAGGAGACCTCCTGTCAGAGCTGCAAACGTAGCTATGGCTGCCGTATCATCTTAATGCACACCTGAATATGATCCTAGAGCACGACCCCAGCTTGAACACATCATCAGGGCATTTTGATGTGGGAGAAGACAGATGGAAAAGATTATGACACATCCAAAAGTACACTAGAAATTTAGCTTAAGGTACAGATGCACTGCAATTTGAGACTGGTGCTTTCTGCATATTTGCATATTTGTTGCTAGCTCAAATGGGTTATCAAGAGGTAATGCCTCTTCTGTTACCTTATATGGGTATTTTGTTGTTGTTGTCAAATCATTTTACTTGTTTAGGATCGCGCTTGAGTACCATTGGTGAAAGGAGCAGCAAGTCGCTGCTGATTCATCTTGCAAGGAAACAAGAGCACAAGGAATTCCTGAAAACTAAAACAACTTGAAAGAAAAACAGTGTGGTATATTCTAAATATGTCACTCATAAGCACTTTCAGATAATGTCACATTTTAGTTATTAGTTTAGCAATTAAGAACATTATAGGAAGTGGATGCCCATAGCCCACCGAACGATAGTCAACCCTCTATCAGTATTCAAGAGCATAATAAAAGAAGACATATTAAGCAAAAAAAAAAATTGGTAGATTGAGATTGGTACAAACTTTTCTGGTGCTGTTCTTTAAAACTCCAAGAATACGTCATTTTAATCGTGAGGCATTTTCTTCTCCCAAAAGACAGCTTCTTCTAATTAATCATCCCCAAACTTTCTAAGCTGTTTCATCTCAAAATTTTCTATTCTAAATAAAAAAGGAAAAAAATTTATTCTGCAATAAAAAATAGCCAAACATTCTATTGAGTGTACTATATTTATAAACCATGCTGTAAATGCCAATCCATGCTATATATGCCAAAGTATACAACACTTACCACTCAGCCTTAATAATAATAATTTGAAAGGTATAATAATAGAAATGTACTCTTTCACACCGTGTATTACTGAAAGTTTCACATAAATTAAATTCTTGTTAGTTAAATTATACCTAAATGAGAAAAATTCTATGGTGAATTATTTTGTAAATGAAAAAATTCTTTTGAATAAGAGCAATGTTCCCTCATCTGTCTTTTATAACATTCGGAAGTTATATATGTTGTGTATTTAAACAAGGGAAAATGTACTTTTGTTTATAAGTTAGCAAATTTTATTATCTGAAGCCTTTTGCAGCTGGAACACCCCACAGTCTCTGCCCCACAGGGAAGGGTAGCTTTCCCTGGCAGCTGGAAAGTGCTGAAATATGAGGATAAGTGTGATATACAGTTAAATGTGGGAGAGGAGTTTGGAGCAACAGGTCTAAGAAACAAGTGCAAGCTACAACAAGGAGAAAGGGCAAAGGGGTGGGATGGAAGGAGAACTGAGGTGTTGGGAAAGGGAAGCACAGGCAAGTTAAGCACACAATTAAGGATGTGGACTTAGGATACAGTGTGTGAGTGGTGTGGTGTGTGTGTGTGTGTGCGCACACACACGCACACACACAAGTCATGCGTATAATAGCCTCATTGGAGAAGATTGTATATATTTAAGTTATATACAGAGTCTAGGCCATAGTGAGCTGAGTTGCTTATAAAATTAGAGACTGGAACATAGGTTGAACATTTGACATATTCCTGGAGGTTGAAAATGGTCCTTATAGACATGTTAGATAGAATTCTCATATCAAAGACCATGCCAATTTCACACATCAGAAACTAGTGTGCCAAAATATGAAAACCAGAAGTCCAGCACAAGCCTAAAATGTTTGACAGAAACACTATGATTGTGTCCAAACTTATAGTTAGGATGACCTTATCATTAATAAGAATTACACCCATGTAAAATTCTTGGAACATAAAAGGAAAAAAGCTAACCTTCTAACGGATAGACCATGTTCAAAATAAAAATGAGGGCTGGGAAATCACAAAGCATCTCTGAACAACTGTAGGAAAGGGGTCTAGGTGAGCCATGGGATGCAGGCACAGGCCACAGCGTGGGGAAAGGTCTGGTGCTACTGTGGCTTCCCCACAATGTGATGCAAGGGTCTGGGAAGAATGCTGCCTGTGTGCCAGGAATCAGAAGGAGGCACTGGTCTGAAGATCCGGGTCCTGGAGGAAAGCTTCATTCTGTCCCAGGAAGGCTGGTGCCAGGCACTGATGTTATGTCTCAGGGCCCACCCAAGTCCAGTTCTCCCAATGGAGTAGAAGAGAATGATCTCTTCCTACTGAGGAGTATCAATGAAAAGAACACTTGGATTTTGATGTCTCTCCTGACCAGCCTAGCTCAAGTTGTCTCCTCCATTCATTCTCCTACTCCTCTTTTTAATTATGTTTAAAGCCTGCATTGCCAGCTGAAAACATGGATTTGTTTTTCAGGTTTCTTACTCATTTCCTTGTGGGTGATGTTTACTTGTTTCGAAGATGTCCTAGCTATTTATGAGCTATGGGCTGAATATTTGTGTCGCCCCCAAATTCACCGGTTGAGATTCTAACCCCTAATGTGATGGTATTAGGAAGTAGGGCCTTGGAAGGTGAGTAGATCCTGAAAGTGGACCTCCCATGAATGAAATTAGTGTCCTAATAAAAGGGAGCCCCAGAGAGCTCTCTCACCCTCTTTCCACCATATGATGATATGATGAGAAGATAGCCATCTTCCTGACTAGGAAAATTTAAGTATAATTTTCCTTTTCTTTGAAAACCTAATGACCACCATATTGAATTAGCAGTCACCTAAGCCCCTATGTAAATCTCACATATGCTGATATCTAGCAAAGTCATGATCAGTGTTTCCGCAGAGTTTAAAACCTCCATGAGGAATGATACATTTAATAGCTATTTCTCTTTTTTTAATTATCCAAGTTATTTATTTATTTATTTATTTTTTTGAGACGGAGTTTCGCTCTGTCGCCCAGGCTGGAGTGCAGTGGCGCGATCTCGACTCACTGCAAGCCCCGCCTCCCGGGTTCACGCCATTCTCCTGCCTCAGCCTCCTGTGTAGCTGGGACTACAGGCGCGCGCCACCTTGCCCGGCTAATTTTTGTATTTTTAGTAGAGACGGGGTTTCACCGTGTCAGCCAGGATGGTCTCGATCTCCTGACCTCGTGATCCGCCCGTCTCGGCCTCCCAAAGTGCTGGGATTACAGGCGTGAGCCACCGCGCCCGGCCAAGTTATTTTTATTTTAATGATCCAAGGTATTTTTATTGTGGTATTTATTCATAACACAAAATTTGTCATTGTAGCCATTTTTACATATATGGTTTAGTGGTAAGAAGTGCCTTCATATTGTGCTACTGCCACCACCATCCATCTTCAGAACTTTTTCATCTTCCTCATCTGAAGCTCTGTGCCCATTAAATGATAACTCCCCTCCCTCCAGACCCTGGAAACTACCATTCTACATTATATTATTATTATGTCTCTATAATTTTTACTACTCTAGGTACCTCCTATAAGGGGAATCATATAGTATTTACCTTTTTGTGACTGGCTTATTTCACTGAGTATGTCCTCAAGGTTCATCCATGTTGTAGCATGTGTCAGAATGTCCTTCCTTTCCTAAAGACTAAGATTTCATTGTCCATATATACATTTTGCTTATTCATTCCCCCAGCATTGAATATTTGGGATACTTCCAATAGTTTATTCTTATCATACAGGCATTTATTCCACTCAACAAAAGTACACCGAGATCCTAACTCCATTGCCCCGAACACCTGGTTCGCCTGCCAGCTTCTGTTCCCCACAGTGTGTCCTCAACCCCTTTATTGACTTTGCAGGCCCTCAGCACATCTATTTTCTTTCCCAGACATGATTTTTCACCACAGCTGTGGTTATTATGGCAAAGTCCTTCTCATGCTTAAGAATCCAATTCAAATACCAGCTTCTTTTTCAAAATCTCTCTCTCTTCCCAAGGTTCCTCTGATATTCCCAAAGCATTTTTCGCACCAAAACAGCCCCAGTCATGATGAATTGTAAGTATTTTAATTGTGCATATTTTTCACCTCTGTATTATATGCTCACACCAAATAAATCTTTCAACTCCCAGGGTTTAGTCCAGTAGCTGGTACATAATTTGTACTCAGTGAATATTTTTTGAATGAATTAATACAAATATGAATTATCCTTTGTTTTTTTCACTGTTTTCCAAAATTGAAAAGTAAGTTGGAAATAGTATACTGTATGAATAATTTTCAAACTCTGTCTTCCAAAACAGGTTGGAGGGTTTTCTCCTTTGCATTAAAATATATAGCCATCAGTTAACATGATAAGCTGATATCAAGTAAGAATTCAATTATTTAACAAATGAAAAATTTGAAAGAGACATAAAAGCAGGAAAAGCAATGACAGGCTGGCATAGAAACACTGTCTTCTCACAGTGCTGCCTGCTTTCTTCTGTCGAGTTTAGGGGACCCACGTACAAGGCTTCGATTCAGATAACCGTAATGATTAGATCTCTATGCAAATCTGCCCCATCCTGAGAATGTGTGACTTATTTTGCTATCTTCCAACTCCCAATGGCGTCAAACAGTAACAGCGTTCTGGACAGATGGAGTTGACGTGATAACACATAGGGGCAGCATATCAAGAAACACTTCTGACAAGTGGTAAGTGAATACTGCATCTTCAACTGTATAAAAATAAATGCTACAATTTATTTCATGGAGGAGGCATGGTAGCAACATATAATGGAGATGAAGTAAACTTTACTGTCTGTTGGCCACCTTAGATATTCTTTCAAAGTTTCTATTGCTGTTTGAAAATATTGCAAATGTTGTCACAATTCCCCATAACTAGCAAGAATCCAGCATTAGAAAAGAAGTGTTTAAAATACAAATAAGATATGCTGACATAAATGTGTGGAAAAAACACCCATGTGGCCACATTTGCACAGTCAATAATTTTCTTGTTTCATTTTCCTAAGTGACCAAATTTACCCAGATATGACCGGGTAAGATTGATAAATAAACTATGTTTATTTATCCTAACCTGCAAATGTGTTTTAAATATATACATTAATATCTACTAGTACTAAAAGAAAGAATAGGCCAAATCAGACATTATTTTTTTCTGCTGAGCCCTGGAGTTACATGACTGCCACTAATTTCAGGGTGGGGAGCAAAGGAGGTTTAAGGGTTCCAACTCTTCAAACCTCCCAAAACAGAAGGTATGGTTTTAGCTGTTTTACACAGTGGTCATCTGACGAAGAGATTTCATGATTTCCAAAACTCAGAAAATCCCTATGCTAAAAATATAGAAACCTGAAGACAGCAGAATCTCATGGAAAAGAGCCAGGGCTCAAATTACTAGCGATCTAGTTCAGGCTCTGCTACTAACTGGACCTGTCACACTGGACAAACCACAGGAACTCTCTGGGCCTCAATTTCCTCATCTCAAAACTAATCCAAGAGATAAGAATCTATATAGTCCACTTCAGCCTAAAGATTCTGAAATCCAAATAAAATTTTGAAAAAACATGAATATTGTCTTGTAGATATGTAAATGCAACCTTTATTTGAGAAGTTTTTAAAGGAATTTTACTTCATAATAGCAATGGCCTTCCATGTAATCAATGTAATGTGTGAGAGTCATCTGTCTTTACGTTGTGTTTCGTTTGTGTTTAGTCTCAATCCTTTCCTTGGAATTCTGTTCCTGTTGGTTTGGGTTGCCTGATTAGAAACTGTGAATGCCTGAACCAGACCTCCTATTCAATTTGCTTAACTTATTAATTATTTAAATTATATGGTTCAATTAAACTGAAATGGAGATCCCTATTACCCCAAAGTAATTAAGAGGATACAAGCTCTAATCCATAATTCAAAAATTATAAAGATATGACTGCATGAGGGATGCTTGCCCAAGAGCTCAAGGCTGTTCCATATGTCAGAGCAAATGTTTCTTTTTGTTGCCAATAATATCTTTTATATACTGCAAAGTAATAATATATCCACTATCTTTGGAATATCATATGAGTGGGATAAGCAAACATACCAATACATACCAGATTTTCAGTCACATCACCTCATTTAATTTTCACAATGGTGCCATCAGATGCGTGTGTATGCACATGTGTTGTCTGTGTGTGTGTAATCAGGAAATTCTCAAAGGGATTAATTATGCTACCCAAGGTTACACCAAGTAGGGGTTAGCGATCTGGAATTAAACACAAGTTTTGAAATCCCATTAATTTTCCTATCCATTGCATTAATTCTCTTGACAATAGAATTTTTCATCTAGAGTAGTTGCCAAATCTTAAGCCTCTGCAAAGTGCAAGGGCACTGTGGGAGAAACAAGAACTCTTACCTCTGAAGCTCACACTTGTCTACTTGACAGCCAAAGCACAGAGAAAGTACCATGTGTTCGGCTGCTCTTACATTGCTATAGAGGAATACCTGAGGCTGGGTAATTTATAAAGAAAAAAGGTTTAATTGGCTCGCGGTTCTGCAGGCTGTATAAGCATGGTGCTGGCATCTGCTTAGCTTCTGGGGAGGCCTCAGGGAGCTTTTACTCATGACAGAGGGTGAAGCAGGAGCAGGCACATCACAGGGTGAGAACAGGAACGAGAGTGCAAGGGGGAAGATGCCAATCACTTTTAAACAACCAGATGTCACAAGAACTCACTCACTATCGTGAGAACAGAACAAAGCCATGAGGGATCTGCCCCCATGAACAAAACACCTTTCACCAGCCCGCTCTCCAACACTGGGGGTGACATCTCAACATGAGATTTGGTCGGGGGACACCCAAACTATATCACACCACATGACAAAAGCAGCATGTATTGAAATGGTCCAATGAGCAATATGCCCTGAAGGTAGTGTAAGAACTCAGGGAAAAGGAAAATTATAGGCTGCATGGAGAACATCTCCCTACAGGAGATAGGACCTGAGCAGAGCTTTGAAGGAAGGTTTTGGTACATGGAGACGTCAAGGAAGGCATTCCAGGCAGGGCTGGATAGTGCAAGCAAAAGCTGAGAAGCAAGAATGAAAGGGCAACACACAGGTAGGGTAATAGCAATGTTTTGGCCCAAAGCTGGGGAACAGGAGTGTATATCATTTCATTGCTATACTTCAAAACATACATGCACACATTGTACATTTTTTGTATGCAAATGCTACACAATAAAACTTGAGAAGATTTAGCAAGTTATATTCAGGGAAAAATAGAACCTTCTGGGGATATGGTGTTTATAGTTCAAGGAGTTAGGGAGAACATTTGGCAGATGGATTGAAGTCAAAATGAGAGCTGACTTGAATGTAACAATAAAACAGTTAATAGTCAAAGACAATGGACACTACTACAATAAACAAAAAGTCCTATGTAATAAAGTTATTTTGATATCTTTGCAATCATGAAAAATTCTTTTATTCACTGATTACAACAAATGATTGTGAATGAATAATCCTGGGTAATCTTACATAGTTATCTGGTTCTTGTCCACACAATGGTCACTGGTAGTGTACATTAGTGCTAAAATTGTGGAAGTTCTATCCAGCCCCTTGGATGGATTTATGTGCCACCAACCTTACTGTTGCCAGCAGCCCATATACCTTTCTCTTGAAAACATGTAAATTATAATATACAGAGTTATTCCAGCCAGTTAGTGTGCCAAAGGTCAGAGATGATGTTGGTCTACTTCCCTAGACCATAGCACATGGACTGGCATATAGTAACCATTCAATATTTATTGAATATACAGAGGGAAAAGAGAAAAAAAGGGAAGAAAAGGGAGGAAAGAAAAGGCCCTTTGCATTATTCTCACCTTTCATTTCCTTTTCCCACATACACTTGATCCTTGAACAACACGGATTTGAACTTCACATGTTATTGGTAAGGCTTCCGATCAACAGTAGGCTATTAGTTGTTAGCTTCTAGGGGAACCAAAAATTATACTTAAGTTTTTGACTGCACAGGGGTTAATGCCCCTAGACCCCACATTGTTCAAGGGTTGGCTATACATCTTTTATTTTTTTAAGAATTTATTCAACAAATATTGAGTGCCTTTTATGTGCTTGTCACTATTGTAGATAATGAGTACAGCAGTGATCAAAGCAGACAAAAAGGTGTTTCTGCCTTGGTGGAAAACTCTCTAATGAATGAATGCACACTCAGGGCTAAGCTCTTACTTTTTATCCCTGGGTCCTGTAGAAAGTGAATAAATTCCAAGCAATGGTTTTCTTGTAATAAAATTTTATGTTAATTAAACTGTATATGCATGTGTGTGTGTTGTGTGTGTGTGCGTGTGTTTATAAAAGGATTTAACCAGTTTTCAGTTAACAGGTACCAAAAACTTTTTTTCCAAGGTAATTAGATCTTCATAAGCTGTTGCAAGGAAAAGCTAGCACAAATATATAGTATTGCTTTGGTATTGAGGTGGTCTCATTGGGAAAATGAATAAAGAAATAAATTCATTTTGGAATAATGATACTTTCACATTTTACAAGGTTCTAGTACAGAAATGATAATGTAACTTCTTAAAGTAATTGGAAATGACCTAAAGTGCTTACACCCTAACAAGGTCAGATGAAAACAAAATTGCAGCTTTTATTTAATATTTCTGGATGTAGTTCATGTGTGCAAACCTCTGATTTTATTTTGACAAAGGTCAATTAGAAGAGGGCTATTGGAGGTGCACTCAATAATCTGACTCAATCTTCCAGCAATCACAGTCAAACTCTTGTTTTGTTGATTAAAGAAAAAAGAATGAAAAGAATTATTGGCCAGAGCGACCCATAGTTGTTTTTGCTAATGTGAGCTGGACTCCATGAATTGCTCTTCAGACTCTAGTCACAGAACTGTTTTACTTAATTATAGTGCCAAGATATCATTTCTTTAATCTCTCCCCGCTCTAAGAAATCACTGTGTTGTAACAAAGGACAATCCCCAGGCAAGATCAAGTCTATGAAGCAGAGCAAATAATATTAGCATTCTACCATCCGCAGGCATCTCTTCATTTCTCAACAGGACATGTGCCCACACACACTTCGTAACTGGAGCCCTGTAGCTTAACTTGTGTGCTTTTTAATTAAACTGCTTTCTTCAAGATCCTAACTGGATTATAATTCCTAGATTTTTTTCCTTTTGCTAGATTACAAAGAAGAAAATTATTTGCTTTCATTTTTGTCTTAATGCCTAAAATAATCTTATTAGTAATCTGATAGATGAGTTTCAGATAAAACGAAGGGCACCCAGATAACCCCACACACACACATATGGCCCTCATGTATTGACTTTTGATTTGTATCTCCAATTCCCACTGCCCTTGTTACAGAGTTCTTCCTGGAGGCACAAAGAATGAATGTTTAAAAGTACATTGACCCCTAGTCAAAATAAATCCTAGAAAATGTGCTTTGTCAGGTCCACATGGTTTTCTAACCAAAAATGTCCTGTACTTCCCCACCATGTTATTAACCACACATTATAGCAAAGTTTGTAAATTGTATAACTACCTCTGTGAGACTCTAAATTCCAGGACAGAAGGGGCTATGCCTGTCTTATCTCCATTTCCAAAACCTCACACATTTGGGACATAGATGCTGAATAAATTATGCCCCAGGATAAATAAGGGTTTTACTAATTTGTATTGAAAGTATAATTCCAAATAAAGGACATATAAATATGTAAATCTATATACAAATAGAAATATATATGCCACTTTATATATATCATATATAACTTTGGATCACTCTGTCCAAAAATTCTTTCTCATTCTTTTCTCTTTAATCATCAAGGAATGAAGAGGAAGGTGTGATGTTTTCCTCTGCCTACCATCTTTCATCGGGGAGAAAGGAGATTTCTCTTGCAAGCCTCTTTTATTTTGCCAATTGCATTTGTTAGTGGTATTGTTGATGGCAGGGATGGGGAAGGTATCACTGACATAGGGTTGCCAAATTTAGTAAGTAATATAAGATACCAGAATAAATTAGAATTTTACATAAACCACAAATAATTTTCAATATGTATGTCCCAAATATTAAATTTGGGCATCCTATATTTCATCTGGCAATACTAGCTCAAAAGCAGGGTAATTTCCATCCACATTTCCCAAGAAGGAAATTTCAAGTTGATTTTAGGATTCCTCAAGTTCCATGAGGTGAATATTGAAGATTTTTTAAAAAAAAAACTTCTCAGAATATTGTATTTGATTACGTATGATGATTTCCCAGCTGTTCCAAAGATAAGAAGGCCACTCAGGGACCAGCATCCTCATTCTGTGGGTTGTTGATAGTAGCATAGTTTCCCAAATATTGACATAAAGGAAGCTCTGTTAATAAAATCTCTCAGGATGGATCAAATTACTTCCTACCCTAAGAGAGGTCTACACCGTCTTAGAGTGTTTTCACATAAGGTCTGTATTAGTCCATTCTCATGTGGCTATAAAGAACTACCAGAGAGTAGGTAACTTATAAAGGAAAGAGGTTTAATTGACTCACAGTTTCACATTGCTGGCAAGGCCTCAGGAAACTTACAATCATGGCGGAAAGAAAAGGAGAAGCTGGCACCTTCTTCACGGGGTGGCAGGACAGAGTGAGTGCAAGCTGGGGAAATGCAAGACCCTTATAAAACCATCAGATCTCCTAAGAACTCACTCACTATCATGAGAACAGCATGAGAGAAACTGCCCTCATGATCGGATTACCTCCACCTGGTCCTGCCCTTGACACATAGGAATTATGCAGATTCTAATTCAAGTTGAGATTTTGGATGGGAACACAGCCAAACCATATCAAGGTCATAGAAAGAATGAGAGGTGGCTAGGCTAGTCTTCGCAAAACCTGGACTTCATTCCTGGCTCTACTAATGACATGGTGTGTAGACATGTGCAAGTCATTTCAAGATGCCCGTGGCTCCAGGTGTTTCATCATTTGGTAGCAGATAACAATTCCAGCCTCTGCTAACTGAAAAGAATATTACAAGACTAATATGAAAACTCTGAAAAAAGAAAAATCTGGTAGAAAAACATTACATCACTAATTTATAAAATACCTATTTCACTGAAGGACTGAAAAGAACATAGAGCCCATATAAATATAAACTCTATTTTTCAATAAAATGATGCCTCATTTTCCTGGCATTCTTGGCATTCGGAGAGTGTTTCACATTAAGCCATGGCTTTACAGAAATATTTCTAAATCTTGCATCTCTGAGCATACTGAAAAAGTATATTTTTTTCATTTTCTTGATGATTCTAGGGCAACAATAAAATTATTGGTTATTGTGCTGTGCTACACAAGACACGTTAATAAGAAAGTGAAAGAATGAAAAAATTTTTGTACTTTGGAGAGCTTCAAGAGCTATTGAGATACAGAGAATGACCATTTCACTAAATGGCCCTGGCTGTGGTGTTTTTACAGTACTCTGTGTCTCTGGCTGCTGTCATCACTCATTAGCTATCACAGGCCATCATTTCTCCTTGCTGCTGTTTCCCATCTTCTCCCTTACTTTATATACAATTTTGTTAGGAAAGGCATGCATCCTATTACAAATCAAGAGGAATTTGCCACCCAGAGGCATTTTTACTTCCTTCTGCATTGCCACTTACATTCCAGGTAGTTGAGATTGGCAATTTCTTGAGCACTCTGTTATATGTCTTCAAGTAATCCCCAAGTCCTGTGTACATACAATGTATTTAATAAATATTGATATTTATTTAAAATATCGAATCGTTAATATACCTCCAGATACATTAAGAACTATTGTATTATTTTGCAAATCATATGTCTGTTATCAAAAGTAATGGAATTTTATGACTTGCAGCTGGTAAACCATCCCAGGCAGCTGAACTATCATATTTTTTCATGGTGAGCACACCTGAATAAATATCTTGATGTTTCTGAAGTTGAGATATATGTTACAATAGACACGTGTATTTAATGTGATAATGTTCCTTTGATTTCAGAAAAGTGGCTATTAAAGATGCATTGGAGTGACATCAGCAAGATCATTGACTGCCTGATGCTCATCCCTCCCACAAAAAGGGACCAAAACAACATAAACAACTATGTTTTAGCTGAAGTGACAGAGAAAGTAGGCTGAAGAGCACCAGGGGCATGGCAAAGTCCCTGCGGAGCACAGAAACCCAGGATAGCACCACAGAGAAGGTAGCAAGGCATCCCGTCTCTGCCACAATATCTCCCCCACCAAGATCTGCTAAGAGCCATGAGAGACTTCCTTTTATGGGAAAAGGTTAAGATGGACATCCCATTGGTCTCCATTACCACCACAGACACCTGCACCCCTTGCTAAGGGAGAGACGGTCACAGGCCCCAAATCCAGTCTGTAGAGTGTCTGTAGAGTTGCCTGGAGATAATGAGACAGTATTGCTCCAGAGTAGAAGCCCATATTATACACTACCCCACCCCTGTGGCCTAAGCTCCTACAGCACACTACCATCTTGAAGCTGGGCCTACTGCTAGAGTGCATCTTGCCCTGGGGATCAGTGGGCAACTGCCTCTCTCTGTTCCTAAGGCCCCACCATCATTCCACCACACTCACGTGGCTGCAGCACTGTGACCTTGACTGCCTGAAGCCTAGGCCCAGTGGAATGGTCCAGACAGCAGCACTGAAACCCGTGTGGCACCCACCCCCCAGAGAACCAGTGAACCTGCGCAGTGGGGAAGCTGACACACAGCTGGCCAGTCAGTCATGCTCACACATGCCTGTGCCAAACCTGATAGCCACTATAGGTGTGGCCCTTCCTTCTGGAGAGCCAGCTGCACAGCTCTCTGGCCCACCATGCCTACATATGCCCTACAGAGACCCCATCACACAGGTGGCCAGCCCACTATCCCCACATGTGCCCAGCCTAACAGCCAGCCCAGCGCCTCTGCCCCTAGCAAAACCATATCACCACCATCACAAACTCCTGAAATCTAGGCCACTGATGCAATTGCAGAGTAACTGATGAAAATTACAGCTAAAAACACTGAACAGAGGCCACATTATTGAGTCAATCCAGGACTGAAGCCAATGGACAGTTCCCAACTGACACTCTAGAATTCCTCTACAAGAAAAGGTATGAGAGCTACTCCATAAAATCTGAGGAGGTAGCTTTTCCACCAGATGTCAAGATATCAACATAGGAACATAAAAAACATGAAAAAGAAAGGATATATGACCACCTCCAAAAGAACACAATAATTCTCCAGTAATAGACCTCAAAGAAAATGAAATACAAAATGCCAAAAAGTGAATCTAAAATAATCTTAAAGAAACTCAGTGAGATACAAGAAAATTCAGAAAAACTATGCAACGAAATCAGGAAAACAATTCAGGATCTGAATGAAAAGTTCAACAGAGGTAAATATTGTAAAAAATGATCAAACAAATTTTGGAGTTGAGGAATTCAATAATTAAAGTGCAAAATACAAAATACAATTGAGAGCTTCACCAAGAAACTCCATAAAGTAGAAGAAATAATTTCTGAACTTGAAGACAGATCTTTTGAAATAACTTAGTCAGAGAAGAAATTAAGAAATAAGAATAAAAAAATAAAGAAAGCCTATGGAATTTATGTGATGCTATTAAGTGAACAAAAATCTGTGTTATAGGAATGTCAGCAGGAGAAGAGAGAGAGGAAAGCTTAGAAAACCTATTTAACAAAATAATAGATGAAAACTTCCCAAATCTTGAGAGAAATATGGAAATCCAGATCCAGAAAGCTCAAAATTTTCCAATTAGATTCAACCCAAAAAGTTCTTCTCTGAAGCACATTATAATCAAACTGTCAAAGACAAAGAGAGAATTCCAATAGTTAAAAGAGAAAAACTTCAAGTCATATATAAGGGAATCTCCATTAGACTATTAAGAGATTTCTTAACAGAAACTTTGCAGGCCAGGAGAGAATGTGATAATGTAGTCAAACGGACAGGGTTGGGGTGGGGTGGCGGGGGAGGGCAGGGAACCTGTCTGCCAAGAATACTATATCCAGCAAAACTGTACTTCAAAAATAAAGGAGAAATAAAGACCTTTCCAGACGAGCAAAAGCTGAAGGGATTTATCACCACTAGACTGGCCTTGCCAGAAGTGATTAAGGGAATGCTACAACTGTAAGCAAAAAGACAGTAATTACTATCATGAAAACACATGAAAGTATAAAACTCACCAGTAGAGGTAAATTAATAATCAAACTCAGAATAGCCCAGTGCTGTAATGGTGCTATGTAAATCTTTCAGTTCTCTAACATAAAGGTTAAAAGTATAAAACAATAGCAGCTTCACTTACAGGCTAAGGAACACACAATAGATAAAGATATCAATTAAGTCAACAAACATACAAATTGTGGGGAAGAGAGAAGTCTAGAGTATTTTTAATCAACAAAGTTAAGCTGTTATCAGCTTAAAAAGGTCTATTATAACTAAAGACTCTATGTGTTAGTCCTACAGTAACCACAAAGAAGGAGATTATAACAGATATACAAACAAGAAAAAGAAAGGAATCAAAGCTTAACACCACAGAAAACCACTAAACCACAGGGTTAAACAGCAAGAGAGTAAGAAAGGGACAAAGGATCCACAAAACATTCAGAAAACAATAGTAAAATGGCAGACATAAGTCCTTACCTATAAATAATAACTGTGGATGTAATGGATTAAAGTCTCCAATTAACAGATGTCAAAAACAAGATATAACTAATGCTGCCTACAAGAGAATCACTTTATCATTAAAGACAACATAGACTGAAAGTGACAAGATAAAAAAAGACACTTTATGCAAACAGAAACCAAAAGTGAGCAGCAGTAGCCATATTAATATACATCAGAAAAAATAGACTTTAAGACAAAAACTGTACAAAAAAGACAAAAAGGTTACTATATAATAATAAAGAGATTAAGCAAACAAGAAGATATAACAAAAATGGATATGTACTCCAATAACAGAGCACCCAATATATAAAGCAAATATTTTTAGATCTATAGGGAGAGGCAGACTGCAATACAATAATATTAGAGAATTTCAATACCCCACTTTCAATGATACACACATCATCTAGACAGAAAATCTGCAAAGAAACACTAGACTCAAATTACACTATACAGCAAATGAACCTAAAAGACAATACAGAACATTCTATCCAAGAGCTACAGAACACACATTCTCCTCAACTGCACATGGGACATTCCCCAGAACAGATCATATATTAGGCCCCAAAATAAGTGTTAACAAATTTAAGAAAGCTGAGATCATATCAGATATCTTTTCTGCCCACAATGGTATAAAACTAGAAATCAACAAGAAGAAAAATTTCAGAAACTACAAATACATGAAAATTAAACAGCATGCTCCTAAATAACCAATGAGTAAATAATACAGAAATTAAAAGAGAAGTTTTTAAATGCTTGAGACAAATGAGAATGGAAACACATCATATTAAAACCCATGAAACATAGGAAAAGCAGTTGTAGCAGGAAAGTTTATAGCAATAAATGCCTATAATCAAGAAAAGAAGATTTTTGTTTGTTTGTTTGTTTGTTTGTTTGTTTTGAGACAGAGTCTCACCCTATCACCCAGGACGAATGGAGCACAGTGGTGCCATCTCGGCTCACTGCAACCTCCGCCTCCTGGGTTCAAGTAATTCTCCTCCCTCAGCCTCCCAAGTAGCTGGCATTACAGGCACGTAATCTCCACCTTGCCTGGCTCATTTTTATATTTTTAGTAGAGACAAAGTTTCACCATATTGGCCAGGCTGGTCTTTAATTCCTGACCTCAGGTGATCCACCCACCTCACCCTCACAAAGTGCTGGGATTACAGGCATGTGTCACCACATCCAGCCTAGAAGAAAGATTTCTAATAAACAATCTAATGATGCACCTCAAGTAACTAGAAAAACAAGAAGAAACGAAATCCAAAATTGGTAGAAGAAAGGAAATAATAAAGCTCACAGCAGAAATAAATAAAATAAAGACTAGAAAAGCAACTCAAAGAATAAACAAAAGAGTGTGTTTTTAAAAAACATAAACAAAATCAATAAGCCTTCAGGTAGACAAACTAAGAAAAAAGAGAAGACTCAAATAAATAAAATCATAGATGGAAAAGTAGACATTACAACTGATACCACAGAAAAACAAGAGGTCATAAAAAACAATTAGGAGAAACTACATGCCAAGAAATTTGACAATCCAGAAAAAAAGGGGTCAATTTTTGGACACAGATAACCTACAAAGATTAAATTATTAAAAAATAGAAAACCTGAACAAACCAATAAGGGGTAAGAAAATTGAATCAATAATAATGTCTTCCATCAAAGAAAACCCCAAGACCTAGGGATTTCACTACTAAATTCTACCAAACATTTAAAGAAAAATAAATACCAATTCTTCTCAAACTATTCCAGAAAATTGTAGAGGAGGGTATATGTCCGAACTTATTTTACAAGGCCAGAATTACCCTGATGCTAAAACTGGACAAGGACATAAGAGAAAAAAAATACAGGCCAATATCCCCAATGAACATAGATTCAGAAATCCTCAACAAAATACTAGCAAACCAAATTGAACAGCACATTAAAAAGATCATTCGCTATGATTAAGCAGATTCATCCCAGGGATGCAAGGATGGCTCAACGTACAAAATCAATAAATGTTATACACCACACTAACAAAAAGAAAGACAAAAACTATATGATCATTTCAATAAATGCAGAAAAACATTTGAAAGATGTCAACATCTCTTTATGATAAAAACTCTCAACAAATTAGATATAGAAGCTACGTGCCTTTACACATAAAGGCTATATATAACCCATCCAGAACCAACATCATTCTGAATGGGTAAAGCTGAAAGCTTTTTCCTCAAAGATCAGGAACAAGACAAGGATGTTCACTTTCACTACTTTTTTTTATTTTTATTTTTAGTTCTGGGATACATGGGCAGGATGTGCAGGTTTGTAATATAGGTGACATGTGCCGTAGTGGTTTGCTGCACCTATCAACCAATCACCTAGGTATTAAGCCTAGCATGCATTATCTATTTTTCCTTATACTCTCCCTCCCCTCACTCCACAGGCCCCAGTGTGTGCTGTTCCCCTCCCTCTGTCCATGTGTTCTCATTGTTCAGCTCCCACTTACAAGTGAGAACATGCAGTGTTTGGTTTCTGTTCTTGCATTAGTTTGCTGAGGATAATGGCCTCCAGCTCCATCCATGTCCCTGCAAAGGACATGATCTCATGCCTTTTTATGGCTGTATAGTATTCCATGGTGTATATGTACCACATTTTCTTTATCCAGTCTGTCATTGATGGACATTGGAGTTGATTCCATGTCCTTGCTATTGCAAATAGTGCTGCAATGAACATATGCTTGCATGTATCTTTGTAATAGAATGATTTATATTCATTTGGATATATACCCAGTAATAAGATTGCTGGGTCAAATAGTATTTCTGGTTCTAGATCTTTGAGGAATTTCCACACCATCTTCCACAATGGTTGAACTAATTTACATTCCCACCAACAGTGTAAAAATATTCCTATTTCTTCACAACCTCGCCAGCATCTGTTTCTTGACTTTTTAGTAATGGCCATTCTCACTGGCGTGAGATGGTATTTCATTGTGGTTTTGATTTGCATTTCTCTAATAATCAGTAATGTTGAGCTATTTTCCATATGTTTGTTGGCTGCATGAGTGTCTTCTTTTGAGAAGTGTCTGTTCATGTCTTTTGCTCACTTTTTAATGGGGTTATTTAATGGGGTTATTTTGTTCACTTTGCAGATTTGTTTGGGTTCCTTGTAGATTCTGGATATTACACCTTTGTTGGATGGATAGATTGCAAAGATTTTCTCCTACTCTGTAGCTTGCCTGTTCATTCTGATGATAGTTTCTTTTGTTGTGCAGAAGCTCTTTAGTTTAATTAGATCCCATTTTTCAATTTTTGCCTTTGTTGCAAAGGCAAAATCTTTGCCCATGCCTATGTCTCAAATGATATTGCCTGAATTTTCTTCTAGGTTTTTTATAGCTTGGGGTTCTACATTTAAGTCTTTAATTGATCTTAAGTTAGTTTTTGTCTAAGGTGCACTTTCACCACTTCTATTCAACACAGTACTTGAAATTCTAGCCAGAGTAATTAAGAGAAAAAAAAAGGCATCCAAATAGGAAAGGAGAAAGTCAAATTTTCTGTTAACAGATGAAATGATCTTATATGTAGAAAACCCAAAGACACTACCAAAGTACTGTTAGAACCAAGAAACAAATTTAGTAAAGTTGCAGGATACACAATCAATATGAACAGTCAATAGTGTTTCTACATGCTAATAATAAACTATTTGAAAACAAGTCAAGAAAAAATATCATGTACTGCAAAAAAGATAATTAGGAATAACCTTAACCTAGGAGGTGAAAAAAGTCTCTACACTGAGAACTATAAAACGTTGATGAAAGAAATTGAAGAGGATACAAATAAATTAAAAGATATCCTGTTTTCATGGATTGGAAGAATTAATAATGTTAAAATGTCCATACTACCCAAAGTGATCCACAGATTTAATGCAATCCCCATCAAAATACCAATGATATTCTTCACCAAAATTAGAAAAAAAAAATTCCAAAATTTATACAGAACCATAAAAGACCCCAAATAGCCAAATAAGTCCTGAGGGGTTGTAGGGAGGGGGAACAAAGCTAGAAGTATCACACTACTAGACTTCAAAATATATTACAAGGCTATAGTAACAAAACAGCATGGTATAGGCATAAAAACAGACATGGAGTGATGGAACAGAATAAAGAGACTAGAAATAAATTCACACACACAATGTTAACTGACTTTCGACAAAGGTGCTAAGAACACGCAGTAGGGAAAAGACAGTCTCTTCAACAAATTGGTCTGGGAAAATTAAATATTCACATGAAGAAAAATTAGACTAGACAGTGGTGACCTCTCACCACATACAAAAACCAATTCAAAATAGATTAAAAACTGAAACGTAAAGCCTGAAATTACAAAACTACTAGAAGTAAATGTAGGGAAAAGGCTTCATGACATTGGACTCAGCAAGAATTTTTTAAATAAGACCTCAAAGCACAGGCAACCAAAGCAAAAATAGACAAATAGGCTTATATCAAACTAAAAAGCTTTTGCACAGCAACAGAAACAAGAGAGTGAAAAAACAATCTACAGAATGGGAGAAAATATTTGCAAACTATACATCTGACAGGGACTAATAATATTCAGACTATATAAGAAACTAAATTCAATAGCAAAAACTCCAAATTTAAAAATGGGCAAAAGACTTCAACAGATGTTTCTCAAAAGAAAGCATACAAATGGCCAACAGGTATGCAACAAAATGATCAATATCACTGATCATCAGGGAAATACAAATCAAAACTACAGTGAGATGCTTCTTCACTCTAGTTAGAGTGGTTATTAACCAAAAAGACAAAAGAGACTAGGCATGGTGACTCATGCCTGTAACCCCATCACTTTTGGAGACTGAGGCATGAGGATCACTTGAGGTCAGAAGTTTGAGACCAGCCTAGGCAGCATGGCAAGACCCCCATCTCTACAAAACATTTTTAAAAACTAGCCAGGTGTGGTGGGGTGCACCTGCAGTCCAAGCTGCTTTTGAGGCTGAGGCAAGAGGATTGCTTAAGCCCAGGAGTTTAATTGCAGTGAGCCATGATCATGTCACACACTCCAGCCTGGGTGACAGAGTAAGACCCAGTCTCAAAAAAAAAAAAAAAAAAAAAAAGACAAAGAAAACAAATGTTGATGAGGATATGAATAAAAGGGAACACTTACACATTGTTGGTGGGAATGTAAAATAATACAGCCATTATTAAAAACATGGAGGTTTCTCAAATAGTTAAAAATAAAACTACTATCTGATTCAGCAATCCCACTACCGGGGATATATCTAACAGAAATGAAATCAATATGTCAAAGAAATATCCACACTCCCATGTTTCTTGCAGCATTATTCAAAATAGCCAAGATATGGAATCAAACTAAGTGTCTAATGATGGATGAATGAAGAAAGAAAATTTGATATATATACACAATCAAATACTATTGTGCCATAAAAATGAATAAAATCTTGTCATTTGCAACACGGGTGAGCCTATAGGACGTTACGTGAAGTGAAAGAAATCAGATGCAGAAAAATACCACATGATCTCACCCATATGTGGAATCTAAAAAATAGTTAATCTCATAAAAGTAGATAATAGAACAGTGATTACCAGAGATTTTAGAGAGGAGGAAAGGAGGAGGTTCATCAACAGTTACAAAGTTACAATCAGGTTAGGAGGAATAAGTTCTGTTGTTCTATTGCACAGTAGGGTGACTATGGTTTAACATTCAGGCATTGCAAAATAGCTAGAAGAGAGGTTTTTGAATGTTCTCATCACAAAGAAATGATAAATACATGAGGTGATAGATATACTAACTACCCTGATTTGATTATCATATAATATATGCATTATCAAAACATCAAATTGTACCCCATAAGTAGGTATAATCACAATCTCTGTTTAAAAAAAATGCCTCTTCAATTGATGAATTATTAAATGAAATAAGTAGGAACTTTCTATAGCTATTCCTCACAAAATTCAAAAAGGCTGAGAGTAGACACTGTGAGAAAAGAAGCAGTATTACAGATCTTACTAATATAGACTTTAATCATCATACTATCTTACCCCCAGGCCATTATCTCCTCCCACACTCCAAAAGTAAGTATAACATAGGTGTATAGCCATTTATTCCATTTATCCATTTTGGTATATAGTTTTCCATTTCATAGATATAATTTAAAATATCTGTTAATATACTGCATGTGTTTTTATATTATAGAATATAACAATATTTTTGTGTAATTTGCTTGTATGACTCCATATTATGTTTTAAGAACTATCCAATACATGCAGGAACAGTTACATAGTGATATATGACACAACAGTTTATCTCTTTTAACTGTGGTATGATCTTATTACAACTTATCATATAATTTATTCCTTCCTTTATTGATGACTATTTAGTTTGTTTGCAAATTTTTGTTGTCGTAAACAATCTTAAGTGAATATGCTTGTTCACGTGTCTTGTGTTTTTGTGCCAGAAAATCTCACAGTACTGTGCTGGACCTGACTCTGATGACTCTTGAGAACCAATGGTGCAGATCTCTTTCTTATCTGGCTTCAGTGACATTATATAACTAGAATATGACCACGATGGGAGCATTTCCACAGTAGAAAAGGGCAAACCTACAAATTAAGTACCCCCTAACCCTGCACTGGAAAATTCAGCTGTTACACATTTACCCACACACACTGGGTGTATATTGCCTGAAATAGAATTGCTACTATTAGAGTGTGATCATTTTCATTTTTCTGGATGCCTCCAAATTTGCTGTACCACCGTCTACTCCCACTCAACAGTATATGAAAGCAGTGCCTCTAAAACATCTTTAGGCCTTTAAAAGGCTTGATATTGCCAAACATATTAATTTATGCCTATATATGAGAGAGATAAAAAGTGGCATCTCATCAGTGGTTCATTTGCATTTTCCCACTAGCCAGTGAAGTTAAGCATGTTTTCATTTGCATAGTAAACTTTTGAATTTCCTTGCCTTCAAATTGTGTTGTTCATTTTTAAATCAGCCAGTCTTTTTTCTTGAATTGTAGGAGTTCTTTACATAGTCTGGAAAATTAGTCTTTGTTTGGTATGCAATTTACAAATATCTTTTGTCAATCTGTTGCTTGTCTTTTAACCTTGCTCGTGGTGTTTGCCATGTACTAACCGTGTGACCTTAAGAAAGTCACTTAACATCTATGAATCTCATATTTTTCATCTGTAAAACTGGAATAATGGTAACCACCACGTTGGCTTGCTGGAAATAAATGAATTGATACACGTAAACCAGTGCCTAGTAATTACTATTATTAATTATCACTTCACTGCTCTACAGAAGTTTTTGGTTTTGACATAGTTTTTGTTTGTTTGTTTGTTTCTCTATGGTTGTTTAAGCATTTTTCAAATCCAAGAGGTGAAGGAATAGACTATTCTATCTTCTTGTAGTTTTAGAATTTTTCAGATTTAGATCATTTACACATTTTACACTGCTTTTTCCTTCCATTTATCCTGAGCACCTAGCCGGAACTTCTGAAGCCAGTAGGTGCTCAATAAATGCTTACAGAAGGAGGAATGGTAGGGAGAAGGGATTAGCACTAATTTCCCAGAAGTGGTTCTGCTGAGAAACTCAACGGGGAGAGAGACAAACAGAGAGCTAGTGGGATAAATCGCTATGAACTACACTTATGACCTGCTAAAATGGAAATCCCTTACTCTCTTGTCATACTTATGTCAAGTCTTACAAAAGATTAATAATTGATGACTCCCAAAACAAGCAAGAGCAGGTGATATCTTCCTTGCAATGTTTTATACACAGTAATGAACTCTTGTTTTATTTCCATCCCACACAGTATCTGTGTAGTTCTTAGACTTTAAACTATCTCCCCCTGAAACATATTTTTTTCCCACAAATTCTTGGGATTCTTAGGGGAAATCCAATTAGAATTTAGAGTTGAAAAGTAGGATAGGAGGACACACAAATGAGCCTCAGGCCTCTGCTTTTCCCATTCCCGAACCAGATCTCTACCTGAAGGTCCATGGTCTATGTGGGTGAGCCAAAGAACTAGCACACAAAATCCTCACATCTAGTAGCATCTATTCCAAGTAGAATCTGTAGACTGAAGAGATAATAGTACCATTACTAGCAGTCAGGGTGTCCTCATACTTAAGAAGTTTGGGGACCCCCAAACTGCATGATAGACAACAACAAAAAATGGATTTCCAAACATTTACCTAGAAGCCAAACTTTCAAATTCATGACAAGCTGGAACACCAAAAATTGATTTTGGCTTATTGACCTCTTCTATTTGCCTTTAGTCCACTCATCAATGAATTGTTATTGCAATGTTAAACTCCTTGAGATTAGAAATTTTTATTAGTTTTCTAATAAAATTTATTTTCTCTATTCCTTTTTCCTGTTGTCATACATGATGCAATACATGTTTCTAATGTTCAGTCTACCACATTGTTCCAAACTAACATGACCTGACTTATAGGTCATTTAGGACCTGACTTAACTACAAATCATTAGCCTTTAAAAAAAAAAAAACAGAGGCTTGGCACAGTGGCTCACGCCTGCAATCCCAATACTTTGGGAGGCTGAGGTGGGCAGATTGCCTGAGCTCAGGAGTTGGAGACCAGCCTGGGCAACACAGTGAAACCCTGTCTCTACTAAAATACAAAAAATTAGCTGGGCATGGCAGCATGAGTCTGTATTCCCAGCTATTTGGGAGGCTGAGGCAGTAGAATTGCTTGAACCTGGGAGGCGGAAGTTGCAGTGAGCCGAGGTCATGCCACTGCACTCCAGCCTGGGCAAGAGAGTGAGACTCTGTCTTAAAAAAAAAAAAAAAAAGGTGTGGATCAGAGGGAGGAGCCAAGATGGCCGAATAGGAACAGCTCTGGTCTACAGCTCCCAGCGTGAGCAACGCAGAAGACGGGTGATTTCTGCATTTCCATCTGAGGTACCGGGTTCATCTCACTAGGGAGTGCCAGACAGTGGGTGCAGGTCAGTGGGTGCGCCCACCATGCACGAGCTGAAGCAGGGCGAGGCATTGCCTCACTCGGGAAGCGCAAGGGGTCAGGGAGTTACCTTTCCTAGTCAAAGAAAGGGGTGACAGACGGCACCTGGAAAATCGGGTCACTCCCACCCGAATACTGTGCTTTTCCGACGGGCTTAAAAAATGGCGCACCAGTAGATTATATCCTGCACGTGGCTTGGAGGCCCCTATGCCCACGGAGTCTCGCGGATTGCTAGCACAGCAGTCTGAGATCAAACTGCAAGGTGGCAGCGAGGCTGGGGGAGGGGTGCCCGCCATTGCCCAGGCTTGCTTAGGTAAACAAAGCATCCGGGAAGCTGGAACTGGGTGGAGCCCACCACAGCTCAAGGAGGCCTGCCTGCCTCTGTAGGCTCCACCTCTGGGGGCAGGGCACAGACAAACAAAAAGACAGCAGTAACCTCTGCAGACTTAAATGTCCCTGTCTGACAGCTTTGAAGAGAGCAGTGGTTCTCCCAGCATGCAGCTGGAGATCTGAGAACGTGCAGACTGCCTCCTCAAGTGGGTCCCTGACCCCTGACCACCTTGCAGCCTAACTGGGAGGCATCCCCCAGCAGGGGCAGACTGACACCTCACACGGCCGGGTACTCCAACAGACCTGGAGCTGAGGTCCTGTCTGTTAGAAGGAAAACTAACAAACAGAAAGGACATCCACACCAAACACCCATCTGTACGTCACCATCATCAAAGACCAAAAGTAGATAAAACCACAAAGATGGGGAAAAAACAGAGCAGAAAAACTGGAAACTCTAAAAAGCAGAGCGCCTCCCCTCCTCCAAAGGAACGCAGTTCCTCACCAGCAATGGAGCAAAGCTGGACAGAGAATGACTTTGACGAGCTGAGAGAAGAAGGCTTCAGACGATCAAATTACTCCAAGCTACGGGAGGAAATTCAAACCAAAGGCAAAGAAGTTGAAAACTTTGAAAAAAATTTAGAAGAATGTATAACTAGAGTAACCAATACAGAGAAGTGCTTAAAGGAGCTGATGGAGCTGAAAACCAAGGCTCGAGAACTATGTGAAGAATGCAGAAGCCTCAGGAGCCAATGTGATCAACTGGAAGAAAGGGTATCAGCGATGGAAGACAAAGTGAATGAAATGAAGCGAGAAGGGAAGTTTAGAGAAAAAAGAATAAACAGAAACGAGCAAAGCTTCCAAGAAATATGGGACTATGTGAAAAGACCAAATCTATGCCTGATTGGTGTACCTGAAAGTGATGGGGAGAATGGAACCAAGTTGGAAAACACTCTGCAGGATATTATCCAGGAGAACTTCCCCAATCTAGCAAGGCAGGCCAACATTCAGATCAGGAAATACAGAGAACGCCACAAAGACACTCCTCGAGAAGAGCAACGCCAAGACACATAATTGTCAGATTCACCAAAGTTGAAATGAAGGAAAAAACGTTAAGGGCAGCCAGAGAGAAAGGTCGGGTTACCCTCAAAGGGAAGTCCATCAGACTAACAGCGGATCTCTCAGCAGAAACTCTACAAGCCAGAAGAGAGTGGGGGCCAATATTCAACATTCTTAAAGAAAAGAATTTTCAATCCAGAATTTCATATCCAGCCAAACTAAGCTTCATAAGTGAAGGAGAAATAAAATACTTTACAGACAAGCAAATGCTGAGAGATTTTGTCACCACCAGGCCTGCCATAAAAGAGCTCCTGAAGGAAGCGCTAAACATGGAAAGGAACAACTGGTACTAGCCGCTGCAAAATCATGCCAAAATGTAAAGACCATCGAGACTAGGAAGAAACTGCATCAACTAACGAGCAAAATAACCAGCTAACATCATAATGACAGGATCAAATTCACACATAACAATATTAACTTTAAGTGTAAATGAACTAAATGCTCCAATTAAAAGACAGAGACTGGCAAATTGGATAAAGAGTCAAGACCCATCAGTGTGCTGTATTCAGGAAACCCATCTCACGTGCTGAGACACACATAGGCTCAAAATAAAAGGATGGAGGAAGATCTACCAAGCAAATGGAAAACAAAAAAAGGCAGGGGTTGCAATCCTAGTCTCTGATAAAACAGACTTTAAACCAACAAAGATCAAAAGAGACAAAGAAGGCCATTACATAATGGTAAAGGGATCAATTCAACAAGAAGAGCTAACTATCCTAAATATATATGCACCCAATACAGGAGCACCAAGATTCATAAAGCAAGTCCTGAGTGACCTACAAAGAGACAGACTCCCACACATTAATAATGGGAGACTTCACCACCCCACTGTCAACATTAGACAGATCAACGAGACAGAAAGTTAACAAGGATACCCAGGAATTGAACTCAGCTCTGCACCAAGTGGACCTAATAGACATCTACAGAACTCTCCACCCCAAATCAACAGAATATATATTTTTTTCAGCACCACACAACATCTATTCCAAAATTGACCACATACTTGGAAGTAAAGCTCTCCTCAGCAAATGTAAAAGAACAGAAATTATAACAAACTATCTCTCAGACCACAGTGCAATCAAACTAGAACTCAGGATTAAGAATCTCATTCAGAACTCCTCAACTACATGGAAACTGAACTACCTGCTCCTAAATGACTACTGGGTACATAAACGAAATGAAGGCAGAAATAAAGATGTTCTTTGAAACCAACGAGAACAAAGACACAACATACCAGAATCTCTGGGACACATTCAAAGCAGTGTGTAGAGGGAAATTTATAGTACTAAATGCCCACAAGAGAAAGCAGGAAAGATCCAAAATTGATACCCTAACATCACAATTAAAAGAACTAGAAAAACAAGAGCAAACACACTCAAAAGCTAGCAGAAAGCAAGAAATAACTAAAATCAGAGCAGAACTGAAGGAAATGGAGACACAAAAAACCCTTCAAAAAATTAATGAATCCAGGAGCTGGTTTTTTGAAAGGATCAACAAAATTGATAGACTGCTAGCAAGACTAGTAAAGAAAAAAAGAGAGAAGAATCAAATAGACGCAATAAAAAATGATAAAGGGGATATCACCACCGATCCCACAGAAATACAAACTACCATCAGAGAATACTACAAACACCTCCATGCAAATAAACTAGAAAATCTAGAAGAAATGGATAAATTCCTTGACACATACACTCTCCCAAGACTAAATCAGGAAGAAGTTGAATCTCTGAATAGACCAATAACAGGAGCTGAAATTGGGGCAATAATCAATAGCTTACCAACAAAAAAGAGTCCAGGACCAGATGGATTCACAGCCGAATTCTACCAGAGGTACAAGGAGGAACTGGTACCATTTCTTCTGAAACTATTCCAATCAATAGAAAAAGACGGAATCCTCCCTAACTCATTTTATGAGGCCAGCATCTTCCTGATACCAAAGCCGGGCAGAGACACAACCGAAAAAGAGAATTTTAGACCAATATCCTTGATGAACATTGATGCAAAAATCCTTAATAAAATACTGGCAAACCGAATCCAGCAGCACATCAAAAAGCTTATCCACCATGATAAAGTGCGCTTCATACCTGGGATGCAAGGGGGGGTCAATATACACAAATCAAGAAATGTAATCCAGCATATAAACAGAACCAAAGACAAAAACCACATGATTATCTCAATAGATGCAGAAAAGGCCTTTGACAAAATTCAACAACCCTTCATGCTAAAAACTCTCAATAAATTAGGTATTGATGGGACGTATCTCAAAATAATAACAACTATCTATGACAAACCCACAGCCAATATCATACTGAATGGGCAAAAACTGGAAGCATTCCCTTTGAAAACTGGCACAAGACAGGGATGCCCTCTCTCAGTACTCCTATTCAACATAGTGTTGGAAGTTCTGGCCAGGGCAATTAGGCAGGAGAAGGAAATAAAGGGTATTCAATTAGGAAAAGAGGAAGTCAAATTGTCCCTTTTTGCAGATGATATGATTGTATATCTAGAAAACCCCATCGTCTCAGCCCAAAATCTTCTTAAGCTGATAAGCAACTTCAGCAAAGCCTCAGGATACAAAATCAATGTGCAAAAATCACAAGCATTCTTATACACCAACAACAGACAGAGAGCCAAATCATGAGTGAACTCCCATTCACAATTGCTTCAAAGATAATAAAATACCTAGGAATACAACTTACAAGGGATGTGAAGGACCTCTTCAAAGAGAACTACAAACCACTGCTCAAGGAAATAAAAGAGGGTACAAACAAATGGAAGAACATTCCATGCTCATGGGTAGGAAGAATCAATATCATGAAAATGGCCATACTGCCCAAGGTAATTTACAGATTCAATGCCATCCCCATCAAGCTACCAATGACTTTCTTCACAGAATTGGGAAAAACTACTTTAAAGTTCATATGGAACCAAAAAAGATCCCGCATCACCAAGTCAATCCTAAGCCAAAAGAACAAAGCTGGAGGCATCACACTACCTGACTTCAAACTATACTACAAGGCTACAGTAACCAAAACAGCATGGTACTGGTACCAAAACAGAGATATAGATCAATGGAACAGAACAGAGCCCTCAGAAATAACGCCGCATATCTACAACTATCTGATCTTTGACAAACCTGAGAAAAACAAGCAATGGGGAAAGGATTCCCTATTTACTAAATGGTGCTGGGAAAACTGGCTAGCCATATGTAGAAAGCTGAAACTGGATCCCTTCCTTACACCTTATACAAAAATCAATTCTAGATGGATTAAAGACTTAAACGTTAGACCTAAAACCATAAAAACCCTAGAAGAAAACCTAGGCATTACCACTCAGGACATAGGCATGGGCAAGGACTTCATGTCTAAAACACCGAAAGCAATGGCAACAAAAGCCAAAATTGACAAATGGGATCTAATTAAACTAAAGAGCTTCTGCACAGCAAAAGAAACTACCATCAGAGTGAACAGGCAACCTACAAAATGGGAGAACATTTTCGCAACCTACTCATCTGACAAAGGGCTAATATCCAGAATCTACAATGAACTCAAACAAATTTACAAGAAAAAAACAAACAACCCCATCAAAAAGTGGGTGAAGGACATGAACAGACACTTCTCAAAAGACAATATTTATGCAGCCAAAAAACACATGAAAAAATGCTCACCATCACTGGCCATCAGAGAAATGCAAATCAAAACCACACTGAGGTACCATCTCACACCAGTTAGAACGGCGATCATTAAAAAGTCAGGAAACAACAGGTGCTGGAGAGGATGTGGAGAAATAGGAACACTTTTACACTGTTGGTGGCACTGTAAACTAGTTCAACCATTGTGGAAGTCAGTGTGGCGATTCCTCAGGGATCTAGAACTAGAAATACCATTTGACCCAGCCATCCCATTACTGGGTATATACCCAAAGGACTATAAATCATGCTGCTATAAAGACACATGCACACGTATCTTTATTGCAGCACTATTCACAATAGCAAAGACTTGGAACCAAGCCAAATGTCCAACAATGATAGACTGGATTAAGAAAATGTGGCACATATACACCATGGAATACTATGCAGCCATAAAAAATGATGAGTTCATGTCCTTTGTAGGGACATGGATGAAACTGGAAATTATCATTCTCAGCAAACTATCGCAAGAACAAAAAACCAAACACCGCATATTCTCACTCAGAGGTGGGAATTGAACAATGAGAACACATGGACACAGGAAGGGGAACATCACACTCTGGGGACTGTTGTGGGGTAGGGGGAGGGGAGAGGGATAGCATTGGGAGATATACCTAATGCTAGATGACGAGTTAGTGGGTGCAGCGCACCAGCATGGCACATGTATACATATGTAACTAACCTGCACATTGTGCACATGTACCCTAAAACTTAAAGTATAATAATAATAAATAAATAAATAAATAAATGAATGAATGAATAAATAAATAAATAAATAAATAAATAAAAAATGAAAACATACATACAGGGTCTCACTGTGTTGCCTAGGCTGGTCTCGAGCTCCTGAGCTCAAGTTATCCACTCGTCTTGGCCTCCCAAAGTGTTGGGGTTACAGATGTAAGCCACCACACCCAGCCTTATTAGCCTTTTTGCAAGCAGAATTGTGATTATTTCATGCCCAAAGTACTTTATACACCAATTTGAGTATTCATACATCAGCTTCTAAAAGCATGGTTGAAGCCATGGTGCGGTGCACAGTCTCTCGAACAACATTTGCACTTTTGTATGATTAACCATCTTGATCATTCAGTCTGGGATGGAATTACTAGAATAGTGCTCTGAAGTTTAAAGAAATGATGGAAATGGAGAAAATAAGATGATACTAAGAAAAATATAAATAAGACAACATAAAAATGATTAATGTATAGAGATTAAGGATATACATATATCCTTAATTGGATGTTACTTAGTTTTAATGTGGTCATTTACACATTCAATTTTAAATGGAAAAGCAAACATAAACACATAAAATACTAGAACTATATAGAGATAAGTGTGTCTGAAAGGTGAGATGTAATCACAGATTTCAATAAAGTATTAGAGACTCACTCTTGTAATCCTAGCACTTTGAGTCAGGAAGATTGCTTGAGTCCAGGAGTTTGAGACCAGCCTGGACGACACAGGAAAACTCCATCTCTTACAAAAAAATACAAAAATTAGCCAGGCATGGTGGCACATGCTTATACTCCCAGCCACTCAGGAGGCTAATGTGGGAGAATCATTTGACACCGGGAAGTCAAGGATGCAGTGGGCCATGATCATGCCACTCCCACTGCAGCCTGGGCAACAGAGTGATACCCTGTCTCAATAAAAACCAAACAAATAAAAAGAAAATATTAAAGATTCAGTGGTGTTCTGAATACAATGGTGTTTACCCCTTGCACTGGACTCCAAGTTCCTTACAAGAGGATCCCAGCTTAATTGGTCTTTATACCCCTAGTGCCTAGGATGGGTGCTGCCTCTTGGTAGACATTCAAGAGACCTATGTTGAACCAACTCATTTAATTGTGTACAAGCCTCTAACTTTATTAACAGCAGATATTCAATACCACTCTCTTTATATAAAAATTTAAAGTACTTCTTAGTGGTTAGAGTTTCCCTTTGTTTCTGTGCACCCACAAGAAAGCATTCCTTTCTAAACTTCATGTATAACCCTAACCAAGATTAAACCACTCAGATGGTCTAAACAGATGCTGGCTCTTCTGTACATGCCAAAATTCAGCTTTGTACTATTCTTACTTTTTATATCTCTACTATTTCACTAACCAGCCACCGAAGTGACAAAATAAACGGATGCAATTTTTACATATGTACAAAACGACTACCATTTCAATGAATTCCAGCCCTTCTGCCTCTTTTGTGCAAGCTTTTCACTGGTGCCAGTGAGACCTTGGCTAGAGAAAGCAGAAGAGATTGGTCCATTATTGGAGAATGGAGAGGAAGGAGAGTCTTATGAAAGTGGGATCATTATAATGCTTCCCATTAAAACATTTTTAGTGCTCACATTTCAGGCTTAACACAGTCTACCCAGTAAGTTGGCAATATCCCAGATCCAAGAACCAATACGCTACTCAATGCTTCCTGAGGCTTCTCAAGCAATGAAGCAGGCAGCTCTTTCTCTTTTCTGATCACCATCAAAAGAATAAATTACTAAACAATAGACAATCCTGCTTCATTTAGAACATAGGAACCACTTCACAATAGTATTGCTGTCCTTTTTGGTCTAATGCAGCAGCTGTTTTAAAGGCATAGCATTAGACCTCAAAAATTATTAATCCAATTAATAATAATTTAATCCATTAAAATACATATTACACACTAAGTGCAGACTGTCAATTTTAATGAAGTTGCAAAATTGTCTACAAAAGGGGTCTTAGAAAAATCTGTTTCTTCGTGATGTTGTGATAAGATCTTTCTTTAGAATGTCAAAGACTTTGCTAAGTAATTAAATAGATTTTTAAGGCAAACAGATCTTCGTTCCTTAAATAACAATGAATAGACTCCCTATAAACATAACCCTACTCTGGATGCTTATGAAACTATAGTCTGACCCTGAAAAGTTTTTCTCTGTGGTGAAGTAATGTGTGCAATCATACCCATGGTATATCATCTTTACGACCTGTGTGTTCTTCCTGATACTGCTGGGTTGAGCAATCTCCATCGGTCAGTGCAAAATGAGCCAAATTTATCTTTCAGTTTCTGCAGTTTCATTTATTCTGCAACCTCAAAAAACAAACAGCAAGTTTGGCATTAGTCTTGTTACTAAGCTAGTGGTTAGCAATTTCTAACAACTTAACAAAGAGGTTGGAATCAATGGTTTCAAATTCTGATTAATACATGGCTATTTAAGCTACAAAGGAAATAAAGGCATCTAATCAGGATATTCTTGAAGTCAGTAGAGCTGCCTGCTTCCAATCAGTAATCCTATACACCAAAACATTTTCTGAGAAGTACATTTATAGATGTATTTTTGAACTTCCTGTGTGTCTTGCTATGAGAAGAAAAACATCCCTAAAAAATACAATTCTGCAAAACAGAAAAAGGCAAGCAATCTGTGAAGCAGACACATGCTGTTCATGACCTTCTGAGACTTCCTTTTAGGTGGCAGTTAGCAATATTGTGTCACCTATGATCTGGCAAAACAGAGGGTAACAAAATCAAGTGTGTCAGCAAAAATACCTGACCCCCCGCCCCTCAAAAAAAAAGTGTGTTTGTGTGTGTATTAGTCTGTTCTCATGCTGCTAATAAAGACATATCCGAGACTGGATAATTTATAAAGAAAAAGAGGTTTAATGGACTCACAGTTCCACATGGCTGGGGAGGCCTCACAATCATGGCAGAAGATGAGGAGGATAAAAGTCACGTTTTACATGGCAGCAGGCAAGAGAGCATATGCAGAGGAACTCCCCTTATAAAACCATCAGATCTCGTGAAACTTATTCACTGTCATGAGAATAGGATGGTAAAGACCCACCACCATGATTCAATTACCTCCCACCAGCTACCTCCCACAACACACGGGAATTAAGGGAGCTACAATTTGTGATGAGATATGCATGGGGACACAGCCAAATCATATCAGTGTGTGTATCTAACAACACAGTAATAGAAATTGTAGCTTATTAATAATATTTTACATGAGGGAAATACACTAAGGAACTATAATCAAAAGTTATTGACTAAGTTTCTGTCAATTAATACTTACCTATGTGAAAAATTTGTCTAGACACATAAGACAAAGAAGAGAAGGAATTTACTAGAAAACCATTCTCAAGGAGCTTGTCACTTAGTTGGGCCAAAAATACATAGAAAGATGATAACTCTAACAAGCAGAATACAAATGACTAAGAAGTGGCAGAGACAATAAATGCTGGGCATCAAAGGATCACTTTGGGCCAGGAATGTCAGTAATTATTTCCAGAAAGGTAAATATTAGCAACACTGAGCTTTGTGATTCAGAAGCACAAGCTTCACCTTCTGGTAATTCCCCTGGGCAAATTCCTTGATCATGAATATGATCATTTAAAAATCAATTAGTAGGCCACTCTATTCACATGATTTCACAGTCTCCCACCTTCTTTTGCAAGGGTCAAGTAAAACTAACATCATGTTCAATAAAACATCGTATTAACACTTCTAAATAGTTGTGGAAATAATCCATAGTGCCTATTTTGAGCTAAACCCAAAAACAAATATAATAAAAATAACAAAACACAAATGTATTTTTTGAAACTATGAATATTAGAAAAAAAAACTCTTAAGCTTCCATTAAACTATTTGCCTCCTTGAGGTAAACAGCAGAAAAGAGGAAAATGATGAAGATACTCTCATGAGTAGAATTGTGCTTAAGATAAACTGGCACAACCAAGTCAACTTACAGCTAAAGACACAAGCAGATAATGACAGAGAGACAGAGAGAATAAGAATGAAGTACTCCAACCCCCAAATGATAGAGATACCAGAGGAAATGAAAAGAGCTAGCGATACTCAAGGGAATAAAATTCAACTGGACAGGAGAATCCACTATAGATATTATAGAAGAACTACGAATTTCTGTGGCAATGATGCAGGTCTTGAGAGAATGAATGGCATGAACATTTAACAACACATAATTCTAAAAACAAACAAAACAGGGCCAATGAAGAAAAAAATGACTGGAAATGAAATGTTTAGAGTATTGGATGTTTGTATGAAGAAGAATTAAATTAGATATAAATGTCATGTCATAAACCACAATAAATTCCAAATGAGTTAAACGTGAAACACACACTGAAAACTATGTGTCCAGTAAAATAGAAAAATAAATTTGTAAAATAACAAGGATAAAATTTTTAAAAGAAACCAATGAAATTCCAAAATTGACAACATAGCTAATAGAAGTTTCAAATTCTAAACATATTAAAAACTTGAATAAAATCACTGCTCAAATTTCACTGGAGATAGGAAAGAAATATAAATCAAATTTCAGTTATCACTACACATCTGTAAAATCAATCATAATAAATACAAATAAATAAGACTCAAGGTTAAAGAAAAAAAATTATGCAGGAAAGGAAAGCTATTCATAATCAATTACTTGACTTATTGACAAGCAATATTTACAAAGACATAACAATAAAGAGTGTCTACCAACTTCACAGTGGGGATTGTGGTAGGTAAGTGAGCACGAGAGGAATACAAAAATTAAGTGGATGTCAGTTGTTAATGTGTAAAACTTATAGCTAAGGAATAGCAAGTGAAGCATTTTTAAAAATAATATGGACCTAATTACCTGAAGAAACAAAAAGAGGTGACTTATTGCTCTGGAGGCAGGACTTGTGGCATAAAAATGGTGGAGCAGATGGTGTTTTTTGTTTTAATTTTAATACAGATGAGATCTCCCTATGTTGCCTAGGTTGATCTTGAACTCATCACCTCAAGCAATCCTCCCACCTCAGCCTCTCAGAGTACTGGGATTATAAGCATGAGTTACCTCACCCAGCCCAGAAGGCTGTTTATTTTTCTTAACTGTATATTGACAATTTTTAATTACATAAATTTATGGGGTACAAAATGATGTTATGATTTATGTATACAATGTGAAATAATTAAATCAAGCTAGTTAACATATCCATCAATTCAAATACCTAACTTTTTTGTGATGAGAGCATTTGAAATTTACTCTCTTAGCAATTTTGAAATGCACAATACTTTATTATTAACTAGATTCACAATGCTGTGCAATAATACTAAAAAAATGCACATTCCTCCTGTTTAACTGAGATTTTGTACCCTTTAACAATCATCTCCCAATTCGCCTTTCCCAGCCTCCACCTCTGTAACCACCATTCTACTCTCTGCTTCTGAGTTCAGTTGTTTAAATTTCCACATTTAGTGAGTACATGCAGTATTGGTCTTTCTGTGCCTGGCTTATCTTGCTTAGCATAATGTTATCCAATTACATCCATGTTGTCACAAATGACAGGATTTTCTTCTTTTTAATGGCTCACTAGTATTCCATTGTGTATATCTGCCACATTTTCTTTATGCTTTCATCTGTTGATGGACACGTTGGTTGACTCCATTACTTGGCTACTGTAAATAATGCTACAATGACCACAGGAGTGTAGACATCTCTTTGACAAACTGATTTCAAATATTTCGGGTACATACCCAGAAGTGAGATTGCTGGATCATCTGGTGATTCCATTTTTAGTTTTCTGAGGAATCTCAATTCAGTTTTCCTTAATGGCTGCACTAATTTACATTCCCACCAATAGTGTATGAGTGTTCCCTTTTTCCCATCTCCTTGACAACACTTGTTATCTTTCGTCTTTTTTATAATAACCATTTTGACAGGTGTGACATGATATCTCATTGTGGTTTTGATTTATAGCTTCCTAATGATTAGTGATAGTGAACATTTTTTTCATACATCTGTTGGCTGTTTGTATATCTTCTTTTGAGAAATGTCTATTAGGGTTCCCTGCCCATTTCTTAATTGGGTTTTTTGTTTCCTTGTTACTGAGTTGTTTGTGTTCCTTATGTATTTTGGGTGGTAACCCCTTATCAGATGTATGGCCTGCAAATATTATTTTCTCCCATTCTATAGATTGTCTCTGTGTCTCCCATTCTGAAGGAGGATCCAACAATCTCACTTCTGGGCATTTACCTCAAAGATTTGAAATCACTTTGTTGAAGAGATGTCTGCCCTCCCACCTTCATTGCATCATTATTCACAACAGCCAGTTCTGTAGGTTGTCTCCACTGTTACCTTCACTGTGGAGAAGGAAGAAGTGAAATTGTTACTGTCTGCTGACAGCATGATTTTATATAGACAAAACCCAGCCAGCCACTGGGTCTCACACCTGTAATCCTGGCACTTTGGTAGGCCAAGGTGGACAGATCACGTAAGCTCAGGAGTTCAAGAACAGCCTGGGAAATGCGGAGAGGTCTTGCCTCTACAAAAAGTACAAAGGTTAGCCAGGTGTGGTGGCACACACCTGTAGTCCCACCTACTCAGGAGGCTGAGGTGGGAGGATTGCTTGAGCCTGGGAGGCAGAGTTTGTAGTGAGCCATGATCACACCACTGCATTCTAGCCTGGGCAATAGAGTGCAACCCCATCTCAAAATAAATAAATAAATAAATAAAATAATAAAAAATAAACCTGCAGACAGACTCCACAAATAAAAACTGTTAGAACTAATAAACAAAGTTGCACAAGAATCAGTAGCATTTCTGTATAATAATGTATACTAACAACAAACTATCTGAAAAGAAATGAAGAGTCAATCCCATTTACAATAGATAGCAAAAAAAGAAAATGCTTAGGAATAAATTTAACCAAGGAAGTGAAAGACCTGCACACTGAAAACTAGAAGACATTGATGAAAGAAATCAAAGACCGTTGTTTTAATAAGCCTTTTAATACTACAGTCAGTTGTGTGATGATGCTTGCTTTGAAAACCAAATTTGTCCTGGCACAATTAATTAACTTATTCATTTGGGAAAATTACTCAAATTTCCCATTTTCTTATGCATGATTTTGTCTGCAAGAAACACTAGGAATATTTCATCCAACTGAACTAAATTGTAGGAATACACAAAACACATACCCCCTTCCAATTCCTACTAGCTAACTCCATTCACCATGCATGTGAGCCACACCCATTCACATCCCTTATTATGTACATCATATTACTCTAAAAGATGAGCAGCATTGAATATATACACCTGGTGTTCTTTGTCACACCAACATTAGTCATTTCAGGTTTTTTTTTTTTATTTGCTGTTAACTACTTAAAATATTTACTTCCTAGTCATTATGAGTCAAATCAATGTGTGCCACTCATGAAGTATTTTGAGTGTCAGGCCTGTAATCTCATTTTTGCCCTGTGATGTGTTTTGTTGTTGTTGTTGTTGTTGTTGTTTGTTTGTTTGAGACAGTTTTGCTCTTGTTGCCCAGGCTGGAGTGCAATGGCACGATCTCGGCTCACCACAACCTCCACCTCGTGGGTTCAAGCGATTCTCCTGCCTCAGCCTCCCGAGTAGCTGGGATTACAGGCATGTGCCACGATACCCAGCCAATTTTGTATTTTTTAGTAGAGACGGGGTTTCTCCATGTTGGTCAGGCTGGTCTCGATCTCCCGACCTCAGGTGATCCACCTGCCTCAGCCTCCCAAAGTGCTGGGATTACAGGTGTGAGCCACCACACCTAGCCTTGTGATGTGTGTTTGTTGCTAGTTTTTATTGTTGTTGCCAGTGTGTATTTTTTTTTTTTTTTTTTTTGAGACGGAGTCTCACTCTTTCACCCAGGCTGGAGTGCAGTGGCGCGATCTCGGCTCACTGCAGGCTCTGCCCGCCGGGGTTCACGCCATTCTCCTGCCTCAGCCTCCCACGTAGCTGGGACTACAGGCCCCCGCCACCTCGCCCAGCTAATTTTTTGTATTTTTAGTAGAGACAGGGTTTCACCGTGTTAGCCAGGATGGTCTCGATCTCCTGACCTCGTGATCCGCCCGCCTCGGCCTTCCAAAGTGCTGGGATTACAGGCGTGAGCCACCGCGCCCGGCCACTAGTGTGTATTTTTAAAAATTAATTGACTTCATTTTTTAGAGCAGTTTTAGCTTTACAGAAAAAATTGAATGGAAAACACAGAGAGTTCCCATATAATTTGCTTCCCTTTTATTAATTAACATCTTGCATTAGTGCTGTACATTTATTACACTTGATAAGCCGATATTGATACATTATTAACTAAAGTCAATAGTTACATTAGAATTAACTCACCGTATGTTTATTGCGGCACTATTCACAATAGCAAAGACTTGGAACCAACCCAAATGTCGAACAATGATAGACTGGATTAATAAAATGTGGCACGTATACACCATGGGATGTTACGCAGCCATAAAAAATGATGAGCTCATGTCCTTTGTAGGGACATGGATGAAGCTGGAAACCATCATTCTCAGCAAATTATCACAAGGACAAAAAACCAAACACTGCATGTTCTCACTCATAGGTGGGAATTGAACAGTGAGAACACATGGACACAGGAAGGGGAACATCACACACACTGTTGTCGGGTGGGGGGAGTGGGGAGGGATAGCATCAGGAGATATACCTAATGCTGAATGACGAGTTAATGGGTGCAGCACACCAACATGGCACATGTATACATATGTAACAAATCTGCACGTTGTGCGCATGTACCCTAAAACTTAAAGTATAATAATAATAAAAAAAAAAGAATTCACTCTGTGTTGCAATTCTATGGGTTTTGACAAGCATATAATGACATGTATCCATCATGATAGTATCATAAAGAATTGTTTCACTTCACTTAAATCTCCCTGTGCTCCCCCTATTAATCCTTTCCTTTCCTATCCCCCATCCCCAATCCTTGGCAACCACTGATCTTTTGTCTATCTCCACAGTTTTGTCTTTTCTAGAATGACATATAGTTGAAATCCTACAGTATGTAGCCTTTTCAGATTGGCTTCTCCCACTTAGCAATATGCACCTAAGATTTCTCCATGTCTTTTCATGGTTTGATACCTCATTTCTTTTTATTGCAGAATAATATTCCATTGTCTGGATATACCATATTTTATTTATCTAATCACCTTCTGAAGGACATCTTGGTTTCTTCCAATTTTTGCTAATTATGAATAAAGCTGCTATAAACACCCATGTGCAGGTTTTTGTGTGAACAGGTTTTCAACCCATTTGGGTAAACAACAAGGGGTGTGATTGCTGGATCATGTGGTAAGAGTATGTTTAGTTTTATAAGAAACCACCAAACTGTCTTCCAAAGTGACTGTATAAAGTTGTATTCCCACCAGCAATGAATGAGAGTTTCTGATGCTCTACATCCTTGCCAGCATTTGGTGTTGTCAGTGTTCTGTATTTTGGCCATTCTGATAGATGTGTAGTGGCACCTTTTTTTAATTGCAATTCCCTAATGAGGTAGGCTCAGCCTCTTTTCATACGCTTGTTTGCCATCTCTATATCTCCTCTGGTCAGGTGTCTGTTCAGGTCTTTTGCCCATTTTTAAATTAAGTTGTTCGTTTTCTTATTTGTTGAGTTTAAAGAGGTTTTTGTATATTTTGTATGCCAGTACTTTATCAGATATATGTTTTGCAAATATTTTCTCAAAGTCTGGCTTGTCTTTCCATTCCCTAAACAGTGTGTTTTGCAGAGCAGAAGTTTTTAATTTTAATAAGGTACAACCTATCATTGTTTTCATGGATCATACTTTTTATTGCTTTATTTTGCACAGCTCAGTGATTTTCAGGAATTTATATAGTGTGTAATGGCCACTGACCACATTTATCTTTCTCAACCATTCATTTATTTGGCCAGATAATTTCATTTTGGATAAGTTTCCCAAATAATTGGTACAAAAGTATTGAATAGCATAATTTATTATGGTGAAAAAGTGGAATTCTAATGGAAAACAGTTGAGGCTGGGTAATTCAAGAGAATATTAACAACATGAAATACTAATATAGGTGTTCAAAACTGTTAGCATGTCAACATTCTTTACATACAAAAATAAGTTGATGCAAAGGTTGAAAGAAGAAAGCAGACTATAAAATATGCTTCATACATTAATTTCAACTAAGAAAAAATGTATTTTGACAAATAGAAATAAAAAGTTGGTAACATGCATTAGAGCAAGTAACAAATCCCATGATCTTAGTACACATCTGTTTTTCACTCATGCAAAGTTAAATACAAATATTCGAGGTGGGCAGCAGCTAAAGGGTCCAGACGCCTTCCATCTGCGGCTCTGCCATCCCCTAGGTTCCTAGAGTTCTCGGCCAATTCCTCTGCATGGATCTCAGAGATGGAAGAAGAGTATGGGCGATCACAGAAGATTTCTAAAGGCCAAACTCAGAGGGCTGAACCCACTTGCACCCAGACGGTCACATCAAGGCAGGCTAGGAAAAGTAGTCTAGCTCTGTGCCCAGGAGACAGAACAATTTTTCACCTACATAGACCGCTCTGCTCTTGGCAAAAGTAGACCAGTTTTCATAGACTCCTTTCTCCTTTCAATTGTGCTTAAATCCATCATAGTATATCTCATTATTATCTTAATTCAGTTCCTGAGTCTGGATTATGAGAGTTTAGATACCACTTATGCAAGTCTATTAGGTTTCTGTATTCAGATAGCTAGAGTTTTGATAGCTAGGATTTATTCATTCCTTATTTAAAAGAAAGAAAATTGAAATTTGCAGACTTTCTGAGTTCATCCCCTATCCTTCATTCAGACAATACCTCCTAAATCAACTCAGATTATTGCTTATCCTATTTAAAATTTTTATAGCAAAATTATGTCTTGTCAAGGAAACAATGTATAACCATTTTTTCTCTAAGTGATTCACATTTCTAACTTAATTCTTTTATTTTTTAACATAAAGCAGAATTGCATAAAATTTTTTCTAAGTAGAAAAATATAACTCTAATTAGGGCTTCTAACCTGCATATTAAGAACCAGGGTTTGATTATGCATTGGTGGCATTCACCAGGGTCAGTTCCGGTAAAAGTGTTTTAGCATTAATTGTCTTACATGATATAAGCATCTGTAAAATTATATTTGGGGAGTAAAATATCTTTATCAGAGTAATTCCTTCTTAATTTTTTTAAATGTTAATTATCATCTTTAGTATTGTTCTCTAGTTACTAATTTTAACAAAAGTTCTATGAAGTGTTGGAAATTTTATAGAGTAAGCCAATTATCATTACCACAAAAAAATTATTTTGTGTACTTCTTTGCTGGTTTTTCCAGGAGATTTTTATTATTAACTTGTCACATTGCATAAAATATTCCATTGGGGCTCTTAGTGAATATTTACATTTAATCTATGTTTAACTTAAACAGTATTCTCATTTTTACTATAGTTAGTCTATAATGGTAAGTATCTTCCTCTGTATTTCTTACTAAAGTTTTATCATATTCTGTTAATATACATTTTATGTTTCAAGACAAATCACTATCCATTTATGCAGTCTTTTGTTATTTTATCTATTTATTTTCTAACTACATGTCATTAATGTACATAATTAATTTTTTAAAGAATTGTTTGACCAACGTGGCACATGTATACCTATGTAACAAACCTGCACATTGTGCACATGTACCCTAGAACTTAAAGTATAATAAAAATAAAAAATAAATAAATAAAATTAAATTCAAATGAAATGAACCTAAAAAAAAAGAATTGTTTGAAATCTTGATTGGTGCAAGATGGTATCTCATTGTGGTTTTGATTTACATTTCTCTGATGATTAGAGATATTGAGCAGTTTTTTCATGTTTGGCCACTTGTTTTTCTTCTTTTAAGAAGTGTCTGTTTGTGCCCTTTCCCCACTTTTTAATGGAGTTATTTGATTTTTCTTGTTGAGTTTCTTGTAGATTCTGGATATCAGTCCTCTGTCGGATGCACAGTTTGCAAATATTTTCTCTCATTCTGTAGGTTATCTGTTTACTCCTTTGATTATTTCTTCTGCTGTGCAGAAACTCTTTAGTTTAATTAAGTCCCATTTGTCTATTTTTGGTTTTGTTGCATTTGCTTTTGAGGTCTTAGTCATAAATTCTTGGAACTTCTGGAGAACTTCTAAGTTTTTGATTGATGCCTTTGATTTTTTTTATAATTATACAATTAGTAAAAGGTGATCTTCTAGCAAGATAGCTGGAGACCTTATTTGAGGCTCTCCTTTATCTTCTTATAAAGTATATTTCAAGTTTAAGTAAGATAAACAAAGTTCAATCTCTGTTCACTTATTGTCTTCTAATTAAGTCAATTAATTAAAACCAAACTATTTATAAAATTTACTAAATTAAGAAAACTATAACAGATTGGAAATCATGTCACCTAAGATTATTAATTAAATTTGGATTTCTTTTCCATAGACACTAAAAGAACAAATTAATAATTGACTGATATCTTAGGTGAGTACATTAAATGTAACAGAAATTTTATAAACGCATTCTCTATATAACATTAAAATTTTACTACAATGAAAAAGAATATTTCTAAAATGAATCTTGAAGAAAGATTCCAAGTTACTAGATCAGTAACTATTTGAGGTGTTATAACATCACCACCTACTGGAGGATTAGAATAGGAAGATTTTCATTTTGGAAATCATCAATAGCAATATCGATTGAACTTAGAAATTCTTTCATTTGTACAATTTTTTAAGGTATTGAGGCCCTAACCCCTTACCTTACACACCTGAGATAATAGACACAGAAGGGCTAAATAGGGTTCAATGATTTGCTCAAAATCATACCACTAATTGTATATAAGACTATCATAGATGACTAATTATATGTAAGACTCTAAACCAGGTTCCCTGGTTCTCAGTCACATGATCTTTGTGCCTTAACTTGCCCTTACAACGTGCCATATTGACTGTCAAAATCCATTTTAATAATGGTTAAAACATTTTTGAAGTAAAAGCAAAGTTGGTTTTCCCATAAATATTATTATATTGATAGCTTTCCCATTATTCTTTTACTGCCTCATTTTATCTTAGAATAATTAAGAAATAAATTTCGATTAAGTTCTTATGTTTTCTCCTATAGATGATGATTGATTGAATTATTTAGTGCAAGCGAGTTTATGTTTCTCATAATATCTCTTTATTTTCTGACCCATAATTAAAGAAAGAAAGAAGGTAGCATTTTTCAACTTTCTGATAGACAACTTAAGACTGTTGGCAATAGTGTGGGAAAAGAGGCTCCCTCATAAACTGTAAGTGAGAGAGTAAATTAGTGCTAAAGTTTGCTAGTAATTTGATAGTCTCTAACAAATTTTAAATCACGCAGCCTTTGGCATGGCAATTCCACTGTTGGAATCCAGTCTACAGATACTTTTGCACAAATATTTATTGCAGCATTATTGGTAATAGCAGAGACAAATCTGGAAACAACCTGCATATTATTAATATAAGACTGACAAATTATAAGATATCAATATAGAATACTATATAAAATACTATGCTGCCGTTTTTTAAAATAACATAGTACTGTGCATACTAAAAAAATAATTAAAGTTATTTAAAGGAAGGAGCCAGCCTTTGCTTTATATGTATACTGTCATTTCACATGTGTAAAAATATGGAACTTTATAAATATTTATAATATAATAAATACAAAATATATTAATATATGACTTTATGGATTTCATTTTATAAATAAATATAATAAATGTCTGCACATACAGATGCTCTTTGGCTTAAGATGAGGTTACATCCTGATAAACCCATTGTTAAGTTGAAAATATCATTAAGTAAAAATGCATTTATGACACCGTAGTTTAGCCTGTCCTACCCTAAATGTGTTCAGCTTATATTTGCCAAAAGTTGGGCAAAATCAGCTGGCAACACTGCACACGGCAGAGCGCCAGTCCTTCACTCTTATGATAGCATGGCTGACTGGGAGCTGTGGCTTGCTACTGCTGCTCAGCATGTACCATATATCACTAGCCCAGGAAAACATCAAAGTTTAAAATCAAAGTACAGTTTCTACTGAATGCCTATGGCTTTTGCACCATTGTAAATTCCAAAACTTGTTAAGCCAAACCATGGTAAGTTAGGGACTGTCTATGTGTGTATGTATATACACAAACAAATATGCACATTTGTTTATGCACAGAAAAGTCCCTAACATAATGCATTACACCTTGTTCAGGTTATGACTCACATAGCAAAATAATGGTCCCAAACTCTGGAGGAAAACTAGAGGGGATGTAAAAGTATCTATATGAAGCTTGGTATTTTAAAAAATCATAATGTTTTCTTTATATTACAAAATTATGATTAAAACCACATAGTATTTGGGAAGATACTAAATACTGATTTAAACTTCTGAAAAGTTGTTTTTAAATATTGATGTATTTCTAAGTTTGTTATCTCCAACATAATTTTTTAGTGGGCGATTTTATTCTGTAAATGGCTACATGCAATTTCTGGTCAAAACTCTTCCAAAATGGTTTAATTGAAGCTAGGCACAAAAAGATAAATATCAAACGTTCTCACACATATGTCAGAGTTGAAAAAGTTGATCGAATAGAGGTAGAGAGTAGAATGGTGGCCACCAGAGGCTGGGAAGAGCAGCAGGGAGAAAGGGATAAGGAAGGGATTGCTAATGGGTACAAAAACGTACTTCGATAGAAGGAATGAGATCTAGAGTTCAGTAGCACAATAGGATGAGTACTATCAGCAATGATTTATTGTATGTTTCAATATAACTAGAAGAGTTAATTGGGATGTTCCTAACACAAAGAAATTATAAATGTTTAAGGTAATGGATGTCCCAATTACCTGATTTGATCACTAAACATTGTATGCTTGTTGTATTGAAACATCACAGGTACCCCATAAATATGTACATCTATCAAGTATCCATTAAACTTAAAAATAAATAAAAATGTTCTTACAAAGGATTTAGTCTAATTCTTCACGGCCTCCATTGATGCAAAACTTTATTTGCACTTTTATATAATTTAAAACTTTAATTACCTTACAACTGTGCAAAAATTGTAATATAGCTGAAAGTCTATTTTTTAATTGAATGTCTTTTCCTTTTCTTGCATTGATAAACGTAATGTTAAAATTTATTAAATGATGTGAATAGATTTCCAACATAAACATTTTCATACCAAGGGTTTCACAATCTAACACATCTCTAATTTTCTAAAAGGAATTTGCCTTTTTAGAGCAGTCATCCTCAAAGTAGTCTGGATGCCCCTAAAAGGCCGCATCATCCCCAAATAGACAGGATGTTTATGATACAGTGTACTGGGTTAAATAGCGTCCCCATTCCCAAATTCAGGTCCACCTGGAACCTCAGAACATGACTTTATTTGTAATATGGATCTTTACTGATGTAATAAGGTAAAGTGTGAGATGAGATCATCTTGGATTAGGGTGGCTCCTGAATCCCATGACTGTCCTTACAGAGTCAGAAAAGGAGAAACCACAGGGACACAAAGAAGGCAATGTGAACACAGGCAGGGACTGCAGTGAAGTGTCTACCGGGGAAGAGGTGCCAAGGATGGCCGGTGACACCTGAAGCTCAGAGAGAGCCATTGAATGACTCACACTCAGGGATGTCAGAGGGGACCAACCCTGCCCACACCTCAGCTTTAGACTTCTGGCCTCCAGAAGCATGTCAATAAGTTTCCCAGTTTGCAGTAATTTGTCATGGCAGCCCTGAAACATTAATACACATGGAGACAAAAATTGGAGGCCAACAGCCTTGTCCTCTTCTTCCCCTGAGGCTTCCCAGGTATTTGAATCTGGAGCTTTGGGCCTCTGAAAGCTCCATGGGCCCAGGCCCACCAGGGAGTTGGAGGCCTGTCTGCAGAAGCCGGTGCCAGGACCACAGAGCTCTCAGCCACACTGCCCTCCTACTCCTCCCCATCTTCTCTGGGCTTGCACCAGGCCCTGCCCTGGTCAGATATCCTCCAAAACGCCCCAGCCTGGAGGCTACAACTTGGGAGCCTCAGTTGCCCCCTGCGCTGAGGAAGCAGGGAACTGTGGGGCCCTGTGACTCTTCTGTGACACTCAGTAGTTACTTAAGGGCATGCGGGCTTGGCTTGTCATGCACAGAGAAAGAGAGGATTCTATTTTTACTTTATTCAGTCTTACACTGATTGAATAATTTTAACCATCACCGTGATTGAATAATTTTAACCATCACCATGTATTTCATAGCTTTAAAAAAACTAGTTTATATGTAATATAAAAAATTAGAAAGATATGTCAAACAGGAGAACATTTTCAAGGGGGAAAAATGTCTCTTTCTTCCGTATTCTCATGTCCCTAGTCCCTGACTTCCCTGGATGTCCCACACCATCTCTGCTCTCCCCTGCCTCCTGGAGCCCTTGGGCTGCTGGCCCTGCCAGAGCAGAGAAGCTAAGCTAGAGGATGTTCTGTACTAGCAGTTTACGGTGTGGAGAAAATGGCAAGGAGTTTTGGCCAGTCTGTCTCTTTCACACAACTAGGCGGCCAATCTTGGCCAACACTCCACCTGCTCTGAGCACGTTTCCAAGTGTGGACGTCGTGAGGATGATGCTACTTATTTTACAATGATGCTGTGAGAATCTGATGGCACGATGCATGCACATGTGCCTGCCACAAAGGGGGAAGTTAGCGTGTGCTTACAGGACAGGCAGGAACTGGAACTCGCAAGGGGAAAGATGTCAGAAAGCAGAAGGTGCTGTCACTTCACCTCTGCTTCTCCCTGGAGGTCTGCTCCCTTTATCTCTCTCTGTCCAGCAGTCCTTCAGGACTCCACGTCTCCATGGCAGAAAATGTCTGCCTCATGGCTTGCATGTTCCAGTTCCAGCTTCTGAGACATTGTCTACCTGACGCATCTGAATCCTAACTCCATATTCCGGGAGAGAGAACCAGACTGGCCAAGCTTGGGTGACAACCAGCAACTCATTGATCTGTATTCAGGAGGCAGGGTCCTATGCATGGCTGCCATGACCTATCTCCTGGTGGGATGCGATCCTTGGAAAGGGGAGATGGTTTATGAACTAGGAGGCACCCCAAAACTGAGCTCTATCACTGTGCTATCTGGTGCATGCCTAATCTGTCTGTTGTTTCCTCAGCTGTTACATAAAAGAAGTGCACTATGATTGCTGAATTTTCTTTCAATTCTAAAAGTCTATGGCCCAGTGATTCAACTAGAGGAATTTTAGGAAGCACAGCTGATCAGCAGAGGCTGAAGTTTGGGAGAATACAGATAATAAGACCTAGCATTCTTTGAATGACACAGTAGCCACTCTATGAATGACAAAGTAGCCATCCTATTCTATCTGTACATAAAATTAATCTCTCCTAAAGAAAATGAAGCCAAAGCACATTTGCTCAAGGATCCAAATAGTCTTAGGAAATAAGTAGATATGTACCCTCGAGGTCTTCCTGTACTTCAGGGGCTGGAGCTTAGCATCTCTTAATCAACCAAATATCCATGATGTCTATTTATGTGTGCTTGGGACTGGGCTAGGGGTAGTGATTCAAAAGGAATATAATGTCTATAATATAAAAATATGTACACAGTATTACTTCTTTAACAGCACTTATATTTCTTAAAACATGCACAAATCAAGCTTTATAAATGTTTATATTATATATAAACACGCTATATAATGTTTTTAATTTATAAGGCCCATAGAAAATATCCTTTTGAAAAGTAAAAGATCCTCCTGAAATGATACATAATTATTTCCTTATTCATCTCTTTTGTTTGTATGAACTTTAGTATTTAAGTATCCTTAAAGTAAAGAACCCTTAGAATATTTTTTTTTGCATGAATTACTTACTACCTCCTGATCTCACTTGGTGATACTCATAGTAACCAGTGATGCTCTTTGAAAATCTAGGACTTGTGACTGGGCCGACAACAAACGGAAATAGCTGTGACTGCCACTTCATAATACATCCACTTACCACTGGCCATATTTAGTTAATTATTTGTCCGCCTAAGGCTGTTACCCCATAGGGAGACCCCTGTGTTTATTTCATTATGCTTTGTATGAAGGCACTCACTGATGCCTCTGCTGATAGCTAGTGAACAATGGGAGCCTGAAACCTAATTGATATCAAATTAATTCATATTACCTGGAAAAAATGAAAGACAAAAACTTAAAAGAAGGAATCAGAAAAAGTTTCTTCCTTTTTTCCTGTACTATCAAAATCAAAGAAATATAGACAGGAATAATGTTGAGGCTGTTTAACCTTGGACCTAGTCTTTTCTCAGCTAAAGTCAGAGTCAAATGCAGCAGGCCCAAGCAAGTCTCATCCAATTTCAAAGGCCAGATATGTCATTATAATTAAGAATCAAATTAAGGCAAGTATCTCATTATTCACTCAAAGATGGCCTGTTTTTTTTTTTTTTAATTTTACAAGACTAATGCTTCACTTCGGCAATGAAGAGTAACCTCTTGGTTTCTATGAAATGTGCATTCAGCTGTAAGGCTCACTTCTCTAGGCAGGGGAGACCTGGTGTAATAGTAGGGACTCGGGGTACAATTTAATTTGTTGCATTCTTGTTGTTCCTATTCACTGCCCTGCCTCTGGCTGGTCCTTACTTCTGAGGACAGTGAGTGGCTGTGTTTGTCTTGGGGCTGAGGAAGAGGAGTGAAGGGTGTAAATTGAGGAGGCCTTGGGAAAATGGAGAAGCAAAAAGTCAGAGGTTCATTACACCTCCAGGGTTTCTACAAAGAGATGAACATGTAAAGAATCATCTGCCTACAATTTTCCGTGAAATCACTTAATAAAATCAACATCCAATTATGCTAGGTGTTTTAAAGATTGCTTTTAATTGTTCTTTCCTAGGCTGTTAGAAAATGAATGAAAACGGCGGCTGAAATTTCACATCAGCAGTCTCTCTCTCTCTCTCTCTGCCAAATTCAACTTTACATTTCTACATAATAGCAGGCACAGTCATATAGTCAATCCTCTATTAATGTATATTTTAGATAATACTGTATTTCTGAGGATTTCATCTTCTAGTGCCCAATAAAGATTAAAGGAACCTGGGGCTGGGACTGAATTCCCAGGTCAAATTACACTGGAAGTCTGTGGGCTGGTGCTCCCTCTGGTGGAAATTTGCCACGTTGCAAATTTCCTTCTTTCTTTTTCTTTTTTTTCTCTTTTTTAAATGCGGGAGCATTTCATAGGCCAAGAAACATCTCGCAAAGCCAAGAACAATCAGGAAGTAATTTCAAAACATCCCTGCCTGGTCAAAAATGCATGTGTTCAATGACACTGAGCTGATTGTATTCACCAGAATTCTCAGAGAATCTGTGAAGAAAAAAATGACTTGATAAAGCTGCAGGAAATGGCTCGTTTATAATAGTTGTTTTTTAAAAAGATTGTTCTACATGGACATGTACAGGGAAACAACACACACTGGGGCCTGTCACAGGGTGGAGGTGGAAGGAGGGAGAGGATCAGGAAAATAACTAACGGATACTAGGCTTAATACCTGGGTACTGAAATAATCTGTACAACAAACCACTATGACACATGTTTACCGCTGTAACAAACCTGCACATCCTGCACATGTGCCCCTGAACTTAAAATAAAAGTTAAAAATAAATAAATACAATGTTACTTCTGGTTGATAAAGGATGGGGAATTTAGATTTGAGAGTTGGGGAGCAAGAAATTTCAACCTCACCCTGGGACAGTATAGCACAGAACAGTAGGAACCACAGAGAAAATATATGTTGAAGAGAGAATATTCTAGTGAAATGCTTTGTGCAGTCTAACATGTTGAGGAGTTCCTGGCATCCTACAAATCTTCAGCAGATATATGTAGGTCCTACCATGGAAAATGGCAGAGGCTTAATTCTATGTCTTGTGTAATTTGAGGGGTTTCAATGTTCTGACCTGTGTTGTCCCTATAAGTGTAAGTTCAACATATGAATCCCTAATCCCAAAGGTGATGGTATTGGGAAGCGGGGCCTTTGGGAGGTAATTATGTTGTGAGGGTAGGGTCCTCATGATGGGATTAATGCCCTTATAAGAAGAGGCACCACCTCTCTCTCTCTGTTTCTGTCTCTCTCTATCTCTATCTCTATCTCTCTATCTCTCTCTTCCTCTCCACCATGTAAGGGCACAGCAAAAAGGCAGCCATCAGCAAGCCAGGAAAAGGACCCTCACCCAACGCAACCATGCTGGCTGGCATCCTAATCTGGGACTTCCAGCCTCCAGAACCCTGAGTAAATCTTGCAGCTGTTAAAGCCACCCAGTGTGTGGTACTTTGCTGTGGCGGCTGACTTAGCCAGGGGCTGAAGAGGGTTAGCTGAAACACAGATCGAAAGGCTGAAAGGACAGGTGAATACAGGAGACCAGTGTTACCATACAAAGCACCATGGTCCTTCATCAAAGGGATTTCAGAATCCAGAAAGCTTAAATATCTCTGGATCTGCACTATGGAAGTCGTTGAGAAAAGGCAAAAGCAATGCCATAGGTCAGTGTTAAGCAATCTTTTTCACAAGAAGGTAACCACAGGAAATGACATGTGTCCAGCTCGCTGACAGAAGTAATGTTCACAGCGTCTGGCCACCCTGTCCTTGGACTGCGTCTTAAGCGCTGAGAGGCGTCAACACGTCAGCACAACCGCGGCCGACTCCAGGCACACCAATGGGAGGTCCTGCAGTAGGTCGGCTGTGCGGGACTGGAGGAGATGGTAGAGATCAGTCAAGAGGAGCAGCAATAAGCCTCTGGGCAGCGGCCGGGTCTCAGGTCTGCGCCTGGCCTTGCTCATCTTCTAAAATCAGCCTGTCTGAGCTCTCCTGTTCTGTACCATCCTGTCATATTGGAATCTAGTCGTCCATTGCCCTCTGCCTGGCTAGTTTCCACAGGGCTTTTAAATTCCCTCAGTGGCTCTATACTTAGATAGTGATGAATAGAAATGCTGCCGTTCTGGTGTCTGTTGCTCTTTCTTTGTTTTTATCCCTGCTCTATCTGGTCATTTTTCTATGTCTGAACACTTCACTAACACAGACAAAGACAGTAACATATTGCACAACTGAGAACGGGGAAGTAAGCAAAAAGGGAAGAAAAATGTCTCTGAACAGCCAAAATAGATATTGCAAAGTCCATGTGTAAGACTGATGTGATGTTTGCATAATTCTGAAGCTCGGAACTGAGAACAATTCTAACTCCTTTTACTGCTATGACAAAAGGAAGACATTAGTGGTGTCAGAGGTGAAAAGAACAGTTTTCTGGGAATCTTTTAGGGATTACTACCCTCAATTTTGTAAGTACGGACTGTCCCCAACTTACTGTGTTTCACTTACAACTTCACAACTTCATAATGCTACTCATACAACCATTCTGTTTTTCACTTTCAGTACAGCATTCAATAAATTCCATGAGATATCCAACAATTTATTGTAAGATAGGCTTTGTGTTAGATAATTTTGCCCAACTGCAGGCTAATATAACTGTTCTGAGCACATTTCAGGTAGGCTGGTCTAAGCTGTGATGTTCAGCAGGCTAAGGGCATTAAATGCATATTTGACTGAAAATATTTTCAGCTGATGATGGGTTTATAGGAACGTAGCCCTGTTGTAAGTCCCGGAGCATCTGTACTTTTTTCTTAGGTGCATTTTCTGGTCGGCCATGTAGTATCCTTGTTACAACTCCAGAGTAAGATGAAGTCCCAGGACCAGTGCTTCAGGACCACTGCAGGAAAAACTTTTAACACTCCCCTGCTCTGAATGTGTGGATGACACTGAAATCATTGTTGGTGCTACTAACTGGCATTTCCCATTCTACTCTTCTCAAGCACATGGGAGGGTTGCACTTCCCTAATTCTGTGATTGTTAGGTACTTATTTCTTTGCTTTGGTCAAAGAAATAAGAATGGAAGTAATGTGTCCCTTCCAGTCAAAAACGTCAAGCCCTGAGCATAATTTGCCAAATTTCACCCCCCTGTGTGATGTCAGATATTGTTCCCGGAGGGTGTAAGTGGTATCAGTCTCCATCTCTGAGTGAAGACAACATGGGACAGAGCCTTCCATCAATGTATCAGCATCCCTGTTGCTTATAAGACACTGAGATTCATGGATTATTTGTTAACATAGTATGCTTTCCTTACTGATACATACACACATGCTCATTGTACATAGAGAACTCCTATATCACTCCTCAAAGGGTGTCTTATCTTCACATGGTCATGCAAACCTAGATTATCTAACATGCAATATTCAGTAAATTAAAAGGCCCTTACTTCTGTAGGTAGATCTACTACATATCTTTAAAGGAAACAGCTGATAGCCAAAATGAATATATATAAACTATAACAGAAGGGAAAGAAATTGTATCAATCAGGTTATTTATCAGAAGCCCACAGACCTACATACCTTAGTGGACTCTGACATTATCCATGACTTTGGTGCACTGGTCTTGAACCACCCAACCCCCCAAATTTCCCCCAGTCAAATTTCTAATGGAAGTGGTTTTACTTTCGTATTCCTTTATGTTAATGATGAAATTTCAGATTCAAGAATATGTAAATGTCTAATCGTGTTTTTGGAGATACTTTTTAAAAGATAATTCTACACATTAGGAGTAGAAAGGGAAGCAAATCAAATGACAGAAAAATAGCAGTCTTTGCATTAATCCTAAAGTGTATGTAATAAACATAAACCTAGAACTTACATATGCACTCTTCTGACATTTTTGAATACGTAGGAGGTGAGGTGCAAGTAAAAGAAGATGATGGCATTTGCTTTGGCATAAAGTCTTTGTGGAGTTTTGAGAAAATATTTTTGTATTTCTGCAGAGTTGAGGCTTTCTGAATAAATTTTCCTGAAAAATTTGGATCCCGAGCATATTAATCCATTCTCATGCTGCTATAAAGAACTGCCCGAGACGGAATAATTTATAAAGAAAAGAGCTTTAATTGACTCAGTTCTGCAGCACTGGGGAGGCCTTAGGAAACTTAAAATAATGGCAGACAGGGAAGGAAACACGTTCTCCTTCACATGGTGGCAGGAAGGAGAAGAATGAGTGCTGAGTGAAGAGGGAAGCCCCTTATAAAACCATCAGATCTCATGAGAACTCACTCACTGTCATGAGAACAGCATGAGCAGCATGAGGGTAACCACCCTGTGATTAAATTACCTCTCACTAGGTTATTCCCATGACACGTGGGGATTATGGGGACTACAATTCAAGGTGAAATTTGGGTGGGAACACAGCCAAACCATATTACTGAGCTAACAGTAAGTCTTGAGAAGTTATTTTATAACTCTATAGTGACAGGACTCCAGAGATTCTCATGGAATGTATTTACATTTCAAGAGAAAGTGAGACTCAAGACCCTGGAGACATCTCTAGGTCATGACAGAGACACCAGGGCTCCTGAGGCCCTTGAGAGATGCCTTTCTAGTCCAAAAGGTTAAAGTGAGAGCCCAGAACCCTTCCATCTCCTCTCCAGGGAACAAACGTTTCTCTCCCTCCTTTCAAGATGGAACCAGGAGGTCCCGTTCATAAGTGAAGAAAATCCATTTTCCCCATCCTTCACCTATGGAGCATCTTGGGCCATCGGACACCTCAGGAGTAAGCACTGGTGTGTGCAGGGGTGGGGGCTGACACAATTATCATAATATAAGAAATAATAACTATTCTGCCTCTGAACCAGAACACTCCATGTATGGGTTCAGGATAAAATTATGAATGGATATGAAAAACCCAACACTCATCCTAGCAAAGCTAAGGCAAAATATACCCAAATGCCATGCAGGGTTACTTGAGTGCTTAAGATCCTGATATGAGTGGCTATAAATGTCCTAAACTCCTTTGGAAAGTCAAATGTTCTTTTCTAGAGTTTGTGAACTGCCTGGGTGGGATGTGGAGACAGAAACGTGAGTTATGTTCTCAGGGTGTCACTTGGCATGGGTTCCAGGCTCTACTGAAATTGTTTTTCTACTCTACATACTACAGCTGTTGCTTTGTCTCCACTTTAACTTTTGCTCACATATGAAACTGAGTCCCTACATTTTTTATGATGTAATTTGGCTGTATTTAACTAGATAAAAATATCTTTGATGGCTGAAATGAAATACAACTGTATTTCTCTTTCACATAAGATTTGAAGCAGAACCATTCTTAGAGGGAAACTTACAGCCTTAAATGCATATAGGAGAAATGTAGAACGGCTGAAAAGTCAGTAAGTTAAGCATCTTTCTTAAGAAGTTAGAAAATACTAAATTAAATGCAAAGAACATAGAAGAAAGAAAAAAGCAAAAATTAATGAAACAAAAAGTAAACAAAAAAATGGAGAGAATAAACAAAGTCAAAAGTTGATTCCTTAAAAAGAAATAATATTTATATAATTCTGGCAAAGCTAATAAAGGGAAAAAGAAAGAAGACAGAATTAACCAAAATTGAGAATGAAAAAGGGATATATCATTATTGTTCTTACAGATAACATAAAGTCATAAGAGGATATTGTACCCATCTTATGAAAATAACACTTTCTAATATCCTAAAGCTGAATCCAATATTGTTGCAGAGGTAATCTCATATTCTAATAATTTTAAGATTTCCTATGTGCTACTTACAATTTTTTTAATGTAAAACTTATAAAAATATGTTTTAACTAATTCAGTTTGGCTTAAAAGCATCTACTATGAGGTCACAAACCATTTTTGCTCATTTGAGTATAAGCAATAAAACAAAATTACTATAGGAACTATTGTTGGAGGTTGTGTTTACAAAAGTTACTCATTCACCCATAAACAACAAAGACCATCTCAATTTCCCTGTTGCCAACCTATAGGTGACTGGCCAGAGTGCTATCTTAAGTATCTCCCAGCCTATAAGGAGCTTAATAATAAAGCTTAAATTATAAATAGAAGAGAATAATATGATGATTAATAGGCAATTTATGGGGATAAAATAATTTCAGTGGATTAAATTCTGATACAAGGAAACAGAATGTAGAGGTTTCATTACTAACCTAGAAAAGCATTTGAGTCGGCCGGGCGCGGTGGCTCACGCCTGTAATCCCAGCACTTTGGGAGGCCCAGGCGGGCGGATCACGAGGTCAGGAGATCGAGACCACGTTGAAACCCCGTCTCTACTAAAAATACAAAAAATTAGCCGGGCGCAGTGGCGGGCACCTGTAGTCCCAGCTACTCGGGAGGCTGAGGCAGGAGAATGGCGTGAACCCGGAAGGCGGAGCTTGCAGTGAGCGGAGATCGCGCCACAGCACTCCCGCCTGGGCGACAGAACGAGACTCCTTCTCAAAAAAAAAAAAAAAAAAAAAAGAAAAGCATTTGAGTCAGGGGTGGATAATAATGCAGACAGGCTTAACTATAAAAACAAGAGATACAATTTGAGATTTAAAGAGAATATTCACAGACCCAAAGATAGAAAATATTTTCCTGCATAATAATTCAGGAGTAAATCTGGCACAGTTCAACTGAAGCCCCGAATCCATGTGTCCCCCTCCATTCTCACTATCACTGATCTTGTTCATGGCCTCATAGCTTTTACCCAGAAGTTACCTCAGAATGTTCCACTGGCATCCACTGACTTTCAGTCACTTACTCCCCTACTCCATCTGACATACCAAGTGCAATTGCTAAAATAAGCAGATAATATTTTCCTTGCATCAAAAATATTTTTCACAATAATGTCTAGAAATAAAGACCAAACTCCTTAGCATTGCATTTATGACCCGTCTTGATCATTCCAAGGCCGTTTTCCACTGCATAGATCCTCCACTGAAGCCGAATCTTTTTACCATTCCCCAAACATGCTCCACACATTCTCCCCTTTGGAACTTTGCTGTTGTCCCCTGTGCCTAGAAGGCCCTTATGTCATCTTTGTCTATTGAAATCTCCCAATCCTTTAATGGTCAGTTCAGATGCCTCCCTCTCTGCTACCCTAATTCTCAATCAGAATTAATTTCTCCCTTTTCATATCTATAATCCTTTTCTTAATAGTACCAAATTTAACTTTAGATTTTTACAAGCATTATTTTTATACATTGAAATTAGGAGTGTGAGAACAAATGCTAGATTATTTAATTTTGAATCTCCCCACAGCACAGCACACAAAACACATTTATTTAGGTAGGTGATTAATAAAGATTGTTGCAGCTAAAATTTAGAAGTTTTCATACTTAAATGAAATTTCACACAGTAAACGTCTAATCAAATAGTACAGCCTGTCCTTCTGACTCAAGTATAAGTGCCCTACATACTCTTTCTGCCCAGGAGACTTGAGAGGAATAATTTCATTTAACCAGAAGGAGCCCATTCCTGCTTAGGCATCACAATTAGTGAACATGCTGCTGGTAAATTTCACCAGAATTTAGGCCTATTAATAACAACCTATATCCTGTGCATCTTGAAGTTGGAAATAGATAACCAAATGGATTTGAGAAAAAAAAGAAATTTATGTTTAAAATGTAAACTTAAATATAGTAAACATTGAAAATAAGCACACCCAACTAATTGCATTTGTATGTGTGTTATTTATTCAGAACATATTATCAAGCCTCTATTATAAGCCAACCATTGGAGATATGAGAGAATTAAACATAATCCTTGCTCTCTGAGAACTTCACAGTGTACAGACACCAGACAACAAAACGTACACTGAAAAAATGTCTCACAAAAACTGTGCGAAGTTCTGTAGTTACATAGGGAAGTTGCCTCAGGAAGGTGGTAAAGATTTGACAAAATATCACATTAGAATTCATGATCATGAAAGATGAATACATGCTTACTGGGTATAAAGAGGACGAGAAAGTTCCATGCAAAGGAAATGGTAATGAAGTGCAAAATGACATGGCATATTTGCAAATCCATCAGTGGCTTAGAACAGCTAAAGCACATGGGAAGGGAATGAGGTAAAGGTGGTAAAACAAAAAGTGTACAGACTAAGAAAAGCTTTATGTTCCATAACAAGGATTTGGCTTTTATTCTCCTCCAGTTGGTGGGGTTATGGTCAGAACAGCAACATGATAGTCTTTGTGCTTTTAAAAAATAGTTCTGAGAGCGATACAGAGGGCAGAATGAAAGCAGAGGCCCCAGCTGGGAGGCAGGGTGACAACCAAGGCAGAAGTCTGAAGATCGTGAACTGTGCCAGTGGAAGCAAGAGTGAAGAGGAGAATACAGATCGAAGAGATATTTTGGAGGAAAAATTGAAGATTTGGTAAACAACAAACTGTAAGGTTAAAGGCAAAAGAGGAATTTAAAATGACCCTGATTTCTAGCTGAAGCTAGATGCTGATCTAATAAATGATAGAATGAAAAAGAAGTGGGTTTGTACGACAAAAACAGAGGATTAGTTGGAGACACAAATGTTTTTGAGACATCCAAATGAAAATATCAGTTGAAAAGACAATTGGAAATGTAGATGTGGGGTAAGAGAGGGACCTGGGTATTGGAAAAAGAGATTTGGGAGTCTTAGATACAGTCCATTCTAGTTATTCGCAGATTCCATATTTGCATATTCACCTACTCACAAAATGTATTTGTGACCCCCAAACCAAATACATGCAGTGCTTTGTGATCAAACCCAGACACAAAGGAGCAAAATATTTCTGTTGCCCCATGAGCACATTCCCAGCTGAGCTCAAACAAGGTGACATTCTGCCTTTTTATTTCAGCTTTTATACTTTAAATAAGTGTCCTTGCACATTCTATTTAGTGCCATGTTTTTCACATGTTTGTGCTTTTTGTTGGTGATTTTGCTGTTTGAGATGGCCCCCAAGGGTAGTGCTGAAGTACTGTCTGGTGTTCCTAAGTACAAGAGGCTGTGATGTCCTTATGGAGAAAATGCATGTGCTAGATAAACTTCCTTCATGCAGGAGTTATAGTGCTGGTGGCTGTGAGTTCAATGTGAGTGGATCAATGATCATATTAAACATGGGGTCTTCAACAGAAATAGACATAAAACAAGGTTATGCATTGATCAGTTGATGAAAATGTAAGAAGTTCACAGGAACCTACCCTGTATTTTCCCTAGCAGCAATGATTCAGTATTCAATAACTCAGTGTTCTCAATGGCTTTAAGGAACATAACTACTGTAAATAATGAGAATTGACTGTGTGTAAATAGTAGGTATGAGAACAGAAGATATTGAACAGCGAAAGCATATACACAGTGAGCAAATAAGAGTGGCAAAGGCAGAGCCCTAAAGAACATCATTATTTAGAGGGTGGATAGAAGATAAAATGTTAGGAGAAGCTCAAAAGGAATGGTCAGGTAGGTAAGAAGACCAATGTTAAGCAGTATCATGAGGAAATTTCAGGAAAGGTAAAATCACAAGAGTCAGAGGCTGCAAAAAGCTCCCAGGAGACACGGAGATGGTATTTTTTAACCAAAAACACAAACAAAAAAAAAAACATATGCTTTTGAGTGTAATGGACCTGAATTTAAAATTTAGTTCTGCTACTTAATAGCTGAGTGACATAAGGAAATTCATCTTATTTCTCTGATCCTCAACTACTTCTGTAAGATGGAGACAATACCTATCCCAGAAAGTTGTTGTAGATTACATGAAATAATGTGCAATCCATGAAAATTACCAACTGTAAATATTCTATTTCTATTTTTAGAATGAGATAAAAATGTTTTAAAGGATGGAACAAGGCCATTATATATTACAGTGACCTCTGATCTTGTTCTCAGTGATGTCCAGCATATGTAAAATTACACAAACGTGAGTTTCATTTAGGTTGTGAAGTTGGAGCTGGATTTGGTTTAGAAGTGCAATATAAATAGGCCTGCATTTTATACTGTCTGTCCTGTCTGTATCTAATGAAGATATCTGTTGATAGATCTTCTTATTTCTTGACTTTCCATGAATGGAAAATGGGCTTTGGAGATAGTCAAATGTGGTTTGAGTTATGGATCTGATATGGTTTGGATCTGTGCCCCCACCCAAATCTCAGGTTGAAATGTAATCTCCTGTGCTAGAGGTGGGCCCTGGTGGGAGGTGATTGGATAACAGGGGCTGCTTCTAATGGTTTAGCACTATCCCCCCAGTGCTGTTCTTGTGATAGAGTTCTCACAAGATCTGTTTGTTTAAAAGTGTGTGGCACCTCCCCACACTTCCTCCTGCTCCAGACATGTAAGATGTACCTGCTTCTCTTCCCCTTTGCCTTCTGCCATGATTATAACTTTCCTGAGGCCTCTAGAAGCCAAGCAGAAGCTGTTCTGCTACCTCTATAGCCTGCAGAACAATGAGCCATTTAGCCCCTTTTCTTTATAAATTATCCAGTCTCGGATATTTCTTTATAGCAGCACAAGAACAGACCAATACAGGATCCCTACCACCTTCATTCACTCACTCATGCAAATAGTTATTAAAAGTACATATTATGGTTCCAGGTTCTGTGTTAAGGCACTAGAGATGAAGTCCTGGCCCACATACTCCATGAGCTTAGTCTAATGGAAGGAGAAAATAAGTATAATAAAATGTTTAACATTAAGTTTCCAGTTTAAGGACCCCATAATATATATGATAGGTCAAAATGGGTGTGAGAAAGATGCTCCTGGAGAATGTTTCAAAGACGATGAATGTCATGATTCTTGAACCTCCTCACCCACTTTGAGAACAGAAAATAGAGAATCAAGGAGAGTGAGGTATGTGGTCGTAGTTCTTTGAAGAAGAATGGGGAAAGATATCACTTTCATCACAAGCCAAAAGAAAGGAGACTTCAAGGCGACCACTTGAATGTTTGTTGATATTTTTGTTCACATTAACAAGATACACATAAGATGCAAGTGAAACACAAACACCCATAGTAACTCAACAACGTGAGCAACTTCTTCCGGAATCAGCTAGTAATTTTCAAATACTAGAGGAAAATTTACATTTTTTTTCTTTTGCTATTCACAGCATAACAGCTGCAGGCACAGCATACTTTTAAGTCTTATCTGCCTCGTAAACATTTTCTCCAACAGATCCTTAAATCTCCAGTGGGCAATCAACAAAACAAGAAATCGAACTTTTATTTATGGCGTTTACCAATTTCTGAGGTGGGAATACTTACACCATGGTAGATTTCAAGCTACTAACATGTTGTCACTGAATGCGAATTGGGAAGAGGTGTGCAATAGCATCTCCACCATATAGATCCAATAGATGTAAATCCCCTCAGGAGCATAGATAATAGCAAAATGTATTCAAATAACTAGGAAATTAGAGATTTGAATATTTATTGCATGAGTTTTTTGTATAATTTAGTTGTACATTTATATCATTTAATTTTTAATAATCCCTGTTTAACAACTGCCTTGCAAAATTCCTAAAAATTTAACAGTAGGCTCTCATAAGCCAGTGCACGGCAACTTCTGCACACCATTGACATTAAGTTCATTGAATATGTAGCCTTCACTATCCTATCTGTCACTCTGAAACTAGTAAAATATGGATTTTCCTCACTAACTATGAAATTGGTAGTAACTTTTGGGACAGCATCTCCTGTTCCTTTAGTCCAGTGGATACTTTTTAGTCTTAATCTTTCTTGATTATCTGTAGTAAATGACATCATTGGTATGCCTGTTGAAACTGCCTCATCACCAGTTTTTCCAGTCTCTTGTGTTCCTCTCACCTCTCTATTACTCAGGGCTACATTGAAAGCTTTCCTTTTTCCACTGAGTTCTTCAATGTTGGTGTTTGTGAGTGTTCTTAATCCTCGAATCTTCTCACATTTCACACTGCTCCTGCGAAGCCTTGTCTACTCTATCATTTACATGCAGTCAACACCCAAATCTGTATGTCCAAACCAAAATTCTTGCCTAATCTTCTAATCTTTATACCCACATTTGCAATTGCTCCATGATGCATTTTCACCAGAGTGTTCCACATACATTTTGAACTCAAAATGTCCATAACAAACTTGTTTATTTCCTTTGAAATTTGTTTCCCCCTTTCAACTCAATAATTTACGGGTAGCACCATTTGCCAAATCACCTAGCCAAATCCCCAGATGTCATTTTTTATTCCTCTTTTTTTCATGTATTCCACATTGAAGACTCCAGCTCCTGTCGGTTCTGACGTTAATATTTCTACCAAGTATTGCTTCTTTCTGTTCTCACTGCCACTGATAAAAATTGAGTCCTAATTACTTCCCATTGTTGTAATAATCTATTTCCTAACTTTGACTCATCATACACATTGATGCATCTGTAATCTTTGTAAATCACAAATCCTTTAATGGCTCCCAGTTGCCTTAGAGCAGTGTCTCTCAAACATAGCTGCACAACAGAATCAGCTGAGCAAGGATTTTGTTCAATCAAGTTTATAAATGAATAATTTACATATAATAAAATGCATGCATTTTAAGTGTATACAGTGTGCTTTTAACAAACGTATTAATACATACCTGTGTAACTACCACCACAATCAAGTTATAAAACACTTCTGTCACCTCAAAAAGTTCCTACATGTCCTACAATTGGGGAACTGAATCCTTACTCCAAAAGACAGCCCCAAGCTACCACCAGCTTTTAGTCATTAAAGGTGTTGCCTGTTCTAAAATTTCATATAAATTAAATCAGACAATATTTACTCTTTCGCACCTGGCTTTTTTTACCCAAGATAATATCTTTGAGATTCATTCAAGACATGTGAATCCATAACTTCTTCCTTTTTACTATTGAGTAGTATTCCATTGTATGATTTATCAAAATTGTATCCATTCATTGGCTGATGGACATTTGGATTGTTTCCAGTTTACAGGCTATTACAGATAAAGCTTCTATGAACATTTGAGTTGAAATACTTTATAAATGTATACTTATATCCCTCTTGGGTCAATATTTAAGAGTAGAATTGCTGGTTCTTATGATAATGGAATATTTAACATTAGAAGAAACTGACAACCTCTTTTCCAAAGTGGCTGTACCATTCTAGGACCCACTAGCAGTGTATGAGAGTTCCATGCAGAAAGCCAAGGCAACAGCTACTCGGGAGGCTGAGGTGGGAGGATTGCTCTAACTAGACAGATTGAGGCTGCAGTGAGGCGTGATTGCACCACTGTACTCCAGCCTGGACAACAGAGAGAAACCCTATCTCAAAAAATAAATAAATAAAAATAAAGAGCCTGGGCAAATATAGTCACCTTGTTCGTTTTCCTTCTTTCAGATATCACAGACCTGTACTGCCTGTTGCTCAATGCCTTAAAACTGTTGTTTTTAGTTGTTAAGAGTGGGAGGACAAGTCCAACATCAGGTATACTGTCATGGCCAGCAGCAAAATCCACTTTGCGAACATCTTAAGAAATATGATGCCTGACTCCCACTCTATACCAATTATTAATAAATCTGAGTACCTGGAGACGAGAGAGAAGAGGTGATTCTAATGTACAAGAATGTTAGAGAATCACTGGCTCAGAGGATTCCATCCCCAACCTAAGGCAAGATCCTTCAGAATCTGTCTCAAGCCTCCATTCTACATCTGTCTCCTCCCCACCATTCCATAACCATCTTTTGTCATTTCTAAGTTGCAACCATATAGCAATTTGCTGACATGAATATAATATTTTAAATATCAGTGTCTTTGTAAATATCTTTGCCTTTACCAAGATTCTTTCTGGTCTAATACTTCTACTGGAAGTACTTTCCTTCAACACTCAGCTAAAATGTCTTTGGCTCTATGAGGCATTTCTTGTTAAAGAGCCCGAGATTTCTAGGGCAGAATCTGATGTTAAGAGAGTATCAGGAAAACAAGTGCAGTTTAGTATTTGGCACTGCCATTTACTACAGGGTGAAGTTAGTCTTCATCATCTGGTTTCCTCGGGTATAACAAGATAATCATAACTACCTGGTAGAGGGATAAATGAAATTACACAGGGAATGCACAGCTGGGGGAGAAAATTTTCTCCTTTACTCTCTCAGAGTCTCCAGCTGGGTCCAAGAATTAAACGGACACAAAACAGATTAACAGGGAAAAAGCATACAAATTTTATTTAATAAAACTTTACGTATAAGTGGGTGTCCTCACAGGAAAATAAACACCCGAAGAAGTGGCTAGGCCTAAGTGCTTATATACTAGGTTGAACAAAGAGAGGCAATCGTGGAAGAGTATCTAGGAAGATACTGGTTAGTTTAACAATATCTGTACAGATGTTTCTCGGCCTCAACTCCCCTTCTCTGGTGATGAGTATCTTTCCTCTTGGTATAGGGAGGGCATCTATCACATGGTAGTTTCTTTTCCTGCTTTCAGGAAGAAAAGGTCAGAGTGCTCTTCTTGCACCTGCTGTTTATCAAATGCTTTTTTTTGTTTTTTGTTTTTTGTTTTTAAGACGGAGTCTCTCTGTGACACCCAGGCTGAAGTGCAATGGTGCATCTCTGCTCACTGCAACCTCTGCTTCCCGGGTTCAAGCAATTCACCTGTCTCAGCCTCCCAAGTAGCTGGGACTACAGGCACGCGCCACCACGCCCAGCTAATTTTTGTATTTTTAGTAGAGACAGGATTTCACCACGTTGGCCAGGCTGGTCTGAAACTCCTGACCTCAAGTGATCCGTCTGCCTCGGCCTCCCAAAGAGTTGGGATTACAGGCGTCAGCCACGACGCCCAGCCTCAAATGCCTTTATACATCAAAACGATCAGTATGCCAAAGCTCGGGCGGCAAGCTGTCGACTCCAGCACCTAGCATGGTGCACACAGCAGATACCAACGGAGTATTTCCCCTCACATGGCTCACATTTCCTTTGTAACCCTCCCAAGCAAAGCTCTACTGCAAGCTGCATCTTACCCGTTTACATGTCTCTTTTCCCTACTAGACTGAGTTTCATAATGACTGGGACTATTTCTTTTTACCTTTGCATCCCTTGGGCATAAAAGTGCCTAGGAGGCCAGGCGCAGTGGCTCACGCCTGTAATCCCAGCACTTTGGGAGGCCGAGGTGGGCAGATCATGAGGTCAGGAGATCAAGACCATCCTGGCCAACATGGTGAAACCCCGTCTTTACTAAAAATACAAAAGTTAGCCGGGCATGGCGGCACGCACCTGTAGTCCAAGCTACTCGGGAGGCTGAGGCAGGAGAATTGCTTGAACCCGGGAGGTGGAGGCTGCAGTGAGCCGAGGTCGCGCCACTGCACTCCAGCTTGGGCGACAGAGCGAGGCTCCGTCTCAAAAACAAAAAGTGCCTAGGATAAGAAGACCAGAGTCTAAATCAATTTCAGTTGAATGACGAGGGCTTGATAGTCTCGAGATCTGCTTTTTTTCTTTTTTGAGACGGATCCTCCCTGTGTCGCCAGGCTGGAGTGCAGTGGCGCGATCTCGGCTCACTGCAACCTCCGACTCCCTGATTCAAGCGATTCTCCTGCCTCAGTCTCCCCAGTAGCTCGGACTACAGGCACGCTCCGCCACGCCCAGCTAATTTTTGTGTATATATATATATATATATGTGTATATATATGTATATATATGTGTATATATATATGTGTGTGTATATATGTGTATATATATATGTGTGTGTATATATATATATATATATATATATATATATATTTTTTTTTTTAGTAGAGAAGGGGTTTCACCATGTTGGCCAGGATGGTCTCGATCACCTCGTCCGCCTCGGCCTCCCAAAGTGCTGGGACTACAGGCGTGAGCCACAGGCCCGGCAGAGTTCTGCTTTTAGCAAATTATTCCAAGCACTTTTTACGGTGTTTTTCACTCTCAGTGCTAATTCACGCTGTGGTGACGATGTACCATCCAATCCTTGATAGGAAAGATCAGAGAATCTGACCAAGACTAGATGGAGAGGTTGCAATTTTTCATCAGATGAAAAATCCAGAGGATGTTTTCATTGTTGAGCTAAATGAATCTGCAAGTCTATGCTGCCCTCTAGGGCGGCCTACAGTGCCTTTAGGCGAGTAGCAGGAGCAACACAAAACTTAACAGAGGTTTCCCTGCGGAGAAACTCCCTTTAAGAAAAAAGGAGAAACCAAAAAGGTGGGCCAGCACCGGAAGCGGGGGCGCGGGTTCGGGTAGCGGGGACGCGCACGCACCTTGCGCGTCTTCGCCCCTCCTGCGGTTGCCAGGCAACCGGCCCCGGAAGTTGCGGCAGGTGCGTCCGCAGCGGGCGCCGCTAGCCAGCGGAAGATGGCGGAGGGCGGAGGCCCTGAGCCCGGCGAGCAGGAGAGGAGGTCTTCCGGGCCGCGGCCTCCGAGCGCGCGGGATTTGCAGGTGAGGCGAGGAGCCGGGGGAGGGAGCGCGGCGGTGGACGCGGGCTGGTGACGGCGCGGGCTGGTGCGAGTTGGAGGCCACCTCTGGCCTCGGCGGAGCCTTTCCCCGACCCCGTCTGGGGATAGAATCCGGCGCCCGGTCTCCCGATGTCGGGTCTTGACACTGTGGTGGTCGTGAACACAAGTGCCCAAGCCTCCAGCGCTGGTGCTTTGTCTCCCTTCCACCCCACGTATGATGTAAAAATAGCTATTCGTTTAGAATGACATTTTGCGGGGTCAGTTGGTCGGTTCACGGGTTGATGCTTCCTTCTTGAGACTTACTCCAGAAGAAAGGTTACTGTGGCCGCAGGGAAGTAGACAGTCACCTGAACAGTAATGATACGTGATTTGTTCTTTTTTGTCTTGGATGCTATTTCTGACTTGCTTACTTAAATATAAAAATGGTTCCATTTTATCAGGTAGGTTTTTCTTTTAAAGGGGTGAAGGAAAGCGATGCACTCTATGCCCATACAGCCTAGTTGTCTAAGCTGTGGTCTTTAAAACATTGCACTGAAGAAACTGGGAAATAAAATTTCGTAATGTTGTGTAGGACACTAGTATTAGTTAGCTAAATAGTAGCGCACCAAATCCCGTTTTATCAGATACTAACGCCACTTTTCTCATTTTAGGCGTTTTTGTGTCTCATTATAAGATTATTGATAAAAATTTGACAAGTAAATATCAGTAAGGAGATACTAAGGAGAATCTTGGTAGAACAGTTTTACTGTATTACTTTACAACCACACTTCATTCTAATGTGAACAAACCACCATCCATTGTAACATACTGCTGAGCTTTGCGAATGTGGAAATAAGGACATCAAATCCTTAGTCGGTGCTGAACTCTATTGATGGGTAGGTATGTAAGTGTAAAAGACAGTTCTACCTTTTGGAAGCCTACAGATTTCTTCGGAGAAATAGGGTATGAATACTTAGCATAACATTTTAAGATGGAGTATGATTGGGTGCCAAAATAAGCAGTGCATAAAGCGAAGAATTTGGAGGCTGGAGAGATCAGTGTAACATTAGGAGGTGAACTTAATGTAGAATAGTTCCAGCTCCCATAGTTGGTTCAGTAGTAGTAAACAGTATCAAGGGATAGGAAGCTATTGTGTACCTCATCTTTCCTATTATAAACCCACATCACTAAGAGGCAGCATGGAGTTAGTAGTCCCACCAATTTTGGTTTGCCTCTTAGTCCTGCTACTTAGTAGTTTTGTGAACTTAGGAGAAATGTCTTAACCTGTCTGATCCTGTGTCTTCATTTGTAAACTGAGGAAGGTCAGGGTGCTGGTGGTGGTGTAAGGATTAAATAATGTTATAAAGGGCCTATGCAAAATTCCTACATTATCCTGGCTCAGTTGTTGCTGGGCAAATATTTGATTCCTTTTTCCTCAGGAGAAAGATGCTATAACTTTCCCTGGCTAGTCAATTCTAATATCATTAAAGTTAATAGAGTGTGTAACTTAATGTCCTTTCCCTAATTTAAATCCATTTCTTCTTTTTATGTGAAAAGTGAGAACAGCTTGCTTAATGACCACCTGATTCTTGGCAAATTGTTTGCAGTCTTAATCCAGTGGATCAAAGTACGATTAATGTTTGGAGATACTCTGGTAGATGTTGCTAATTGTGAGAATGCCTTCATTTCCACCCTAAGTTATGATGGGGATTTTTTTTTTCATCTCCTGTCTACTTGTTGTAGGTTAGGGCAGTAGGAAGATAACTGATTTCTTTATGAATGTGATTTGGTGTATCAAGTACAGTATCTAAGTATTGATAATCTTTCCTTTAGAACTTAATATGAATGTGAAGAACTTGCAAAGAAACTTGAAAACAGCCAAAGGGATGGCATATCAAGAAATAAAGTATGTATCAAAAGTTTAAAAGAATTAAATAATGTTCTTCCCAAATGGTACCTTGGATATTGATTATTTATAGATTATCTTGTTACCGTTTAATCTAGACATGCTTTTCTTAAGAGTTACGCAGTTCGTGCAGCTTTCAGTAGATATTTCTTACTTCCCTAACAGCTTGCTCTAAGAGTCTTTCAGAGTGAGTAAAGGGGCAACATATTACCAATTGGAACAAGCAGAATTACCCCTGAGTAAGTGTATCTTAGCTGCCATGCAGTGTAGGGTTTGTCAGCATCTGAATCAGGAGGGAGTGTTCCAGGTACCACCAGAGAAAAGCTGCATAGTTGCTTCCCAAAAGGCCTCCCAGCCCTGGGAGCCCCCAGGTTACAAACTGCAGACTCGGAAATGTTTTTTTGCATATCAGAGTAGATTTTCATAGCTCCCTTCATCCCCCTCAAATAAGGAGATGGTCATGGGGAAAGTTAGGGGTGGGATTGTTAGTGGCAAAACTAAGCCCAAAACCTCACCAGTGTTCAATAGTATTTCTGAATTGCTTTCTCTTCTGGTGTCCCTCAGCCCGCCACACACATGTTCATTAAGGTATTTAGTTGTATACTCTGTCCCAGTTTTCCTCCACATATTATCTGTTTCTACATAGGTTGGACGGGGAGGGAGTGGGAACAGGGATAACTTCAGTATTGTTAGGGTTAGGATTGGATTTGTTAGGATGGACTCAATAGTGGGTACTATAAATGAGAAGAATTAAAATGTCTGATAGCTGTTCTGATAACTGTGTTGCCACAAGTACCCTAATCATATTGAATGTCATTATTCTGTATCGTTGATTCTCTAGTATGCATCTGTGACCTGGAAGGCTTGTCAGAGATTGCTGGGCCCTACCCCAGAGTGTGATTCATTGGTTCTAGAGTAGAGTTTAAGCATATGCATTTCCTAGAAGTTCCCAGGTGTCTGTATAATAATCATTTATTACAGCGTCTAGAATTGGTTACTCTAAGGCTGAGAATTCCAATACTTTTAATATTTTGCTATATACTTTATTTTCTCACCCGATTCCTTTGCTTTCAGGTTTCAAGTTCTTCACATTTCAAATTCTAGAGGAAAGATTATCAATACTTTACTTACATACTTTATCCTCTGCATATTATTGAAACATTTTCTTAATTACGTTTTGAGATTTTTTTGTTGTGTTAGTTTTGACCAGTACTTCAATTAATATTTATCAATTTAAATTATCATTTCCTCTTTTGATGTAATGTCATCTATGTTAAATAATATAAATTAAATTTCTTTGTAGTATTTACTAATGAACTCATGCCATATGATGCCATATGGCATCAACTCCCTCTAAATATTACTCATTTTCTTCTAAGTTTTTAATGATGTACCGTTAATAACTAGGATCTTTCAGCCAGGTAGACTCTTTAATATCATTTTCCTCATATTCCTCTTTTCTTAATGTATGTTCCACATTCCATGGGGCTAGTGGCATTTTTGCTTTTTTAATTTATGTCACCAAAGAAAATTGTTATTTGATTGGAAGCATTTATTCAAATCTTGTTAAAGCAAAAAGTGTTTAACAAATATAACCCCAATTTAAAATACATCTATCTATATCTATTTCTGATTCATTTTCTATTATGTTCTTTATATAATTCAACGTCAATTTGTTGCCTTTTAGGTACAATATTAGAAACAATTTGAGAAACTTAAAATCTAGTTGGGGAAATAAAACAGCAAAAGTACACAAGTAATGACAACATAATGCTTAATATGAATGTCATTGGGGGTATTACGTGCTATGAGTATTTAGAAAAAAAGATATTAAGAAGATTAGAAAAGGTTTTGTGAAGGAGAGCTGAAATGGGCCTTTGAAATACAGATGACATTTTCATTGATGAGAATAGGAATATCATAAAAGTAATTCATAAAGCTGACATAATGAGCTTAGAAGGAAATCCATAAAATAATACTACTTTAAAGAAATTTCAGGGAGGTAAAATTTCTGAAAACTTTAGACCCTAGTCATCAGACTGTGTATGTGCATGTCTGTCTCTCTCTCCTCTATCATTTGTTTGTTTTTTGTTTTGTGTTTTTGGAGGGGATGGAGTAGTAAAGGACCATAAGGAGATATAACACTGTAGGAAGAAAAAAAAATCTTGGGGAAAATGAAACACTGATACAATCATTACTAAACATTTAAGAATAATATCTTCTAGTGATGGAACACATGCTTTGTGCTTTCCATACATTATTTAATCCTTCAAATGACTACGGTGATTTTTTATAGGCATTTGAAGATGTGGTAACTAAGGCTCAGAGAAATTAAATAATTTGCCCAAGATCACACAGGAAGTGCCTAAGTTACGATTTGAATTCAGTCCTTTTAGATTACCAAACACTTTTATAATTCAGATTTCTAGCAAAGTTGCCATTGTACAAATATGAATGTTACTGAATGTGGGAGGGTAGGGGTAAAAAAATTAGAAGTCTTTCATTTTGTTTTATTTGTGTATATTTTAAAAGTTGACTAATAGAATTTTCAAAGAATTAACATTGCCCCAATGCCCTGTTCTTCTTGGAGGTAGTTTTCATATCATTTGTGTGTCTAAAAGGAGCATTTTAATCTGTTTTGTTATGATTTTGGGTTTTTTTGTTTGTTTGTTTTTTGGGTTTTTTTTGAAAAAAACAAAAAAAAAAACCGGAGATTATGGTCATGCCAATTATAATTGAATAGCCACAGGAGCATTAAAGAAAGTTGTTGAGTTGTTGTCCAAAGATGTCAAAAGTCAGAAAAAATTCTATACAATACTGAAATATTGGATTACTTTTTAAAATTCCATTTTAAGAACAAATATAATTTTATTTCATTTTGAAATAAACTATCCAGCCAATATCTAGAATGTATAATTTGGTAATATTACTTTCTAAATGGTATATAAACCATATATAATTTATGGTCTTGTTTGTTCAGAAACTCATTTTCCTAAACACGATGAAATTTATAAGTTTGGTAGACTTTTAAATAGAATACTTCTGAAATTGTTTTATATGCTTGGAGTTTGAAAACTTGAATAGCTGAATGAAACTATTTTATGAGATCTGATGGAAGAAGCTGACGTTAGTGTGAACATCTTCAGGAATTCTTAAAAGAATTGCACAAGAATTTTAGGTTTAAATTTGAAAATGGTTTGTTACCTAAAACAGATTTTGACACTGTTCAGTAGTTAATTGAAAATAATCAAGTAATTATTATAACTTAAAGTTATTCTAATAGATGTGGCATTTTGGTTAGTTCTATATAATGAGATGCAGTAAGTTTATTTCAGAAAGGAATCATCTGAAGCAGCAGCTTTTTTCATGAAAAGTCTTTACCACTCAATTTTAAGTTAGTGTTCTATACATAACTTCTAGTTGTATGGAAGAGGTTATTCCTAGTGTTATACTTTGTAACAAGCCTGTTATTATGTAGTTGGCCTTGGCAGAATTGTATGAAGATGAAGTGAAGTGCAAATCTTCCAAGTCTAATAGACCTAAAGCCACAGTCTTCAAGAGCCCACGGACACCACCTCAACGGTAAGTTTTATTTTGTTTTGTTGTAAAAAGAAATTATAATCCTTTCTAAAAATTTACTAACTTCAAATTATTTTAAATGGCCTTCTTCAAGGTTTCTTCAATAATTTTTAAAAATTATTATTCCAAGATCGAGGCAGATTTGGATAAAAAATAGAAATGATTAATATCATTTAGGTACTATTAAAACTTTTACAATCAGAAAGCCAAAAGAAACTTACGGAAAAATTACCTTAAAATACCTAATATTTTGGTAGATATCATATGAAATTATATCCTGAATACTATTTTTCTTGGGCACAATGGTTCTTTAATATTTTTTGAGTCATAGGACTCATTAAGGGTCTGATGAAAGCTATAGAATTCTCCTCTCAAAACAACTTTCATGTGCAAGTTTGTCATTCGTTTTTAAGGATATGTGTGTTTCTTGAAGCCACTCCATGGAGCCTCTGCAGGTCTTTTGTCCTCCATTTAAGAATCTATGATTTTTGAAGTCTGTCTCTTCTTCCTTTGGGTGATGATTCCTCTAATGTGTGACCTCCTAAATAGTATTTGTTGTTATTAAAATCCCTGAAGTATAAAAACAACCAACTGTGAAGACTTAAGAGATGAGAACCAGGTGTCTTTTATTGCTGTGAGTTTTCTTGTTGCCAGGAATATTTTCATTAACATCTTTTTAGTACTGTAAATACCATCCCTGGGGAAGAAACGTCAGTTTTCCCATTATATCTTATTCTCAGAAAGTCTATTTTATAAGTTTTCAGTTCATCAAAAAGCAAGACTAGTAGAGTAAATACTGTGTTTACTTCACCTATATTCACCAAGTTGGTACAATGTTACATTGAACTTGTGCACGCATGTATTCTCTCTCTCTTTTTTACTCAACTATTTGAAAGGAAATTGTAGCCATCATGACACTTCACCTCTAGATACTTCAGCATGAGTCTCCCGAGAAGAAGCACACACTTGCAAAATTGATAACACCTTACAAAATTAATAGTAATTCAGGCGGGGAGTGGTGGCTTATGCCTGTAATCCCAGCACTTTAGGTGGGCCAAGGTGGGCAGATCACTTGAGGTCAGGAGTTCAAGACCAGCCTGGCCAACATGGCAAAACCCCATCTCTCCTAAAAATACAGAAATTAGCTGGGCATGGTGGCACGAGCCTATAATTCCAGCTACTTGGGAGGCTGAGGCACAAGAATCGCCTGATCTTGGGAGGCAGAAGTTGCAGAGAGCCGAGATGGCGCGACTGCACTCCAGCCTGAATGATGGAGAAGGACTCTGTCTCCAAAAAAAAAAAAAAAAAAAAAAAAATTAATAGTAATTCTGTGATGCCATTTAATATATAGTTAGTAGTCACATATCTCTTATAGCTTTTTCTTTGGATTTAGGATTCAACTGAGGACATTGCATTGCATTTAATTATTCCTGTTTTGAATTTCTGAATACACAGAACTCTTCCCACCTTTTTATTGTTGTTTTTAGCTCAGCTACATAATCTAAAATTTATTATGTTGACTTTTTTAGAGAGTCTAGGCCAGATGTCTTATAAAATGTCTAACATTGTAGATCACTGTTTCCTCATGATTAGATTTTTATTAGAATTTTTGTCGGGTATGCTAGATAAGTGATATTGTCTGCTATTTATTACATGACAACAGGAGTCATAATTTCAGGATTTTCCACCATTAGTGATATGTTCATTTGGTTAAGGTGCTGACCACCACAGCACTCCATTGTAAGATACTGTGTGTCCTTTGTAATCAGCAGTTTGGTATCTTGACACTAGTTGAACATCCTATTCTTTCATTTAATTCTTACCTTTATACATATAAAATACTGTATTTTTAGCTGCTTCTTTAATTTGTATATTCTCCCAAGTCTTGAAAGTACTTAATATGTATCTCTGTACTTGCATTTTACTCACTATTTGGCCACTGTTTCCCCAGTTTGAACATAAGTTGAATGACTTAATATTTGAGTTCTTATCATAAGATTACTGTATTAATATTTTCCTTGCTATTCAAATATAATCATTAAGATATTTCAGTGAAGGGTTTTCTTTTATGCTGTCTGAAACAATGCTGTGATTAATAGGTATAATTCAGTAATCCAGTTTGTAAGGATTTTGTGCCTCACATTTGATTTCTAGAATAATTTATCTATCAAAAGAACTGAGTTTCCTTAAAATATATAGGTTGAGACGTAAACTGTGTTTAATCTGTTTATAATACAATGTATAGCAGATTGTTCGCAATCTTTTTTTCTACGTATGATATCTTCTAATGCTAAGTGTATACTTCCTTTGATTTCATATTCAATATCGAAATTTTCCCAGTTTCGTTGTATTTCTACAGGTCTGTTTGGTACAGAAAACAGTGCTTATTTTCATGGTCCACCTCCTTGGGCGGTATTTGAAATCAAAACAGTTATTGTCTCATTGTCATTTTAAGCCAAGACAGTTTCATTATCTGAAACTCTGGACATAAGATGGTCTGTGTTTTTAATTTACAAGAGGAGTTACGTAATCTACAGAAAGACCCTCAGGATATAGTCTGATGCCTGTTTTGACATATTCATCCATGAAAAGTTAAATATCACAATCAGAACTTGGATATGTCCTCCACAAGTCATTGTATAGTAGTATTGCTTTGAGAATTAAATGAGATAAAGTGAATAAGATGCCTAGCACAGAGTTGGTACTTAGCTGGGCCTTAAAAGGATTTAAGATATTAGGAGTTAGATAAGCACAGAAGACAAGGGACAAAATTCCAGGAACAGAGAGTCACATAATCAAAATGACCAGAGGAACCAGAAAAAGAACCAGCAGAACTTTAGTAGCTTAGTAGCAAATAAGGTTGGATAGATGGGGGTGCAGCCAGGAAGGCTTTCATAGGCATGTGACCTGTGCTATTGCACAAGGCCCCATGCTTAGAAGGGCCCTGTGCTTGGAGTAATGCTTTGCTGTTACTGTTTTGAAATTCTTAATTGGTTTTGAACAAGGGGACTCGATTTTCACTTTGCACTGGGTCTCACAAATTATGTAGCCAGTTGCGGATACAGCCTTGAAGACCAAGAAGATAAGTTGCCCCTGTGTAGAAGGCAGTGGAAAGTCAATTTGTCTTTTAATAAAAATTTAGTGACAAAACTATAATACAATGTTAAAAGCTTTGACTCAAGATGGATACATCTCAGTTGTAATTTTTTTGTTTTCATATAAGAAAATGGTTTTATTCCTAATTTTTAGTTCCCATACAGTTTACAAATACACTTTTACTCTGATAATACAGCTTTGCAACTAGCAAAGCAGTTGCGCTAACACCCATAAATATAGGTGGGGAGACAATTAACATCCACTAATGTTTCTCTACATAAAGTATTCTTTTAATGTCATTTTTTTAAAAAACAGTTGCAAATAGACTACATAATGTAAGTGGGCAAAAAGGCAATTAAGTGAATCTCTTGAAACACTAAATGTATAATAAACAGCATATTATCAACATTTACATGATTCACATCAAAATGATGACATCCTAAAACATATTCCCTTTAAAAGATTTATCAATAAAATATTAAATATCTTTTAATACTCTGGTACTTCATATACTGCAGGAAAATTAATTGTAGGTCTAGTCATCAGCTTAATCAGGGATCCTTTTCCCATTAGCTTTTATTAATAAAAGAATTACAATTAGGTCACAAATAAACAGACAAATTATTAATTACATGATTTGAGGCTTAGGATGAAAACTTGTCAAAATTAGTTTGATATACAGCAAAGTTATATGACCCACTAAAACCAACTGTTCAATAGTTTTTGCCTTGTGTGAACTGCCTGTAGTGAAAAAAGAACAAATTTTTAATGATGAAAGATACAATAAACTATATTTTGGAACTTTTCAAGAGGAAGAAGGAAAAGCTATTTCAATAAAATTAAGGGCAAATACAGATCCTGACAAAGGCATCCTGACATCAGGGAGGCCATGTGCTTGCTATATGTAAAACTTGATTCCCCCAACAACATACAGAAAATAAAAACTGCACTGGCTTTGTAGTTATGTCTACAGTCTAAGTTTCCCTTATGGATACTAAGCTAAAATAAAACACTTCACAATTGCAAACCTTTCCACATCCCCCTGAACTAAAAATAACTCAAGATATTATTAGTTTTAAAATCCCCAATAAAATTACCTCTAAAAACAATCTTGACCATTTTCTTGACTGTTTCCCCGAAGCAACTGGGCTCTTTAAAGAATGCACACACACCAAGAAAGTCCTACACATGTTTTCTCATCCCCATTTAGCCACATTTCAAAAGACCTTGATTTCAGTGGGAGAGATGACCATAAGTTTCAGGAAGGCCACACACTAGACATGAAGCACCTTTTAGTTTTTTTTTTTTTTAAAGCTATTAAGACTGTGAAATTTGTCTTTTTTAAAAAAACCCAATACCATGTGCCAGATAACTCTTTCACCCCAAAATATAAAATCCTATGCTTATAATTTTAAAACCCTCAGTGAGCTCTGGAATATTGTGCATATTTAATACCTACCAGCAACCTAGAAGTAGACAAATACCATGTATTTGTCATACCAACTTTCCAAATAACCTGACTCACCCATTACTGACTGGGCTCTCTCATTACTGGCCCTGGGCTCTCTCACTTCCTCAGCAACCACCTCTTTGGAACTTTAATTTCCACACCTTTTTTTAAAACCTGCACCTCAAGCTTTCTCCATCATCCCAGCCTCTCTGCCTGATTCCATCCCATGTAAAGTAACCTCATCTGAGAACCTGCAATCACCTTTTACCAAACACATGATAAGCCTTAGCAACCTAGGGACTATGATAACTCTGGCCTTGGCCTAAGGTTACATAAGAACATGATAGTTTGCTGACCTTGTGGAGGGAAATCTAAATGAAATCAATATAACAAACAAAGCTAGCCAAGATCAGGTATTTCCATTCTGAGTATAAAAGCAACTGATCTTAAGCAACGGGCAGAGATGTTAATACCGGAGATATATTTGTACAATCAAACTCTTGTGTGCTGGTGAAAGACTTTACCCCCAAAGTCAAGTCAAAACAAAACCAAAGCAAAATGGAGAATGAGTCAATGTAACAATGCAATAAAAAGAACAGGATTCAAGCTTCTTGCTGCAAATACTGAACTGGAATCTTTTTCTTTACAAGTTTTACTAGAAGACAGCAGTCATGACATTTCCCTAATAAGGGAATACCTTTAGGCCACACCCGTGTTCTGAAGCAATTCAAAGTTCAATGAATATTGGGGGGCAGGGATAGGGGCTGATACACATTTTGTTAGTGAGAATGGCAGCCAAACTAACTCAGGGTCTTAAGAGACTGAGAGACCTCAGAAAGGAACTACTACCAGGGCTGGATCTAGGCCTTCCTTTCAGGAGCCAAAGTCAGAAGAATCCGAGGAAACAATAACTTCACAGCAAAGATGCCACAGCATTTTATTACCATCACAAAAGTCAATTAATGATATTTTCATTGAAATATCCACACTCGATGATTCAACATATAAGGCGAAGAGGGATGTCTTTGGAAAAGGCACTTAAGGTGGAACATTAGCAAATCTTACCATTTGGCTAAAACAAAAATGATCTCGTTCAACCTGGCTGGAGGCCTGTTAGGGCTGTTCCTTCTCACTGTGGCCTGACTAAAAACCAGTGGCATTAAGAAAGAGTCACATTTCCCAAGTCTGGGAGTGCCCCAGTGGGGTGGTGCTGCTTTCAAAAGCCCTGAGTCCCTAAACACATCCATCCTCACAAGATCAGTTTCCCCAAGTGCTGGTTCCAAAAACAGGCTCAGGATTGGCAAAAATCATTCAGGAAGCTTCTTGAAGACCCTCTCTTTATTTCTCAGTCTTTCAGCTTGTCTCAGCTACTGTAAGCAGTTTTGGCTTCCCAAGGTCACTAGCAACTTCTGCTTTTGCTAATATCCTTGGTTTTCCATGGCAGTGGTTGTGACCGTCTGTTAGACTAGTGGCCTCCCAATTAACTGCACCTCTACTTCACACCCTTTTTTAAAATCTGGTCTGGGCATGTGACTTGTTTAGTAAGTAGAGGGCATACTCCAGCTCTCTTCTGGTGAGACGAAATCATCATCATCATCATCATCATCATCATCATCATCATCATCAATAGAGGGCAGTAGAAGGGAAGCTGCGACAATTCTGGACTTAAGTCTTCAGAAGGCCTGGCCACTTCTGCTTTTGAGCTCTTGGGAGCTCTGAGCTTCATGTCAGAGGTCTAGCTACCTGCCAGCCAGGCCACTGAAAGAGACTACACGAAGAAGGAGAGACTCAGGACTGCAGGCAGAAAGAGAAGCCCAGACATCCCAGTCTCTCCGCCAACCTGCTGACCATATGAGTGGCCACCTGCAGGCTGGCAGAAGAACAGCCCAGCTGAGCCCAACTCAAATTGAAGAACAGTTGGGGGTGGGTTTTTTTTTTGTTGTTGTTTTTTTTTTTTGACACGGAGTCTTGCACTGTCGCCCAGGCTGGAGTGTAGTGGCGAGGTCTCAGCTCACTGCAAGCTCCGCCTCCTGGGTTCACACCGTTCTCCTGCCTCAGCCTCCCAAGTAGCTGGGACTACAGGCGCCCGCCACCACGCCCTGCTAATTTTTTGTATTTTTAGTAGAGATGGGGTTTCACCGTGTTAACCAGGATGGTCTCGATCTCCTGACCTCATGATCCGCCAGCCTCGGCCTCCCAAAGTGCTGGGATTACAGGCGTGAGCCACCGCGCCCAGCCGGGGATGGGTTTTTTTTTTTAAGCCACTAAAGTTTTAGGGTAAGTTTGTCAGCAACATTTGACAACCAAAAACACTGGTCATTCATAGATGCCTTTTTTCTGAGTAGAAGACAGTTACTCAAATGCAAAGAAAATATGGCAAACGTTTTCCCACCACAACCTTCTCAGTCAAAAGCCAAACTGTAATTGGTCATCGGCTGGAAAAAAAAAAAGCTACACCTCTTAATTCATAAATATCCATGATTCCTTTTCTATGACTCTTCAATGCCAATGCAAAGGTAGACCAGTCAGCTTCTGACAGTCTCAGGCCCTAGCTTAATTCTCATTTGGCCAAAAATAGAAGCCATCAAAATGAATTATCCACTATTGGATACATGATGGTAAATGAGATTGTTCTCACTTTTCTAAGATGTTGTTACTTAATCTTCCCAAATCATTTCTTCTTATCCCCGACAATGAGGAAAAAAAAATTAAAACTGGTTAAGGTTATAAAAAGAAAAAAAAAAAAAAGCCTGTAACTAGAATTTGAATCCCCATAATCTGCAAAATATAGCACACAATTTAACTGCTTCCTCAATTTAAAACAAAATTCTATAAAATATAATGTCTACATAGTAGAGATGATTTCTTCTTATCTGAGGAAATGAGTAATTGGGAAGCAGGTATTGTTGAGTTAAAATACAGTGATCTTTAAATGGTTTCAAATTTTGCTTATCAAAAGGTAGTCAACCACAATGCAAGCCTTCCAAATCCAAATTTGGTCTTCACATAAACTTTCTTGCGAAAGTTTGATCTTTTTAGGGAGAGAGTGAAGTCCACATCTATTTTTGTGCTGAAGTTTTGGCAGATTTTCTCATCTGAAACTCTTCTGCTGTTGCATCAGGCCCACGTTTTCATACACTCTAGCACTGTCTGCTCTCATTTCTGCACAGCGTGGAGTTGGAGTACAAGGCGGGGGGGGGGGCTCTGATCTCCACTCGTCTGGTCCGCTAGAGAATACTTAATATTTGTATATTCATGACCTTTCCTCTTGCTTTTCTGCTCTTCTTCAATCCTGCGCTGTAGTGTTTCAGTATAATGCTGGACCGCCATATAGATAAATCGGTACTGTGTTTCTGTCTGGACCATCCCTGACCTCTGAGACTGCACCATCTGGATAGTTTTGAGAACGTCAATGTTGCAGTCAACACCTTTCTCTCTGTTGATGTCAGTCAGAATATCAATCACAACGTATGTCCCTGTCCGGCCAATTCCAGCACTGCCGTGCACCACGACTGGCCTTGCATGCATGATGCGTTCCTGCTTATGGTGCACCTCCTCCAGGAAGTCCAGCACACCCCTGGGGTCAATGGGCACTCCGTGGTCCGGCCAGGTCCAAAAGTGGTATTGCCAGACCATTCTCTCCATATTCCCTTGCCCAACCTTTGAAAGTTTAAGTTCTCTTAGCATATAGTTGTGAGCGGTGCTTTCTCTGATATTCCTAACACGCATGATGCCATATTCTTTTAGAGCATACTCATCAGGCCAGTATTTGACACATTTACTCTATCCTCTCTCCACTTCTTTCGTTGTCATGACAATCACTCAGGAGTTTTCTTGGAATACCATCCGCCAAAAGTCGTTCACCATGTTTTGCAGGCAGCCTTGTGTGGCAATGTAACTCTTCTTGGGCTTTGAATTGTTACACTTGGTTTCAAATTTGGGCATGATGATATTTGCATTGATGTCATCTGAAACAGGCTCGTTGGGATCACCATCGTGTAGGACAACCCTGGTATGATCAAAGGGCAGGTTATTTTTATATCTATTTTTGTTTTTGTTTTCTTGCCTTTTACCCTCTTTTCGGCCGTAGAGAAGTATGCACTCCTGTTGTTGTAGTGTCTCAAATTCTTCCGAAAAGCCTTGTTTGACTTTATTGTGGTCTCAGCTAATTTGCTTAGTTCTCGAATTCTGCTATTTCAGCAACATTTATACGAGTCGTGTTAAGGGGCTACGTGAGTTGTAGTACTGTACCCCATGTTTCCATCATAGGATTCTTCTTGTAATGTTCCACAAGATCTGTCAAAGAATCATACCGTTCTCCTCCACCAACATCGTATTTCAGTTCCTGACAGCAAATCATAACATGGGCCACTTTAGACTTGCCGTTATTGTTCTCCCCTTTGTCATCACTGGTGCGCACAGAGAGAACAAAATCTCCAAGGTGGCTCTGGCTCTCTCATACAAGAAAACTACCATGTTTTCCTTTTTCAGTTAATAATTTCTCTGCTTCTTTCCCAGAGAGGTGTCCCTGAAACCACCTTTCAGAGGCAGGATCTGCACAGTTCAGAGGATATTTAAGCTCAATAACATCTCCATTCTTCTCTTTTAATTGCCCGTGATGTTCTGTGTAATGCCGGACCAACTCAGCCAAAGTGGAAAATTTCTCCCCTCCACACAGATCACAGTAATCACCAGTGTTCTGAATCTTTTTTTTTTTTTTTTTTTTTTGAGACAGAGTCTCGCTCTGTCACCCAGGCTGGAGTGCAGTGGCATGATCTCGGCTCACTGTAAGCTCCGCCTGCTGGGTTCATGCCATTCTCCTGCCTCAGCCTCCTGAGTAGCTGGGACTACAGGTGCCTGCCACCATGCCCGGCTAATTTTTTTGTATTTTTTAGTAGAGACGGGGTTTCACCATGTTAGCCAGGATGGTCTCAATCTCCTGACTTTGTGATCCGCCCTCCTCAGCCTCCCAAAGTGCTGGGATTACAGGTGTGAACCACCGTGACCGGCCCAGTGTTCTGAATCTTGATGTGGGTGACAGCTCCATTTCTTCTAACAAAAAGTGTGAAGTCTCCAGGGTTACTTTTACTAGGCCTTGCCAAAAAACTGCTGTCAGCTCCTCTTATCAACAGTGGGTTTTCTGCCTCCACCCCAGTGATATTTGGGTGAAACCATCTCTACAATGTCATGTTCCTCCCACATTCCGGCTCCGTGACAGACCCGTTCCTTGCTCAGGCTCCACTGGGCTCGGTCACGTTGGGCTGGCCCGAGGGAGGCCCGCTCGGGACCAGATGCGGGGCGGAGCCAGCCGACTGTGCACAGACCCCCCTCCAGGCCTGGGGATCCTGGAGACTGTGCAGCCGCCCCCTAGGCTGGCTTGCTCCTCCTCCCTGTAATTTTTTTTTTCTCTGTCTTCTAATAAGGTTTTGCCAATTGGCAAGTTATTTAAACTCCTTCAGTCTTAGTTTTCTTACCTGTAAAATAGGAGTAATACCATTGTTAGGAGGATTAACTAAACACATAGTCATCCCTTGATAAATGTTAGCTATTACTATTCATTTAGGAAAATAGGACTGGCAATACTATATAAAATTAATGAGGATGGAGAGAACAGGATAAAGAGAGAAAGAAATCAAGACAGGAACAATTGAGGTAAACTAAGGAATGAGGTAATAAGATTTTGGATTCAAGGCCAAGGACGGTGGCTCACGCCTGTCATCTTAGCACTTTGGGAGGCTGAAGCATTGCAGATCGCTTGAGCTCACGAGT